>NC_000009.12:135568596-136260126 GCF_000001405.40 Homo sapiens | reverse complement strand
CAGTCAAGGTAATGAGCAGCCGCGGCGACCGCCCAGGGTCAGACGGATGCTCATTCAGTGGGCCCTGGGCAGTGTGGGGTGGCATTAGGCCCAGGGTCAGGTAGGCCTGTGTTCTGGCCTGCTGTGCCCCGCCTGTGACCGGGCCACCCCGGCCTCCCTGTTTCTGCATCTCAGCACAGCAGAGCACACAGTGGGTTTGCCAGCAGGCGGGCCACCCCGTGCACTGGCAGCCAGCATTCCCAAGATACAGATCGAGGGGTGTGCCAGCCGGGAAACCACTCAGGTTCTGTCTGGGAAGGGCTCCTCATGGGGCGGCTACTCAGAGCCCCTGGGCCACGTGCAGCCCTCAGACTGTTGCCAGGCAGGTCCCAGAAACACAGGCCCACAGAGAGCCCCTGGCCAGGGCAGAAGGAGGATTGGGCAGGGCCTGCCCTGCGCTTGTCTCAGAGGCTGCTTTTCCCAGGCTGGGGCTGAGCAGACCCTCGGGCCTCCAGGCAGGGGACATGGCAGGGCAGATTGCTGGATGTGGCCCCAGGCCGTCCCTGTCTCCCTTGAGGTTAGCTTGTCTCTCCCCATCCCCCACCCCCTGGCAGCTCCATTCTGCCCCTGCCTCCTTCCTTCCCTTCCTGGTCTCAGTCTGTGGTTGCTGCTGGTGACTCCTGGGATTGTGTCTTTCAGAGCCTGGGGAGCAGCCTCGGGCCCCTCTGCTGGGCCTGCAGCACGTGAGCCCCCCGGACGGACAGCGGCTGGGCCCAGCCTTTCCCGTACGCACTCTCCCTGGAAGCCCTTTCCCCAGCACCGCCTGTTTCAGGGACCACCCCCCCCCAACATTCTGCCAATCTGTGACTTGATCTTCATCTTGGTACCCTCCCCCCCAACATTCTGCCAATCTGTGACTTGATCTTCATCTTGGTTGGGGCCCCTTGGTTCCTGTGGCCGGTCCTTGGTTCCTGCAGTGGGTCCCTGTTTGTCCCTGCCTGTCCCCATCTGTCCCTGTCCGCCCCCGGCTGTCCCCATCCACCCCAGTCTGTCCCCATCTGTCCCCATCCATCCTGGTCTATCCCTGGCCCTTGGTGCCCTCCCTTCAGGGCCCTGTGCCATGTCCACTCCCGTCTCACCCCCCAGGCCGAGGAGGCGGAGGGGCGCCTCCCCACAGCTCAGTGCAGGTCTCGGGAGGTGAAGGAGCCACCCCCAGGTAAGCACCCTGGAAACACCGCGTGGGCCTCCACGGCGCCAGACACTTCCCCCACATCCAGCAGAGCCTGTCCGAGGCTGGAGCTCAGCCACTGGACAAGGACGGAAAGCAAAGAAGATGGGCCCTGGTGGCCCCCCAC
Organism: Homo sapiens; assembly: GCF_000001405.40. NCBI lineage: Eukaryota > Metazoa > Chordata > Mammalia > Primates > Hominidae > Homo > Homo sapiens. The sequence goes on along the minus strand of NC_000009.12, from coordinate 136,258,792 downwards.
CCTGGCCTCAGACCCCTTCACTGCAAGAAGAGTGGCCGGCTCCATCTCCTACCGGAGGTGACGCAGCGGCTCTTCTGGAGAAATTAAAAGTCATAACTGGCTGGGATTGTTTTAGTCGCAACTTCGTTCATCTGGGGCAGATTTTTAAGTGTTTGGAAGCCAGCACTGCCTGAGCGTCTTCAGCTGACGGAGGTTTCTGCACCGATTACATTTTTCTCTTTCTGAACCTTACACTTGGCCGGGGCCCCCCCCGAGAGCCAAGTCCCCAATTTGCAGGTGGGGCGGGAGCAGATGCACTCACAGTGTCAGGGAACCCTGGTGGTGCGTCTGGTAGCCGCCGGCTGAAGAGTGGGGGGTTGTGTGCCCTGCGATGCCACCTCGGAGCTCCCTGACCAGCCCTGGGTGCCGAATTCAGAAGGCCCCCACCCAGTGTCCATCCTCGGAAGCAGGGAGACTATGCCACCCAAGGGGGGTGGCATAGACTGGGGGGTCCCTGCCGTTGGGGCCAGGGAGAGCAAACCTCAGGACAGATGGGTTGAGACGGAAAGAGATCAGAAGCACTTGTGGGGCTGCCCAGGAGAGCGTGGCTGGTGGGGCTCCCTGGAGAGGCCAGTGACACTGGGAGGCGGAGTGAATACAGAGCGCTTTCCCTCTGTGTCCCGCGTCACCTCCGGGCCTGCGCTGTTCAGGCTTCTGCGGCCACCGTGAAGCTTGCTCAGCCTGAAGCCTCCCTCGCCGCATGGCCACGTGTACCAGCTGTCACCGTTCGGGGGGCCAGCCAGGCGCCTGCACCCACCATGGGTCCTCGTTGCCTCTGGAGGTGGATTCACTCGTTATGCCCACGCAGCAGAGGAGGAGCCTGAGGCCTGACTTATGTTCTCACGTGGTCTAGGGTTCACCCTGAGTCTGCCTGACTGCGGTGCCGGCCGCTCTCTGATCAAAAGACTGCGCTTGCAGGGGCTCCCTGGGTGACGCCCCATTGTGGTCGCTGGGGTCACCCGGAGCCACGGACAAGAGGGCAGGTGTTCCCACTGATGGAGCTTCCCCCTCCTTGGGCTTTAGACAAACAGCTCTGGTTCCCTTAGCCAGGTGGCCTTGGCTCTCAGAGTCCCCTGACCCCACAGAACGAAAGTCTAGGGAGATGGAGGTGCAATGCTGGGGGGCCTGGTGCTCCTGGGGAGGGCTCTGCGGTGGCCCCACCCGTCCCTTTGTCCCCCTTTGTGATCCCCGGCGGTGCACTGGTGGCCTTGCTGTGTCCGAGGCCTGCCCCCCACCGGCCCTCTGCACCACCCCTGCCTCACACCAGTGTCTGTCGGACGGCACCGAGGGGGAAGAACAAGCTCTGGCAAAAGGTTTCCCCCAAGGGAGGGAAAGAGGCCTCTAAATTATTATTATTATTATTATTATTATTATTATAATTTTGAGACAAAGTCTCACTCTCTCCCCAGCTGGAGTACAGTAGCGTGATCTTGGCTCACTGCAACCTCCGCCTCCCGGGTTCAAGCAATTCTTTTGCCTCAGCCTCCTGAGTAGCTGGAATTATAGGCCCCCGCCACCATGCCCGCCTAATTTTTGTATTTTTAGTAGAGACGGGGTTTCACTACATTGGCCAGGCTGGTCTCGAACTCCTGACCTTGTGATCCGCCCGCCTCGGCCTCCCAGAGTGCTGGGATTATAGGCGTGAGCCACTGCGCCCAGCCGGCCTCTGAATTCTAAACGAATTTTCTCTAAACTTTTGGCTGGGACTTTGATCACTAACTGTCCAATGACAGGATCATTTTAGGAGCAAACTACCATGTATGTTTCCGCCCTCATACTAACCAAGCACTGTAGAAAGGTGTACACCACTTTGAATTTTAAGATTTGTTTTATGTGGCTTCGGAATTCCTGGGAGCTGCTCCTGCTCCCTGCCTCTGTCCCCACCAGTGCTGACAGTCCCTTTGCCCTCCAGGAGACCCTCAGACCAAGCCCGGCCCTTCCTTAGCAGGGAAGCCCCGGGCTCCAACAGACAGCCATGTGGGGAGCTTCAGGGAACGCAGCCGACGCTCCTGCGGCAGAGAAGGTCCTTGTGGCCCACAAGAAGCCAGCGTGAGTCGGGTGTGGCCGTGCCCTTCCTGTGGGCTGTGTGGGGCCCGGCCTTGCTGTGTGGCCCTGAGGGGTCTCCTGGTCCATCCCATGGGTGCCCCAGGGCCCTTCCCAGCAGATGCCTTCAGTTCTGAGGTTTGCCAGTTCTCTGGGTCTCACCCTAAGACTCAACACCTGGGCAGAAAAACAGACTTTTTTTCCATGGTGGCAGGGCCCAATGGGAGGAGGGGAATCTGGCAAGTGGGGGTCTCCACAGCCCTCTTTTGAGTGGTCTTTGTTCCTTTACCGTGGTCGCTGGAAGCACAGGGGCTCCATCCAGCTACGGGAGGTGGACAGAGACAGAGGCCACACCCCAACAGTGTCATTTCTGCAACGTCTCTCCAGCAGGTGGCTGAGGACAGCATGAGCGAAGAGGGCTTGGAATCGGGGCTGGATTTTGCTGAGAGCCCCGTGGAGGAGTCCCAGGAAACCGAGAGCTGGCGATCGGGGGAGCAGAGGTGTGGGGCTGAGCTCCCTGGAGCAGGGGTGGAGCGTGAGGCACGGAGACGGGTTCAGCCGGTACCCCCTGTCCCCCTGCTGTGGGGACCCTCACTCTCTCCTGGCACACCTGTGCTGCCGGGGCACAGCCCTGCACCCACCCTGAGCCCTCCTGGGTCTGACCCACTTTTGGAAATAAAAATGTCACCCATGAATCAGCCCAAGGTCAGCAGAGCGGCTTCGAACCCCCTGGGAGTGGCAGCCCCACCCCCCTCTCTGCCACCTGATCCAGTGGGATTGAGACTGGATGCCCCCAAAGACAAGCCCTCGGGGAGCCCTTGCCCTCAGGGTCACTCAGGTGGTGGCAGAGGACTGGCTGGGATGTTTTTCGAGTGTGAGCTGTGGACTGAGCCTGGTGGGGTCCCTGACAGTGGGCCCTGGGGAAGAGGCCAGGAGGACCAGGATCCCCACAGGGTTCTCCACGAATGTGCTTGCAGGACGGAGGCCTGTCAGCAGGAGGTCCCCGGCATCTCCTCCACCTGGCTGGAGGCTGCCCAGGCCGCTGCCTCCCCAGGTAATGCCCCAGCCCCCAGCCCCTCCTTCAGCCATCGAGTCCCCACTAAGGGTCCCCCAAGCCATTTCTACATCAGAGCCAGCTTCTCCCCACAATACGCAGCCCCTGCCTTCCCCACTGCCTAGCTGGGGGGCTCTGCCCACGCACCTCCCCATCACAGGGTTGCCAGGGGAGGTGAGTGACGGTCAGGGATCCTCTGTCTGGATCCACCCACATCCCTAATGAAAATAAAACAAGGCAGAGCCAACCAGTCAGTCCTTGAACCACAGCTGTGGTGCTATGAGGCCGGGTGCCCGAGGCTCGGCAAGGCCCCTGGACATGACTCATTGCGTGTGGGTGGGGGTGGGCGTGGTGAACCCCTGGGTTGGAATCACAAGGGTCGAACACGCTGGCACCCTCGACGCTTTTCCTGCCTCTGTTCAGGGTGTTTCTCTGTTCTGACCTCCTGGCTTTGGGGGTCGTGGGATATGCATGGGGTCCAGGGTGCAGAGGGTGACCACTGTTGATTGCCCCCTCTCTTAGCAGCTCCTGTGGTCCCTGAGGAGGCGGCGCCCCCAATCCTGCACCAGGGCAGTCCCCTTCTCCCCACCACCTCCTCCTGCGGTCCAGGCTCTGAGTCTGCTTCTGGAACCTGCTGGGGGCCTTCGGAAGAAGCCACGGTGTCATCCCACACCTCCCCAGCAGGCTCTGTGAGCAGCCTGTCCTGTCCCTCTCTCTGGGAGTTCCAGAAAGCAGCGGCTACCCTGATCCAGCTTTCTGGGAGCTCCAGCTCTCTTCCCAGCTTGGAAGCTGAAGACTCCCCAGACGAAGGTTTCAGCTGGCCTGGAGAGCTCTCTGCCCGACACTCCTCGGGGGAAGCTGGCCTGCCTTTGTCCTGGCGGTCAAACCAGGGTGAGCCTCGGCCAGGCAGTGCTCCTGGGGGTGGAGGATGGGTGACCTGGCAGAGGCCCCAGGGCCGCAGGGCCGGCCCCCTGCGTGGCTCCTCCTTGGACACGGCCATGGCAGAAGTTTCAGCGCCGGAGCAAAGCCCAAAGGCAGGCTGGCTACTGCCTTTCCCAGACATCCCCTCTCCAAGGTCAGGGTCAGAGCTGTCAGAGGCCTCCAGCAAAGTTTGGGAGGAGGACTGCGAGGAGGACCTGCCAGAACCCTGTACCGGGGCCAAGCCAGCCTCGGGGAGCTCCCTGCCTGCAGGTGGCTCACTGGGCCTTGGAAGCGGCGTGGAGCCCCAGGTGGCTCCTCCCTCCCCACGGTCCGGGGAGGGGCGGGAAGCTTCTGGGACCAGCGAGAGCCTGAAAGGGGGTGTCAGAAGCGGCATGGAGCCCCAGGTGGCTCTTCCGTCCCCATGGCCTGGGGAGGGGCTGGAAGCTTCTGGGACCAGCGAGAGCCTGATGGGGGTGTCAGACACAGGAGAAGCCCTCCAGGCACCCCCTGAGGCCGCCGGTGTGGTGTTCCCGCTGCAAATCTCTTCTGCCGGTGACTCGGACTCACTGCTGGTCTTTCCTTCGTGGACCTCTTTGAGTGAAGGGGCAGATTTCGGCAAAGGAGGAGAGACTTCTGGCTACCAGGAGGGAACCCGGGATGCTGACCCGAGCCCATCCACCAAGAGCAAACTCCCGTACCTCATGCCAGAGCCCGAGACCCCGGTGACCCTGCAGGCTCCTCCTGGGGACCCAGGCAGGCTGGCACCTCCAGTAGCTGAGAGCCGGGCGCCTGGGCCTGGTGGGAATGGGGCCCCCACTGTCCTGGAGGAAGCCTGTCCCCTACTTGCCGGTGACGTCTTGACTGAGATCCTGTCTCCCGTGGACGAGTTGCTGTCCTACGGCAGTGCCGACCTCCCGTCCTCCATCCACAGGGAGGCCCCCCTACCCCCACCTCCTCCCACTCCCCAAGCACAGAGTGATGGTGAAGACACCAACCCATGCTCGGATGCCTTCCCTTCCCCGCCCTCGGGGCCCCTTGAGGAGGACACCGCCATCACCACCCAGGATTTGTCCTCCTTGTCTGAGGAGAGTCTGCCGGAGGGACTGTTTCCTGGGCCCCAGGGGTCGGCGGGAACCCAGTAGTTGGGGCTCTGCCCAGGGGTGGCTGGTCCGGGTGGAAGCGTTGACGACCAGTTGGGTAGATGCAGTTCTGCAGCAGGGGATGAGGCCGGAGGCAGCCAGTGGCCTGAACCTGTCAGCTGGCCAGGGCACTCGTCGTGTGAGGGGTCAGGCAGTGCCCCTGGAGGGCTCCCAGGGCCATCAGTGCAGCCCCCAGCTCCATCCAGAGTGGCCTCTGTGGCCAGGGAAGGTCTGTCAGGGCTGTTGGCAGCTGGTGACGTGGAAGTGATGATCGGCGGACTGGGCTCCTGTTTTGGGCACAGGGTTCTGGGCTGATGTGGCCTTTGAGGAGGTCTTGGGCAGTCGGGGAGAGCCCTGGGAAGGAGCGCAGAGCTCTGGGCATGCAGAGAGCCGGGGTGGGTAGCGGGGCAGCTCTTAGTGGGTCTGGATGAGCTCCTGGACACTGCCTCACCTGCGGCAGGGTCCCTGGGCAGCCGAGCCTGCTTGGCCAAGACCCCCACCAGGGGCCAAGACCCCAAAGAAATGCTGGGTAAGAACAGGAAGGCAGCCACACCCCCACAGGCAGCCACACCTCCATGTCCCTGGTTGGCAGCCCCGGCAGCCTCTCTCCCAGGCCAAGTGCCCTTGGCCGCCAGTGGAAAGTCTGGGTCCCTTGAGCATGCTGGTGAGGACGTTGAGGGAGGCCTGAGCTGCCAGGTAGAGGACCCACCCAGGCCCGAGGGCTCACTGGGCAGAAAGCCGCTCCTGGAGACAGACTCAGGCCGCTGTACCCATCTCCCAGGTGTGGAGAGAGACCAGGCAGTGGACTTGGTCTCCACGTGGCTCACCAGGAGGGTCCTGCGTGACTCCTTAGCAGCTCTCTCCACACAGGCCCCCAGGTGCAGCCCCTAGGGAGTGTTTTCTGGAACTACAGAGGTGCACAGGCGTCCACAATGTCATTGTGAGCTGTGTGTGGCATACACATGCACACGTGGGAGTAAGAACCTAGAGGCCTGGACTTTCCCAGGGTGGACCGGCCGGGCGGCCGGCTGTGCGGGACAGTCTCCTGGACCTTTCCCCGGTGGACCGGGTGGGCGGCCGGCTGTGCAGGATGGTCGCCTGGACCTTCCCAGGGTGGACCGGGTGGGCGGCCGGCTGTGCGGGACGGTTGCCTGGACCTTCCCCCGGTGGACAGGGTGGGCGGCCGGCTGTGCGGGACGGTTGCCTGGACCTTCCCCTGGTGGACGGGGTGGGCGGCCGGCTGTGCGGGATGGTCGCCTGGACCTTCCCAGGGTGGACTGGGTGGGCGGCCGGCTCTTCCCAGGGTGGACCAGGTGGGCGGCCGGCTCCGCAGGACGGTCGCCTGGACCTTCCCGGGGTGGACTGGGTGGGCGGCCGGCTCTTCCCAGGGTGGGCCGGGTGGGCGGCCGGCTCTTCCCGGGGTGGACCGGGTGGGCGGCCGGCTCTTCCCCTGGTGGACAGGGTGGGCGCCGGCTCTGCGGGACGGTCGCCTGGACCTTCCCCTGGTGGACGGGGTGGGCGGCCGGCTGTGCGGGATGGTTGCCTGGACCTTCCCAGGGTGGACTGGGTGGGCGGCCGGCTCTTCCCAGGGTGGACCAGGTGGGCGGCCGGCTCCGCGGGACGGTCGCCTGGACCTTCCCGGGGTGGACTGGGTGGGCGGCCGGCTCTTCCCAGGGTGGACCAGGTGGGCGGCCGGCTCCGCGGGACGGTCGCCTGGACCTTCCCGGGGTGGACCGGGTGGGTGGCCGGCTCTTCCCCCGGTGGACAGGGTGGGCGCCGGCTCCGCGGGACGGTCACCTGAAGCCAGGCCCGGACTGCACACCTGCTTCTTCGCATCAAAGCCACGAAGAGGCGTCCAAGAAAAGGCGTTGCAGCCCAGAGGCAAGAACAGTCAGAGTCGCCAAGAGCAGGAACGAGGACGGGGCGGAGCAGCGCCTATGCCAGGAAGGGGGTCATGGGGATCAGCGAAGGCCAAGAGAGGAAGAGAGAACATCTGGGGAAAAGAAGAGCTGGGGTGGGCCTGACTGGTGCTGACTCACACCCCTGAGCCCTGCTTAGAAGTCAGGGGCATCTGCCTGCTTTGACTTTGGAGGCTCCTCCCACACCCAAACTGCCGGCACATGACGTGCAGCTGGGTGGACTGGGCATGGATGTCTCACACCTGAGCTGCACAGACCAGAGGAAGCCACGGCTCAAGGGCCCAAGGTCATTTCTGCGCAGCCCGCACGGCCGGGGGCTTTTCCTCTGGGGATCAGTGGCCCAAGGTCTCTTCTGGAGCATGCTCAGGACTTGCTGTGCCTGGAAGGCCAGGGCAGCTGATTTCTCCTGGTGCCATGGACTTTTCTTTGCTTCCAGAGGATTCACTGGGACCCCTGTAATTTCTCTGGGACCCTTTTGAATCTGAGGGTCTCTTCTTGAATGCGGAGTTGATGAGCAGCGTGTTGGCCTTAGGGACATCTGTGTCCCAGCACTGATCCTTCCAGGATGTGGCTTCTCCTGTCCAGGGCCTCAGGCCTCCTCCACTTCAGAGAGGAGCATACTCCAGACTTTATGCATGCAGTCTGGTGGGAGGCATCACAAAGCTGGCGTGGCAAAGCCCTAAGATGCCAGGTCACAGGACACACGGAGCTGCCAAGGCCCTCTACCCCATAGCTCTGGTGAGAGACCCCAGGCCCCTTAGAACCTCTTTGGGCCCCCTGCCGTGAGGCAAGAGCCCCTCTCCAGACACCCCTCGCCCGGGAGCAGCTGGACCCAGCCTGCCTTCTCCAGCCCCGGGGCGGCTGCTTAGCCCCAGGTGCCGTTAACAATGGCCGGCCTGTGTCAGGGTCCCCATTCACCATGTGCACAGGAAGCCCAGCTCGGGCCATGCATCTGATTTTGCACCAGCTCCTGCCCAGCCCACCTGAGAATGCAGATGTTTGGATCCAGTGGGGAATGTGTTCCTGCTCCATGCTCCCAATTTCAGAACAAACTTTGAGCTGAGCTACAGCTTTCTCATTGATCCCCTTCTAGTCTTCTGAACAAATTAGTCTGTGATTTTTTATTTTTTTCCATTTATTGCTGACCCTTTTGGATTTATGAGGCCGTGTGAGAGGAATTATGTATCTCACACACACGCATCTGGCATGACGATAAATCTCCACCACTGAAGCCCCGCAGATTTGCAGCGAATCTGATGGCTCCCAGGCTCGCTGCCACGTGGTTGGTGCTGACGTGCGGCGCAATGCGGTGGCGGCTGCAGTCACAGCTGGAACCAGCGTGACTTTCCCTGGGAGCCCAGCAGGTGCCTCGCGTCGCTGGCAGGTGGTAGGGTGCCCTTGAAGGGGGCTGGTCGTGAGGAACGAAGGAAAACCCGGGCCAGGGCTTCCAAGGACAGCGGCCCTGGAGGGGGCCGGAGCCGTCAGGTTACTCTGAGCACCGGAGAAAAAGCCGCTTCAGCAGAGGTGTAAACGCATTTAATCTCCCAACAGGACATATACAGAGCGGAGGGCTTTGGCATTCAGATATATTGACCGGGCAAGATGGTAATCCAAGGTTCCTCCCCTTCAAGGTCTCCTGCTGTATTTGCCTGGGCTCTGATCTGTCGTCACCGCTTGGGCCAATAAATCTTGATACCAGCCTCCAGAGAAGTCATTATCTTTCATAGAAAATGATTATTTCTCAGTTAAACCCTACATTTAATTTTCCCGTGATCTGTCTCTTTCAGCTTCCCTGCTTAACGGTTCCCTCCTGCATAAAATGCCCATGAACGTGTCCGCAGTGCTCCGAGTCCCAAATCATCAGACAAACTTTACGAGTCCCTTTGATTCCCTGCCCTGCGTGGCCATCACGGCCACCCTCATAAAACACGCATGAAGGCCGGGGGCCCTTTATGAAAGGTGGCGGCCGCACACTTTCCTGGGAAGCAAAGCCTCCAGGCACCCAGGGCGCTGGGAGAGCTCACTCACTGCCCAGGCGGAGCAGGGTCCCTGCGGGTCATTTTCTCTGTCCCCAGGGTCGAGCTTGGCCCGTTCATGCCCAGCAAAGCCAGGCTCACAAGCCGTCCTTTTCCCAGCTCCCCAGGCAGCTTTGGGGTCCTGGAAGAGTGTTGGCAGGTCCCACAGCCATCCCATGGTGCCCTGTCCCCGCATGGCAGCATCAGAGCTGGGAGCGGAGGATGGGATCACACACACCCCCTGGCCCTGGCCCTGCCCCGGGGCTCCCAGCCGCCCTTCTCCTGCCCGCCACTCACCATGTCCATCAGGCTGTAGCCGATACAGCACCAACCACACTGGTGCTGGGAGCCAGCTCGGGCTCTGAGGCTGCCTGGGCCCTGCTCCACCTCTCCCTAGGGGTCTGGCAGGAGCCCCTGCCCCCAGACGTGCCTCCATGTCCACAGTCCCTGGAGGGTGGCCACCCACCTCCTCATGGTGTCCTAGTGAGGACATGAAGAATTGTTCCCTCAGGCACTGTCCCGGGCACGTCGCCAGTGCTCAGGGGCTGGCACAGGTGTGCAGAATTTTTCCTCAGAAGTTTTCCCAAAATGGGTGGTGGTCGTTAAGCAGCTGAGCCCTCCATGCCAAACTCCTGCTAAAGGGGGAGACGTGGACAGCAGGGCAAGTCCTGGAGCCGGGGCCATTGAAATCCATTGGGCCTCATCTCTGCTCTCCCCATGTGGAAAGGGAGGCGGCTCAGAGCTGGGTTCTGTCTTTGTCTCCAATGCAAGCATCAGAGTGGGCCCTCCTGGGTTCTGGGAGGCACGTGGGCCTGAGGCCCTCCTCTCTGTCACATACATGCCATGTGCCCTTCACCTCACACAGTAGTCAGCCCTCTGAGCCTCAGTTTCTCCCTCTGTAAAACAGGAATATCAATACCTGTTCCACGATGGGTAGGCCTCTGCAAACCTGCCCCAAAGATGGAGGAGGCTGAGAGGCAGAAGAAAGAGGCTGACAAGTCCAGTTTCTCAGGAAGAAACATTTAGTAGGGACTTACAAATGGAAGCCACATCTGTGTCTCTGGAGGCACCGACAGACGGGATCCCGCCACCACCCCCAGGCCCAGGGCTTATCTGCCATAGGGGAGGCTGGTTTAGAAGGAACGTGCAGAAACCTGAAGCAGACAGCATCAAGGCTTTGTGCCCTAAGGGTGGGATTTACGGCAAGTACCTGCTCTACACAGGGAACAACAGATCAACTGGAAATCTTGGAGGCCTTCCCGGAATCAGGCTCATCAGGATCCAACACAGCAGATTAGGTCCAAGATGCTGCTGCCTCAGCCTGCACAGTGCCTTATCTCATCATGTCTGAGATGTGATCTCCCCGCATTTTGATCTCTTTGAAGCCAGAGCTGTCTCTGTCAGGGCATCTGAAAATGGCCACTGGCCGCGTGTTTTCTCGCTCCGCGGCACGCACGCTAACCGCGCCTGCAGTCACCTGGCCTTTGCCACAGCGACGTGCGATGCCTCTCCTGCAGGTGGGGTGGGGGGCAGATTTCACGCAGGCTTTGGGCAGGATCTGGCTCAGCACAGACAGCTCTTACGTAGACTCCGAGATTCAATCCTAACCCCTTCCCCTCCCCCGCCCTGCCTTAGATGGGAGAAACTCTGGTTGTTTTGGGGTGTGGCCTCTAAGTGCTGGGCTAAGCTTGGTCCCAGGGGTGGCTCCGTTTCACCGAGCAGGTTTGGGGTGAGGTGTTGCCCCGATGTTCCGAATGTGCCCCTCCAGTTGGGCTCATGACGTCCTCTGTCTCAGCCAGATCAGCCTCCTTTCCTCCACTCCTTGTTCCCCTGCCACCTCGCTGCTGCTCCTTCTGGAGGCCTGGGGCTCAGTGTGTGGCCCTCCCCTCTGTCCCACAGCCTCCCCGGGGGACCTCAAGCAGCCTCAAGCGCTGAGCTCCAGACTCGACTCCCACTTCTAAACCCTGACCTGACACCTCCCTTAGAGGTTGAAAAGGCTGCTCAGATGTAACAGGTCCAAAGCAAACTCATGGCATCCTCCCCAGCATAGCTCTCCCATCTCGCCGCTGCAGGATTTAGTCTCAGCCGTAAGCAACCCCATTCCTCTGGTTGCTTTGGCCCAAACTCTGCGAATGTGACACCCTCTGCCTCCACCCAGACTCAGCCGACCCCTCCACCAGCACTGCCTCTCACCCCTCCCCGGAGTCCCTCCAGCTTGTGGAAGGAGGCGGCGGCCCCTCCCAGGTCCCCTGCTTCCCCTCCTGCCCCTCCTACTCTGCAACTAGAAGGGCAGAGCTGCATCCTTGCACCGATCCTTCCGTGGCCACCCCCCCATTCAGCATCAAAGTCTGAGTCTGCGGCCCAGGTTGTGAGGCCCCCTGGGTCTCGCTCGGGCTCTCAGCTTTTCTTCCCTCCCACGCTTCCCCCAGCTTGCTCCGCTCCCACCAGGTCCGGCTCCTTGCTGTTCCTCCAGCGTGCTCAGCACCCTTCTGCCCCAGGGCCTTTGCATGTGTGCCTCCTCCCTCACCTCCTTCTCCATTCGGGTCACCTTCTCAAAGACCTCCCCACCCTCCTCTGTACGGCAGCCCTGCTGGCACCTGCTTCCGTGTCCGGCTTCATTGCTTTTCATAGCACGCGGTGGCTGCTTTACGCGTTGGTTTGTTTGGGGTCTGCCCAAATGCAGGCCAGGGACACTGGGGGCTCGGTTTTGTTCTTGATTTGTCTCCAGGGCTTGGCACAGAGCAGAAGCCAGGAAACGTGGGTGATGGAAGGAAACATGAACAGGGAGACGCAGGACGTGAGGAAAAGGGAGCAGACGCCTTGGCCAGGGGCCCTCTGGGGAGAATCCTCTCATCTGGGGTTAACCATTGTTAGCAGCAAAACCTTTTAAACAAAATCTTACACAGAACCCCACAATACAGTTATCTATTTATTTTGAGACAAGGTCTCGCTCTGTCATCCAGGCTGGAGTGCAGTGGCAGAGTCACGGCTCACTGCAGCCTCAAGCTCCCAGGCTCAAGCCATCCTCCACCTTAGCCCCTCAAGTAGCTGGGACTACAGGTGTGCACCACCATGCCCGGCTTTTTTCTTTTTTTTAAGAGATGGGCTCTCGCTATGTTGCCCAGGCTCGCCCACTCCCTTGTTTTGTTTTGGTCACACAGTTCAGAGAAAATCTTGACATGTGTAAAAATTAGGAATAGGAACAAAAAAAAAAATCAGGTATCCTGTTCAATGAAGCAAAAAAGTCATATGATTTCATTTCCAAACCGTGAAGCTGCATTCGACTGGAACATCCTAAAAGGTAGCACACAACACATCTGACTTTGAGTGGATGTTTTGCTGCATTTTCTAAGCGTTCCAATATCATATTAAAAAGTCGAGGCTGGCTTGCAGACCCTCTGAAGCCCCAGGTGGGGTTGCCAAGTAAAAGAACCCCGGAATAGTTTTTTACGTCTAAGAATGTCTTGTTAAATTTGTATTTCAGGCATGGCACAGACCTAGGCTGAAAAACCGACTCACTGTTTGTCTGAAATTCACGTTGAACCTGGCGTCGTGCACTTCCATTTGCTAAATGTGGCCACCTGGCCCTGTTCAGGGAAGGGGTTTGGGGAACGCGCGGCGGGGTGGGGCGGGGCCTGGGCGGAGCCTGCCGCGCCTGGGCGGGGAGATGGCGTCATCAGACTCTTGGGGGCGGGGCTGCCACGCATGGGCGGGGGCGGGGGCGGGGAGAGAGGGCGGGGTCAGACGTGAGGGGGCGGGGCGGAACAGAACTGGGCGCGCGGGGGCGGGGCCGGGCGCGCCGGCGCACGTGACGGTGGTTGCCAGGGTGAAAGTTCAGCGCGCCGGCGGCACTTCCAACATGGCGGCGGCCGGGGCGGCGGTGGCGCGCAGCCCGGGAATCGGAGCGGGACCTGCGCTGAGAGCCCGGCGCTCGCCCCCGCCGCGGGCCGCACGGCTGCCGCGGCTGCTAGTGCTGCTAGCGGCGGCGGCGGTGGGGCCGGGCGCGGGCGGTGCGGCGCGGCTGTACCGCGCGGGCGAGGACGCCGTGTGGGTGCTGGACAGCGGCAGCGTGCGCGGGGCCACCGCCAACAGCTCGGCCGCGTGGCTCGTGCAGTTCTACTCGTCGTGGTGTGGCCACTGCATCGGCTACGCGCCCACTTGGCGGGCCCTGGCTGGGGATGTGCGAGGTGAGGCGCGCCCCCGCGCGGGGACCCCCCGACCCCCGGGACCGCGGCCTTCCGGGACCCCTTGCGACCGCCCCAGAAGGCGGGTCCCGGGGCCCCTCCCCCGTATTTCTTTCCTTACCGCAGAGCCAGTCCCTGCCCCACAGAGGCACCCGACTCGGACCAACCCTGGCCTTTCCAGGGGCGGGAGACTAAGCCAGCTGCTCCCCATGTCTCTCCCAGTTAATCCCCGTTAGATCCTGACGAGTTGGGCTGTCTGAAGTCAAAATGAAACCATTCTCCCGCAGCCCTCACCGCACGCTTGGGGATAGGGAAGCCCTCCCGTATCCCAGCTCTCAAAATACCTATGTTTTGAGCCCCAAGAACTTCATTGACCTTCCAGGCCTCCTACCCTACCTGTTTCCTAGCGTCCACACACCCCATCCCCAGTGCCCAGAATTCCTGTTCTCTGAGGATCCCTCATTCCTATTCCACACTCGTAGCCACCCCATTCCCTTTGAACCTTCATCATTAACTTTCTGGTTCGGATCGCTGGCCATATAGTGGGTGCTCAAAGTGAACCCACAACTTAGAAGTCCAAATACTCTGGAGACTTCTCTATAATACCCCAAAACAACCTATAAAGCAATTTTTTTAACTCTACAAAGAATTTCATTGGTGGGCTCCTTGATCACAGATGCACAGCCTTTGAGAAATCTTTCACCAAACTGCTGGTAGTGTTCCGCACTTTATTGTTTAGTGCTTTCATCTGGTCGCACGTTGTTAACCAGTCACGAAGTTACTCGCCTGCTCTACAGGTTAGAGTTGGCGTGGGAGGGGGCATTCACAACACCCTTCCCTTAAAATGGTATTTAAATCACTGAAGTAGGAGGTCCTCCCGACCCAGTGAGGTTTGGCAGGACTTCCTGTGTTGTGCTAACCTCAAATTACATGTTTCAGTGGGCAAGATCTGTAACAAATTGCTACTCTTTCTTCCTGCACCTTTGTTTTTATGCCTTACACCCAATCCTGCTGTATTTTTCTCATCGCAAACAGATTTGTAAAGAAACTTTTTTTCAAGTCTAAGTAGGGCTTTTGTATGTTACTGTAAATGGTTATCTTTAAAATGCATTCTCCTCTTAGAGAGCTGGGGCCTTTTGATTCTAATGGATTCCTCCTCTTTGATCTCATGTTTTCTTATGTCCCTGTTGACCTGACTCAGAACTGAGGTCAGAGACTGGAAGAGATGGACAGAAAAACTGTTCAGTGGGGTTTTTAGACACTGCTTTTAGGAAAACAAACAAGTAATTCAATCACGTAGGGAACCCTTCAGTTCTTGTGTGTTATTCAGTGGCAGAAACAGATATGTTCATTAAAATGCAGGTGGCCCTGGCAGGACTTGGTCACTTTTTTTGTGGGTTTTGGTTTTGATTTTTTTTTTTCAGTTGAGTCGCTGAAGTCTAAAGATCGTACCAGATTCAAATATTGCAAATTCTGTAACCGAAGCAGCACATAGGCAGCCTTGAGAACTGTCCCTGGAGCTCAGAAGGAAGGCCCCTCCTGAGAGCCACACAGTAACGTCCATACCCAGTGGTGTGATGAACTCAACTCAGTAAGCCTCCTTTAGTGAGGCTGACTGTCTTCCCAGTCACGACAGGAAGAACAGGCTTGTGCCTGAGACTGAGACTGGAGGAGGATATGGCTGAAAGTGAAAGACAGCGGTGACCTGACCAGGCAGCAGGGAGAGGGCTTCAGGGAGCCCAGGCAGAGGGTCCTGTTGGCTAAAAAGCCAAACTATAAAATACTGAAAGAGGTTTGTTCTGAGCCAATAAGTGTAGTGGCCATGGCCAGGGGAACAGTGTCAAGAGGTCCTAAGAAAGTGTGCTCTAGGCAGTCACGTTAATTTGATTTTATACATTTTAGGGAGACAGAAGTTATAGGCAGAGAGACATAAATCAGTACATGTAAGGTATAGGAAGGGGTAGGTTTACAGATCATAGGTGGATTCTGACTGGCAATTGATTGAAAGAGTTAAGCTTTGTCTAAAGACTTGAAGTCAGCAAAGAGAAATGCTTGAGTTAAGCTAAAGGGGCTGTGGAGGCCAAGGTTAAGTAGATGAAGCCTCACAGGCAGCAGCCTTGGGGAGAATAGAGGGTAAATGTCTCTTTTCAGACCTGAATGCTGTCAGACTCGTTAAATGTCTCCTAGATCCAGGAAAGACCTAGAAAGGGAGGGAGATTCTCTACAGATGCAAATTTCCCTCACAAAAGACAGCTTTGCAGGACCATTTCAAATATGTCAGGGAAATAAATGTATTTGGGGGTGAAATATTTTGATTTCCTGCAGGGTGTGCTATTTGTCATGTGGTGCTGTACCCGAGTCAGGCTGGAGTTTGGTGTCGTTGCTGCTGAGGCTGTGCTGTCTGTCTGTGATCTCTGTTTCATCACGCTGGTCAGCTCTGCCTAAACTCCAAAGGGAGGTGATGTAACCAGGCGTGTCTGACCTCCCTTGCCGTCAGGGCCTGGAATTTCTTTCCTCAGGTTGCCCTGGGGTCTCCTTGGCCAAGAGGGGGTTCAATTCAGTCAGTTAGGGGACTCAGGATTTTATTTTTGGTTTACAGTCCTGAGAGCCAAGCTGTGCCCATGAGGCTTGTGGGAGGTAGAGTCCGGGTAGAAAGGGATGAAAGGCCCTTGGCACTGAGGAGTCCCCGGAGCTGTTCTAAGGCTGGGACTCTCAAAGTAGGGCCACTTAGGGCCTTGTTAGAAATGCCTGCTTCTCCACAGCCCCAGCCCAGACCTGCCAGCTCAGAACTGTCTGCTTGGCGCCTGGCTCCCTGTCTGTCATCCCTGCGTGGAGCTGTCCCACAGGGATAGGGCGCCCATTGCCCGTGGCAGTGCAGGGGTCTGGCTGCATGCAGGCATTCCCGTTGTCAACATTCTCATGTTTTCTTATGTCCCTGTTGACCTGACTCAGATCAGTCACCTGTGGCCCTGATCAATCACCTGTGACTTAGGTCATCCTGCTGATCCCCTGGGGGCACACAGGCCATGGCTTGGGCCCCCACTTCTACCTAGAGTGTCCAGCCGCCTTCTCCCACTGGTCCCCCTGGCCAGCGCCCGCCACGCCCTGCGTTCTTCATGCCTGTGGCTGCTGGAGAGGATGGTTAGGTGTGGGCTCTGCTTCCCAGGAGCCTCCAGCTGGAAGGAGCAGGACAGGCCAGGGCACCTTTGTTTTCCTCAGAAATTTGGATTGAACTTTAGCTCTTGACTGGCTTTTTCAAGGCTGGGAAAATAAATGTTTTTTCTTATAAGAAGGTGGCTTAAGAAACAAAAGTTGTACTGTTTGGTGTGACCAAGTGTCATTCTAGTGTTTGTGGAGATTTGGCTTAAGCCTGTCACTTCTAAGTACTTTGCAGAACAAAACCTTGTTGGGTTCCTGAAGATCTGCCTGGCAGTGATGGTTGCTGGGTTTGTGATGGAAGATGAGGCACCAGGGCCTGGGGCTACACTTTGGCCCGTCTGACCGGTGAGATCTCCGAAATGCCTCTGCAGTCTTGAGTGGACAAGAGGGTGCACCCTAAAGGCAGGGCCTGTGTCCCCGTGCGCCCTCTGTGGCCCTGGTGCCTGTTCCCTCCCATCTCCTTCACTTGGTCAGCCTGAGAAAACAGGGCAGGCCACCACCCACAACAGGCTGAGTCCTCCTAGACCTGCCCTCAGGAGGGCGGGAACGCTTATGTTGTAGATGATAGCACATGAGGTTGCGTGGAACAGGCCGAGTCCTCCCACACCTGTCCTCAGGAGTGCGGGGGCGCTCATGTTGCAGGTGATAGCACGTGAGGTTGCGTGGGATAGTCACGGTCACGCAGCTGAGTGACAGGCCGGGATGGGTGTCCAGGTGTGGGTGACCTGGAGCCATGGCAGTTCATTCCTGTGTCTTTGTAGAGGACAGGTGGGGGTTGGGAGCTGGACACATCCGACATCTCTTGAAGGAAGGGTAGGGCATTCTGTGATTGCTGCCAGCTCCTCTGTCCCACTTGGTCTGGTTTCTTGTCTACTCGACTAGGCTGCAGGCTTCTTGGAGATGAATTAGAACTTGGTGTTCCCCACAGGCTCATTGTCCGTTTACTGGAAAAAGAAACAATAAGGGCCAGAGGGAGGGGGACATGCAGGTGTCAGCGGGCATTTGGCGGGGCTGACGGCCCGTGAGAGCTGCCAGGTGCTCACTGGACTCGGGAGGATGGAGAGGGTGGAAGGAGGAAGAGTTGGGCAGTGGAGGCCTCCTGTCTCCTTACGGGCCCAGAAATGGCTTAATGTAGCCCCGCTGTGGCGACCACATGAGTATTTTACAGAAAGGATGGTGCATCGGAGCAGCCGGGCTCCCCGCTGGCCTCCCCAGTGGCTGTGGTTGGTGCGTCTGAGACTACACCGAGAGACCCAGGCCACTTACTTGTTGTTGAAGTAAGACGGGATGGTTTGCTAAGAGGGCCTTACAGCCACGTCCAGGGAGCCGTCTCCGCTGTGTCATGCCGGTCGTCGTGCCATGGGGTGACCCAGGTCATAAGCACTGCTTGGGCTTCCCTGACAGAGGACGGGCTGAGGGACTGTCATTCCCTACCAACAGATAAACAGCATTGGAATTGCTGTCACCTCGGAGCACCCTTCGAGGCTGAAGAACGTGTAGTTTTGGTTTACCAGAATTGAGTTAAATGCTGGGGATCAAGAGTCCATGGGACCCAGCCCTGCCCTCAGTCCCCAGATGAGGCGACCGTAGCGTGTGCCCGGGTTTTCTCAGACCAGCCCTTGGCAACTTCTAGGTGATTTGTGTTAGGCTCTCCTGGTCGCTAGGTGGGTTTCATTTCTACCCAGGCCTGTTATTCCAAACTTGTGCCTTGAACTTGGAGCTTAGCTAAGAAGACCTTTGCTCAGCCAAGAGGGGGCTCCACCCAGAGAGGGTCTTCTCCAGGGACTGGTATGCGGAGTTCGAGACCCCAGCATGGCCCTGACTCAGGAAGGAGAGGCTGCAGTGGACCTCTGTCCCTTAAACACAGCTCCCTAGTTGCCTTTCAACTTGGGAGATTGTTTTATCTTTACTGTAATCATTTTCTAGAACGATTTGATACTGGACTATACATTAGACTTCTGTAGACTTTTTCATTAGAACGTGACAAGCAGTAAAGAGTTAACCTTGTTAGATTCAGTATTAGAGTTATTTGACAAGCACATTTGAAATAAATGTTAATCTACTATATATAGAAGCTTAATTATTTCCCAAGTATTTTTAAGACTGGAGTCCTAAAATAGCCAGGCTCTTGAGCAGAAGTGAGAATAGGCCTGCGGTCTCATTTCTGCCTCCCTTTGGAACCCCCTGGCTGTGCTGGGTTGGGCACCCCCGCCCCTGCCACACCCTGTGCCTCTCAGCTGGCTCTAACCCCAGAGGCCCAATGAAAGCAGGCCATTTGCATTCTGCTTTAGAGGTTCAGAGCTAGACAGGTGGGCAGAGCAGGAGAAGGGGAGGGTACCCGTTGAATGAGGCCAGTGCCCTGAAGCTAAGCCTTTTACGTGTTTTGTATTTGATTTGATAATATGGACTACCATATCTTTTGTGTTGCCATGAATACCGTCCATCTGCCGAGTCCTTGCCGGTACTCCTGGCGCCTGTTCAGCTGCTGAGGGAGGCCTGTGTAACTGAAATTCTCCCTCATCTGCTCGGCCTTCCCTGAGCACACGGCCTGGCATTCTTTCAAGGACAGACAAAGGCGACGTGGGGTGCCCGCATGCCCCTTCACCAGGACTGACCCTGAGTGGGGTGGTGGTGTTGGGAGCGTAGCTCTACTGAGGCAGGTCGAGGTGCTGCCCCTGCGGACTGGTGGATGGAGCTGGACTTCCCTCGCCCTGCAGTGTGTGCAGGGGCTCTGCGTGAATTCACGCTCCGGGATGAATTTGCGCTGGAAATTCATCTGTTGGAGGAACAGCAGGGAACAAAGCAGGGAGGTCCCCACCTGAGGAAGCCTGTGCTTTAGAGGGAGTAGCAGACAGTCAACAGGAAGACAAATAAAACAAGGAAGTGGCCGGGGCAGTGGCTCCCGCCTGTAATCCCGGTACTTTGGAAGGTGGGAGGATCACTTGAGCCCAGGAGTTCAAGACCAGCCTGGGCAACATAGCAAGATCCCCACTCCTGTGGCCCCAGCCACTTAGGAGGCTGAGATGGGAAGATCACTCGAGCCCAGGAGGTTGAGGCTGCAGTGAGCCGTGATCACTCTCCTGTACTCCAGCCTGGGTGACGGAGTGAGACCTGTCTCAAATTAAAATAAATGAGTTACCTATAGGTTGTAACTCCTAGAAAAATGAACAGACCAATTAGAAAGAAACTGGAGTGGCCCTGGGTGGTAGAGCAAGGCGTCAGAGGGCAGCGACTTGGGAGAGGAGCCACGAGGTGAAGGCCCTGCCAGGGGCATGGCCAGCACAGAGGACCCGAGACAGCCAAGACTGCAGTGTCCAGGGGACCTTTTGTTTTAGAGATCGGTCTCTTCGTGTGGTCCGGGTTGGCTTTGAACTCCTGGGCTCAAGGGACCCTCCTGCCTCAGCGTCCTAAGTAGCTGGGACGATGGGCAGGTACCACCACGCCCGGCTAAAAGGACTTTGATAGGGTCTTGGTCGCTCAAGGGGGCAACCACGAGGTCCCTGAGGGCCCGGCAGCAGGCAGATGCAGGCTCAGTAAACGGTGCTTGTCTTCTTCCTGAGCAACAGAATGCCAAAGAACAATTTTAAGCAGGGAAACCTGGTTTCTAGGTAAAACTCTCTGGCTGCTCTCTGGAGAACTGAAGACCAGAAACCAGCGGAGCACAGTGGGATGTGTGAGAGAGGCCAGGCCGCGCGTGGCAGCTGGGGCCTGAGGGGCAGAGGGAGGGTTGGCACAGCCAGGTGGGAGGAGGCTGCCCGCCGGGCTTGCTCAGGGCCTGGATTGCGAGGCGGGAATGAGGCCCGGGGAGCGTTGTCTTTGGAAGGCCAGCTCAGGGTTCCCTGAAGTGTGAGGGATCCTCGGGGAACAAAGGGGAAGTCTGTGCCTTCCTGGTAGAATTGTGGTTTCAGGTCATGTAGACAGTGTTTGGGCAAAAGTTACCGAAGGCCATGTCTTGTCTTCTTGGAGCATGAGAGGGTGCAGGGAGGTGGGCACGCACCTGAGATGCGGAGCAGCGTGTTTCGCTCCTGCCCAGGGCACGGCTCTTGTTCCTGGCCCCTGGCTGATCAGTTTCCCCGTCTGACTAGTTTTCTGCATCCTGTTGCTAAGGAAATATTAGGTAAAACCTGGAAATAGGACAAAAAGCTGAGTCTTGTGTCCTCTCAGCATCATGTTGGGGTGTTGCACAGGCTCGCCCAAGGGCTGTGACCTGGGGCACGGACATCTGTGTGTTTATCCTGCTGTTCACTGCTGATTAAGGGCCCAGGCTCTGTGGTTACTCGTGAGCTCGCCGACCTCATCTGTCTGGTAGACAAGGAAAGCCCAAAGGTTGTGGTTTTCTTGCCCCATAGGACAGTTTCTTTGTGCACTGTCCCTGGGGGCAGATAGCACTATTCTCTGTGCTCCCCACCTGGCCTCACCCTTTCCTTCAGCAGTCCCAGTGGAAGAATGTTGTTGACGCATGTTCACTCTGCGTTTGTGTGAGAATCGTGTGTTTAGCTTTTGGAAAATTCTACTTGGACACTGGCACAGGACGGGCTCCAGGTGACACTGGCACAGGATGGGCTCCAGGTGTGGCACAGGACGGGCTCCAGGTGACGCCGGCCCAGAGCAGGCTCCAGGTGTGGCACAGGACGGGCACCAGGTGATGCAGGCCCAGGACGGGCTCCAGGTATGGCACAGGACGGGCTCCAGGTGACGCTGGCCCAGGATGGGCTCCAGGTGTGGCACAGGACGGGCTCCAGGTGACGCCGCCACAGGACGGGCTCCAGGTGTGGCACAGGACGGGCTCCAGGTGTCGCCGGCACAGGACGGGCTCCAGGTGTCGCCGGCACAGGACGGGCTCCAGGTGTCGCCGGCACAGGATGGGCTCCAGGTGTGGCACAGGACGGGCTCCAGGTGATGCAGGCCCAGGACAGGCTCCAGGTGACGCCAGCCCAGGATGGGCTCCAGGTGTGGCACAGGACAGGCTCCAAGTGACGCCGGCCCAGAGCAGGCTCCAGGTGTGGCGCAGGACGGGCACCAGGTGATGCAGGCCCAGGACGGGCTCCAGGTGACGCCAGCCCAGGATGGGCTCCAGGTGTGGCACAGGACAGGCTCCAAGTGACGCCGGCCCAGAGCAGGCTCCAGGTGTGGCACAGGACGGGCACCAGGTGATGCAGGCCCAGGACGGGCTCCAGGTGACGCCGGCCCAGGATGGGCTCCAGGTGTGGCACAAGACAGGCTCCAGGTGTGGCACAGGACGGGCACCAGGTGTGGCACAGGACGGGCACCAGGTGTGGCACAGGACAGGCTCCAGGTGACACCGGCCCAGGACGGGCTCCAGGTGACGCCGGCCCAGGACAGGCTCCAGGTGTGGCACAGGACGGGCACCAGGTGATGCAGGCCCAGGACGGGCTCCAGGTGTGGCACAGGACGGGCTCTAGGTGACACCAGCCCAGGAAGGGCTCCAGGTGTGGCACAAGACAGGCTCCAGGTGTGGGACAGGATGGGCACCAGGTGATGCAGGCCCAGGACGGGCTCCAGGTGTCGCCGGCCCAGGACGGGCACCAGGTGACGCTGGCCCAGGACGGGCTCCAGGTGACGCAGACCCAGGACGAGCTCCACGTGACGCAGGCACAGGACTGGCTTCAGGTGTCGCTGGCACAGGACGGGCTTCAGATGTGCACTCCTGACGCTGGGAATTCACCCGGTATTTTATTTATCAGAGGTGTCAAGGTGGAGTGCACCCGTGTAAGTCTCGGGGCGCACGCTGGGTTTTGGAGCACCCGTTTGGCCAGGGGGCCTGTGGTTTGGGTGATGCTGCAGCGCTGGCTCTTCTGCTGTCGTGAGGAAAGCCTCAGATTGGCCAAAACTGGAGGGAAAGCAAGGTGGGTTTTTTCTGTCTCCTTTATTTAAGCTGGCAGCTGCGGCCTGTTTCAGAGGGCGTCCTGTTTCAGATACCTGTGAATATCCGTCTAGTCCGGCTGAAGGAGAATCACCATTGCCACCTAGCATCTGCCCCATCTCCGCACACCGTGCGTCTCCCCAGGGGCCGGCACACAGCCCTCTGTCCTTGGGCAGCAGCCAGTCCTGTCTCCGGGTGCCCCATGGAGGAGAGCTGTCTACCTGGCTCTCTGTGCGGAGCAGGGAGTGGGGAGGAGGTGGAGGGTCAGGAGCGTTGTGACGATGCCTGGGACAGCTGAGTGGAGGTGGTGGGTGGCAGGTGGCTTGCAGAGTCTAGACTGGGAGAGGTCCGGGTTGACTTGGTGGGGTGCAGCCCCCATCCTGGCCCTGACCCTGACTGCCAGTGACTTCGGACCCAGAGGGAGACTGGCTGCTCCCTCAGCTACGGTGGCTGCGAAGTTCCATACATCATCCTTACGATGGAAACTGCTCTCCACAGCCCAGTTCCTCCCGAAGCTGAGGCCAGAGAGTGTCGCTGATGAAAATGTTCATAGAGGAAGTGCCTGCAGGTGCTGAGCCGGAGACCCATGCCTTTCTGTGTGCCCGGAGTCCGTGGTCTTGGATGTGGAGAAGAGACGGCTCAGCCTTGGCCACCACTGGGCCATGCTGCCTCTGTAGCCACCAGAGCTCCACGGGTCGCCTGGGTGTGACCCAGCGCGAGGGAGAGGGGAGCAGGTGGTCTTCAGGGCTCTGGCTGATGCCAGCGCTCTATGCTTGCTGGCCACCCAGCTCACTGGCCACCGTCTTCCTTCACTCAGACGTCGTGGTGGTTATGAGTTCTCCACGCACATCAGTGGCTGCCCGTGGCTGTTGAGACAAAGAACAAAGTCTGCACCAAGATCTGCAGCCTCTTGTGAACCGGCCCGAGCCCAGCTCAGGGCTTCCCCTCGTCTTCCGTATGACGGTGTCCCTGACTCCAGGTGCTCCCGCGGCCGCCTCCCCTTCTGCCCTGCCAGCCTGAGTTGTCTTCTCTCCTTCTCTCCTTCCTTGGTCGTCACTCCCCGTAAGGGCCCAGCAGTGTCCCTGGTCTTGCATCCCCAGCACATGCTTGTCAGTCCCTGCAGGTGTGGCCGTCGTGGGGACGTGGCCTTTGAGTGGGCATGTTGGTCCTGGCCCTCCTCCGGGGGGTGTGCTGTGCCAGCACTCGTGCCTTTGACCCCGCCGATCCTCACACTGCCCTTGGGAGATGGATCTTCCTTGGCATCTCCATTTTACAGATGGAGCAACTGAGGCAAGAAGAGATTGTTACTTGCCCCAATTCTCAAAACCCAGTAAGCAGCAGAGCTGGATGTGAAGCTGCCTGGCTGGGTCTCCACCTGCAAGGAGGGTCTGCTGAGCATGGGCCATGGGCGGGGGAACCAGTTGAACAGCGGTCAGGGTAGACTCAGATGAAGTGGCATTCGGATGGAGACCTGGAAGGCAAATAGGAACGAGCCCGGTAAAGGGAGCGGGGGTCACACAGTCCAGACATGACTGGAGCAAGACTCGCCTGTGGTCGCTGGGGTGTGGCGCGATGAGGCTGGGGCGGGCGCAGTGGAGCTGGGGGGCCTCGTGGAGACCAGCCTTGCTCCCAAGCTGGGGTGTGGCGCGATGAGGCTGGGGCGGGCGCAGTGGAGCTGGGGGGCCTTGTGGAGACCAGCCTTGCTCCCAAGCCGGGGATGGCCATCGGGGCTTCCTCCAGGGCCCTGCTTCCGTCTCCACCTGCTGATGCGAGGTTCACAGGAGAGGTCTTAGTGACAGCAGCCTCACGCCCAGGAAGGTTCCTGGGTGCCAGCGTGCTAGCTCTGAAGGGGCTGTGTGAACTCTGTCACTTTTTTCTCCATAAAGTGTCTCTGTCAGGCCAAGAAGAATTTGCCACCGTTGCTCTAGGATGGTGCGTTGTCAACGCTGAGCTGGAAAAGGTGTGGGACATCTGCCGGACATCTGGGCGGCCCTCCAGGGGCTCAGTTAGAAGGGCAGCACTCCCGTTACGTGTGCAGTTGACCCTCAGACAACTTGCGGGCTGGGGGTGCCAGCTCCTGTACAGTCAAAAATGTGTATATAACCTGCGACTCCCCAAAAACTGAGCTCATAGCCCACCGTTGACTGGAAGCCTTACCAGTGACAAACGGTCGATTGACACAAACTTTGTGTGTTACACGTGTTCCGTACTGTGTTCTTACAGTAAAGGAAGCTAGAGAAGATCGTCGCACAAAAGAGAAGTAGGCCTTCTGCTCAGGAAGTGCCCCAGGTGGAGCCACGTGAAGGCCTTTGTCCTGGCCAGGCTGCCCCAGGTGGAGCCTCGTGAAGGCCTTTGTCCCGGCCAGGCTGCCCCAGGTGGAGCCTCGTGAAGACCTTTGTCCTGCCCCAGGTTGCAGCGGCAGAGGAGGTGGAGGCAGTAGAGGGGAGGCAGGCGTGTTCCGTGTCACTTCATGGAGGTACGTTGTGCCTTCTGTCTGGCTTTCTTGCTTTTTATTTCTCTAAACGGTTTCTGTGTGGTCCCAGTCTTCCTTCCACTGTTTGCTTTAGTTTTAGTGCCTGTTTTAGAAAAGGGTCCGTGTCATAGAAGAAAGCAAAAACCGTCTCGAGTGTTGAGAGTCCTGCCAGGTGATGGTGCGTTTGTGTTTGGCACTGGTGAGGAGGCACTTGGCTCCACAGCGTCGTCTTCTGTTCTCTTGAGTTGCTGCACGATTCGTCTCATGGAACCCTTCTCCCCTCCCTTTTGACCACATCCACGACCTCTCGTGGTTTCCTTGATTGGCTCTGTCATAAATCCCGTGAGGTCAGACACAGCCTGTGGACACAGTTTTCTCCAGCGGGAGTTTGTGTGGGCTCGACAGCCTTCACGGCTCTTCCTATAACAACGATGGCGTCTTCAGTGGTGCAGTCCTTCCAGCTGTCATCATGTTTCCTCTGTGAGGTTCTCTGCCACCGTGTTGGCCGTCCTGAGAGGACTGTGTAATGAGCCCTAAAGGGCCTTAGGACCCCAGATCTAGAGTAAGGCTCATTGTGTTTGGGGAGCAGGTAGACTGATGAAGCCTTCGGTGTTGAACTCATGAGTTCTTCGTGGCCAGGGGCATTCAGCAAGATGAAATCACTGTAAAAGGCAGTCCCTTACTGGAAGGTACTTCCTGGCTTCAGGGACAAAGCATCTGGAAAAGTGTTTCTCATTGCCCAGGCCTTCTCGTGCAACCAGAAGACTGGCAGCTGCTGTTTGTCTTTCTTGTTCGAGGCTCAGGGTTAGCGGCTTTATAGCTAAGGGCAGTCCTGCTGATACACCCGGCAGCGTGTGCACAAACAGCAGAGTCAGCCTCTCCCGACTGGTGCTCGCTCCTCTTCCTTCCTAATTCATGTCCTTTGTGGCATTTTTTCCCTAATAGGGCACTTGCGCCTGCATAAAAATACCTGTTCAGGCAGATGTCCTTTCTCCTCCATGATTTTCTTTTTTTTTCTTTTTTCTTTTTTTTTTTTTTTTTTTTTGAGACAGGTTCTCACTCTACCCAGGCTGGAGTGCAGTGGTGCAATCTCGGCTCACCGCAGCCTTGACCTCCTGAGCTCAAGTAGTTCTCCCATCTCAACCTGCTGAGTAGCTGGGACCACCGTGCCTGGCTAATTTTAAAATTTTTTGCAGAGACAGGGACTCCCTATGTTGCCCAGGCTGGTCTTAAACTCCTGGGCTCAAGTGATCCACCGGCCTCAGCCTCACAAAGTGCTTGGATTATAGCCATGAGCCTCCAGGCCCCGACTTACGCTGTATCCTGACAGTGGTTTACCTTTCTCTGTACTGTGAATGGTGCTGTGTGTGGTCTGTAAGTTTTGCGTGTGTGAGTTTTGATGCATTGTAACTTTTTATAATAGATTTGTATATATTTTGTGGTAGTAAATGATAAAACAGCATCTACATATGGTCTCTGCATTCATGACATGCCTTTTCTTAATTTTTTGTATATTTCTAGGCCGTGTGGCTCATCTGCAAGTTTTTTCAAATTGTCACATATCTCCAAAAAATTTCCCAATACATTTGTTGAAAAAATGTGCGTATTTAAGTGGACACACGCAGTTTAAAGACATATTGGTCAAGGTGACCCCTTCCCATGTGTCACGAAGAGGAGGGGACAGGAGGTGAGGGAGGCTGCCTGCCCTGTGCGGAAAGCGCTCACTGCACAGCCTCAACGGTTCCTGCAAACTGCCACGCGAAGTGCAAGGAAGACGGCAGGTCCTCAGATAACGACATTTCTGTCAACGTCATTTCCTTATAACGTGGATGAGAGAAAAAAAACTGGTTTTGTTATGTGTCCTTCCCCTTCAAGCCACCGTTTCCAGGAGCCTGTCAGTGACACGAAGTGAGGACTTCCTTAGTTTCCTCTGCCTCCCTGTTTATGTGTCTGAGGGTCAGTGGGTGGGACAGTTCCAGAGCAGAGGTTTCTCTTCGCTGGGAGAGCCTGGCAGATGGGACCTGCGGAGGAGGCGGAGAGGGTGGAGGGGGTGGAGGGGGTGGAGAGGGTGGAGGGGGTGGAGGGGGCGGATTGCCGGCCCTGAGGCTCGCTCTCCCTCTCTCGGCCTCTGAGGACTTGGAGCTCGGTGTCCTCATCTGCCAAGTAGGGGCGGTGACATTCACACCACAGCCTTTGATGGAAGCTCAAAAGGAATAAGGTGGGTCCGGGTGCTTCCAAAGCATTAAGGGCTGAAGAAACTGCACGGAGGCCATGGTAGCGGGCTGGGTAAGGAGCGATCAGTGTGGGGCTGTGAGGGGCACTGCCCTTCTGCCGCGTCATTTCGCACAAGCCCCTGAGCACTGGCCAGGGGCCTCCTATGTGTGGGGATGGGCCGCCAGGCTGATTGGACACGGATCCCTGCCTTCCAAGGGCAGAGCCCTCTGGTCTAGTGGAGAGACGGTGTGAAATATGTTGGGAAGATGAAGATCTTTTGCTTTTGCAAAGCCTTGGTTTTCTACATGTTGAAGGAGGCAGCGTGTCCTGCGGGAGCCTTTGTAAGGGAGTTGGTGGAATGATTCCTCCACAGGTGTTTGCCTCAGGGCGTAGCTGATGCATGTTTGGGCTGCAGCATGTCACCTGCGTGACGGGGAGTCTTCATTCGCCACGGTAGGATGGGGGCGTATTCTGGTCACACGCTAGTCGGAGTCGGGCACGCCTGTTAGGACGTTTGCCCTCCATGCTCGAGGTGTGTGCTATGCGGACCTGACGGACTTTGGAGCCTTCCTCGGCCTCTGTGAGCATCAGTTTCCCCGTCTGTAGGATCCTGCGTTTGTCACCAGGCCACTCCCGTGGTAGATAATTTGGTCAGAAAGCTTTGTCAACTGTAAAGGGCTGTGTAAATTTACTTCCCATGGAAACAAGGCCGGTCGGAGGCTTTTCCTGCCAATGAAACTAGGCCTGGGCAGGGGGTCAGGGAAGTCCTTGCTGAGGTGTTACCTGTGTTCAAATTGTGAAATAGATGGGAAAGCAACCAGGAACAGATCAGTGGAAAGAGTTCCACCAGGGAGGAGACAGGGCAGAGGCCCAGGGGTGGTGGGACGGAGGTCAGGCCTGTGCATGGCTGGAGGGGAGAGGAGGGGACAAGTGAGCGGAGCAGTGCTGGGTCTGGCGGATCCTCTGGAGGCCGGGACTCTCCCAGGCGCCTTCCAGCTCGGTTCAGAATGTTAGAATTATGTACTTAAGTCTTGATTTGAGTGTTTACTGGCTTATCATGGAAGAGTAACAGGTAGAAACAACCAGCAGACATTTGGTCTTGGGAATCTGAAGCCTCATTGGGGACAGCCTGTGAGGAGCCAGTGACAGGGTGGATTTGTGGCCCGACGTGATAAGGATGCCGTCACGGAGGCCGAGTACTGAGGCTCATGTGTTTTTGGGCAGCGCCCTGCGGTGGATGAGCTTGTTGGGAGTGGGGCACAGGAATCAGAGCAGTTGTGAGGCCTGGGTCGGATCATGCCTCTGTTCCTCCTGGGCTCAGCCCTTTGGCACCTGGGATTCTGCATTCCAGGTGTTACAGAGTTGTTTACTGCAGGGCTGACAGCCATTCCCACCGGCCACATTTGAACTCTTCACATTCTCTCTAGCGCTGCCTGAGATTCAGGAGAATTATTTAATTTTAGGGTTTTTTGAGATAGAGTCTCGCTCTGGCGCCAGGCTGGAGTGCAGTGGCGCTATCTTGGCTCACTGCAGCCTCCTCCTCCCGGGTTCATGCCATTCTCTTGCCTCAGCTTCCCAAGTAGCTGGGACTACAGGCACGCACCACCACGCCCGGCTAATTTTTGTATTTTTAGTAGAGACGGGGTTTTACCATGTTGGCCAGGATGGTCTCTATCTCTTGACCTCGTGATCTGCCTGCCTTGACCTCCCAAAGTGCTAGGATTACAGGCGTGAGCCACCACGCCCGGCCAGGAGGGTTATTTAAAAAGAGCAGCACCACCTGGCCTGGGCCCAGACTGTCCAAGCGGCCTTCACCTGAGGTGCCGGGAGAGTTCCACGGTCGCTGTGCAGGGCTCTGTGTTGCCACCTTGTACCAAGATCTACGGGAAGATAGAAACTAGGAAACATGCAGGAGAGGTGGCCAGAGGAGGGCAGGGTGTGATGTGGCCAGCAAGTGCCTGGGGCAGCAGGGATGTGCTGTGTGTTTGTTTGTGTAGGTAACATGCCCTAAGACAAATCTGAGAAACCACAGATGGGACCAGATCCCACCGTGAAAACCAAATCCTGGCAAACATCTTGGAACGTTTTCTTCTTCCCGTCTTTTGTTTTTGCTGTTTCTAGGCCGGCTTGATGATGTCACACGGCCGTGATTCTGTTGTGTGTGCAGTCTGGGCTCTCAGAGCAACTTTTTGTTTTGTTACATGTTCTTTCTGGGCACAAAGGTGCTTTTTTTTAAAAAAAGTGTGGAATAAAAATGTGTTATAGAAATTCCCAATAAACAGAATGAAACCATGTGGAATTGTGAGCCAGATAAAAGGCCACAGAAATGAGACACTTCGCCAGGATGCACGGGCTGAGGAGCCGGGGCTGTGGAGGGGTCCGCCCGTGAGCTGCCCACGGCGGGGCTGCTGGGAGCACCTCCTGTTTCCGCGTCCCGTGCCGTCTGCTGCGCTGACTGGGTGAGAGCATGAACCCTTCTTCCTCAGTTCCATGTGGTCTGAGGCTTGGGCAAGGAGTGGCCGGGGATGCAGAGAGCTCGTGTCGCTTCTCCCTCATCCACTGAAAGTGGCCTCAAAACCTGAATTGGTTTCACTTAGCCAGCGTAAGCGGGAACGGTATTTGGTCATTGTTTCTGAAAGAGGTTTCTTTCTTTTTTATTTTTAAATTACAGGGAGAAAAGGCCAGTATCTGAAACAGAGCTGTGGTATATTATGTAGAAAAATAGCAATCTGAACCGCTAACACACACAAGCCTTCATATTTGTACAGAGTCTGGTGATATGTTCCGTCTCTTCCAGGCATGCTTTTAACAGAACCTCTGGAGTTTGAGATCATAGCTCGCTCTCAGAAAAGACTCTTACTCTTTTTACATGATTTATAGTGGAATCATTGATTTAGACAAGTGGGCAGAATCGGAATACAAGGCAAAAAAGAGCCTCATCAGTATCTCAGTGACAGGCAGACATAACGTTCCCTCCCGTTCAGAAATCACTGGGCTTCCGGTCACAAGGCTGTGCCAGGGCAGCACCCCACGTGGCTGGCTCCATTCCTCCAGGCAGGTCCATTTGCTGGGTGCCTGGGTCTCGCCTCTGCACCTGCCTCTCCCACGGTGCGGCGTGCCCTGCCACACTGCCGACTCTGCTGAGGCCTCCAGGCTCCAGGATAGCCAGCACCCATCCCTTGACCCAGTGGTGCCCCTTTAGGCTGTCCCCTCAAAGTCTCAGGGCCTGGAAGGACCCCTACAGAGTGAGGAGCCAGGAAATATTTGTGAATTGTTGGCAGTGCAATTTTTACATCCCAGAGGAAGAACACAAATCTTTTAAAAAGAAAACCTCACTGGTCAGCTTCGGAAACCATGACTTTGATACTGGTGACTGAAGCACGAGCCAGGCACTCCCCTTCCTCATGTGAGTCATTCCGCTGGGTTGCAGTGAGGGCAGGTCTCTCTTTACAGAATTGTCCCAGCTCATCATGAGCAAACGGTGAGAGATGACACGTCACCATTTCACTGCAGCCCTGGTGCATTAATGCATTTAGGTCGTGATCACTAAGGAGAGAGGCGTCGCTTGCCTCTGGGTGGAAGCATGTTCCACTACCTACAAAGTAATGTCACCAAACAAATCAGACAAGAATCTAGATCTGAGTGCCCTGTTACAGAAATGCCAGGAGTCCGGGATGTTGTCAGTCAAACCCAGAGAAGGAAAGTGCCAGGACCCACCAGCAGTAACCAACAAGCCTCGCTGGGATCTTGATTCAAACAAACTTTAAACGAACAAATAGGGACTTTTTTTTTTTCTTAAGGTGGAGCCTCCCCCTGTCGCCGGCTCACTGCAGCCTGTGCCTTCCGGGCTCAAGCGGTCCTCCCACCTCAGCCTCTCCAGTAGCTGGGACCGCAGGTGTGCGCCACCAACGCCCAGCTAATTTTTTGTATTTTTTTTTTAGAGACAGGGTTTTACCATGTTGCCCAGGCTGGTCTCAAACTCCTGGGCTTAAACGATCTGCCCACCTCGGCCTCCCAAAGTGCTGGGATTCCAGGCATGAGCCACCATGCCCAGTGGAGAGCCTTCATCTTTCAGAGGCAAAGCCTGGTGGGTTTTGTGTAGAAATGACGTGCTGAGATTTGTTGTGGGACAGTTCTGAAAGTGGGTGGAGACTTTGGCAAAACAGGATTCACCTTGAGCTGATAATTATTGATCCAAGAGGTAGAATGTGTGGGATTTGTTACATTTTTATCTCTATTTTATTTGCATGTTAGAAATTTTCCATAGCAAAAACTTTAGAGATAGGAACAAAAAAATTTATGGTTCCTTTTAGCCTCCCCAAAATGGCATAGGTGTTCCAGGGTTTGCGGGCAGTGTCTGGGATGGTGTTGGAAACCACTTCACATGTGTCTGTGCACGCATCCTTGCCTTGAAAGACCCTGCTCAGATGCTGCCAGTACTCGCTGGAGTGAGAACACGGGAATGTTTTTGCCAAACAGCCTGGACCGTATCTGATTAATCTGCACGTACTTGCTTGCTGTCCTGACTTAAGTGCCGGCCGCTGACAGCCGCGTCTGTTACCAGCGCTTTCATCCATCAGGGTGTCATTTAATTAGGGGCCCACAGCCTTGTCCCTGCTCCGTGATGTGCAGGTTCAGCACAAATCCGCTTGTTCTGTGACTATCTGTGGTAGGAGAGGCATCGTGCTGTTGGTGGAGTTCTCTCTCCTAGCTCCACATAGACGCTCTGTGTGATGAGGGCCTAACTGATGACCTAGAGGGGGCAGGTGGGCTGGTCTCGCAGGTGGCCGCAGCCTGGAGTGGGGACTGCTGGGTCCTGGGCTTCCCGGGAGTCCAGTGCTCACCACACTGAAGGTCATGCTCCTGCTTTTCAGACTGGGCCAGTGCCATTCGCGTCGCAGCTCTGGACTGCATGGAAGAGAAGAACCAGGCCGTGTGCCATGACTACGACATCCACTTCTACCCCACCTTCCGGGTGAGTATCACGCGGCTGCTTGTCCGTTGAAATTCACCTTCTACCCCACCTTCCAGGTGAGCATCACGCGGCTGCTTGTCTGTTGAAATTCGCCACATCATAGTGCCTGTGTTTTCGGCTTCTCTGGCTCTCTCCTTGGAACTTCGTAGGAATTGTAGGAGCTGATGTTTGGTGGGGGCAGCTCTTGTTCCACCCTGTTGTGCTGTGGAAGTGTCTGTGGGACTGTCCACGCTCACACAGACCCGGTCACATGGAGGGGATGCGTGAAAAGACCCCCTGCAGCCTGCACGGCCAGGGGGCGCAAGGAGACCAGGACTGCGAGGGCTGGCACCCCAGCCTGAAGCCACGCGTGTGGTCCGTGTACCATGGGGCTCTCACACATGCACACTCATGCACACACACACGCACACACAGGCACAGGGCCTCTGCCTTCCCCAGCCAAAGTCAGCCCTGCAGACAAGGCTGTGCCCATTGCTCCCACTAGGGGGCGGAGGTACCTGTGACCCTGTTGCAGGCCCGTGCATAGCATGTGTGTACCTGCGGGTGCCACTGCCTCCTGCGTGCCTTGACATGGACATCTCCAGAAACGTGGGCGCCTTGGGCCCACTTCCTGGGAAGCTTTGTCAATTTGAGTAAAACTCCGTCCTTGTCAGCCCTGGTGCCTTGCTGTGTGGTGTGGTGTCATGTCATGGTGGCTTCGCTTGTATTTTGGGGGCTGTTGTTTTCACTGTGCTGGCAGCACCTGTGGTCCTGCCCTAACAGGTGCCACGCTGGGCGGCACCGGTGTCAGCCCTGCCCCAGGGCCTCTCGGGGCCTGTGTCGCACACTTGCTTGCCTGCCTCTGCGTGTGATTACGTCAGCATGGCTTCCTGTTGTATTTTGATTTTGCTTCAGACACAGTTCACACTGTGCTGTATGTAAACTTTCGGGCCCTCTTTCTGTTACTTAATGGGACATTGCCCAGATCCACTACGATGCTCATTGGATGGGATTGTCCAGTGACGTCACTCTGAGAACCAGAGCCCCCCGTTGCCAGGTGTGTGGGCTCTTCCAGGCTTTGGTGGCTTTGAACGGCGCTGCTGTGCGCCTTCCCGGGCAAGGGGAGAGCTGAGGCTGGGAGAGAAGCCACTGGGCCGCGAACCGGGTCTGTGCACAACAGACCTGCAGGGCCAGCAGTGTCAGGCAGTTTTGTGCTCGCCCAGGGACCAGTGCAGCAGGAAGCACTGGCGGCTTCGTTTGCATTTCCCTGGCGGCTGCAGTGCCAGCACATCTGGCTTTGTGGGCCGTGGGTGTCATGGGTGAAGTGTCTTCCTGTCATCTGCACGTTTCCCTCTTAGCTGGCCAGTGCTTTTCTTACCGACCTCATCTCCGCCATCATGTAACCTTGTCTCGTCGCTGTCTCTAACGTACCCTTTGATGAAGAAAGTTTTTAATGTTAACATAAGAACCTAATCATCCACTCAGAGATACTGCGTGGTGTCTCCTCCTCCTGCACATCCTCCGTGTTGTCACAGCTAACGCTACAGCTAACCATTAAGACATAGGCTCACTACCAAGTCCCAGAGAGCGGTGTCTTTTATGATTCCAGCCCAGTTGAACTGTCTTGCTTCTAGCCCTGTTGGGTCAGAAAATGTAAATGATGGGAATGCTGATTGGAGCTAACCTTAGCCCCCTCGTAAATCTGACAGGAAACATTAATATGCACAAAGACAAGGAGAAGCGTGTGGTTTGTCATTAATTTATGAAAACTTTCCGAAGGAAATTGAGTAAAGCTCCCTCTAAGGTGACGGGCGTTTTGTTGCTTAAACACATGCAGATGCCCATGGAAGGCTGCCTCTTACTTGTTCTGTGTTTTTCCTCTTAGTATTTTAAAGCATTTACAAAGGAGTTTACAACTGGAGAAAATTTTAAAGGTAAGGACATAAGCATTGTATTTTAGTCCCTGAGATTCCCCTCATAAACCTGCTAAAGACACACGGTCCCAGAGCCTGGGGAGCTCCCAGCCTGGGTCAGCACCTTTCCCTCTGCTGACCTTCCTGCCTGCTTTCCCTTAAGAGTTCAGATATTAATAGTTTCAAAGAGAAATTTTAATTTTGTGCTTTGCCTTGCTTGGCAAATATTGTAGTAAAAACTTTTTCAGAGTAAATTTTTTATTGTAAAAATATTTGGAGATGTGCACAGATCACATGTACCCACCCGATGAATTTTTACAAATGATCCCACCCAGCCGAGCATCGCCCAGAGTGTGATCAGACCCCGCAGGCCACACCCTGGGGGGCTCTGCCTGTGAGGGACCCGGTGGAGCTGCCTGGCCTGCTCCTCGCCGCGCCCTGGGGGGGCTCTGCCTGTGAGTGACCCAGTGGAGCCGCCTGGCCTGCTCCTCGCAGTGCCGTGTCTTGCCATCTGCCTCTGTTGCCTGTCCCTGTGGCCCACCCATGCTTGTGTCATTGCTGTGTGGTCTCCAGTTGTGTGAATCCAGCGCTGTCTGTACCACGCCTGTGGGTGGCATTGGGCACACCCATTGGGATTGCACATGTTGCTGCCACCTGCACCCTGCTGTCTTTGGGCCCCAGGCTGGGACGGGGCTGCTGTCCCTGGGTGTATGCCTGCCCCACGAGGACAGCCGCACACACAGCTCTGACCCTGGTGTGCTTCCGGCAGGACCTGACCGAGAGCTGCGAACAGTCAGACAGACGATGATTGACTTCCTGCAGAACCACACGGAAGGAAGCCGGCCCCCTGCCTGCCCGCGCCTAGACCCCATTCAGTGAGTAGCTCCATGAAGAAGGCGGCCGTTAGACTCGTGTTGAACTGTGCAAGAAACGTAATAGGTTTCTATTAAGTGATGTGGCCACTGGGATGTGGTGGCCAACTCGCTGCTGTTGACGGCACTAAAAGCCTCTTTTTTTCCTCTTGAAAGGCCCAGTGATGTTCTTTCCCTTCTTGACAACCGTGGCAGCCATTACGTGGCTATTGTCTTTGAAAGCAACAGCTCCTACCTTGGACGGGAGGTACGGCCTCTGCGTGGGCTCCAGGTGTCACACGTGGTGTGATTGGGGTTGGCGGTGGATCTGTGATGAGATTTGCAGGTGCCGGTCACTGTGTCGGCATCTCGTGTCCTGTCTGTGGCTTTAGGTCTTGTTCATTATCAGAAGCTTAGTTAATGTTACTCAGCAAAGTCACTGGTGTCTGGAGAAGACTGTTAGGATGAATGAGCTTGGCGGTGGGAGGGGTTCAGAAGGTGGCCTAACCCTAGGTTTGAAACTAAGAGGGGGCTTTGCAGAAGATCTCATTTTTATGACACGCCCAGCTCACCTTGAGGTCATTCTGTATTTTGTATGCATTATTACTAAGATTTTTTTCGTTGCCGTATTCTGAACTCTCAACATTTTTGCCAAATCCAAGATTCTGTAAAACGTCGTTTCTATCGTCATACTTTGATTTCACAC
Source organism: Homo sapiens (assembly GCF_000001405.40). Classification (NCBI taxonomy): domain Eukaryota; kingdom Metazoa; phylum Chordata; class Mammalia; order Primates; family Hominidae; genus Homo; species Homo sapiens. Next base: position 136,223,324 of record NC_000009.12, on the reverse strand, counting down.
GTACAGTTCTGAAGCCTTGCTTCTGGCCAAGTCTAAATAAGGTCCAGGGACCAGGTGCAGGGGCAGCTCACGGAGAGTCATTATTGCTGACAGTCTTCCCGGAGACGAGAGAAAGGCCTCACTGCACATGCGTTCGCCCAGCACTCACCCTGAGCTTCTCCTCCTCCTCCTTGCAACTTGATAGGCGACTGTTTTTCTGTCCACTGTGAGGGGCCTTGCGGTGAATGTAGGAAACAGCTTTGCCCCTGCGAGGGCTTTTGGAGACGCACTTGGGAAGGCAGCTGCAGACACCTGCACTGTGACCGTCTCGCTTTGTGCCCTGGCTGCCCTCCTGGCACCCCAGCACCGCCCCCTCCAGGTTTGATGGTGACGCCAGGCTGCCTCCAGATGGTTGGCCAGGATTCTCTGTGGAGGGCTGAGGAACCGCTAGCAGTGTGTGGCTCTCCCAGACCCCTCACCCCTGTCCCAAGGCCCCTCGTGCCCTTGCTGTCTCGGGCGGGGCCTCCACACACGCAGACCAGAGGCAGGTGTTCCCCTGAGAAGAGGCGGGTGTGGGACCGTCTTGGTGCCGGGCACGCTCCCCTACCTGCCTGGCATGCTGGTGCGTTCGGGGCAGCCAGGCTCCACTCGTGCAGGAGGAGTGCTCTTCAGCACAGAGTCACGGCATGGCCCAGAGCAGAGACCAGTGTGGCCCCAGAGTAGCGATCAGCTCTTCGCAGACACACCCAGCTCAGGAGAGGCACGGCCACGCGGGGCGCCCAGTTCACACCTTTAGCCAGGGCCCTTGGTTTGAGGAGCAGCTGGTTTTGTTCCTCTGTTAAGAGAAGGAAAGACGTACGCCCGATGTGGTGGTGGCGCACGCAGGGTTTCTTCCAAAATCCTGAGATGCCACTCCTGTGGTCTCTCTGCCACGGAGACCCTGTTGCTGCCCCTTCAGCCTGAGCAGAACCAGACAGGAGCAGGGTGGCTGGGGAGGAGCGGCAGCACGAGGCCTGCTGCCCCGGCCACGAAGCTTCCACACGCGGGACGGGAGTGCGAGGCCGTGGGGTGTGGCTGCTGTGTGCAGGGACTCACTTGACCAGTATCAGTGTTGTGGGGGGCGCGCTGGTTTTAGAAAGTCAAGTGCAAATTCGCGGATAAGTGTTTTCTTTGATGAGTTTGTAAAATTGCCGAATAAGACCGTGGTTTCTGCTCATGGCGTGTGTGCCGTCAGTTGCCTTAAAGTGCAATGAGAGTGAAGATTTGAGTGAGGGTCTTGCCTGCAGGGGGACAGACTTCATGCCCTTTTGTGAAAGGTTCCCTGCAAGGCCATGTGTCTGCACGTCGTGTTTTCTGAGAAACTGCCAGCCCCTGTGGAAGTGTCATTGTGTTCTCATCCCCCAGGTGATCTTAGACCTGATCCCGTATGAAAGCATCGTGGTGACCCGAGCACTGGACGGGGACAAAGCATTTCTGGAGAAACTTGGTGTTTCTTCAGTCCCTTCGTGTTACCTGATCTACCCAAATGGGTCGCATGGATTGATTAACGTGTGAGTGCCCGGGTGGGGTCTGGGAACTCCGTGCCGCTCGGAGTTACCGGACAGAGGCTCCGAGTAGACAGTGCAAGTCTGGTGTGAGATCGGGGGAGCCCTGGCCCCTCCGCCTCGCTTCCCTGGGCAGATTTGGGCCCTGGCTCTCAGCCCGTGGGTATTGCTGATCTGTGCTGTGTTTTCGTGGATTTCTGTTTTCTCACTGCTGTGTCCCCGCACCTAGGAGGAGCCTGGCGTGGTGACTTACCAAGAGTCGCAGAGGAAACCGTGGCTAAACCAGCACATGCATGAGGGCTGCTGGGCCGGGGCTTTGGGAGCAGCCGATGCTCCTAAAACCCTGCTCTGGGTGGACTCTTGGGATGCAGTTTGGGTCTGTGTCTGGGGCTGGCAGACAAGCCCACGTGCCCACCTCTGCAGAATGAGAAGTAGGGGTGGGCACCAGGCCCTGCCCCTCACGTTCTGCTCTTTCTCTAAGAACTGCAGAACCTTGGCAAGCCCTTTGCCTCTGCGTGGGGTGCCCGTGTGCCCCTCATGAGGATAAGCCCTTCGCCCCTGCGTGGGGTGCCTGTGTGCCCCTCATGAGGATAAGCCCTTTGCCCCTGCGTGGGGTGCCCGTGTGCCCCTCATGAGGATAAGCCCTTCGCCCCTGCGTGGAGTGCCTGTGTGCCCCTCATGAGGATAAGCCCTTTGCCTCTGTGTGGAGTGCCTGTGTGCCCCTCATGAGGATAAGCCCTTTGCCTCTGCGTGGAGTGCCTGTGTGCCCCTCGGATAAGCCCAATGAAAAAGTAAACAACTTGAATCAGGTTAGAAAAAGAACAGTGAGAAAAATGAGGCTGGGCACAGGTGAATCATTTGAGTCTAGGAGTTCCAGACCAGCCTGGGCAACATAGTAAGACCCCATCTATACTAAAAAAAAGACTAGCCAGGTCTGGTGGTGTGCCACTGTAGTCCCAGCTACTCAGGAGGCTGAGGTGGGAGGATCACTTGAGCCTCAAAGGTCAAGGCTGCAATGAGCTGAGATCCTGTCACCGCACTCCAGCCTGGGCGACAGAGTCAGACTCCATCTCAAAAAAAAAAGAAAGAAAATGAAAAATGGTTGAGAAAGTTAAGTAACGTCCTGAGGCTGGAGGGGCCCCGCTCCTCCTCACCTTGGGGAGAAGGACAGCGTGAGGAGAAGGACAGCGTGAGGCTAGCCTGCCCTACACTGGGTGGCCCCTTCCCCTGGCCTGAAGTTGCAGCACCTGCAGGCTTCCAGCATGTGCTGGTTTAGCCACGGTTGACTCTGCGGCTCTTGGTGACTCACCACGCCGGGCTCCGAGGTGCAGGGACACAGCAGTGAGAAGATAGGACGTGTTTCCTGTCTCTTGGGGCTTCCAGTTCAGCCTCCTCAAAGATCGACTGGGGCATAGAGGGCGCCTTACAGAAGCCCAGAACACCGCAGTTTCTTAAGTATTTTTCTTTCCTTTTGAAAAAGAGGCCAGGCTCACACCTGTAATCCCAGCACTTTCAGAGGCTGAGATGAGAGGATTACTTGAGCCCAGGAGTCTGAGACCAGCCCAGGTTGATAGTGAGACTCCAGCCTATGACAAATAAAACATTAGCCGGGCGTGGTGGAGTATGTCTGTGGCTACATCTACTCAAGGGGCTGAGGTGGGAGGATCATTTGAGCCCAGGAGGTTGAGGCTGCAGTGAGCTGAAATTGCACCACTGCACTCCAGCCTGGGCAACAGAGAAAGATCCTGTCTCAAAAATAGATAAATGAGTGAAAATACAAAAGATAAAGCTGGAATTCAGGGTAACCACAGAGGCCATTGAGCTTGTTGGGAGATGCTCTGAGTGCTTGGGGGCCTGGCTCTGCCAACGAGGTGGCCCATTCCAGGCCTGGGGCACAGCACTGCACTTGGCAGAGCGGCCTGAACCACTCCCAGATGTTTGTTTAGTGTTAAAAGTATCATCTAGACAACTTCTTAGTGTCAAATAATGTTAATATTTTTATAGATATTTTAATGTTTTTGCAAATAGCACTGCTACATTCTGTCTTTGGAAACAAGCTCCACGTCACACTGAAGTGCTCAATAATGGCATTGAGGGTGTCCTCAGAAGGCAGCTCCACCCTGTCCACACAGCGTGGGCACACAGGGGGCTCAGCTCCACCCTGTCCACACAGGGTGGGCACGCAGGGAGCTCAGGGGCCTGACATCAGGGAGGGGCTGACGTCCACCCCAGGCCCCGACTTCCAGATGCCTCACTCAGGGCTGGCAGATTGTGGGCGCGTCGGTGAAGGCTCTTAGGCGTGTTGGAAATCGCAGTCAGAATAAAGCTCATCTTGGCAGATGCTCAACCCAGCTTTACAAAACGCCTTAAGGTCCCCACAAACATAAATGAGTCATAGTACTTATTACAACTGGAACTGGTTGTAAATCTGTGGATTTGGTGTGTCTCCTCTTATCCCCCAGGTGGAAGCGCAGCCGGAGCCCAGGCGGGGTGTCAGCTGTTCCCACTGACTCCCATGCCCCAATAAATGCCCAAAGGATGAAAGGGGTGGCCCAGAGCTGTCCTGAATGCCACGGCTCCTACTTTAGGATTTTATAAAGGAGGCTCTTCTCACCTTTGCCCTCCCCTCTCTCACAGCGTGAAGCCTCTGCGGGCCTTCTTTTCGTCTTATTTGAAGTCATTGCCGGATGTGAGGAAAAAATCGCTTCCCTTGCCTGAAAAGCCACACAAAGAAGAAAATTCAGAAATCGTGGTTTGGAGAGAATTTGACAAGCAAGTGTTCCTCTTGAACTGAAGCCCCCGGAGACAGTGCGTGTAGACCGAAGGCTGCGTGCTTGCAGGGCGGGTTTACTCAGAAACCCACCCCAGCCAGTGAGGGCCGCTCAGGAGCCCTCCCAGGGGCCCTGGGAGTCCGTGGGGAGGAGCCAGGACAGGGAGACTTGCTGTGGAGGGAAAGGTTGGGCATTCCCTGACGCTGCCATATCCCGTCCTAGGTCGAAGCTGTACACGGTGGACCTGGAGTCAGGGCTACACTACCTCCTGCGGGTGGAGCTGGCAGCCCACAAGTCCCTGGCCGGAGCAGAGCTGAAGACGCTCAAGGACTTTGTGACTGTCTTGGCCAAGGTTTGGGACGGTGCTGGTCTGGGCTGCATGTGGGAATTTGGCTCTGCACAGAGTGGGCCCTGGGGGGCGTCGGACACTGCGGGGGCTCCGCCAGCTCCGCTGAGGTGCTCTCCACCTTGCTTTGTCGCCCAGGCCCACGCCCCAACTCATTCCACCCATTTCCCGAGTGCCTCCTGCGTCCACTGCTGTTCCCAGCACTGGGGCTGGGGCGGTGGGTGTAGAGAGGGGCGGGGGTGTGAGCCGAGCACCTGCTGGAAAAGCCCAGCTCTGGCTGCCTGGAGAGTAGATGGAGGAGGGAGCGGAGGCCCACACACACCTCAGCTGGCTCTCAGAGGAGCGCTGCACGGGGGCTGGGGGGAGAGAGAGAGGGAGAGGCAAGGGCTGTGCAGATCCAGGTGGGGTGTGCATCTGCCCCACCAGCCAGGTTCAGGGAGGGGTCCTGGGAGCTTCACGCTCAGCACCATCACCAGCACAGATGTGGTGTCTGAGACCACTGAGGGGGTCGCCAGGAGCGGGCAGAGATGCCACCCAACAGAGCTCAGGCCTGGCCGTGCCCAGGGTCAGGCTGAAGAGGACCAGCCAGGGAGGTGGCCAGGTGTAACTCCATGAGCTCGGTTGCTTGTTACTGTCTAAATGACAAGAAGGCTTAGGCTTAAAATATTTATCTTGCCAAAAATAAGATGCATGATAGAATAATTTATAGTGAGCACTTTGGATAGAGTTTACTTACAAAGTGATTTGTGAAAAGTACAGGAAATCTTGAAGGACTGGAGGTGCCTCAGATGAATGCATGAACATTGCCCAGGCAGCTTTTTCCCCCACGGTGCCATCCAGAGTTCAGAAATCTCTAGCTGGCCTCATTTCCTTTAAGAAAGTGTCCTGCTAATCTGTCCATCATATTAGTGGAGGACAGTGTGGCTCTTAGTGGTGGTGGCCGCCGGCCAGCTAATTCGCTGGAGTCGCACAGCTGTCGCTAGGCAGACCTGCTCTCCTCTCCCGGCTTCTCCGTCTTCCCCTTAGTCTAGTTAGGCTTGGAGCTTTTACACTTGTGCTCTGGGCAACTCCTGAGGCCAGGGTATTAATAAGTTATTCTTAATATTTTTCTGAAGTTTACTTGGATGTCTAAAATAAATTTGATTCTGGTAAATTAATCATGGTACTTTTTAACCTGCACGGGAGAAAATATATTGGACTGAGCTGAAGATGCCGGCGTTTCTGGTCTGGCATCGCCACCTGTGAGCTTCAGCTCGGGTTTGAGGAACTCTTTTGGTGGCTGGTGTTTCTGGTCTGGCATTGCCACCCGTGAGATTTCAGCTCGGGTTTTCGGAGCTCTTTCGGCAGCCTATGTTTTGCACAGTTTGTGGTGCAGCAGCTGATCAGAGTTTCTCCTAAAAAGACAGAGCCCTGGGATCTTCTCAGCCAGACGCCTCCCCAAGCTGTGTTGATGTCGGCCAGCCTCACGGCCCACACAAGCCCATAGGCAGTTAGCCCCGGCTGCCGGCGCATGTGCACTGCCGCGCGCCCTTCATACAGTCAGTGACGGCAGAGGGGAAGCCCAGCGGGCGGGCAGGCGGGGTCAGCACAGCTCCTCGTGAGGAAGGCAGAATAAATCAGCAAGCCCCCGCCAGCTCCATGATGAGTCACACACCGTGACCTTGCCTGTCACCTGGCCGGAGCGAGGCCGTGGGCGCAGGTGGGTGAGCTGCAGGCACGGGCTGGAGAAAGGCATGGCCGTGGGCACAGGCTGTCCTGGGGAGAGGCGCAGGCTAGATGCCCACCCCATGGCCCCTTGGGTTTCCTGCCTCCCATCAGAGAAACCCGAGTTATGAGAGGCCCCATCCTAGGTTCAGCCCCTCTGCGGATGGAGTGCTTCTCTTTGGAGGTGCGGTGCCCCCCGCGGTGGGGGCGGGCCCGGGTTTGGGTCTGTAGCTCTCAGGTGGCTCCTTCCTCATGCAGCTGTTCCCTGGACGGCCGCCAGTCAAGAAGCTGTTGGAGATGCTGCAGGAGTGGCTGGCCAGCCTTCCCCTGGACAGGATCCCCTACAACGCCGTGCTTGACCTGGTCAACAACAAGATGCGGGTGAGCCCCAGAACCCTCGCCAGCCACGCTGCACCCTCCTTCCCTCGCCTTCCTTCCCTTGCCCTTAGCTGGTGCATCTCCCTGCTCGGGGCCCGGGCTCCGCTGTGAGGAAGGGGAGCAGTGACTTACTGTCTCCACGACAGCATCATGGCCATGGCCTCCTGTCTGCCTTGGCAGCGTCATGCTGGGACTTCAGTTTAAGGACAGCTCACCAAAAGTGCACTGTGACCACCTGTCCTTTGGACAAAATGGGGTTTTCTCAAGCAACGTAGTAGTTGGGCTTTTTAAATTTTTAGTAAGCCAATCTGACGAAAACTGATGTATTCAGTAAGTGTGGCAGCCTTTCCAGAGCTTTCCCCAAGACCAGGTGCCAGCAGGTGCCAGTCTTTGCTCAGGGGACCAGCACCCCAAGAGGTCCTGGCACTCCGTCCTGCCATTCCCTCCTTAGTCCAGATCAGCAGCTTCTCTGTGGCCCCCAGAGTGTTTACTCGCGGGCAGTAAACCCAGCGTGCTGCTTGTCCGACGCCCGCGTGGTCAGTGCACACAGCAGATCTTCTGGGAATCCTGTAAGGTGCACTTGTCGTGCCGTGATTTTGCCAGCTTTGTCATTTGCTGGCTGCAGCTGAGAAGCAGACGGTGCCGGGCTTCTTGCCTGAGTCTGTCTTCCACCTTGACTCTACTCCGAGCTCGAGGTCATGGGAGCACTCTCACGTGACTGCGACGTGTGACATCTCCCTCGAGAGCACGTCCTGGGCTCAGGAGTCCTTAGGGAGGAAAAGGTTGATGAGACACGAAACCAAACCCAGCGGAATCTGCCTGGGGCTCTCAGCCCTCCCAGTCCAGCAGTCACCCACTCTGATGGCCACCCTATTGCTTTTTCAAAGTGAACACACCTTGTTTGTTCTGGCCAAGAATTATTTGACAGTTGAGCTTTTTTCTGTTGTTAGTTGCCTTTTCTCTTAATACTGTCCTTACAACTAATTCTAATTTAAAAGAAAAGGTGGATACATTTTATGCTTAATATTACTGGTTTATCAAGATACAGAAGAACTGTCTCTTCAGAGATTGGCTTGAGAGCTCCTTTAGTAAAGGAGACCATTTCCTCTCTTTTGTTTTATTGAATTTAAATTTGCATATGGTAGGAGGCACAGATCTTATGTGTACAGTTGATACAGCTTCAGTAAACCACACCCCCATTATCCACCCCCCCCAGTCAAGAAGGCAGCTGTCGACTGTTTTTAATTTCAACAATTATCTTTTATTCTTTGGGGTTTTTTTGTTTGTTTGTTTTTCAGATTTCTGGAATATTCCTTACTAATCACATAAAGTGGGTTGGATGTCAAGGAAGCCGATCTGAGTTGAGGGGTTACCCGTGTTCTCTCTGGAAACTGTTCCACACTTTGACTGTTGAAGCCTCGACCCACCCAGATGCACTGGTTGGCACAGGTAAGCTGTGCCCATACAGGCCAGAGGGGCCGATGGTCTGCCTAACAAGTTAACCCAGCCGGTGTGTGCAAAGGCATGTACTGCTGTATGGGAGGCAGCATGTCGCCAGGCCACTGAGGCAGGGGAATGGCACTTCAGACTCCTCTCACACGGTCAGCTCACCCAGGGCTGTGGCTGCGGGGGCACGAGTTCCCCTTGTCAGAACTCGCAAGGATGTGCATGGCTAACGTGCAGGAAATAAACCATAAAGAAGAAAGAGTGCTGGCTGGGAGTTTCCCTGCAGTGTAAACTCCCTGTTTTTTGCTTTAAAAAGACAGAATAAGTGAAATCTGTTTGGAGAGGTGTTCTCATTATCAGCTGTTGTATAACAAATCACCCCAAAATTTAGCAGCCAGAACCACGGGAACCACGCACGGTTATGAGCTCATGGTTTCTGAGGGCCGGGCATGGCCTCATCTGGGTCCTCTTCTTCAGGATTGGTCAGGCTGCAGTCGGAGTGTCAGCTGGGCCTGGGGGGTCACCCAAGGCCCACCTGGGGAGAGTGGCTTCCCAGCACCCTCATGGGGCAGAGAGCAGGGCCTGCCTCCTTGCACGTGGCTTGCCTAAGGCCCTGAGCTCCATGCTGGCTGTTGACTGCAGGCCACGCTCAGGGCCTCTCCATCGGGCGGCTCACATCATGGCAGCAAGCCTCATCAGCAAGCCAGTGAGAGGGTGCCTATCCGAGGATGATATTCCATCACCTCTGTCAGATTCTGCTTACTAGTCAGTCCCCAGGCCCAGGCCACTCGCAAGGGGAGGACATTACAGGAGGCGTGAGTATAGGTGGTGTGATCTGTGGGGACCGTCGCAGAGGCTGCCCACCACAAGGGGTTAAAACCTATAAAACTTCGAAGTTGGATTTAATAATTTTCAATTACTAGGAAATAGATAAAAACAAATTTTCTGTCCTTCACAGAACACTAAAGTATGTATTGGATTTTTTATCCCCCCTGAATTTTGTTGTGTGTGTGCTTCCCAGTTGAAGCAGTAATTCAGGTTCATTAATGTTTACTTCAAAGCCGAAGTGGAGTCTTGACTCACACAGTTCAACGCTCTTTCCAGTAAGATTCTCAAATTCCTTTACGGTTATTTTTTGCCACATAACAAACTAACCTAAAATGCTGGGGCTTAAAGCAGCCACCACTGTTTGCTTATCATGCTGTGGATCAGCAGTTTGGGCTGGGCTCGGCTGGGCGGTTCTTCTGTGAGTTGCTGCTTGGGCTCACTCGTGTGTGTCTGCCTTCGTCTGGTGGCAGCTGGTCAGTCCAGGGGACCTTGGAATGCCTCGTACTCCTGAACGTGGCTTCCCCACCAAGTAGCACCAGGTTCAGGCAGGACCCCCTGAGAGTCCACCTCAGTGTGGAGTCACATATTATTACTTCTGCCGCATCCTGTTGACCCAGCCTAAATTCGTGGTGAGAGAAATAGATTCCACCTGTTAATGGGAGAGTGTCCCGGGATGGGGGCACTATAGTGGCCTTCTGAAAATCTGTTTTGGCCCTCCTCAAGGTGATATTGGATTACTGCTTCTCGGGGGTCTGGTTGGGGGAGAGGGTGGGTTTTAACCTCAAATCCTTTTCATAATCATACAGAAAAAAAGAGTAGTATGTTTTTGGGGAGAAACCTTGGGAGCTGTCCAAACAGAAATTGAAATCACAGCATCCACACTGCCTGATCTAATGCCCAGCTAGACCATGCAAACCTGATTCCGACCGAATGCCCAGCCAGACCATGTAAATCTGATTCTGAGCTGTGCACAAGGCTCACACCTGTAATCCCAGCACTGGAGGTTGCAGTGAGCCAAGATCATGCCACTGCACTCCAGCCTGGGCAACAGCAAGACTGTCTCAAAAAAAAAAAAAAAAAAAAAACACAACAAAACTGCTTCTGAAGCGTGAGCCTGAGTTAGGAAACCTCACGTTTACACATGGAAAGTTCTGGTGAGGAGATGAGCTGACATGCCATCCCCCTTTCCGTCTGCTCTGATCACACGGGCACACGCAGGCATGAGGAACGGCTCCTTGAAGGCAGTGTGGGTACAGTGTTGGCCAAGGGGAGAAGTTGAGTGACCGGGGTATTTGATTTTAAACTCTTCTAGGACCAGCCCTAGTGTAGTGGAATTGTAAGAGCAGTGTGATGGCAAAGCACACTGCTAGCAAGACCCTCAGCGCTCCTTCCGCCCATCAGCATATTGGAAGCAGCCTCCAGGAGTAGCCTCCTGCCAAGAGAATTGGGTCAGAGGCGACCACGGGATTAAGTCTTGGAAGGTTTTTCTTCTCTTTACTGTATGTTTAAGCCCTATCTAGTAAAATGCCTGTGAAGGCCTCTAATCCTCCCACAGGTAGAGGTTTATGGTTCTTGTCCACTTTAAAGATTAGGGTGGCCCCGCGCCTGCGGTGATGTGGGGAAGAGGAGGGGGATTACGTGGAGATGCAAGGCAGATGTCTGTGGAGCCCTCCCGGCAGGAGAGCAGGGCAGACGGGCCGGGTCACAGGGCCAGCGCCTGCGGTCCCATCTGAGACACCGCCCAGCTGCCCGTGGACACGCTCAAGGCTGAGGAGGAGGTGGTCTGCTCTGCTCTGCTCTCACCTTTCTGGGTGAAATAAACAAGAAGTGTCGGGATTTGGGACCGACCAGGACGCTGAGGTCAGGGCCTGCACGCAGCTGTGTTTTGCAGGGAGCCACGACAAGCGTCAGGCCTGCACTCACGCGGGAAGCTCCCCCAGGGCCTGCTGTCGATGAAGACGGATTCATTCGCGAAAGCATGTCTTTTTTTAATGCTGACATGTAATCTGTTTTAATCTCATGGGTCTCCTATCTGTGCGTTCAAGCTCCTGTGTCAGTCGTCTGAGTGGGGACTGCCGAGCCCCGCCCCATGCTGCCCCCTTGGTTTTCTCAGGGGTTCCCCTTGGTTGCGGTGCTGGCTGCTTCCTGCCACCTGTGGGCAGGTGTTGCTTTCTTGAGATGTGTGTTGTTCATTCACAGTATCTGCGGAAGCGCCCCGGCCTGTCCATGTCTGTTAATACGTTCGGTGGCACAAACTCTGGCTGTGGGTGCACCCGTCCCTGTGCCTGCCCACCTGCTCCACATCCTCACGCCCGTGGCTGGCGGCAGCTTAAGAGTCACTTCCTAAGGCCGTGTCCCCACTTGGGCTGGTGTCCTGCAGGGCTTTCAAACGCGACAGCTGCAGGTTTAGAATGAGCAGAGTCATTGCCCTGGTACCAGCCCCTGAGAGTTGCTTGTAAGGCAAGAGAGACTGCACCCAGCTGGCAAATCCCGGGGAAGAGCGGCACTCCGGGCGTTCTGGCACAGACGGCTGGAAGACTGGTGGGAGGTGGGAGGCGCCCCTGGAAGGGCTCCTTTGGGCCCTGGCGGCCGAGTCCGTGGCTCATCCTCCTGGCACCAGGGCATCTGGGGAGCATGTCCGCCCTCTGGGCTGTCCACAGTCATTGTGTCTCCAGAGCCTGCAGCACCCGTGGGCGTGTTGGACATCTTGGCAGGTGCTGGCTTCTGGTCTGTGCCCACAGCCTGAGGCCCCTGGGGAGACATGAGGTGGCTTCCCGACATGTCAGGAGCGGTTTCCCCCCAGGCTCTCTGGACAAGCGTGGGGTCAGGTGATGCCCACGCACCTGCCGTTGTCAGCAGTGTTTCTTCCCCTGCAGGCTTTGAAGACGACCCCCAGGCTGTGCTGCAGACAATGAGGAGGTACGTTCACACCTTCTTTGGGTGTAAGGAATGTGGTGAGCACTTTGAGGAAATGGCTAAAGAATCCATGGACTCGGTGAAAACCCCAGACCAAGCCATCCTCTGGCTGTGGAAGAAGCATAATATGGTGAACGGCCGCCTGGCAGGTGAGAAGCCCCTGGGCATGGGGGGCTCAGCACGGGCGGAGGGAGGCCCTGGTCCTGGGACAGCAAGGACGGCACGGCTGCCGTGGGGCTTGTCCCTGAGCTTTGCGGCCTCGTGCCACCCACTGTGCTGACGGGATCAGGACTTGGGTGGCTGAGAGCTGCCAGAGCTGCAGCCTTTCCCAGGCTGCTTCTGTCCCCGGCTTTCTAGATGCTTCTCTCACTCCGGGGGCTCTTCGACCCCGTGGAAATGGGTGTGGCTCTTTCTTCCCCCATCGGTACCCACTGGTAGCCCGTTAGACTCTGAAGATGTTTTTGACTCTGGAAAGCTTGGAACGTAATTAATTTTTGATGAGGAATTTTAGTAGTATGGAAATCTGTTGTCCAAACGTAAACCAAACCTCTCAAAGTGCTTTGTTTTGTTAAAAAAAAATAATTAAATAGGGCACATGTATTTTCTCAGAGTTAAGTACTTCAAACTGTTCCTAAATCAGTGGCAGATTAAAATTAGGCTTAAAAATAATTCCACTGAGAAATCTTAATAGAGATGAATAGAAAATGCCACTAAACTATTGGTTTTTATTTAATCCACTGTGTTAGAAAAACATATTACAGCTGAAGCACTAAAGAAATTGGTTTTTCTTTGCCCTGAGCCTGACTGCCGGGGCCGGGGTCATGTGACGAAGGCGCTGTGTGTCTGCGGGGTTTGTTCCCTCGGTCAGCGCAGCTTCTCCGTCTCTCCGCCCTGGCAGCCTCTGCATCGCCGCCGCCCACAGAGCTCCCTGTGCTTTCCCCGAGCCCTCGGCTCTGAGGCAGTGGGACCAGGACCCTCGCCAGGCCTGCCTGGACCTGGAGCCCCTGCTGCTACCTGTGGCCCCAGCCCGCATGTGCCCCCACTACCCCAGTCATGAGACTGCAACAGAAAGGGGCCTTACAGCCCAGTGTGATTGTCACTCCTGAGATTCCCACTCCAGTCCCACCTCCAGCCTGTGCATTGAGACCCAAGCTCCTGGGAGGCCCCTCGGAGATGTGCCTGGGGTCTTCTGCCCAGGGCTGGCGCCTTATTTGACAGTCCTACATGAAGCTCTGGCAGCTTCTGACCAAGGTGCCACTGGTCTGTGCTTGTCCCCTCTGGCTTCGTGTGCAGCACCTGCTGCCGGTTGGCCGGATAAGCACGCAGTCAGTGACTGGCCCGAGTAGGGCATCTCTTGATTTCAGGCACGTCTCAAGTCCCCCAGACAAACGTGGTTGTGTTTACATTCACTTCTGGAAGCTCTGTGAGGGTGGCCAGGTGTCAGCAAGTCGGGTCGCAGGGGCTCCGAGAGCTAGGAGGCGCCGTGCGCCGCAGCTTCTGCATGACGGATGCCTGTTGGGCCTGGAAGTGAGCACATGTCACTTCAGAAACGAGTTTTGGAGATCTTGAAGGGATTTGTAGTCCGGAAAGGGCCAGTGTACCTGAAGTGCAGTGGAAATTCATTGCTGCCCCTCTGCCCTTTCCTGAAGGTGCACCTAAGGCCCACTGTCCATAGCACCCAGGTGGCCGGGGCTCTGTAGGTAGTGGGCCTCAGGTGCACCCTCAGGAAAGGGCAGAGGGGCAGCAGTGGGGGGAGGGGCACACAGGCAGCACTGTGCGGAGAAAGGCCTCCAGGTGAGAGCTGCATGCTCCGTTTTGGAAGTGGAGTGCTGGGTGGTTTGGGACAGGTGTGGTCTGGGAAGTGGCGGAGGCCGAGCGTGTAGCGTCTCCTCACTTGCAGGCTATGGGAACCGGCAGAGGGGAACACGTGCGCAGGGGCCTGCAGAAGCAGGATGTTATCTGGGCCGAACTGCAAGGGACGGGTGGTGGGAAGGGCAGGGAGGGAGGCCTGGCAGGACCCTGGGCCAGGGCAGTGGAGGCCCGTGGTGGGTGGGAGTGGGAGTCCGGTTGCCGCACGCTGCACGTGGCTGCACAAAGCCTCCTTCCCTCTGGCTCTCCCGCTTCCTTTTCTTCCTAGGCCATCTGAGTGAGGATCCCCGGTTTCCAAAGCTTCAGTGGCCCACTCCGGACCTCTGCCCAGCCTGCCATGAGGAAATTAAGGGCCTGGCCAGCTGGGATGAAGGCCACGTGCTCACATTCTTGAAGCAGCACTATGGCCGCGACAACCTCTTAGACACGTATTCCGCAGACCAGGGGGATTCCAGTGAAGGAGGAACCCTGGCCAGGGGTGAGGAAGAGGAGAAAAGACTCACTCCCCCAGAGGTGTCCCATGGAGACCGAGACACCCAGAGCGTCCGTCCACCTGGTGCACTGGGCCCCAGGCCTGCCCTTCCAGAGAGCTTGCATCACAGCTTGGACGGGAAACTCCAGAGTCTGGATGGGCCCGGGGCCCACAAGGAGGTGGGCGGGGCCGCACCCTTCCTCGGGGTTGACTTCTCCAGCCTGGACATGAGTCTCTGTGTCGTGCTGTACGTGGCTTCATCCCTGTTCCTCATGGTGATGTACTTCTTCTTCCGGGTGAGGTCCAGGCGGTGGAAGGTCAAGCACCACCACCCGGCCGTGTGAGTGCCCGGGTGCTGCCAGCCACGGCGGAAGCTCCCTTGGAGGCAGCCCTGCCCCGTGCCACCTGCAGCTTTAATATTTATGATCAGGGATTTTATAAACATGCGGGCCTGGTTTCACATCGGATGGCACCTTTTGGCTTCAAAGTCCTGGTTTTACAAACGCTCTTCTAACAAGGGAAGAACACGGGGTAATTTTGTGGGGATATTTGCATTCCTGGCGTACTCAAGTCTGTTCATGCTCCTTTTGCAGGTCTTACAGCAAAAAGACTTCTGTATTTTTACTCTTCTAGATGTGAAAAGAGGGTGCAGAGTCCAGGCCAGATAGTCTTCCCCACACACTTTCATCTCGTTTCCTCCACTCCGCCCCATCCTGCAGGGCCTTGTTTTTGTATTTGGAGAACCTCGCCCATCCCCCCCGCGGCTCCTGGCTCCCCCCCACTCCCCTCGCTCCCCCTCCCCCCGCTCCCCCCACGCCCCCTGCTCCAGGCTGCCAAGTGTTTTCCTTTAGCCGGGCGGGGACAGACAGAGCCGGAAGCGCAGTCGGCCTCTGCAGCCCCTCCAAGCAAGTGCTCCAGGGACTATCCTGTGTTTGTAGCTGCTTCCCTAGGGCAGGTTCCTGAGGGCTCTCCTTGTTCCTCCGGGTGTTCGACACCAGACGTGGGGATTTCAACAGGGGAGGAGCCAAGGAATTCTGTGGCTGTGCTGCGTTTCAGAAAATAACCCCCAGAGGCCTTGGGCTGTGGACCTGGGGGTTGGAAGGATGGGGGCTCATTTAACCCTCAGAGGCAGCGCCTTTGTCTGTCTATCTGGTGACAAGAGAGAGACAAGTAAATGGGGGCCGTTGGGACGGCGGGTGCCTGGAGGGCAGCTCTGGGCTCAGCGGGCAGTGCTTAGAGCACAGGCCCCTCTGTTGGGGGATGGGGAGGAGAGCAGTCTGCCCTTGGGAGCGTAGGCCCCAGGGAGACTTCTAAAGCCCCCCCTGTCGTCTGCTCTTCACCCAGCACCACAGAGGCACCTGCTGCACACACAAGCATCTCACTCGGCCCACGGAGGGGGCCAGGCTTCCTTTGCCTGAAGCTGTTTTGGGAAGGGTCTCCACACAGGCACTGATCTCCCAAGCTTTTGTCATGATGTCTTTTACCATTTGATAATTTTAAACATTGTTTTTAAACCCAAAACATTTAGTGGTCCGTTGCCTCTGAAGATGTAAACAAACAAATACACTATTTCTGGGAACATTTATATTGAGATTCTTTGTGGCTATTGGTGTGTCTCACAGGCAAAATTTGATTTGGCTAAAATAGGCTCAGATGTATTTGTGTGCCCGTGTGTGTGTGTGTGTGTGTGTGTGTGTGTGTGTGTGTATGAGAGAGAGAGAGACTTTGACGGTTGTAGATATTTTTTCCGCTTTGCCTACTTTATGTTGTATAATCATGTGTTTACTAACAAGTTGATGACATGGATGTATTCATAAGACCATGTAATATTGATGTGATTGTTGTCGCTTGAGAAAAAAAGGCAACAGCTGATTCTTTCAACAACTGTCACAGAATGGCTGGGCTGAGAACGCTGCCCAGGGCCCTGCAGCTGGCGGGAGAGGTGTCTGGTGGGAGCGGTGTCTGGTGCGTCAGCCTGCTGCTTCGTGTCTCACTCGAGAGTTGCTTCTGGTTTCACACTTTTTAACCCCTCTGTGCTTTAGCAGCCGTGACCTTGCCTTCATTGCTTCATCCAGTGCAGGCCTGGGTTATTGAAGACACCAAAGTGTTTCTCTTCCAGTTTGAAAACCAGGCAGGTTTACACGTGGGTTTCAGTGTATTTGCCTTTGAACCCTTCAAACTAAACTTTAGCCTTTTGGCTGGTGTTGAATGTCTTTAGCTGGGGTGACCTGGAGTGACCTGGGACGGTGTTGTGGTTTACCGTCTCCAGCTTCAGCCTTTCCAGAAACCCTTGTGGAGGGCAGTGTTGGCTGCAGGTTTCATCATATTGCAGTTTGAGGTCACCACTATTTGGGGAACAAGCTTGCGTCCTGCTGAGGGGCAGGATTTTCAGCAGAGCGTCGGTGGGGCTGGGCCGTCGTGGAGGTGGCCCCAGGAGTCATATGGCCATACTCAGACACACCTTGTGTGGCCTGCTCAGAGCTGGATGCCACCTTTAGGCAATGTTTAGAGTCTATTTTCTAAAGTTTTAAGTATTTTAAGAGGTATTGAGACTAATGAATATAATAGTTCAGTAATTTAAATGCTTATTTATTTTCAGTGGAAGGATTTTTATTAAAAAGAAGCTAATTGACATGGAAATGTCAGTGAAATTTCTTACCTGCAAGGAAAGTGAACATTTTGTATTTAAGTAAACTATAATGTGCACATTTTAATAAAGAAATCTGACATTTGAAAAAATGGTGATTCTTTTGAAATGTGAACCAGCTCTACCAGTGGGAGTTGTGGTAGAGGCGGTGGGTGCAGAATGGACCCCTCTTTTGTTCACGTACTGGACATCTGAAATCCTAGAGTTTCTCCTATCGAATCATTGGCTTTTGGGACACAGCCCAAGGGTCGGATGGAAAGTAGAAGATGGAAAGCAGTGATAGATCATCTCCCTGGAGCTGATCTGGACGAGACTCACAGGACAAGACCCTTGATTTTACACAGGTTAAAGGGCAGCTGAGATGCATGTCAGCTACACACTTCAAAGAGCACGCGCGGCAGCCCAGCCTGAGGGCACCTCAGAGGACCCCCAGCTTGCTTGAGTGGCCATCCCTCTGCTTCCTGGGTGTGAGTGTCCTGCTAAGGCTGTTTGTGGTGTTCTGTGGGGTGCCCTTGACCCCGTGTTGTCTTCTGCCCCTCCCCTACTTTTGCTGTGCCAGTGGGGGCAGGGCAGTGGTCAACAGTCTTGCCTGTGGCTGTGGAGGAAGCCGGTTGGCACCTCCCTGGCCAGGCTGTGCAGAGGCTGGCAGTAACTCAGTCACTCGTCAGGCACCGAGCAGACACCAGCCTGGGTGTGTACTGGGCGATTCCTTCAGGCCCTGCCTATGCCCAAGGTCTTGAGTCCTCAGCAGTGCTTTTGTTACAGGGGACTGCAGGTGCCTCTCCTCCTGGCAGCCCGGAGGGGTGCGGGCTGAGCTCCTCCCAGAAGTTGGGGGTTGAGTTCAAGGAGGTTAAGAGTGGAAAGTTCCCTGACCAGCAAAACACCTGCAGGAGAGTGCCCCAGTGAGCCCTGGGCTGGAGTTGATCACGCATGGGGCTGCCCCGGGGCACGGCCTGGGCACTGCCTTCCAGAGGCTGCACGCCAGAAGGGTAGGGTCAGTGTCCTCCTGCCCTGCGGCTGGACGACCCGCTTGCTGCGAAACTCGGCGAATCCCAGCGCCTCAGCAGGGCCTGGAGCTTAGGGAGGAGCGGGCACGGCCACCCTGGGTCTCAGAGGGGTGAGGGCGGGGGCTGCCTTGAGTGCGGCCCAACCCAGCCAGGGAGGGAGGCGCGCCCGACACGGGGCAGAGGCGGGGGTGGGGACCGGGGCGACGAGAGGGGCCCCGGGAGGTGGGCGGGCGCGCGGGCGGGGCGGGCAGCGGGCGCCTCCTTCAGCACCGCGGACAGCGCCAGGCCCAGTGGCTCCCGGGCTCCCTGCCCCGCACGACGCGGCGGGACTTGGGAGCCCCGAACCCTCCAGGGGACGCTGACCTAGGAGGAGCGCGTCTCGCGCCACTCGGCCTGGTGGCCGCGATGCTGCTGGAAACGGGGCTCGAGCGCGACCGAGCGAGGCCCGGGGCCGCCGCCGTCTGCACCTTGGGCGGGACTCGGGGTAAGCCCCAGCAGGACACTGAGGACAGAAACGGCAAGGGCGGCAGAGGCGCGAGGAAGGGGGTGCGTGCAGGGCCAGCGGCCAGGCAAAGAAAGTCCCGCCGCTCTGCAGGCGGGACACAGAGATGGAAACTGCAGAGAGTGAGTTTCCAGATCCCAGGGTGGCGGGGAGGGCCTGACGCTGGCCTGCAAGAGTGCGGGACAGCGGTTGGAGTGGAGGCCCCTAGAAAAAAAGGGGGCATCGCAGGCACAGCTGGGGGGCGATGGGGCCGACCAAGGGGTGCTAGGTTCCCCCGGTGACCAGTGCCCGTCAGCTCTTGCACACAGCCCGGCCCAGGTCTCTGGACCCCACAGCAGGGGACCCAAGCCTGTGTCTCCCGCCTGAACCACCCTCCCCAAGGGCCATTCCATCACCACGGACGCTGGGAAATAATGGAGGCATTGTTGGAGGGCTGGCCAGATGCCAGCAGGGTGGGCCGCCTCCTTAACCTGCCGCCGCCCCTTCCCCAGTCCTGCCACACACGACCCCTGATCGCTTCGGCAGCAGCTGACACTCAGCCACCTGCACCCAGCACAGCCCGCACACACTCGGCTTTGCACCCGCGTGTCCTTGCCCTGGCCCTTCTTGGGTAACAAGTGCTGTGCAAAGTGAAGGGGCAGAAAGCTGGCTGCATGGGCCACTGCTCAAAACGGACACATCGGACCTGCTGGGAGCTAGGAGGGAGGGACTGTGGTTTCTTGTGCCCATCCTTCTGGGCCTGGGCCCTTAAAGCTCACAGTCCAGAAGCCATAGGCAGAGTGGACAGAGTATTGCTGTGAGACCCACAGGGAGAGGGACCTGCAGGATGGCATCAGCCCCTGGTCCCCCAACCCTTCCTGTGTGTTTCTGCGCACTGCCAGGGCACCCCTGCCTTTGCCAAGTCCTGTGCTGCCGAGGGCCACCCACTGCTGTGTTCTTCCCCGGGTGGCTGCCCAGGGCTGGTGCTGGCCCAGGGCCCTCTGGGCAGGGGTGGGTGCGTCCCTCTGCCTGCAAGGACAGGTGGGTTCTGGAGAGCTCACCTGTGTGGACTGGGGCAAGAGGCTGAAATATCAGGTAAGGGACCGTGTTCCAATGGAGCCGGAGTGCTGGGGGCTGGAAATGGAAGGTGTGCCCTGGGGCTTCCCCAGCTCGGCCCCTCACGACCCGAGGTCTTGGCTGCGTGTCCAGGACACAGAGCCTGTTCTCTCTCAAGGATTGCCCTTCCTCCCTGAGCCGTCCGGGGCCGCAGTTCCAGGGGTGGAGCCCAGAAGCCTGTTAGCATCTGGGATCGGTCCGGCACCTTGCGGTTCCGGTACGCAGCCCTCGGCGCCACACTCACCCCTTCTGCGTTTCGGGTTGAGCTCCCGCCGACCATCTGCTGCTCCCGAGGCCAAACCTCAGCGGCGGGAGGACCCTGCTGCCTTCTCGACCCCTCTCCCGGGAACCTTAGCCCTCCTGGCGTGTGCTCCAGCTCAGGCCTCTGCCTCTGGGCCGCTCCGGCGCAGGAAGCTGCGGGGCCGGGACGAACGCTGGCGGGAAGCCCTGACCTGGGCCCTCCCTTACCGGTGCCCGCCCTCGGGCCGGGCACGCGGGGCGGCCTCTGGGCACCGCAGGTCCCGGCGCAAAGGCGCTCAGAGTCCGCAGTGGCCCGGGCTGGTCTCCGCGACCCCCGGCCCCGCCCCGCCCCGCGGCCCCGCCCCCCGGCCGCTCCGCCCTCCGCTCGGCCAGAGGCTCCGGGCCCCAGGGCGGCCCGCGGGCGCAGCGCCCAGCAGCACCCGGAGTCGCTTGGACGCCGGTTCGGGGCTATTGCGGGGTGGCGTCGCTGGGCCCGGGAAAGTTCGGGACTGGAGAGTGGCGACGCCGGGCGGCGGGACCCATGGAGGCGCGCGGGGAGCTGGGCCCGGCCCGGGAGTCGGCGGGAGGCGACCTGCTGCTAGCACTGCTGGCGCGGAGGGCGGACCTGCGCCGAGGTGGGTGCCCGGGCCGAGTGGCTGCACCGGGGAGACCAGGAGATCCTCAGGCCTTTCCGGGCCTGGCCGCGGAGGCTGGCAGGAGCTAGAGGATCTGGGCGGGAGTGGGCGCGAGGACCCCGGAACGTCCGCGCCTGGGCGCCTCAGCCTGTATTTGTTGCAGGGCCCCTGGCCTGGGTTGTCAGGGAGTGAGTGAGGTTGTGGCACTGCGCTGCTCCGGCCAGGGAGCTCTCGGGGGTCCAGGGTGGGCTTAGGAGACCTCTGCAGCCCGGAGCCAGCTCCCTGGGCTGGAGGAGGCGCAGGGAGCAGTGGCGGGGCAGTGACCACGGGACAGGAGGGTCCCCAAGAAGGCCGCCCCAGCCGGACTCTTTCCACGTTCCAGCGGAACAGAGTCAGATGCAGGGGCCAAGGTCGAGCTGAACTCCGACCGTCGGTCTCCCCGAAGTCAGGTTTCAGCGTCTGCGCCCACAGACACCCGCTCGGTTTATCCCCGCTCAGGGCCCGTCTGTAGGAAAAAGCCTCTCTTCTCCAGGCCCCCCAGCTTCCTGGTGGCACCACTCTAGCTCCCAGCACTTTGGTTCTTAGGGAACCTGGGCAGTTCTCCTCGACTCCCGGGCCAGCTGGAGCCGCAGGATGGGGAAGGAGGCCCCGGAGCCAGTGGGGAGTGAGAGGGACCGGCCGGCGGGAAGGGGGTTACATCCAGGCTGTGGGGGCTCGCGGTTCCCTACTTATTTATTTATTTTTCGACGGTTCCTGGGAGGGGTTGGCCGCGGGGGCTGGGGGGCGGAGAGAGGGAGGGAGGAAGGAGGACTGCGCGCCCGCGCTCGGGAGAGCTGGCCGGAGCGGGCGGGCTGGCGTCCAGGCTCCGCCGACCCCGCCATCCCTGACACAGGAGCCCCCGCCAGGGCTGGAGTCGCCATGCAGCGTAAGGCTGGGGTCGCGGGCGCGGCGCGGGGTGGGCTGGGGCGGCTTTTGCCCGACGCGGGCGCCGGCGGCGAGCTGCGGCCGAGGCGCTGTCCGGTCCGCGGTGCTGAATCCGCGCTGTGTCGGCCTGTCGGGCCGCCCCGCTCCGAGCCGGGTCCTCGCCTGCGATCGCTGCCCACGATGGGGACCCCGGGCGCGCAGCGGGTCCTCGACGCTCCGCACCCGGAGCTGCGGTTTTGCCGGATGCGGGGCGCATTCATCGCCGGTTTCCCGCCACTGCGTGGGGAGGCGCAGCCCAGTTTTTTCCGCCGGAGGTCGAGGGAGCCCCTTCCTGGTGTCTCTCACCCACTGGGAGATGGGCTGGAGCCGGCGGGGTCCACAGCCAGGGAGGCGGGTGCAATATGTCAGTAAATCCCGGTCCCTTCAGCGGGCACTCCTCTCTTCCAGAGACTTTTTCTAAGTGAAGAGGGAGTCCTCAGCCCTTGACACCTGGAAAACCCGCTCACAGACTCGAGGCTCCCACAGGGCACCCTTGGACCTCCCCAGTGTGGTTCCTCCAGGGGGCCTGCAGTACCGAAGTGGGGTGTGGGGGGCAGAAGCAGCGGGAAGCCAGACGTTTGAGTAACTCTGACGGTGTTGGGGGCACCCACGCCTGACACAAAGGCAGTGGATCGGCTTGTCCAGTCCACTCATAAGTAATTTTGCGGCTGCCCAATGATGGGGAAGGCATTGATATTTACCCCGGAGGCCTGCAGACAGGGCCACCAGGCAGGGCAGCCACATTTGCGAGGAGTCCCTAGAAAGAGTGGCCATGACGCTTAACATGAAGGAGACCCGATGGGGTGCCCCAGCTCCAGGTGATGGTGAAGACCCGTTTCCCTATGTTTCCTGCCGGGCTTCAGAGAGCAGATCCCCCTGGGGTGGGGTTTTCATTTGAGCTCCACATGCACCCTTCTTGGCACTGGCAACATTTTGTAATTGAGTATTCAGCCTCGTGAAATGGCCTGGGCTGCTTTCTTGCTCACACACATTTTTAGACCGATGTCAGTTTCCCCTTAGCTCCTGACATAGGATGCGGTGCCTGCACACTCCCGGAACTTGCGGGGCCACTTAAGCTGGCTGGGGAAGAGGGTGTGTAGGGAAAGGAGGACCCCTCGGCAGCCCTGAGTCCTGTGGGCCGGAGGGGAGACTGGCTCGCGTTGGGGTGGGAAGGTGGCTTCACTGCCTCCTGGTCTACGAGGTGACCCAGAACTTCCTCGTGCCCACAGAGATCCCGCTGTGCGCTGGCTGTGACCAGCACATCCTGGACCGCTTCATCCTCAAGGCTCTGGACCGCCACTGGCACAGCAAGTGTCTCAAGTGCAGCGACTGCCACACGCCACTGGCCGAGCGCTGCTTCAGCCGAGGGGAGAGCGTTTACTGCAAGGACGACTTTTTCAAGTGAGCCCCGAAACCTCACCTCAGTGTGGGAGCGGAGGGCACGCCTGCCCCAGGGACTCCTCCCCTCACAATCACCAAGGCCAGGCCCTCGAAGCCTGCGTCTCTCGCAATCCCAGCCCACTCCTGTCACCCAGGCAGGGCACCCTGTGGCCTGGCCAAATTAAGGGTGGGGCCTCTCCATGGGTGCTCCCTGGGTGGCTGGGCCTGGCTGGGACATCAGCAAGTATTATTTGGAAAAAAAAGCAATTTATTACCTAAATCACAGAAGCAGTCATTAGAGAAGATACACCCCTATTTGTAGGATTCTACTGGACTTAGTTCCTCCGAAATTGGTGATGTTTTAGTTCCTAATGCTGGCACCCAGCGGCTCTGGCCCAGTGGCCTTCATGGCTCCAGCTGTGGGGTGTGAGGGACTGGCCCCAGATGGGTCCTCTCCCTCCGGATTCACCTTCCCAGATCCAGCATGGGTCCTGCAGGCAATGGCGGCTGGGCTCCCCGAGGTCTTTCTGAGATTGAGGTTCCCTTCTCAGTGGGAGTGGGCAGCTCTGCCCCGGCGGCCAGGCTGGCGACCACCCTGCAGGGCCGGACAGAGCCTTCCTCCGGGGCCGCCTTCCCAGGCAGCCGCTTGCCTCTCTCCAACCCGCTCGGGGCGAAATGAGCCTCGCGCTTCCGCGCTGAGCCCGGCCCTGTGCGTCCCGCAGGCGCTTCGGGACCAAGTGCGCCGCGTGCCAGCTGGGCATCCCGCCCACGCAGGTGGTGCGCCGCGCCCAGGACTTCGTGTACCACCTGCACTGCTTTGCCTGCGTCGTGTGCAAGCGGCAGCTGGCCACGGGCGACGAGTTCTACCTCATGGAGGACAGCCGGCTCGTGTGCAAGGCGGACTACGAAACCGCCAAGCAGCGAGGTCAGCCGAGGGGACGACGCTCCCACCTTTCCTGGTCTGAAAAAAATGGGGCTGAGGCCACGCCCAGGGGGGCGTCCGGGGAAATTCTCTCCCCAAGCGCTCACTAAGGGGGCCTGGGCTAGGGCGGTGTAGGCAGCAGGAAGCCGAGGCCGGGAACGGCGGAGTCACGGACAGACCCGCGTCCCGAACCGCTTCGTTCGGTCCGAAGTGTGCGGCTTTTCGCCCCTGGTCGGAATTATCGCCCTAAATTCTTGGCCGCGAAGGCTGGGCCATACCCACACCCTTAGAATAAAGGGGAGCCCGCGGGGAAATCAGGGTGCTTGGAGAAGGGAGCCAAGGCTGAAGGCGGGGGCGCCGTGGAGGTGCGATTTTAGGGAAGGCGCCGCCCCCGCCCCCGCGGCAGAACCCGCCCTCCGCCGGCGCCCCCTCCACCCCAGCCCGGGTGCTGCCCGTTTTTGCCAATCGCTCCCAGCGCCCGCGCCTTCCGAGAAGCCTGTGGGGCGGGATGGGGGTGGGCACCTGAGGCCCCGACGTCCCCGCGCCGGCCGGGGTGGGAGGGCTGGGGGTCCGGCCGGGGCCGGAGGGGCTGCCGCGCCTCACCGCTCGCCCGCCGCGCAGAGGCCGAGGCCACGGCCAAGCGGCCGCGCACGACCATCACCGCCAAGCAGCTGGAGACGCTGAAGAGCGCTTACAACACCTCGCCCAAGCCGGCGCGCCACGTGCGCGAGCAGCTCTCGTCCGAGACGGGCCTGGACATGCGCGTGGTGCAGGTCAGCGCTCGCCCCTGCTTCCCTCCCGCCCGCGGCCTTGGGGGCCCCCGCAGAGCCGGGCGGCCGCTCACCCCGCCCCGCCCCCAGGTTTGGTTCCAGAACCGCCGGGCCAAGGAGAAGAGGCTGAAGAAGGACGCCGGCCGGCAGCGCTGGGGGCAGTATTTCCGCAACATGAAGCGCTCCCGCGGCGGCTCCAAGTCGGACAAGGACAGCGTTCAGGAGGGGCAGGACAGCGACGCTGAGGTCTCCTTCCCCGGTAGGCGGAGGGATCGCGGAGCTCGGGGGGGGACGAGCGCGCGTCGGCGGGGTCGCAGGGGTCCCAGGGAGCCCGCGGATCTGAATTTCCCATGGAGTTAGTGGACTCCTTAAGTTCTACTTTCAAAAGCATTTCACTTACAGAACCTGCTCCCCCAGCACCCTCCCCGCCCTGGGTGGCCACTCCGGACCACTGCTTTTCCCCTGGTGGGGACACAATCCCTGTGGCCCGACCTGTCCCCAAGCTGGGCGCCTACGGGCTTTCTCATGGGGGGGTGGGCGTGTCCAGGCCGTCTCTCTGGCTCCTAGCCCTTGCAGTGATTTTTAGGAGAATGGGCAGTGCATTTCGGGAAAGACTGAGTCGAAGTCCCAGCTGCTTGGAGTTGGGGGAGGGGGCTACCTGGGGTCAGGGAGAGAAGGTTCCATACCCTTCTGTGGGGCCTGGATTATTTATTTCATTCTCCGGGCACCGGGGATGCTGCGTCCCCATCTGTTGATGCCCATCCTCAGAATGTGGACAAGACACTCTCTTTTGGGCTGCCTCGTGACCCGGGCTACTCACTCAGCCACTCTGGAACTAAATATCCTTGTCTGCAAAATGTGGGTGGTGGTATCTGTGCCCCCTTCCTAGGCTGCTGTGGGGCTGGTCCTGAAAGCCTGGGCCCTGGCTGGGCTGTTCCTGACTCTGATCCCACCAGGCCTGAGACACCTGGGCTGACTCAGGGGTGAGGGCAGTGGAGGGGCAGGGGCAGCCATGCTCCAACAGTAGAAGGGGCCTGTTATGACCTGTCATGTGGTGTGGGGCAGCCACTCTTTCTCCGACCCAGGGGTGCCTCCGCCTGCAGGATGGGACTCTGAGGGGCCGCAGGTGGAGGGCAGGCGCTGACTGAGCCTCTGCTTCTGTTGCAGATGAGCCTTCCTTGGCGGAAATGGGCCCGGCCAATGGCCTCTACGGGAGCTTGGGGGAACCCACCCAGGCCTTGGGCCGGCCCTCGGGAGCCCTGGGCAACTTCTCCCTGGAGCATGGAGGCCTGGCAGGCCCAGAGCAGTACCGAGAGCTGCGTCCCGGCAGCCCCTACGGTGTCCCCCCATCCCCCGCCGCCCCGCAGAGCCTCCCTGGCCCCCAGCCCCTCCTCTCCAGCCTGGTGTACCCAGACACCAGCTTGGGCCTTGTGCCCTCGGGAGCCCCCGGCGGGCCCCCACCCATGAGGGTGCTGGCAGGGAACGGACCCAGTTCTGACCTATCCACGGGGAGCAGCGGGGGTTACCCCGACTTCCCTGCCAGCCCCGCCTCCTGGCTGGATGAGGTAGACCACGCTCAGTTCTGACCCAGGCCCGGCTCCACCCTGCACCTCACACGAGGGAGCTGCCCCTGGGTGGGCGGCTCGGGGCTGCTGGGGTTTCCGAGGAAGTGGGGCCAGGGCGTCAAGGGAGGGCTGGTGCCTTCGGAGCCTCCCACTGCCGACCGCACAGCTCCCTCTCTGGGGGCTGAGGGACCCACCTGGCCCCTCCTCTGACACAGGGCTGGCCCGCCAGGTGGCCTCCCAGCAAGCCAGCCTTTTTTGTAAGCAAATTTCTCCCCTTTATTGACCAATTAACTGAGCACTTGCTGCTATTTCTAGACATGAAATGTCACCTTGCTGAGGCCCAGCCCAGCCCAGCATAGCCCGAGGGCTGGAAAAACGCTTTCATCTCTAAAACTGAGAAATCATCATAATTGTGCTTTCACTTCCCAGGCTCCATGTGTCTTGGAGCCGTCACCCCGAGGCTCCCTCTTTAGGTCGGAGATTGGCCTTGCCTGTCGAGGCAAGAGGCTGCAGAGGCGGGGACACACCTGTGTCCTCCGGGAG
Source organism: Homo sapiens (assembly GCF_000001405.40). Lineage (NCBI taxonomy): Eukaryota > Metazoa > Chordata > Mammalia > Primates > Hominidae > Homo > Homo sapiens. The sequence goes on along the minus strand of NC_000009.12, from coordinate 136,196,802 downwards.
AGGCCCCCTCCTCTCCCCAGACCACAGGGGGCCTCTCTGCCTCCAGCCCCACCTTCCCCGGGAGAAGCTTTCCCCAATCCCCAGGTCTCTAGATCATTCTGTTCTCGAGTATCCTGTGGAGGAGGCAAAAATGCCTGGCGCCCCTTCTCTCCAAGCTCAATTCTCTAAGCCCCTCAGGGTCTCCTCCTCACCCCACCCCAGGCCCTTGGTGTCCAGGCTGCACCCACAGATGTCTGTTGCCAAACAGCCTGCCCTCCCTGCCGGAGCCGGCTCTGCCAGCCCCAGATTGGGAAGTCTCCCCGCTGGAGAAGGGTGGGGCTCCTCTGAGCCTGCCCTGCCTCCTCCATCAGATCCTTTGGGAAGAAGTTTCTGGGAGATGCCCGCAGCTGTGCGTGCCCCAGACACAAAGGCTGGCCTGTGTGTAAGTCAAAGTCACTCCCGCAAACCTGAATCTCGAGCTACCTATTGGTTCTGTGAATGTTCTGTGTCTTTTATTTATTCTCGGGTGATCAGCTCTTTCCAAGACTTCAATAAATTTGTCAGTTACAGTCAATGGAAGGCCCGCGTTTTTTTGAGGCTGCGGGGGTTGGGGAGTGTTGGGTGTGGGGAACATTCTGTGAATGTTGAGAGGCAGCCCTGGAGGGGCCCTGAGTCCCCCTAGTTCGTTGCTTGGGCTGGCACCTAGTATGAATTTGGGCTCTCTTTATCCCTGGATCTTGGCCATGCTCATGAGCACTGGAAGGAGGTGGGGGGAACAGCCCATCCCTTCCTGATGGAGGGGAGGGGTTGCGGTCTCCACACCCTGTCCCTGGGAGAGGCAGGGGTTGGGATGTCCAGAGAGCATGATGGGGGTGGGAGGTGGGCCGTGTGTGCCATTCACAGCTTGCAGCTGGCACCAACCCCAGGACATAGGCTGGTAGGGTGACCAGGCTCATGGTCATGGAAGTCTCTCCAGCTTGGATTCCAATCCTGGCTCTTCTAACTTGCTGTGTGACCCTGGGCTGGGGGCTGGAACCCTCTGAGCCCTGCTTCCCCGTCCCCACCCCCCAACCCCCCCAACCCCGCCGCCGCCGTAAAGAGAAGACAGTGATGACAGTCCCCTCAGAGGGCAGAAAGAAGTTGTATGCGCCCCACCCCCACCCCCAGGTAAGTGCTCCTATAGGGGCAGTGGTAGAAGCAGGCAGGGTTGGCCCTTCCACCTCGGCCTTCCCTCCTGCAGGAAGGAGGGCTGGGCCTCCTCCCTGAGGGTCTCTTCCTCTGAGGGGGTCTCCCTGGAGCAGAGTGGGGGCTGGAGGGAGGAGGCCCCTTGGAGCCTGGGCTCCCTATTTCTCAGTGGACGGGGAGGGAAGGTGGAGGAGTCCCCATGCCTTTCATGGGGACCTTTGCACTGGCCTCAGTTCCCCCAGTAAGGGTGCGGAGGCCCCTCCAGAATGTGGCCAAGGGAAGCTGCTCTGAGCTGCAGACTTCCAAGTCTCTCCAGGACCAGCCATCTTTTGGGGGGAACTGGTTGGGACCAGTTGTGTGGTTTTTTTTTAAATGGAGTTTTGCTCTTGTTGCCCAGGCTGGAGTGCAATGGCGTGATCTCCGCTCACCACAACCTCCGCCTCCTGGGTTCAAGCGATTCTCTTGCCTCAGCCTCCCAAGTAGCTGGGATTACAGGCGCGCAGCACCATTCCCAGTTTTGTATTTTTAGTAGAGACAAGGTTTCACCATGTTGGCCAGGCTAGCCTCGAACTCCTGACCTCAGGTGATCCACCCGCCTTGGCCTCCAAAAGTGCTGGGATTACAGGTGTGAGCCACCGCACCTGGCCAAGGGAACAGTTGTCTTTTAAGGGACGTCCTTTTCATCGTTTCGGGATGTGTGTCAGGCACATCCTCTTCTGAGTCCCACAGCGGCCTCTCCTCTCAATCTCACAGAAGAGAAAGCTAAGGCCCAGGAAAGGGGAGGGAAGGGAGGAGAGGGGAGGGAAGATGGAGAAGGGGAGGGGAGGGAAGAGTGGGGAGGGAGGAGAGAGGAGGGAAGAAGGGGAAGGGGAGGGAAGAGGGGGAAGAGGGGAGGGCAGCTTGGGAGAAAAGAGCGGGAGACTGTCCTCAGCCATGCAGGCTTGGGCAACCCTGGGGACTGGGAGTGATGGGGCTGGGGCAAAGGACCTCTGAGGAACATCACCGGGAGAAGGTCTGATGTCCAGTCTGCCCTGACCCTGACCTCTGCTGACCTCTAGGCGCCCACAGACCCCAGGTCTGCAGGGCTAAACCGGGCAGGGGCTCTGGCAGGCTCCTGGACCTGTTCATTCCATGAACATTTCTAGAATTGGCTGTGCTCCGCCCAGCGGCCTCTGCCTGTGGGGAGACTGAGGCCCAGAGGAGGAAAGGACCTGTCCTGGCCTGGGTCCCCCCACCCCCCAACCCCCGCTGTGGGGAAGGAGGGGTGCTGACCAGGCGGTCAACGGGGTTTCTGTCGGGTCCTCCCAAGCCCCACCCGCCCTCCCTCCCTCCCTGTGGCGCATGGCCTTCGACCCCCAGGCTCTGGCAGCCACGCTGTGTCTAAGGAGGCACCGAGCACCCCTGGGAAGCGCAGAGACGCGCGGATCACCAGGGCGGTCCCGGGAGGGGAGAAGGGCCCCGACGGCCACTGGGAATGGCGGCAACACTGGAGCCGAGCGTGGAAGCAGATGGGGTTGGACGCGAGGATGGCGCGTGGCGACGGCGACCAGTGCGGGCAAAGGCGCGCCGGCGGGAAAGTGCGAGGTTCGGGGCCGGCCTGCGGAGTCGGTGTCCCCAGGGCAGAGACTCCAGCCAGCGGCCCCGCGGCCAGGGACGGGCGCTGGAGGGACGACCCCGAACTCTCCGGGGGCAACGGGCAGCCCGCGGGGAAAGCGGCTCCGGGCCCAGGTCGAAGGCGGAATTTAGGGAGGGGGCGCGGCCGCCGGGGTGCAGCGCGGGCTGGCGGGGGGCAGCCCCGAGGAGGGGGCGCAAATCCCCCAGCCGCGCCCCCACCCCGCCCCGGCCTCCGGCCCCTCCCCCAGGCCGCCCGGGACCTTTTAGGCGCTGACAGGTTAATAAAGTGCCGACTGTTCCCGCGGGGACCCCGCCCGCGCCCGCTCCAGCTGGCGGCGCGTCGATAATCCCGGAGCCCGTGGCCGCCCCCGACACCGCCCTGGCCGCCGCGGGGAGGGGAGCGGGGCCTGCGGAGGCGGCCTCGGCGATGGGAGACCCGCGGTGCCCTGGAGAGCGCGTCTGCGTGACCTCGCCGGCCTCCGGTTCCCGATCGGAGCGCAGCGCGCGCCGCTCTGGCCGTACCCGGTTCCGCCCCGCGCGGGCCTGGGGGGAGCCCTGTGACCTCCCCGCGCCCCAGGGACAGAAACGCGGGCTCCGACCTCCTCCGGCTCCTGCTCCGTACCCGCGAGGGCGAACCCAGAATCAGACTTCGGGCCGCGGCCCCCACCCGGACCCCCGCCAGGCCGGGGGACGCCCAGCCAGAGCTGCAGACCTCGGGCGGAGAGAGACCTTGGGCCGCGGGGCTGTCTGCGGGCTCTGGGCTGCAGCGAGGTGAGGGGAAGGAGAAGGCGGACCCCTCATCCTCCCTGGGTCCGAGCCCCCTTCCTTCCAGGGTGGAGACGCCTTCTCGCGGACGGTGGAAGCTTTAGCCGCGCGCCTGCGGGTTGTCAGCCCCGAATTCGGGGTTCCTGGCGCCCAGTCTCCCCGCGGAGCGGGAGGTGCGGGGGCAGGTCGAAGGCTGATGTCCCCCCCCCCCCGCGGCTGGGGTCTCCCGGTCTCGGACCCTGGTGGGGCGGCGGGTGAGGCAGGGCCGGGGCCGCAGTGGGAGAGGGGTCGTCCGGGCGCGGGGAGACCCCGAGATGGGACCTGCCCGGCTCTGCTGGCGTCGCTGGCAGAGGGAACCCGGAGGGCGAGGGCTCTGCGCAGCCCGGGGTGCAGGGAGCCGGGGCCGGGGTCATACTCCCCGGCACGCGTTCTGTCTTTTTTTTTTTTTCCCGCTCGTTGGGGTCCCGACCCGAGAGGCAGCGGGGTCGCTGACCAGAGAGGACCGACCCTTGCCCAGGACCCCATCCCCCTTGCAGCGGGGGCGGGGCTGGGGGTGGCACAGGGCTCTGGGTGGCGTCCCCTTGGCGGGACGGGGGAGGAGCTTGCTAACTTTGAATCTGGCAACTGTATTACATCATCCAACTTAAATATCTGAATAATAAAGTAATTTCAACCAGCACATTAAAAGGGATTATTTTCTCTTAAATATGAAATTCATACGAAGAGCTGCTTTTAGCCCGAAGGACCTTCCCGAATCAGGGGATGCCTTAGAAGTCACAGAGGCACCCCTCCCTCTCCCTAAGAGCAGGGACACCCCCTGCCCTCCCCTCCTCTCCCTCCTCACCATCTGCCGGCAGGTCCAGCCCCCCTCCCCAAGGGTGGACAGGAGCGGGTGGGGGCCCAAATCCCCGGGCTTGCCTGGCCGAGTAGCAGCCCTGATAAATCAGAGGTTTTTCAGGGGAATCAGCCTGCAGCGCTAAATCCCAGGGGCTGTAATGATCAATTCTTTAAGCCCATAATTGTTTAAATTACTCTGAGCAACATAAAACATTAATTTTAAGAAATTTAATAGAAAAAAGCTCTTTAAATCCACAACGAGATAAATGACACCCAGTATGGCGACCTTTTTCCATACCTTGGTGACATTGAATAATCTGAAAGTTATTTACATTTTCATCCTTCGTGGAAAATGTTGACAAGCTTTTGGCCGTGGGCGAGGTGCGTGGTGGCTCCGGAGCGCCCCCTCCCCCCTAATTAATGGGGGAGCAGTGACTTTATAAGCAGAATTTTCATCAGTCTGCCTGTGCGACCTCGGGTGACGGCTCCCACCCTCCTGGAGCTGATGCAACTGCCGGTCATTTTTTACCATAAAAATATTCTGTCCTGGCCAGCGGAGCCCCCTCTTGGCATTCAAAAGTAGGTGTGAGACGAAGACGCAGCTGTCACATTCAGGGTGTAGGATGGAGCCCAAGGCCAAACCTAGGAGAAGACTCCTGATTCTGCAGCCCCCGGGCAGAGTCTGCCCTGCACGTGCGCGTGAGAGGCTGCAGTGCTGTGGGGGGCGGCCCTGCCTGGGAGCCACAGGCCCCAGATGCCGCACAGCCCTCCAAACCCAATTCCACACACTTCCCCCTACACCATCCTGGGGTGCCATCTCAGGAGGGCTGGGGTCCCCCAGGTCACATCGTCGGGGCTGGGTGGGTCCAGGAGCCGGGGAGCCACGGTGGGATGCCCTGGGCAGAAAAGGCCCCAGAGCACTGGCTCGGGAGAACTGGCTCCTCATCCTTCTTATCCATGCTACTCACTGGCCACACTGTGTGACCGTGGACAAGCCGCTCAGCCTCTCTGAGTCTGTGAAGAGCAAGTACAATCTCCTTCCCAGGGTTACCATGGGGCTTGAGGAGGCAAAGCCTGGGATGGGTGGGTAAAGGGCACACCCACTCCGACCTGCACACCCACATCTGCTCATCCACACGCTCATCGCTCTCCAAGAGGTCACACACCCACTGCACGGTACACACACAAACATCCCCCACGCTCTCCCAGAGCGTAAGTGCGGGAGGTGGTGGTTGGATTGGAACTAGACCGTGGCGATGGTTGCACAGGGCACACTTTAAAGTGGTTCATTTTACGTGATGTGAACTTTACCTCAATTAAAATTAAAATTACTCCCTCCCAGGCCGCCCTGGAGGATGAGCCTGCCTCCCAGTGGGAGAGGCAGACGGGAAGTCTTGTGGTTAGCCTGGTGCGGGCCACGTCCCACCTGGCTCCAAAAGCTGCCATCTCTGGGAGCCGCTCCCCACCTCACCCCTCTGAAGAGTCTTGGCCCAGGGCAGCAGGACTGAGCCCCGCTAGCCTCTCCTGCACAGGTCAACCACACGGGTTTGGCCTGTGCATAGGGCTGGGCCGTGGGCAGCAGCGTGTCTGTGCCCAGCACCTGATCACGGCTGGCCTGTGTCGGACAGGATGTCCTTACCCACCTCCTGCAGCCCCAGGGCTTCCCTGGAAGGCTTGCGTCTCCACAGGTTTGCCTTCACTTGGGAGAGCCCAGACAGGTGGGCAGGGAACTGGGGTCCTTGGGGCCCAGCAGGCATGTGCTTCTCCAGTGCCCCCCAAACCCACTGACTGCCTGTGCCTGGTGGTCATTTATAGAGTGGCTCTGTCCTGTCCTCAGCCAAAAGCTCTGCAAGAGCTTGGTCCTCAGGCTGGCCCACCCTGACCGCCGGCTTTGTCAGACCTTCAGAGAGGTCAGAGGTTGAGACCTGTGATGTTCTAGGGGTGACACCATGACTCATGCCACCCTCCCCATTTTCTTCCTCTGCTTGGGGAACAATGCTGGCTGCAGATATGGTGGGTGGCTGAGCGTTAGGAGATATGGTGGGTGGCTGAGCATTAGGAGATATGGAGGGTGGCTGAGCGTTAGGGATGGCCACTCTTGAAGGCTCAGCTAGGTCTCCCAGAGGACGGGGTGGTGGGACCAGCCAGCCGCCACCTGCTCTGAGCCCGAGAGGGCTGACCCTGGGATGAGGCAGGGGGAGGGGGAGGGGGAGGACGGCAGAAAGGGCGGTGGGTCCTCCGGGAGCCCCACCTCAGGCGGTTCCTTACAGCACTTACTCCCCCGGGTCTGACCCTGGGAGACAGCAATCCTGCCCCCCAGGTCTGGCACCCTGGAAGGGTGTGGCCGGAGGGCCCTTGAAGTCGCCTCTTCAGGGCAAAGGCCCCAGAGCCAGGCCCCTCCTGGGGGCTGCCTGGGGATCTAGGGCCCTGAGACTCCTAGGCCTGACGAAAGCTCCTTTTTGGCTGTGGCAGCCAGAGGCCCCTCTGTGGTTTGTGCCCGAGACGCCCAATGCGTCCTGCAGGGCAGAGAGCAGCTGACACCAGGGAGCTCCAGGCCTCTGCTAGGGTGGGGCTCGCTCCTCTCCCTGGCAAACGCTTTGTTCAGAGCTCAGTAATCCTCGGAATGACAAGGTTTAAAATTTAATTAGCAGGCTCCTCTTACGCAAACTCTCCTCATTAAACTAAGTGTCCCATTAGTTAAAGTGAAACTTGATGGCGGTGGGATTGGGATTGTGGTGGAGATGGATAAGGCAGCTGGGAGTTTTATGGGCGGGTGGGCGCCTTTCCTGCCGCCCAGGCTGGTGTCAGAACACGGACAGGCGGGGTCCCCCCAGTCTTTCAGGTAACATGGTCTCAGAACCGAGGGAGGGCTGGGCTGGCTGTGGCAAGGCTCTCGGGGGGCTGAGACATTCAGGCCTGGGACCTCTGCAGCCAGGGTGTGTGGAGAGGCCACCGCCTGCAGAGATGATGTCGCCAGTGAGCACACCGAGCCCTGACCCCACCGGGCATTTGAAAGGCAGCGTGGCTGGCAGGGGCTGCCTCCTTCCCCACCAGGGCTCGGGGCAGAGAGACCCGGGTGGCCACTGGGTTCCTCCAGTCCCATCTCCCAGGGGCCAGGCTGGCCTCGCTCAGCGTGTATAAACTCACGCGCATGGCTGATTTTTTGTTACGAAAGTAACATATGCTCATTGTGGAGAATTTGGAAAACAGAACCCCGACGCGGCCCCACAGGTCCTCTATCCAGACCCCATTTTGCTGCTGCTCCTTCCAGGGTTTTCCTACACGGTACACATGCACATTTTGCCCCAGGTGGGTTTATCTTTTTAATTAAAAAATAATTTTTTATTTTATTTTATTTTGAGACAGAGTCTGGCTCTGCCCCCCTTGCTGGAGTGCAGTGGCGTGATCTCGGCTCACTGCAACCTCTGCCGCCTGGGTTCAAGCGATTCTCCTGCCTTACTAAGGCCTCCTGAGTAGCTGAGATTTACAGGCGCCTGCCACCGCGCCCGGCTAATTTTTGTAGTTTTTAGTAGAGACGGGGTTTCACCATCTTGGCCAGGCTGGTCTTGAACTCCTGACCTCGTGATCCGCCCCCACCCCCACCCCCCAGCCTCCCAAAGTGCTGGGATTACAGGTGTGAGTCACCGAACCCGGCCCAAAATTTTATTTTTATTTACTTATTTTGAGACAAGGTTTCACTCAGTTGCCCAGGCTGGGGTGCGGTGGTGCCATCATAGCTCACTGCAGCCTCCAACTCCTGGACTCAAGTGAAACTCCTGCCTCAGCCTCCTGAGTCACTGGGACTTCAGCAACCACAGCTGGAACCACATCTGGCTTTTTTTTTTTTTTTTTTTTGGGCGGGGGTAGAGACGGGGTGTTCCTTTGGTGCCCCGGCTGGTGTCTAACTCCTGGCTTCAAGCAATCCTCCTGCTTTACCTCTCAAAGTGTTGGGATTACAGGCAGGAAATACCACGCCCCGCCCCCGGCCCCAGGGTTGGGTTTCTAGGAGATGTATTGCTTTGTTTTGAGACAGGGTCCTTTGTCACCCAGGCTTAAGTGCAAAACACTGCAGCCTCCACTTCCCAGCCTCAGCCACCCTCCCAGTTCAGCCCCTCCTTCCCTCCAGTAGCTGCAACCACAGGCACACGACACCACACCCAGCTCATGTTTTAAACGTTTTGGAGAGACAGGGACTCATGATGTTGCCCAGGCCAATTTCGAACTTCTGGCCTCAAGTGATCCTCCTGCCTCAGCCTCCAAAAGTGCTGGGATTCCAGGCGTGAGCCATTGCGCCCGGCCGAGATGTACGTCCTTGAAACCTACTTCTTGGCTTGATTGTCACACTATGACCATTTCCCGGGCCATTGGTGACCCTCCAGAGTTGGGGTGGCAGAGCTTTCTGAGGTCGGGCTGGCCCTTTAGGCCTCTCTCATTGTTTCTACTGGGCAGTCATGGTCCACGTCCAAGCTGGACGGAGTAGGGGCAGCTCGTCAGGCCAACAGGGCCATGTTGGCAGCACCTGGGCTCACGAGTCCCCCACCAGCACACACACAGACCGAGACGCACACAGCCTAGAGTCTGGACGGTGGCCCAGGACTCACCCCAGGGAATCAGCATCTCCCCTCCCCAGGGGCACCTCCCTGACCAAAGGAGCAACCCCTCGGGGAGGACTCTTCACATTGCAGCCTTCTTCTTCATTTCTAGAATGTTCCCGTGCCCAGGCCACTCCCCCTTCCCATCTGTAATCCTCCCTGTCGCTGAGGGGGCCTCTGAGCATGTGGGGACCCTGTTCACGGTCGCCACTGTGGCTCTCCCCGGCCCCCGGTCTTCCTCCCTCCCTGTCCTGGTTGGGTGACGTTGAGTTTCTCACGCTGCAGCGAAGGGGCCATCGTTCTCAGCGCATCCTGCGTGCTTTGCCAGAATCTTTAAAATTTTGTGTTTTGGAGCTGACCCTGCCTGTGCGTTTAGAACCACTTGAGGGGCTAGAAACAAATCGCGTGGCGGTGGGGACCCTCCCCCAAGAGCCCCAGGTTTGAGACCTGGTACCTGGGGTTCCTACAGCTCCCAGGTGCCAAGAACCCCAGGTTTGAGGCCCGGTACCCAGGGTTCCTACAGCTCCCAGGTGGCAATGAGGGTGGGCTGGACGCTGGACAGCGCGACGGGCATGGACTTCTTGGGTGCGGCAATGACACGGTTGACGGAGGAAGGAGCCTTCTTGTCACTGAAATGAACGGTTAGTTGGAATGCAGTGTTCTGAATTTTAGCCAAAGCTGTTTTGATTTTATCATTACCGAAGGCCACAGGCCCGGGGATGTTCACCTGCATTCTGATTTTCACATATTGAAATTATAATAAAGACGGCTGAGGTCAGCTTGGAGGACCTGAGAAAAGTTTCCCTCTGAAACACTGTCTCCACGCCCGTTTCCGGGACAGTCGAGTGGGCCTGGAGCCCTCATGGTTTATGGATGCACCGCAGAGCAGCTAACTGGCTTCCATCAGCACCAGAACTCTCTGAAGCCCCATTCTCTCACCTGCAGTGTGGGGTCGGGAATACATTTATCTCGTGGGCCTGTCCTTAGGGTTAAGGGAGCAAATGCTGTTCCCAGCCTGGGGATTGACCTTGAACGAGGCAGCAGGGTCCCTTCCAGTGTCAGAGGTCAGGAAGGAGCTGAGCTGCAGTGGCAGCGGTGGCCAAGGGAGGCTCCCGGAGAGGCCGTGCTCCCACGAGGTCTGAGGCATCCCCACCTGGGAAGGGCATCCCGGCGAGAGCGGATGTGGGAAGAGCTCAGGTCCAAAGAGGCTGAGCCAGAGCTGGGTGGGGGCCCTTGGGTTGCCCAGAGGGCTGCCTGCCCCCCTCGGGGGGCTCGGTCCAGGGCAGCAATATGATTAGGGACCAGCTGATGTCCCTGGCGGAGGCGGTGGTGGTCGGGGCCTGGGGTTAGGCATGGAGGTAGAGATGTGTGTGGATGTGGTCATGAGCTTGTGACGGCTTTGGGGGGCACTGAGAGAAAGTGAGGGGTCTCTCTCGGGGAGGGAACAACTGAAGGAAGCCCCTTTTACCCATCGTGGGACGGGGGACTGGGAGGGGCCAAGGGGAGTGGTGCATTTGGGGTCACACAGTAAGTTTTGGCAGCTTTGAATGTGACCTCTCCAAGCACAGCAGCAGTGTGAAGAGGTGCCCTGGGAGGGGGGTGTGGGCTAGGGTGGAGGGGTGGGGAGGAGGGGTGGGCAAGAGGCGAGTCCCAGAGAAGGAGGAGAACCACGTGGTGTGTCCCAGCCATCAAGAGAGGAAGCTTGGAAAGGCTGAGGCCTAAAACCGTTTCCCGCAGTAACGGCTGGAACAGCGGCAGCTGCTGTCCATTGCTGCTACCGATCCTATTCACAGCTCCAGCGCCACTGCCCGCCACCGCGCGGTGCCAGCGCCCACTTGCCCTCCTGCTGTGCAGAGCTCGCCTCTGGGCTCTGGGGCCCTCGCTCTGTCCCCTCCACCCCAGGAGCCGCCCTGGGTGGCACCTCCACCATTGGCCCCGTTCCCTCCTCCTACCCTGAGGCAGGCGTGTGGCTGCCCTGTGGCACCCTCGGGCAGCGGGCCAGGGAGGGCACCCAGTGGGCCTGGGGAGCTGGCTCCGGAGGTGGGGCTCAGTCACCTGAGGGGCAGGTGCCGCCTGGGTGGCCCAGGGACGTGGCCGGCCACTGCGAAGAAGGCAGGCCCTGGTGGCCGCCTGGACCATCCAACCCCACGCCCATCCCTGCCGCCCGCGCCCCCATGCCTGCATCTGGCCATCCATCTGTCCCTTTGTGTGCAGGCCCCAGGCAGGCAGGCACTACGTGAGGGTCTAGAAGGGTCGGACCCCCGAGGCCTGCCCAGACCCGCCCCCTGTCACTGTTCCTTAACAAACCCTTTGAGGGATTTTTAAACGGAACCATCTCCTTTGACTCCCCCAGTCGTGGGGCAGCAACAAGAGGTGTTAATGGGCCCGGGGTCGATGGGGACAGCTGTGGGGGACTGGGGAGCTGAGACAGCCGGCGAGACCCTGCCACCCCTTCCTCCTGTTCCCGGGAATACCTCAGCTGCCCCCAGAACGCTGGGGCACTCGGCCTGTCCTCCACTGAGCTCCCACCGAGCTGACATCTAGCGTCAGGAGTGGCGAGTGCCGTGCAGGGGTGAGGAGGGGCCGGGAGCTGACCAGAGTGGGGGGTCAGGCTTTCCAGATGGGGGAGATGTTGACAGAGGTCAGGGCTCAGGCAGCAGCAGCTCGAGTGGGGAGGTGGCGTTAGGAGGCGGCCCGGCCTCGCACAGGCTCTGACTTCTTACAGGCTGCAACTCTGCGTCTGGCCTGGGGGTCGGGGCCACATGGTCCCCCCTAAAACAACTCCTCATTGTTTCATTTGGAGTAGGCGTAATTGAACTCAACAACACGGAGAACTGGTTCTAGGAATGTCGATGCATCTGGGGTAAAGGAACCTGCCTGTTTGCTCTCTTCTGTTTTTGTCTTGGTTAAAGTAACTTGGCCCGTTAGTCAGAAGTTAGCTGCGATTCCAAAAGGAAATGGTTAATTCATCGACTTAAGCTGTTAGGTCAATCCATGATCAACTTTGTAAACTAGATCGAAAATATAAGAGGGCTGAAGAGTCTTCATGTTTGCAAGTTTAATGTGTTTTTAAGATATGAAAGAATGGTCCATGTTCATGAGACGTTTGCTTTATGTCCAACAACTGAAGCAATTAAAAGGGAAGCCAATTTTTTTTTTTTTTTGAGACGGAGTCTTGCTCTGTCGCCAGGCTGGAGTGCAGTGGCGCAATCTCGGCTCACTGCAACCTCCGCCTCCCGGGTTCAAGCAATTCCCCTGCCTCAGCCTCCCAAGTAGCTGGGACTACAGGTACCTGCCACCATGCCCGGCTAATTTTTGTATTTTTGGTAGAGACGGGGTTTCACCATGTTGGCCAGGATGGTCTCAATCTCCTGAACTTGTGATCCGCCCACTTCGGCCTCCCAAAGTGCGGGGATGACGGGCGTGAGCCACCGCGCCCAGCCAGGAAACCAAATTTTAAGTTTAAATGTTGAAGGAAATTTAATTGAGTAGTGGAAGTTCCTTCACATTGTTTTTAAAATTTACTAAGATTCCTAATGGAATCATATTTGTAAACTGAACGTAAAAGCTTAACGAACAGCTACAGTTTTAAATTAGTTGAATATTTCAAAAACCAAAATAACTATGCTGAATAATCTTTTCTATGCAAAAACAAAAACAAAAACATTCAAGAGCATGGAATACTGATAGTTAACAAATTACATTTTTCTTTCTTTTTTTTTTTATTTTTGAGATAAAGCTTCGCTCTTGTCGCCCAGGCTGGAGTGCAGTGGTGTGATCTCGGCTCACTGCAACCTCTGCCTCCCGGGTTCAAGCGATTCTCCTGCCTCAGCCTCCAGAGTAGATGGGACTACAGACGCGCACCACCAAGCCCAGCTAATTTTTGTATTTTTAGTAGAGACGTTTCATCATGTTGGCCAGGCTGGTCTCGAACTCCTGACCTCAGGTGATCCACCTGCCTTAGCCTCCCAAAGTGCTGGGATTACAGATGTGACCTACCCCGCGCCCGGCCAACAAATTAAATTTTTCTTATGCAACTTCACACTTGGGCTATTGGGTGCTCTGAGCGTTCTGTGGGTGTGAGATGACAGGCCCCCCATTCCTGCCCCCCACTTCCTGTTAGGGGTTGAACTGTGTCCCTCAAAAAAATATGCCCACGTCCTAACCCCTGTCCCAGTGAATATGGCCTTATCTGGAAATATGGTCTTTGTTGATGAGAGCAAGTTGAGATGAGGCCACGCTGGAGTAGGGGGCCCTGATCCAAGGCAGATCCTTCTCAGACTGTCCTTGCCCCGGATCCAGGCATTTCCTCTTCTTAGAGGGGGATTTGGACCAAAGGCACATGGGAGGCGTTACCAGAAGGCCAAGTGATGGCAGAGGCAGGTGTGGCGGAAGCCAACGGGCAAACGCCAGCAGCCACCAGGAGCGGGGAGAGAGGCGTGGGACAGGACGATGATTCTCCCCCAGCCCTTGGAGGCAGCCACCCCAGCAGGCCACCTTGATTTCAGACTGTGGCCCCCCGACACCGGCAGGATGCCTTTCCGTTGTGTAAACTGCCAAGCTGGCGGCACTTTATGATAGCAGCCCCAGGACACTAATGTGTCTCCAAGGGGTTTACTTTCGGCTCCCCCTGCCCGGGCCGGTCCCTGGCCAGTGCTGACTTGTGCCTTGAGGTCTGGCCAGGCCCGTGGACGTGGTGCACTAGGGTCCCTACTTGGGGCTGGGCACACAGGAGAGCAGGGCCCCGTGTGGCCCTGAGCAAGTCATCCTGGGCACAGGCTCCAGCCCAGGGCACCTGCTGGGGCCTCACCTCTCCAGGGCCTGGGGCTGCTGTCCAGCCTTGGCAGCAATGACCCCTGTCCTGCCACCAGCTGGGGCCCTTCCTTCTCACCCTTCAGCCCGGGCAGGCATCTGCAGCCCCCGCCCATCACGCCTCGGTCCCCTGACTCTCCCAGCAGCTTTTTATTGGCTGCGGGTGGTTGGAGGGGGCAGGCAGGGGTGCCCGGCCAGTGCCTTGGCAGCTCCCTAAGGCCCCCAAGACCCTGCCCTGGCCTCCCAAATCCGCCAATATTAGAAAGGATTTGTGTCCCCGATAAATAATGCAAAGTTAAATTACATCCGCTGAGGCTTAAAATTTCATATTCCTATTTCTCATCTCCATAAAGAAATTCCACTCGCGGGCCTCACCGGTTGGCCTCTGCCAGCTGCCGCGGATACTCCTAATGAAATTGCTCCTCTGGGCGGGGCGGCCCGAGGTGCCGTGCAGGGTGGCCGCCCACAGGGGAAAAGGTAAAAGGCCAGAGTTCAAATTATTTATCTCCCTAATAACTTAATAGATTGCATGCATGATGTCAGAGGCTGGCAGGCAGGCAGGCCTCCAGCCAGTCGGGGTGGGTGATCTATGAGGAGGCGGGAAGAGGGACCCCACCCCAAGGGTACAGCTAGGGCGTGCCTGCAGAGCTGGGGACCCCTATGTACACGTCCAGGAGAGGTGGGCCCTGTGAGCTGTGCCCCTACAGTGTCCTTCATAAAACCCCGCATCCTGGGGGTTGTGGCTCCTCCTGCCCCAGATGAGGCAGGGCCGGCTTCTGCAGACTTCCTAATGCTTTCCTGGGACCGGGATCCAATAGGTGCTCAGAAAATGTAGGATGAACCATGTCACCAGCCCAGGGCTGTGCAGGGCGCAGGGAGAAGGGAGCCCCTGGGCCTGCCTCAAGGGTCCTGAGGTCCAACAGAATGAGCTGGAGTCCAAGGCAGAATCAGGAGAGGCCCCGAGGGTGAGGGTGGGTCTAGTGCAGGAGAGGGAGGAGGTGGCCTCTGCAGGGGAGTAGCCCCAGGAAGGAGGACAAGCCGGGAGGCCAAGGCCCAGAGAGGAGCAAGCCTGCCTGCCTTCCTTCTTTCCTTCCTTCCTTTCTTACTTCCCTCCTTCCCTCCTTCCTTCTCTCCCTTCCTTCCCTCCTTCCCTTCCTTCCTTTCTTCCCTCCTTCCCTTCCTTCCCTCCTCCCCTCCCTCTCCTTCCTCCCTCCCTTCCTCCCTCCCTCCCTCCCTCCTCCCCTCCCTCCCTCCCTCCTTCCTTCCTTCCTTCCTTCCTTCCTTCCTTCCTTCCTTCCTTCCTTCCTTTCCTTCCTCCCCAAGCAAATAAATACTTTTGTTAACATGGTAAAGTTTTTTTTTGTTTTTGTTTTTGTTTTTTTTTGAGATGGAGTCTCGCTCTGTTGCCCAGGCTGGAGTGCAGTGGTGCAATCTCGGCTCACTGCAAGCTCCACCTCCCAGATTCACACCATTCTCCTGCCTCAGCCTCCCGAATAGCTGGGACTACAGGTGCCCATCACCACGCCCAGCTAATTTTTTGTATTTTTAGTAGAGATGGGGTTTCACCGTGTTAGCTGGGATGGTCTTGATCTCCTGACCTCGTGATTCGCCTGCCTCGGCCTCCCACAGTGCCGGGAATACAGGCGTGAGCCACCGCGCCCGGCCAAAAACATGGTAGGGTTTTGACCTCAAATATTTACCTGGTCTGTTACTCATATGAACTTGTAGCTGGACATGTGAACCTTGAAGATGCTGCTTCCCGTGCAGTTCAGGCTCCAGCACAGACAGTCTCTACTCTCATCCCCCGGCCCCCTTTGCACAAATTTCTTCGTTTTATGCCGAGTTCCCCGAAATGCATCAGGATATCGCATCAACTTGTACAGAGTATCAAGATCTCATTCTCTATGAGAGGACAGGACAGGCCTCCGAGGCCCCGGAAACCAAGCAGAGAACGTGGGTAAAATTTAAATCATTTTTAATGATTAAAACAAGTGATTTAGTGATGAAAATCATCTAATTGAATGATTAAAACCCCTCCTGGTATGCCCTTCCAGCCTGCAGAACGTTCTGGCGAATGGAGGTGAGAAGGTCCCTCTGATGCGGCAGCTCCTGCATCCCAGGCCCCTCTCCGCCCAGGACCAGGGTCTCTCGGCTGTTTCTAGCCTCCCCAGGCCTTGGTGGCTATCCCTCTGGGCTCCCGTACCTCTGAGCCCGTCAAGGTGGGCCAGGAGGGCCTGCATAGGGCTGGAGGCAGCGCCTCAACCTGCCCTACCACTCGGCCCTGCACCCCTGGCTCCCCCACGCCAGATCCAGCCCCTCAGGTGACCCCTCCCCTTGGGGCCCCCAGGGAAGCCTCCAATTCTGATCAGACCCTCCAGGCCTCCTGCCTCCCTCTGGAGGGCCCAGGTACCCCCTCACCTCGTATTTATGGCCACTTAATCTGTGTGAGCAGCCGGGCCCCAATATATCTCCAAGTATTGATCAGCTTTGGGCTGATAGTTCAAGCTCACAAGGTCTCGCTCTTTGACCCCCAAATAGGGTATGAATCTCAATCGAATAGACAGATATTCACACGGCTCCTACCCCGGGCTGGAGACCACAGGAAAATCAATGAAGAGTGTTGGTGACTCACGATTTATAGAACGCCTGCCATTTTAATATTAGAATAAATGTTCTATTGCCCAGGGAGGGGGTGCAGAGGGTCGCATGGCAAATATTTCTTACAGAGTCTTTTCTGCTGGAAAATGATGTGCACGGGATTTTATGAAGTCAAATTTATAGACCTCATTTAGGCTTATAATTTAAAACTCCTGATGAGAAAGACATTAAGTAGAGTGCTTGGGGGGCGGGGGGGCACGGGCTGGGCAAGTGGGTGGTCCCAGAGCTGCAACCTCTGGTGAGGGGAGAGAGCGGGCTGCGGGCAGGGGCTGGGCTGCATGTTCTGCCAGGGCCTGGGCAGCTGGGCACTGGGGAGGCCCCGGGCATGGGGAGGCCTGGTCTGCCCAGGGGCCCACAGGTGACTCAGAGCAGGGGCTGCCAGGTTATCCCAACCCTGGGGTCTCAGGGCTCTGGAACCCCGGAGCACCAGGCCTGATGCGGGAGGGCCCCAAGAAGGTGAGGCTGCCCACAGGTATCCATGAACACACCAGGCAAGTACGCTGTGTGTGCACACACGCGCTCACGCAGGGGGCTGCCCACCCAGTGTGGGGACACACGCACATGGCCACGTTGTGCTCAGTTACACGCGTGCACACATACATGAACGCTGCACACAGGTGTGCACGCTCACACACGTCTGTGCACACACACTTCTGCTCCTTGCCAGACCTTGCTTGACCTCCTCTCTCCTCCGAGGCCACTTCTCTGATTTCCCTGCTGAAGAAAGTTCTCAGCCTGAACTTCCCGCTCCTGGAGAGACCCAGAGTCACATGTGTCCCGGGTTGGAAAGGTTTGCCCTCAGCGTTGCTGGATAAACTTGCAAGAAAGCACCACTGGGGTATGGAGGTTAGGGGGACACTGCCTTATTTTTAAAATTTATTTATTTATTTTACATGCAAAAACACACATTGCAAGGGGGTGCTGTTTTGTAGAATTTAGCTCAGGCCAAAGAAAGGGCTTCACCGTTTTGTCTGATTCCGGCAAGGAGCAAACATCCCACCTGGGAAGCAGGACAAAGGGCAGGCGGCTCCTCCTGAGGCAGCCTGACTTTCAGTGGACGTGTCCCTACTGCAGGGTGGGCGGAAGAACAAGGAGCCATGTACGGGGCCCCGGGGGGTGTCTGGGGTACACTGGACCCATCCCAGCCGGCAAGGGTGACCCTTGGGTCTGTGGTCTGTTGGAGGCTGGCTGGGCCCTCTGTGGGCTCACTACCTCCCCTGTGGCTTTGAGTGAATCCCTTCCCTCCCGGCCTGTTTCCCCAGCTGCAGCTGAAGAGGTTCGGGAGTCTGTCTTTCCTTGCCAGACTGTCCAAGGTCCCGAGATTCCAGGCCCCAGTTTCGGACTCTGGAACCTCCCGGGGGGCCTGTGGCCCAGCCCTGAGCCCTCGCAGTGCCTGCTGGAAAACACCCCTGCTCCTGCTCAGTCCTCCCTGGAAGTGGCAGTTTGAGGGAAGCCCTGAGGCTCGGGAGCTGACACTGCCTGACGGGTGGATTGAGGTTGAATGGCACAGGCTTAGCTTATCTTCTAAGGATGTCATTGTCCCGGACAGGAGAGCCAGGAACGGGGAGGGGGCCCCAGGAGGGTCCCTCCAGCTCTGCGGCTCTTCACTGAGGACTGGGGGCATTTTTTCAGGGATGGAGCTGTGGCAGCTACAGAGGGGGACAAGCCTGGGATGGGGGTGAGCAGCCCTGCCCCTTTGGCCAGCTCAGCTCTGTCTCCTCCTGGCCTTGGCGCCAGGTCCAGCAGGGGCCGCTTTTGATCACAGGCCTGCCCATGCTCTCTGCAATGCTGGGAAAGGGGATCCCTTACCCCCCACAAAGATCTCAATGCCCCAGGCAGCATGGGGGGCTCCCACGGACTTGAGGGGCATCTGGGGCTTCCTTGCCCCCAGCTCTGCCCACAGGGTCGGGGCTGACTTTCAGTGTGTGACTGAGCCCCGGTGGGTTGGGGTTTGTGTGTGAGTGGTAGTGTTACCAGCTGGGGACCTGAGGAGGTAGAGTGAGGAGCCGGGGGCGGGGGTGTGCAGGCTCTGGGGACTCAGCACAAGGGGCCTCTGCCAGTCTGAGACTTGGCATCCTTGCCCGTGAGCCAGGAGTAGGAAGAGCCTCTGACGCCTGGTCACCAGGATTTCGGGGACGAGACATCGTGAAGAGCCCAGCTCGGGGCCTGGAGGCTCCATGAGCGCAGGGGCGGGCTCTGTTGATTGTGAAGCCCACGAAGGCCACGCTGATCCCAGTTCCCCCAGTGCTCCCCCCGCTCTCCACGGCCACGCTGATCCCAGTTCCCCCAGTGCTCCCCCCGCTCTCCACGGCCACGCTGATCCCAGTTCCCCCAGTGCTGTCCCCGCTCTCCACGGCCACGCTGATCCCAGTTCCCCCAGTGCTGTCCCCGCCCGCGACGGCCACGCTGATCCCAGTTCCCCCAGTGCTGTCCCCGCCCGCGACGGCCACGCTGATCCCAGTTCCCCCAGTGCTCCCCTGCCTACAATGCTGGCGCTCTTCCTCCCCGTCTTCCAGGTCTTCCAAAGGCTGATCTTCGGGGCCCCTCCTGGGCCCCAGCACCTCCTTGGCACCCGCGGAGTACGACTCTCCCCACCGCCACCCCAACCAGCACTGCAACCCTAAGCACACGAGCCCTGGCCCAGGAGGCCCCTGCCGAGTTCTCCGTAAGGAGATGATGGTCATGCTGCCTCCTCCATAAACTCAGCCGTGGGACCCAAGGCGCCCGGTGCGGGACAGGGCATATTTTACATTTTCAACTTTATTAAAGGAGCCAGGTGGGCCTGGGAAGGCTGCCTTCCCTCTGTGGTCAATTCTGCCCCTGGAGGCGATAAATCTCCAGGCCTATGATTTGTGGCTCTGCGCTCCCAATAAATTAAATCTTTCCTGATGAAAAGATTGGAGCGCCCGGCTCTGCTTTAGGTCACTGTGTTTGTTCAAAGTAAGCTGAGCAGGAGTCGCCCAGCCAAGCCCCGCTGCCCGCCCCACTGGCCGCCCTCCCTGGAGCACAGGGAGAACACGCAGCTTCCTCGGCAGAGCTGGGCCCTCCGCAGTGACCCGCTCCCGGATCCTCCACCACCAAAGGCATGGCAGCTCTTGGTTGAACAGTCCCAGAAATCTCTGTAGCAATAAGGAACGAAGCCATCCTTGCCCTCCTCAGATGGCAGAGATGGGGACACTCAGGACCTGGGCTGGCAAGGCCCCTGGCAGCACTATCCAGGCCCCGCCTGTGGGGCTGCCTGAGGACTGTGCTGGACGTGAACTTCTGGGTGACATTTGCCCCACGTGAGGCCATCTGGGGGTGTGGGCAGAGGTACTGGTTCGGAGCACTGGGCTGAGGCTGGTTCGACCCGCTAAGACCTCCCCTGACCACTCTCAGAGCCCCAGTTCTAATCAGTGAAAGGAAGACAAGACCACCTGAGAGAGCTGGCCCGGGGCCTGGAGTACGGGGGAGGGTGCCCGCGGCCCATGTGCTCCAAAGCTAGGACTCAGAACAGAAGCAGCAGGGCTGGGGGTCCTGCACCCTGTGCGGACCCAGAACAGAAGCAGCAGGGCTGGGGGTCCTGCACCCTGTGCGGACCCAGAACAGAAGCAGCAGGGCTGGAGGTCCTGCACCCTGTGCGGACAGAACTGAGCCAGCAAAGCCGCAGCCCCCTGCCAGCCCCACTCCTGGTTAAAGTTGGAGGTCACTGGCTGGGCACAGTGGCTCATACCTGTAATCCCAGCACTTTGGGAGGCTGAGGCAGATGAATCACTTGAGGTCAGGAGTTCAAGACCAGCCTGGCCAACATGGTGAAACCCCATCTCTACTAAAAACACAAAAATTAGCCGGGCGTGGTGGCGGGCACCTGTAATCCCAGCTACTTGGGAGGCTGAGGCGGGAAAATCGCTTGAACCTGGGAGGCAGAGGTTGCAGTGAGCCGAGATGGCTCAAAAAAAAAAAAAAAAAAAAAAAAAAAAAGGTTGGAGGTTGGTGCCCAGGACAGCCTGGCCCTGGGCAGAAGGTCTCCTGGTGCCCTCTCAGACCAAGAGGAGCGAGAGAAACCCACATCCCAGGTCCAAGGTTGTGGCCTTTCCACAGACGGCACTCTTCATGGCTGGCACCCCACAGAATCACTCAGGACGTTAAGTCCCACCTCCAGGCCCCTCTCATTTAATTTACTGCAAATCTGTGTCAGAAACCAAGAAGAATGAGGTCTGCATTTTGGAACAAAAGATTTACAGCCCTGGCTAACACTTGATCCCAGGGAAAGTGCCCAAGAAATTGCTCTGCTTGGAACAAAATCTCGCAGAGCCTGGGAAAAGCGGGGGCCTTGGCCCTGTAGCCAAAGTCAACCCGGCTGAGCCTGTGGCTCTGGTTTCAGGGCGGTGGGGTTGGGCTGGGGTCCAGGGAGCCCACATTCCTGCCCAGGGAAGGGGCTTAGGCGCTGGCATCAGAGACAAAAGCCCTAACCCTGAGCTTCCTCAGACAGGGTTGCAAAGCCATTAGGCTGATGAATGAAATCGTTTCCAAAGCTCTCAGCCCTTTTTGGCTGATTGCATTCGGGAGAGCCCCTCCTCGAAGGCCCCTCGGAAGTCCCATCTATTTATTCAATTTAAGTTTTGGTTGGGAGGGGTGGGGAGCCACCTCCAGGTCACCCCAGGCTAAGGAGGACCAGCCTGGGAACGGGAAGGCTGATGGACGTTTAATTGCTGTCTGGTGTGAGCCCAAGAGTTTAGCATCAGTTCTCACTCGCTCAGAACAAAGGCCTAAGCCCTCCTCTGTCATGTTGAGCTCAGGGAGGAAAAGGAGTCAGAAAGTGGAAGTGGTCCCGGAGAGGATCAGGAATGCGTTGGGTTCCAACTCCTGAGTTCACCCCCAGAGAGCTGCCCCAGCTGAGGGAGGGTCTGTCCAGGTCCCTGGAGTCCAGGCCCCTGCATGGCTGCCTCGAGGTGGTCAGGAAGGCTGGACTGCAGCACCGCCCAGGCCAGCTGGGGGGCACCCTGGCCAGGGCTTTCTGAGCTGTTCTGAGCCATAGGGATAGGCCTGAGTGAGAGGAGCCACGGAGAACATGGGGAGCAGGTGCAGAGAGAGGACCCAGCAGGCTCCACCCTGGCCCCTGGCCCCTGTTCACAGCTGTTACCTTGCTCATCCTGGGTATCATCAGCCAGGCCTGCCCAGCCCACGGGGGCTCCAGGTTGGCAGCAGGTTAGCAGCTGGGGACAGCCAATGTCCCTGCTGTGCACAAAACTCTCCCCTAGGGCAGAGGCTCTCCTCCCAGTTCTCCACCCCTCCTGCCCCAGCCCCTCTAGCCCAGCCCAGAAATCCCAGACACCCCAGAGACTCCAGACACCCGAGATACTCCAGACACCCCAGACACCCCAGACACTCCAGATACTCCAGACACTCCAGATACCCCAGACACCCTAGATACTCCAGACACCCCAGACACCCCAGATACTCCAGACACTCCAGATACTTGACACCCCAGATACTCCAGACACCCCAGACACTCCAGACATCCCAGATACTCCAGACACTCCAGATACTCGACACCCCAGATACTCCAGACACCCCAGACACCCTAGATACTCCAGACACCCCAGACACTCCAGACACCCCAGACACCCCAGATACTCAGACACCCCAGATACTCCAGACACCCCAGACACCCCAGATACTCCAGACACTCGACACCCTAGATACTCCAGACACCCCAGATACTCCAGACACCCCAGACACCCCAGATACTCCAGACACCCCAGACACTCCAGATACTCAGACACCCCAGATACTCCAGACACCCCAGACACCCCAGATACTCCAGACACCCCAGACACCCTAGATACTCCAGACACCCCAGATACTCCAGATACCCCAGACACCCCAGATACTCCAGACACCCCAGACACTCCAGATACTCAGACACCCCAGATACTCCAGACACCCCAGACACCCCAGATACTCCAGACACCCCAGACACCCTAGATACTCCAGACACCCCAGACACCCCAGATACTCCAGACACCCCAGACACTCGATACTCCAGACACCCCAGATACTCCAGACACCCCAGACACTCCAGACACCCCAGATACTCCAGACACTCCAGACACCCCAGACACCCTAGATACTCCAGACACTCCAGACACCCCAGATACTCCAGACACCCCAGATACTCCAGACACTCCAGACACCCCAGACACCCTAGATACTCCAGACACTCCAGACACCCCAGAGACTCCAGATACTCCAGACACCCCAGATACTCCAGACACCCCAGATACTCCAGACACCCCAGACACTTGCTCCTTTCTGAGTCTGCAGCCTCAGGGCCTTTGAGCCTGCTGTCTCCCAGCTGAACCCTCTTCTCCTCCTGCTCCCTGAGACCCTGCCCCAGGCCTCCCTGATGTGGGGTCAGTGCCTGTGACCTGCCTGGACCCCTTCTGTGTGGCCCACCTTGGGTGGAGTCACTCGAGCGTGCCGGGCCTGGGCTGTGGGGCCGGGTCCCATGGGGTCACAGTGGAAGATGCTGCGGCAGGGAAAGGGCTGAGGAGCTGAGCAGAGCTGCTGCAGATGGGAAGGCAGCGCTGGCTCGGGGGCGACAAGGAGCAGGGATGCGCGGCCTCGGCCACACACCCGGGTCTGTGTCAGGGTCTCCTGGGGCTGCTGTAACAGAGGTCTACAAACTAGGGGCTTAAAACAGCAGGACATGGATACTCTCCCCGTTCCGGAGGCCAGACAGGACATGGATCCTCTCCCCGTTCCGGAGGCCATAGTCGGAAACCAGGTGTCACAGGGACCCCTTTGAGGCTCCCTCCGAGGCTCCAGGGGGGATCCTTCCTGCCTCTTCCAGCTTCTGATGCCCCCGGCATTCCTTCGCTTGTGGCCGCATTGCTCCGTCTGTACCTCTGTCTTCACATGGCCCCTTCCTTCTGTGTCCCTCTGCCTTTCGAAGGGCACCTGCCATTAGATTTAGGTTTTACTCTAATCCAGGAGGATCTCATCTCAAAATGTTTATCTTAATCACCTCTTCAAAGACCTTTCCCAGATGTGGTCAACTCCCAGGATGCAGAGGGGCTAGGACTTGAACACACCTTTTCTGGGGGCACATCCAGCCCACTGCATCCTGGGTCTGCTGCTCCTGGGCTGACAGTGAGCTGGGGTGAAGCCCACTCCCCAGAGCCTCCAGGGTCTCACGTGTCCTCCCTCGGTGGAAAGTGGGCCGCAGCACTGTTGCCACTGTCACATGGGCCTCAGCTCTACTCTATGGGCCTCCTGCATGGGCCTCCAGGGAAGGCTCTAAGACTGTGGAATTCAGAGCAATTGCTGTCTCCAAGGAAGCCTGTAAAACTCTGGAATTCAGAGCAATTCCTCCTGACAGCCAGGTGGGCCAAGAACCTGGAGGACTCCAGGGGCGAACTGACAGCTGCATTTCCTGCTCTCCAAAGGGAAGCATTTTGTCCTCAGAGGGATGTCTCTAAGTGTCCACCAGGTGCACCTGTGCCCGGCTGCAGAGTAGCACCTGCTCCAGGTGAGTTTCGGGCTCTTTGAGCTGTCCAGGCCTCAGGAAACCACAGATGGGAGGAATGGATGATCTCGGTCTTCAGTAATGAACCCAGCAGGGTTCACGGCCGCCTCTCCTGTTATCCGAGGGGGCTGGAGGCAGTGCCTGTGTCTGCCCCAGCCCATGGCCTGACAGGCCACGCTGGCCGCTCACCTGCACCTCCTGGGGTGCGTCAGGCGCTGGGTGTGAGCAGTGGAGTGAAAAACCTGCTCAGCCACAGCGCGTCGACCTCACCAGGGCTGCGGCACACCAGAAAGAAGGACTTCCACCCCTGCCCTGACCCACACACTCTTTGCAAGTTCAGAGGCTACCTGGTCACTATGGAGCAAGGCCAGGCCGACACCTCAATGGCCTCCCTCCCCACAGTGCCAGCCCTCAATGGCCTCCCTCCCCACAGTGCCAGCGTATATGCGAGGGTCCCATCCCCGACTCGCACACCCTCAGGCTTATACATGGGGCTCCCTCATCAGACACTGTTATCAACGACCACAGAGCCCCAAGAGAAGCAGGGACCCCAGACATCTTAGCGGATTCTTATAACGATCTGTTCCCTGGGACACCAGCCCCATTTACAGATGAGTAAACTGAGCCTCTTGGGGTGATGCCACTTGCTAGAACTGCTCACACAGCAACAGGGGAGTCAGGACCAAGGCCACGCCAAGGGCCTTGATGTCAAAGGCTGTGCTTCTCCCTCTCACCCTGTCTCTCACACCCAGCACAGTGGGAGCCCCTGGAGTGTCCAACATCTCCTCCGAGACCACTGCCAGCCTCCTCAGAACAGCCTCTGAAGCTCAGACTGGGAGGCAGATTCCAGAGGTCCCCTGAGCACCCCTCACAACGGGAAGGGACCACCCTCTGCCCAGCTGTGGCTCTGTCCCAGGGCAGGGGTGGGGCCCATGGGCCCTGTTGCAGCCATGGTGAGGCTCTGCCAAGAACCTTGGGTGCCAATCCATGGGCTGGGAGCTTTCTCGTTGACCAGGGAGGCAGGCCAGTCCAAGGGGCTCCTGGGTGGTGTCAAATTGCATGGAATGGAAATTAGACCTCAAGCAGCCTCTGCCTCTGAGACGGGAGATTCTTTGTTTGCTCTTAGTGGGTAAATTCCAGCCCCTTGGCCTCTCCCCTGCGATTCTGCTGACTTAATTTGGGCTTTTGTCTGGGGCGGCCCCCGGAGGGGATTACCCGAGGGTCCTATTACAGTTCCCAAGTCTGGCCCTGCTAATGAGTTCAGGGGCAGGTGGCAAGGTGAGCTCCAGGGTGTTTCCATGTCACCCTGGGAACAGCATCTGCAGGGCTTGGCCCAGGTGCTGAGAGCGCTTCCTGGGTGCCGGCTGAGCAGACACAGGGCTGGGTTGGCCATGGCCAGGAGAGCCAGGTGACCACACAGGCAGTGCCCCTGGGTTACAGGGCTGACAGACCAGCAGACAGGCGGGCAAACAAGCCACATACCAGGAAGAGACTTTGACCTGGTTATGAGGGCTCTGAAGAAAAGGAGGTGGGAAGAGACGAGAGAGGGCCTGTCTGGGGCAGAGACGTGGGCCAGGGAGGGCCTCCCCTGGGTGGGGGACATTTAAACGGAAGCTTTGATGCCTCACTGGAACCACCCCTGTGTGGGTCACTGAAGAGGCCTTGCAGCCACAGAACACAGCAAGTGCTAAGGCCCTGAGGCTGGCAGGAGCCGTCGTGCCCAGGAGTGGGAAGGAGGCTGCCACATGGAGGAGACAGAGGCGCCCAGAACACAGGGGGATGGGTGGGAGCTGGCGGGAGAGGACAGGGTCTGAGGCTCGGTGGGGACCTAAGTAGAAGGGGCTAGGCAGGGAGTGACCTCATCTGATTGGCTGTGTCACCCAGGCCCGTGGGGAAGATGGATGGGGCAGAAAGGGGCATCCACAGGATCTGCAGGGGTCCCAGGGCCATGTCAGCATGGGGCCACCAGGTGGGAGGGGAGCTGCCCTGGGGCCAGTGTGGGGTCCTCTGTGGCTGACCAGAGGGTGGGCGGGCAGCCTCTGCAATGAGATGGGGCTGTAGGGTATGCCTGAGCCCAGGTGCCAGCCAGGGGGCAGCACAGGCCCCCAGCGATGGGGGGACTGGGCTGCGCCAGGTGGGCTCCACTTCACAGAAGAGGAAACGGAGGGTCAGGGAGGGTCAGAGGCAGTGCCCTGGTGACACAGCAGGGGGGCCCAGCCAGGATCAAACCCCTGCCCGGGATGCCAACCTGCCCTAGTGACCACCAGTGCTGGGGCCCACCTCTCTGGGGGTTCCCGATCTGGGTTGGCACCCCTGCCCCTGCTGGGTCTACAGAGGGGAGCTCAGCCCGGGCACAGCCGGGTCCCCCATCGCTGGGCGGCCTCTACTGCCCCCTGGCTGCCACTCTGGCCCAAGCAGCATCAACTCGACCAACTATAACCTCGAGACTGTCTGGGCCCAACCTGGGATTTTGCAAACAGGTTCACCAAATTGTCAATTAAGTGAAAATCAATCTCCAGCCATTCATCACAGGCTGCTGGGGCCGCGCACAGGCCGCCATCGATCGGGGCCCCTGGGGAGCGATTGAGGCCAAGTGCAGCCCACATCTGCTGCATCAGGGCAGACGCCACGATCCATCATCCCAAACAGCCGAGGCGCCCACCCGGGGGCCCGGGCTTGCCCAGGAGGGAGGGCGGGTGGAAGGGGCACAGCGCCCTTGGAACCTTTCAATGCTCTGGCCACAGTGCCGGATCCCTGAAAGCCCCTTCCCTCTCCATCAGGCCCCATGGCCCTGTCCTCCCCGTCTCACCCAGCCCTTCTCCCAGTGACAGGGGTGGGGGCACTCTGAGGTCTCTCTATGAAGGGCCATTGCTCTGACGCCGTGGCAGGGGCTGGGGGAAGCAAGGTGGAGGAATCTGGTCCTCTCCCCGTCCTCAGCCTCCCCTCTCTGTTTGACCTTTCGGGAGAGCCCCCTCTGCCTGGCTGTGCACACTGGGCACCCTGACCTCTCTTCTCTTTCACTATTGTTTGTCCCCTCCTCTCCCAACCTGGCACAAGGCTGTGAGCCTGCAAGGCACCTTAAATGCACTGGGCCGAGCTTCAGGGCCTCCCCCTCTGTGAGGTCAAAGTCCAGTGAGGCCCCATCTAGGGTGTCAGTGCCCAGACAGCAGGGCTGGGATGCTCCCCCGAGGACAGAGCACTCCTCCATAACTTCCGCAAGAGTCCCTGCACATGCGGGGAAAACGGCCCAGAAATGCCCAGATTTCCAGAATTTCTTTGCAGTGGAGCCTGCAGCTTGTCACTTTGATGCCCTCCTGCAGACAGCCCCCCAGGCCCCTCATGCAGGGGCTCCACCAGCTCAGACTTCTGGACCCTCCCCGCAGGCTTTCAGGGGCTGAACATAGGGCTGGGACGTGCCATCAGTCCCGTGTGGGCTGTAGCCCAGTAAGCTGATGGAGCCTCGGGGAGAAGGGCCCCTTCTGAGCACCAGGTCTAGGGCTGACTGGCCACCTGGGTGTCCTCGTTGGACAGAAGAGGACGTGGAGGGGAGAGCTTCCAGCCCCTCTTCCTGGGCTTCATTGAGGTGGAGACCAGCAAGGGCTGGTCACTGCCAGCGTCCCCTCCTCTCCTTGCCCCCTCCTTGGCCACAGGAGTCCAGCTGGACATGAGGGCTGTTCCACGAGAGCCAGAAAGCAGCAGGGTCACATGGGACAAGGGCCTTCAAAGTGTTGAGACCTGCCGACCTTCCAGTTGCACTTCTGGGGTCAATTCACGCCAGCCATCTGGCCTACGTGGCTCAGACACTGCAGAAGGAGGCAGAGAGGACAAGCTGCCCGACCCTCATGGTGCTAAGGCAATTGTCATCAGTCTGAGGGCGAGAAAAGCCTTTTGCGTGAAGGCATCCTGGGAGCATCATTCATTCATTCATCAAGAAATAGTTATTAAACCCTTAAGGGACTGTTGCTTCCAATCATGATGAAATAACAGGGGCTGCATTTGCTCTCGTGCTAAGATGTACAGAATACACGGTTTTCTGACACCGAAAGCCAGGCGGCATAGTACAGTGATCCCTGAGAGATGGGAAGCGAGGGAGGCAGCCCTACAGTGGCTCCAGCTCACTGCCAGGCCTCAAGGTAGGAAGGGGAAACCCAAAGAGAGTCCCCATTCCTGCAAGTTGACAAAACAAAGTTGAAAAGTTGGGGAGACCAGGACAAAGAGCCGGAGGGGAGAGAGCTGGGTGAAAGGAGAGAGTTGTACAGAGAGAGGGAGAGCTCCAGAGACCGGCAGGGGGGTCCCCTCCGCTCAGCAGCCGAGGACTGACCAGCCCATGCATGTGAGGACACCACCCGAGGCTGGGAAAGGACCACAGGGGAGTCGCAGAGGGAGCAGTCCTTGTAACTATATGGGGCTGAGAGTAGTTCATGCCGCCATCAGCCACAGTGAAAAGACCCCATAACACATGGGGTATCGGGTGGAGTACCCTGCAGGGTATTGTTTTAGGACAGGGGCAAAATTAGCCCTGAACAGAAGGTGCTCTAGTCTAACATGATAACAACACTCAAGGTCGAGCCTCCGAAGGATCAAACCCTTTCCAGTAATTTAACAATGGGTGAAACAAAGCTCAAGAATATTTACAGGAATACGGCCGGGCGCGGTGGCTCACGCCTGTAATCCCGGCACTTTGGGAGGCCGAGGCGGGTGGATCACGAGGTCAGGAGATCAAGACCATCCTGGCTAACACGGTGAAACCCCGTCTCTACTAAAAATACAAAAAAAATTAGCCAGGCGTGGTGGCGGGCACCTGTAGTCCCAGCTACTCAGGAGGCTGAGGCAGGAGAATGGCGTGAACCCGGGAGGTGGAGCTTGCAGTGAGCCGAGATCGCACCACTGCACTCCAGCCTGGGCGACAGAGTGAGACTCTATCTCAAAAAAAAAAAAAAATATTTATAGGAATACAAAAGTATCCAGCACACAACAAGATACAATTCACTGCCGGGCGCGGTGGCTCACATCTGTAATCCCAGCACTTTGGGAGGCCAAGGTGGGTGGATCACAAGGTCAGAAGATGGAGACCATCCTGGCTAACACGGTGAAACTCCGTCTCTACTAAAAATACAAAAAATTAGCTGGGCGTGGTGGTGGGCACCTGTAATCCCAGCTACTCAGGAGGCTGAGGCAGGAGAATGGCTCAAACCCGGGAGGCGGAGGTTGCAGTGAGCCGAAACTGTGCCACTGCACTCCAGCCTGGGCGACAGAGCGAGACTCAGTCTCAAAAAAAAAAAAAAAAAAAAAAGATACAATTCGCAATGTCTGGCATCCAAACAAAAATGATCAGGCCTGGAAAGCAGCAGGAGAAAAAGAACCCATCCTGAGATCAACCAATACAATTACTCAGAATGGCACAGATGAGCGGGTTCATCAGGGACATTAAGCTGTTCATATAGCCACGTTCCGTAGGTTCAAGAAGGCAGAGGGAAGATGGAGCATGTTAAAGACAGACATGGAAGACTTCAATCAAATTCTTTTTTTGTTTTTTTTTTGTTTGTTTGTTTTTTGAGACAGAGTCTTGCTCTGTCGCCCAGGCTGAAGTGCAGGGGTGCAATCTTGGCTCACTGCAACCTCTGCCTCCTGGGTTCAAGCGATTCTCCTGTCTCGGCCTCCCGAGTAGCTGGGACTACAGGCGCCCGCCACCACACCCAACTAATTTTTGTATTTTTGGTAGAGACAGGGTTTCACCATGTTGGCCAGGATGGTCTTGATCTCTTGACCTCGTGATCCGCCTGTCTCGGCCTCCCAAATGGCTGGGATTACAGGCGTGAGCCACCGTGCCCGGCCCTGACTTCAGTCAAATTCTTAAACATACACTGGGTACAATTAACAACAGAGTAGACATGAAGGAAGAAAAGGTGAGTGACTTTGAGGACATAGCAAGAGAGAAAAAGACCATAAAAATGCAGCACAGCCTCAAGTGGCCAAATAAACCTGTAGTTGGAGTCCTTGAAGGAGAGAAGAGAGAAGGAGGAGCCCAAAAATATGAAGAAATAGTGGCCAAAAACTTCTCCAATGTGGCCAGGTGCAGTGGCTTATGCCTGTAATTCCGGCACTTTGGGAGGCCTTGTCAGGAGGATCGCTGGGGCCAGGAGTTCAAGACCATCCTGGGCAAGACCCTGTCTCTACAAAAAAATGTTTAAAAAATTGGCCAGGCATGGTGGCACATGCCTATAGTCCTAGCTACTTGGAATGCTGAGGCAGGAGGATTGCTTGAACTCAGGAGTTTGAGGCTGCAGTAAGCTATGATTGCATCACTGCACTCCCATCTGGGTGACAGAGCAAGACCTTTTCTCTAAAAATAAACAAACAAACATTATATTTTTAAAAAACTAAATAAAGGGCCGGGTGCGACGGCTCAGGCTCAGTGCTGTAATCCCAGCACTTTGGGAGATTGAGGTGGGCAGATCACGAGGTCAAGAGATCAAGACCATCCTGGTCAACATGGTGAAACCCCATCTCTATTAAAAATACAAAAATTAGCTGGGCCTGGTGGTGCATGCCTGTAGTCCCAGCTACTCGGGAGGCTGAGGCAGGAGAATCACTTGAACCCAGGAGACAGAGGTTGCAGTGAGCCAAGATAGTGCCACTGCACTCCAGCCTGGTGACAGAGTGAGACTCCATCTCAAAACAAACAAACAAACAAACAACTAAATAAAGGCAGCCAGAAGAAAAAGACTCATTATCCACAGAGAAACAAAGGACAGCTGACTTCATGTCAAAAACAATGCAAGCTCAGTGATGGTTGGGCAACATCTTTCAAGCACTGAAAAAAAATAACCGTCAACACAGAATTCTACAACAGGCAAAATATCTTCCAGGTCTTGTTCAGGTATTTTTGTTTTGTTTTGTCAGACAGAGTCTCACTCGCTTCCCATCTCTCAGGGATCACTGTGCTGTGCCACCTGTCTTCCATTGTCAGACAGAGTCTCACTCTGTCACCCAGGCTGGAGTGCAGTGGCGTAATCTCTGCCCACTGCAACCTCCACCTCCCAGGTTCAAACGATTCTCGTGCCTCAGCCTCCTAAGTAGCTGGGATTACAGGCATGCGCCACCATGCCCGGCTAATTTTTGTAATTTTAGTAGAGCTGGGGTTTCACCATGTTGGCCAGGCTGGTCTTGAACTCCTGGCCTCAAGTGATCCACCCGCCTCAGCCTCCCAAAAGCAGTTCAGCCCTTTTTCTGTCTTCCGTGTCATATAGAATATGGTTGTAAGAACTACTGAATGTTCTTGACTATTAATTCTCTCATCAGTATTAATCTTGAGTCATCAAGGTGAAATAAAGACTTTTCAAACATATGTAACCTGAAAGAATTCATCACCAGCAATCCCAAACTGCAAAAAATGTTAAAAAAAAAAAAAAAAAATCTTGGCCGGGCACAGTGGCTCATGCCTATCATCTCAGCACTTCGGGAGGCCAAGGTATGAGGACTGCTTGAGCCCAGGAATTTGAGACTAGCCTGGGCAATATAGTGAAAACTTGTCTCACAAAATTTTTTAAAAAACTAGCCCGATGTGGTGCACACACCTGTGGTCCTAGCTACTCAGGAGGCTGAGGGCGGAGGATTGCTTGAGCCTAGGAGGTCAAGGCTGCAGTGATCCATGATCGCACCACTGTACTCCAGCTCGAGCATCAGAGCGAGACCCTGTCTTAAAAAGAAAAAGAGAGAGAGAGAGAGAGAATCCCTTCAGGAAAAAAGAAAAGTGTACCACATGGAAAGATGGATCTATGAAGCAACAAAGAATGCTGGAAATGGTAACTACCTGAGTAAATGTAAATAATTGTTACGGGGGGAGTAATGGTGATGTGCTGTGGGTTCATAACACATGTAGTATGACAATAGTAGCACAAAGACCAAGAAGGGAGGCACGGAAGCACTTCGAGGAGTTCCTTTTTTTTTTTTTTTTTTTTTTTTGAGATGGAGTCTTGCTCTGTCGCCCAGGCTGGAGTGCAGTGGCGTGATCTCAGCTCACTGCATCTCCACCTCCCAGGTTCACAGCATTCTCCCGCCTCAGCCTCCCGAGTAGCTGGGACTACAGGCACCCGCCACCAGGCCCGGCTAATTTTTTGTATTTTTAGTAGAGACGGGGTTTCACCGTGTTAGCCAGGATGGTCTCGATCTCCTGACCTGCTGATCCACCCACCTCAGCCTCCCAAAGTGCTGGGATTACAGGCCTGAGCCACCGTGCCCAGCCCATTTTTTTTTTTTTTTGACAGAGTCTCGCTCTGTCACCCAGGCTGGAGTGCAATGGCATCATCTCGGCTCACTGCAACCTCCGCCTCCCGGGTTCCAGTGATTCTCCCGCCTCAGCCTCCAGAGTAGCTGGAATTACAGGCACATGCCACTATGCCTGGCTAATTTTTGTATTTTTAGTAGAGACAGGGTTTCACCATGTTAGCCAGGCTGGTCTCAAACTCCTGACCTCAGATGATCCACCCGCCTCGGCCTCCCAAAGTGCTGGGATTACAGGCACGAGCCACTGCACCTGGCTGGAGTTTCTTATACTGTATGTGAAGTGCTACAATATCACTTGAAGATAGATTGTGATAAATTTAAGATGTGTAAACCCGAAAGCACCCACTAAAAACACACAACAAAGGGTTATAACTAAAGCCAAGGAACAAGATAAAATGAGGCTGGGTATGGTGGCTTATGCCTGTAATCCCAGTACTTTGGGAGGCTGAGGCAGGTGGATCTCCTGAGGACAGGAGTTCAAGACCAGCCTGGCCAACATGGTGAAACCCTGTCTCTACTAAAAATACAAAAATTAGCTGGTCATGGTGGTGGGCACCTGTAATCTCAGCTACTCTGGAGGCTGAGGCCAGAGAATCGCTTGAACCTGGGAGGTGGAGGTTGCAGTGAGCCAAGATTGCACCATTGCACTCCAGCCTGGGGACAGAGCAAGACTCCATCTCAAACAAACAAACAAAAAAACAAACAAAAAAATGAAAAAAAAGACACAAGATAAAATGAAATCATAAAAATAATGAAGCCAGGGCAACAAGATGAAACCCTGTCTCTACAAAAAAAATAAAGATCAGCTGGGTGTGATGGTGTACACCTGTAGCCCTACCTGCTTGGCTGGGCTGAGGTGGGAGGATCACTTGAGCTCAGGAAGTTGAGGCTGTAGTGAATGATGATTGTGTCCCTGCACTCCAGCCTGGGCAACAGAGCAAGACCCTGTCTCAAAAAGAAAATCAAAAAATAAAAAATAAAATAAAATAAAACCACTTGACTAATTCAAAGGAAGCCAGAAAAAAAGAGGGAAAAGGGAACAGAGAACAAATGGGAGGAATCAAAACAAATAGCAGGTGACATCAACAATCACATTAAGTGTAAATGATCTAAACACCCAATTAAAAGGCAGTGATTGCTATTCAGTCATAAAAAAAATGGAATTTTGACACATACTACAACATGAATAAACCTTGAGGACATTTGTTGAGTGAAATAAACCTGTCACAAAAAGACAAATACTGTGTGATTCCACGTACATGAGGTATCTAGAGGAATCAAAATCATAGAGACAGAAAGCAGAACAGTGGTTATTAGGAACTGGGAAAGGAGAGAATGGGGCTTTCGTGTGATGATCACAGGGTTTAGTTTGGGGGATAAAAAGTGTTGAAAATAGTGGTAGTAGTTGCACAAAAATGTGAAGGTATTAAATGCCACTGAATTACACACTTAAAAAGGTTAAAATGGCAAATGTTATGTTATATATGTTTTGCCTCAATTTTTAAAAATTAATGTAATATATCAAAACCCACTGAATTACACAATTTAAATGGGTGAATTATACGGTATGAGAATTATAACTCAATCAAGCTGTTTTTTAAAGTCAATGATTGTTAGAATCTTTTTTTTTTTTTTGAGATGGAGGCTCACTCTGTCACCCAGGCCGGAGTGCAGTGGTGTGATCTTGGCTCACTGCAACTTCTGTCTCCCAGGTTCAAGTGATTCTCCTGCCTCAGCCTCCTGAGTAGCTGGGACTACAGGTGCGAGCCACCACACCCGGCTAATTTTTTTTTTTTTTGAGACAGAGTCTCACTCTGTCGCCCAGGCTGGAATGCAGTGGCCTGATCTCGGCTCACTGCAAGCTCCACCTCCCGGGTTCACGCCATTCTCCTGCCTCAGCCTCCCGAGTAGCTGGGACTACAGGCACCCACCACCACGCCCGGCTAATTTTTTGTATTTTTAGCAGAGACAGGGTTTCACCATGTTAGCCAGGATGGTCTCAATCTCCTGACCTCGTGATACGCCCATCTCGGCCTCCCAAAGTGCTGGGATTACAGGCGGTGAGCCACCGCGCCCAGCCAATTTTTGTTTTTTTAGTAGAGATGGGGTTTCACCATATTGGCCAGGCTGTTCTCAAACTCCTGACCTCAGCCTCCCAAAATGCTGGGATTACAGGCATGAGCCACTGGACCTGGCCAGAATCTATTTTAAAAATCATCCAGTAGGCACTGTGTACCAGGCACTGTTCTAGACACTGAAGATTGAGCAGGGAACAAAAGCCAGCTTGGCCCTTCTAGAGCCCACCTGCTGGAGGTGGGATGGGCAATAAGCAGGGAATGGAAGGGAGGGAGGGAGGGGGCTCCCTGGAGGGCTGGGTGGGCCTCGCTAAATGGGACCCTATGACTAGGAGGGACCCCATGGGCACCAGGGAGAGACAGGGCAGCCAAGGGGGCCTCCAGGCAGAGGCTGCTGGGCTGGCACCTGCATGGACATGTCATTTATAAAGAAATAGCATCCCAGACTGGCATGGTGGCTCACGCTGGTAATCCTGGCACTTTGAGAGGCCGAGGTGGGTCAGTCGCTTGAGCCCAGGATTTCAGGACCAGCCTGGACCACATGGCAATACCTCAAGTCTATGAAAAATACAGAAATAGCCGGTGTGGTGGCTCCTGCCTGTAGTCCCAGCTAATCAGGAGGCTGAGGTGGGAGGATCGCTTGAGCCCAGGAGGTGGAGGTTGCAGTGAGCCGTGATCACACCTCTGCACTCTAGCCTGAGCGACAGAGCCAGACCCTGTTTCCAAAGAAAGGGAAGGGAAAGGGAGGGAAGGGGCAAGGAGGGGAGGGAAGGGACAGCATCCCCAAAAGGTCTGGAGAAAAGCGAAACCACTCAGGGTTTTATGCTACAGCCCATCCCCTGAGTTTCTGTAGCTGTGACAAATATATTTTTGAAAAAGAGAAGGAGTATTGAATAACTTGGGAAAATGTCTGTTGCATTTGGGTAAAAAAACGGGAGTTTTTTTACACTGCCAGTGTCAATGTGTGCCAAAGCACAGCAAGCGCGCACACACCACATATGCACACATGCCATGTACACACACACAGGTGCACATAACATCACATACACTCATGTACAGACACACATACCACGCACACCACACACATATGCACACACCCACACACATATGCACACACACATGCACACACACATATGCACACACACACATACATCTGTCATCTCCCCTGCAGATGAGGGGTTGAGGCCCGGGCAATGTGACGACCACTTGCCCAGGACTGGTAGAACTCTGTGGTGCCCTCTGGGGCAGTCCCCTCCCACCAGGCTGCCTCCTGATGGTTTCTCCCATGGTTGACTCGGCCCCAGAGGTCTGGTGACATCTCCCTCTCACCATGCTGAGTTCCTCGGATGACTGCAGCTGTGGCTGAGCAGTGAGGCCCCTGCCCAGGACCCTGGCCTGGCCCAGACTGTGTCCCCATGTCAGGGCATGTAAACAGCAAGGGCTTGGCCCGTGCCCTCAATGCTCTGAGCCCGCTGTCTCAGGAACAAATTAGAATCTCACTCGAATCCTCATAAATCTTCCATTCCTGACAAATCCAAAGGAAGATGGGGGAGAGGGGCAGGGGGGAGGGGAAGGAGCCAGGGTCCCTCGCTAATTTCTCCAAACTGCTGTTTATTGAAATGAGACACCAGGGATAAGCAAGAGCTGGATCAATAAAGGCCTGTCTAATACAATCAGCCGGGGCCGCCAGCTTCCCGCCCCTCCTTCCAGGGAACACCAGAGGCGAGGGGCCTGAGGAGCGCAGCCCAGGCCTCCCCGCTCCTGGGAACCTCCCCTCCCACACTGCCCTGTAGAAGCCGTTCACCTGCAGACACAGCCCACATCATGTTCCTGCAGCTGCTTCTCCAAGGCTGCCCCTCAGCTGGCCCGGCCTTCCCTGCAGGTGTCTGCTCCCTAGGGAGAGCCATAGGGGCCGGCTCATGGAGAGCAGGGCCCCACCCAGGCCCTCCCACTCCTGCAGTCTCCAAGCCTCACCCCTGCAGTGACCAGGCAGCCCCAGTGCAGCCACCACGCCACCCTCCCAACATGCCCCACACACTCCAGCTTCCTGGGCCCGGCCTCCTCGGACCAAGGCCTGGCACCTTGCTGTGCTGGGGTCCCTCAAGCAGTGGCTTTTCCTGAGTCATTCCGCCCACCTGCCTCCAGTCCGGTCCCGGGAATAACTGGCCACTCCTCTTTCTGGGTAACTGTGAGTCCTAGACTGGGGCCTGGGCTCTGAGTGGCCCCCTCCCCGACACATGAGCTCTTGGGGGCAGGACGGCCAACTCGGTGCTGAGTTCTTGGAAGGGGTTTTCATTTTAATTAGGTAACCAGAGGCTGATGGGGTCTTCCAGGGCTGGGATCTCCATCGGCTGCCTGCGGTGGAATCACCGACACAGGCTTCACGCAGCCCAGGCCTCGTGCACATTCTGACCCCGCTGTTTCCAGGCCGTGGTCCCACACTGGCGAAGACCCTGGGGCAGCCAGTTCAGGCTCCTGTTTTGCGGAGAGGGGCAGCAGGAATGGGGCAAATAGCACCCCCGGCAGGTGCTCACGTCTCTGTGAAGTGGATTTGACATTCTCGGGTGCACCAGGCCCTGACCGCCTGGTCATATCCAGGCCTCTGACACCTGCAGCAGGTTCCGCTGAGGGACCCTGGCAACCCTGAACCCGTCTCTGCGGATCTGGAGAGCCAACAGCAAGCTTTCAGGGTTCAGTCGCCCCTCAGACCAGGTTCGAAGACTTGAGGTCACCTAGGCTCCAGCTTCCTAGGGTGACAGACCCCCGCTGCCCCAGCCTGCCCCCCACTTTCCCAATGAGGGTCCTGTTTTCTGAGCATCCCCCTTTCGCCTTCAAAGTTGACATTTGAAAATAGCTGATTGATGACCTCAGTAAGCCCCGAATGAGTGTTTTCGAGAAAGCTTTCCCCATTTCCAGCCATCAGCTGTGGAATATTACAGGTGGGAGGAGAACCGGAAAGCCCCACAGTGCGGCCATAGGTGATGTACGGCAGCAAACATCGCTGCGGAATTAATCAATTGTTTGAAAAATAGGCCTGCGTGTGCGTGTGGCCAGCTCCACCACGGCTCTACAGACGGGCCCGGTCCATCGTCTGCAAGGCAAGGGAAATAGATCTCCTCACGGTGGCCATGTCCCTGCCAGCCCAGGTGTGCAAATGTCCCTGAAATACACCAAGGGAGGTACATTTCATTACAGAGCTGATCGGCCTTGAATCACAGAGCCCTTGGCCATTGATGGTCTTCTGGGAGAGGCCAGTGGGTAAATGGTAGGGAAGCCATTCCATACCTTCTCTCATGCACACGTTTTGGTGATGGCTGGATTAGGACCGGCTGCTGCGGTGCATGGGGTGAGGGTGGGGGATCACCGGTGCTATGTAACAGGCAGCTTTGGGAAAGGGATCAGGAAGTTTCATGTCAATCAACCAATCAATCAATCAATTAACAAATGCATTGCCAAGCTTGACTGGAGCTTAAGGTTCAGGACATCACTTGTGCTGACCTTGATGGGTGAACTTTGGGAGGTTTATCATCTCTTTCCAGAAGGCTCCAAGACAAATGTATGCATTCAGCTTTGTCAGGGTACTTGGTTAGGGAGTGAATGCACAAACGCCCAAGGAGGCCAGTGTTCAACGGCCTCACAGGTAAGGGACGGGACAGCCCTACTTCCCGGCTGCACAAGCAGAAAGAAATGGGTTGAGTCCCTGGCTGTGCTTCTCCCACAGGGCTGCATGCACCTGCTCTGACAGATGGAGGCTTTTCCTGGAGTTATCTGGCCCAGAGCAAGGTGTGCCTGTGTCACCCTGCAGGGACACAGCAGCAGAGCAGCCAGCAGTGAGGCATGAGGCCTGGCCCTCACCCATCACAGGGTGGCCACCCAGCATCTCTGGCCCTTTCTTCCTCCAGGAAACGCCTTCCCCATGGCAGGTCACCCATGCTTTCCTCCCTGGGGCCACAGGACAATGCTGCTGGAGACACGCAGTGACCCTCAAGAAACAGACCCTGGAGGGAAAGGTCCCTGGGCCATGAGGAGATGCTGAGCAGCCACCTCCAGGCCTCTCTTCCTGGAAGCCTGGGCCCAGCACCCCTCACTTGGGGCTCCTGCTACAGGAGCCACATCCCTGGAAAACCTGGCAGCTGCCACAGGAACAAAGCAACCTCAGGGGACAGCACTCTGTACCCTTGCTCCCAAGGTCTTTTGTCCACGAGTGGCCCTGTGGCCCTGCCAGTGTCCCCGGGGCTGCCACAGGGCCCTGAAGGCTGCAGCCCACAGGGGAACTGCAGAGACTCCCGGCAGGTGGGACCCCGTGGAGCCACCTGGAGCCGCTGGGGACGTTGCTCCCAGGGAGACCTTTGGTGGCTCACGGGTTGAAGGGGCAGCATTGTACCTGCAGAAAGCTCCAGGCACTGGGAGGCACGACCTCTCCCACGTGGGACGGCTGCCTCCTGCCCTTGCCCTGGAAACCCCAACTTAGTAGGCCTGGGGAGGAGCAGAGTGTCTGGGTGTCGTGAAAGCCCCCGGCAGGGCTGGCCTCAGAGGAAGGAGCTCTGACCTGGCCTCGGCCCTCGGAGCTCATAGCTCTGTCCCCACCCTCTCCACAGTGGCTGGAGTCCTGGGCTTGTGTCCACACCTTCCACCAAAGCCAAGCCCACCCTGGGTTCAGCTCCACTTCTGACTGGAGAGACCCTCCCCTCTGGCCCCAGCTCCCCCCTCTGTAGGGTGAGGGGTTGGGATGCCCCTCTCTGGTTCTGTTGTACTGACATGAATCTCTGATTGAAACATTGCTCGGCATATCTGGTGGGGAGGAAATGATACGGTTTCCTGCAAGCCCAGCTGAGAGATGATGCGATGTTTTTCTTGGATGCTTGGTTTTTAAAAAGTCCCTGATAAGGGACAAGCTAATTGGGAATTCTTGAAGAGAGGAGGGCTGGGGGCATGGGAGGCGGCCACGCTGGGAGCCGACCCCCGTCAGCCATCAGTTGAGAAAAGACTCTCTCTAAGTAGACCAGCCAATACCAAGTGGGGGAGCCCCCAGCAGGTGCCCTGACAAAGAGGGGGCCCCCACCACGAGCAGGCCCAGGGCTCCTAAATGGGGACGGGTTGGGGGGAGAACAGGGGCTAAAAGGAAATCAAAAGCAAATTATTTTCGGGATTATAGCTCTTGAGCCCCAGCGAGATATTACCCATTTTTCATAGCAGACAAAACCATTTTCCAAGGGATCAATTTTGCCTGCGGAAGTCGCCTTCCTCCAGCCCATAATCCATCATATTTCCCCATTTGCAATTTCTTGGTGTCTGAGTGTTTTAAGTTTCCTATGAATTATTTTATAAAGCTTTCTTTCTTCCTGCTGAAATGAGGTGTTCCGGCCCTGCTGGGAGGGCCCAACAACATTGAATGGGGGACTAAGGGGCCAGCAGTGTCCCGGCAGGGACGTGGCTGGACAGCTCGGGGTGGACTTGGTCAGAGCCAGCCCTGGTGGCCCCCAGACCACCCCCAGCTCAGAGTCGGCCTCCTGGGACACAGGGAGGCGTCCAGTGGGGACGGCGGCAGAGGGTCCCAGCCCCGCCAGCCGGAAGGGACGCAGGTGGGCTTGGCCCTGGTGAGTTCGGGGGAGGCCACCAGCCACTCGGGGCCCCGGGGGGAGGTGGGCTCAGGGGAAAGTTTTTGAGGAGATTTATTCTGATGCTCTGCTGAGGGGGACTCATCCTTCAAGAGGCAGCGTGTGTAAAAATTCCCCGGCCTGTTGATTGGTCTGTCACGGTGATTTGTGGCTCTTCCCCCGAGGTAATGGGAGCCACTGGGCTGGTGAAAGGCAGCCGGACAGATTGCTGAACAGAGCGGGCGGGAGGCCGCACAGCCGGCGAGATTTATTGACCTCAACCCACGGAGGCCCCTCCAAGGCTTTCAATCCCGCCTTTCAGCCGTCACCCCGGCGATGGCCGCCCGGCGGGCTCCTGGAGCCCCACAGCACAGGGCACCAGACAAGGGTGCCGAACCCCGGGGGGCCGCGCCATCTGTCCCCCCAGGAGGAGGAGAGGGCTCCATCCTCTGCTGCCCCGATTCACTGTTTGCTGGGGCTGCTGCTTTTTCGAACAATAGCTTTATTGAGATGTAATTCACATATTGTACAAGTCACTCACCTGCAGTGTACCGTTCAGAATATGCGAGAACAGTGGGGTGTTTTGTGTATTCGCAGAGCTGTGCAGCCGTCAGCACAGTCCATCTTAGAACATTTTCATCACCTCAAAAAGAAAGGCTGCCAGGTGTGGCGGCTCACACCTGTAATCCCAGCAGTGTGGGAGGCCGAGGTGGGCGGATCACCTGAGGTCGGGAGTTCGAGACCAGCCTGACCAACATGGAGAAACCCCATCTCTACTAAAAATACAAAATTAGTCAGGTGTGGTGGCAGGTGCCTGTAATCCCGGCTACTCAGGAGGCTGAGGCAGGAGAATCGCTTGAACATGGGAAGCAGAGGTTGCAATGAGCCCAGATTACACCACTGCACTCCAGCCTGGGTGACAGAGCAAGACTCCATCTCAAAAAAAAAGAAAGCCTATGTCCTCAGTCACCTCCCCAGCCCCCCACGCCAGCCCTGGCAACCTTGAATCTACTATCCGTCCCTACAGGTGTCTCTGTTCTAGGCTCTGCCTGTGAATGGAATCCCATAACGTGGTCTTTGTGCCTGGCTTCTTGCCCTCGGCCTGACGCTCCCAGGCTCGCCGTGTTTTCCCGTGTGTCAGCGCTGCGTCCTTTTTAAGCCTAAATTATACCCCATGGCGCAGTTAGACCGCTTGTTAATCCACCCGTCTGCCGGAGGACACCTGGGCTGTTTCCACCTTTTGGCTGCTGTAAATGATGCTGCTGTGACCGTGAGCTGGGCGTGTCTCTGTGGGGCCTGCCTTCATTCTCTCGGGGCTGTGTGGTCACCCCGTGTTTAACGGAGCAGTTTGAGGAGCAGGAGCTGGGCGCGTCTCTGTGGGGCCTGCCTTCAATCTCTCGGGTAGTCCCTGGAAGGGAGTTTCTGGGCTGTGTGGTCACCCGTGTTTAAAAGAGCAGTTGAGGAAACTGA
Organism: Homo sapiens; assembly: GCF_000001405.40. Taxonomy (NCBI): domain Eukaryota; kingdom Metazoa; phylum Chordata; class Mammalia; order Primates; family Hominidae; genus Homo; species Homo sapiens. The sequence goes on along the minus strand of NC_000009.12, from coordinate 136,155,422 downwards.
TGGATTGTTGACTGCTGGCCACTTCCATTTCATTTTCCACTTTTCCCTGGTTATCAGAGTCAGACGCGCTCATCATCCCAAATCTGCAAAATATAGAAAAGTTGAAGAAACACAGCGACCCCTTCCCCGTCCATCCATGGATCCTGGCAGCTGCTCTCCCACATTTTCTGCCACACTCGTTCTTTGCACACCAAGGACATCCTATAGATTCTGTTTTTGAACCAGCCTTTTCTCACCACGGGATCTCCCTGCGTTACTGGAAACTCTTCCTACACGTCGTTTTTGACAGCTGCGTAATATTCCGTGCCGTGGAAGCCCCACCACTTGCTTAACGGATCTTCCCAGGAGCTCCAGGGGGCAGAGAATGATACCAGTGCCGGGGGTTGAACAGCCCTCCCTGGAGGCTGTCGTCCACGTACATGTCCAGCCATCAGTTTCACCCCTCCTAGGAGCCAGGGCCTGGCCATGGCCTTGGCCAGCTTGAGGTCCCAGTGGCGGAGACTAGGGCCAACCCACAGGGCCCACAATGCATCTGGACTCTCTCCATGGGCAGGCAACCTCTTCCACAGAGTCCTGTCTTCCCTCTGGGCCCTTCTGACCCTGGGGGGATTTTCCACAAGGGTCCAAAGGACACCACTGGCCTCCGGACCCCCTCACGGACGGCTGCCAATATGTCGGGGGAGGGGCAGGACAGGAGAGAGGGGAGGGGAGAGACTGGGGGATGGGAGAGACTGGGAGACCGGAGAGACTGGAGGGACAGGAGAGACTGGGGGATGGGAGAGACTGGGAGACCGGAGAGACTGGAGGGACAGGAGAGACTGGGGGATGGGTGAGACTGGGAGACCGGAGAGTCTGGAGGGACAGGAGAGACTGGGGGATGGGAGAGACTGGGAGAGCGGAGAGACTGGAGGGACAGGAGAGACTGGGGGATGGGAGAGACTGGGGGGATGGGAGAGACTGGGGGACGGAAGAGACTGGGGGGATGGGAGAGACTGGGGGACGGAAGAGACTGGGGGGATGGAAGAGACTGGGGGGATGGGAGAGCCTGGAAGGACAGGAGAGACTGGGGGGATGGGAGAGACTGGGGGATGGAAGAGACTGGGGGAGGGGAGAGACTGGGGGATGGAAGAGACTGGGGGGATGGGAGAGACTGGGGAATGGGAGAGACTGGGGGGATGGAAGAGAATGGGGGGATGGGAGAGACTGGGGGGATGGGAGAGCCTGGAAGGACAGGAGGGGGGACGGAAGAGACTGGGGGATGGGAGAGACTGGGGGGACAGGAAAGACTGGGGAACCGGAGAGACTGGGAGGATGGGAGAGACTGGGGGAATGGGAGAGACTGGGGGGACAGGAGAGACTCAGGGGATGGGAGAGACTCAGGGGATGGGAGAGACTGGAGGGACGGGAGAGACTGGGGGGATGGGAGAGAATGGGGGGATGGGAGAGACTGGCCACGAGGCTCCCTTCTTGATCCCATGGACTCTAATCCAGCGTCTGAAACTGGTTCTGGAGCAGATGCTACTGTACCAAGAAGGACATGCTCCTCTCCTAACACACGTGGTGCATGGAGACCTCATTCCTCACCAGACCTAGCCACCCGTGCAGGCCCTTCCTTGTGTGCTGGGCTCCGCTCTAAGCCTCCGACATGGGACTGCTTGCTTCACCGCCACACCTCGGGCAGGGGCTGCTGTTCCGTCCATTTCACCGATGAGCAGACTGCAGGAGGAGAGGTGAGGTCCTGAAGCCCGCAGGTGGCAGAGCCTGCCCCGCCCTGGCAGCCCCTTTTATGGCAGTGTCTCTGCCACCTGCCGGGTGGCCCTTCCAGAAGGGGGCGGCCAGGGCAGCCTTCGGCCCTTGCCTAAAGCCGTGTGCAAGACAGGCAGGGCAGCCGCTGGCACTGAGGGCGGGCCAGGAGCCCAGACTTCTTCTCATGCCAGGGGCCTCACCGCTGGGTGGGGCAGGCTCCTGGCAGAGGTGCGGCGTGGACACGCACACCCCAGCCCAGCCTCGTGTGCCATGGGCAGGGTAGCCACTCACCAGCTCTGGGATGTGGGACATACTGGTTGCAGGCCCCGAGCCTCAGTTTCCCCTTGTGAAAAATGAAGTCTTGGGCCTGTGGTCAGCTCAGGGGGATCTCTGAGCTGTGTGCCCCTTTTCTCCTGATCCCTCCAGCCTCAGACGTGGGTGACAGCGTGAGGGGCGGGCACCACCCAGGCAGCGACAGTGGAGCCCTGGTTCTGGGAAGGGTCTGGGGTTCTGAGCTGCTAAGTCCTGAAGTGAGGGCTCTGTGGGGGACGGAGTCAGGAGGTCTCGTGCCCAGGCCCAGAGGGTCGCAGAGCCGGGGCACTCTGCTGTGCCCAGCCCTTCAAAGGAGGTGGTTTCTTCTTCCCCTCAGTGAGAATTCACTGGATGGTCAGGGTGAGCATCTACGAAGCTGAGGCCCAGCGACGAGGCTCACCCGTGACCTGGCCTGGCAGTTCCCCCTCCTCAGCCCACGTTCTGCTGTGGTCGAGTGACAAATCCACTCCTCTGGCCTCTCTGGAGCCTCATTCTCCTTCCTAGCTCCTCCAGCCTCCCTGAGCTCACTGCTGCTCAGCCAGCCCTTCCTGACCACAGCCACACATTGAGCCCTGTTCCTCTCAAACTCTGACCCCGACCCTGGCCATCGATCTTGATCTCTGCCTCAGACTAGGCCCCGATCCCTGTCACAGACCAGGCCCTGATTTCCATCACAGACCAGGCCCTGATCCCTGTCTCAGACCAGGCCTTGATCCCCATCAGAGACCAGGCCCTGATTCCTGTCTCAGACCAGGTCCTGATCCCCGTCACAGGCTGGACCCTGATCCCCATCACAGACCAGGCCCTGATCCCCATCACAGACCAGGTCCTGATCCCCGTCACAGGCCGGACCCTGATCCCCGTCACAGGCCAGATCCTGATCCCCGTCACAGGCCGGACCCTGATCCAGACCAGGCCCCGATCCCCATCACAGACCGGACCCCGATCCCCATCACAGACCAGACCCCGATCCCCGTCACAGACCAGGCCCCGATCCCCGTCACAGACCAGGCCCCGATCCCCGTCACAGACCAGGCCCTGATCCCCGTCTCAGAAGAGCCCTGAGCCCACACTCCAGTCCCAGCTAGAGCCGGATCCCGGAGGAGGAAGGCATTGTGCAGGCTCCCATCCTCAGCGGAGGGCCGGCAGGATCACCCTCACTGTTGGGAGATGGCAGGCCTCTCTGCAGGGGACCAAGGATGACCATATTCTGAGGCATCTCAGCCACCACTGCACACCCCGTGAAGGTGGGGCTTCGGCCACAGGGCAGCTGACCAGACCCCCTCGCCCAAAGCTGCTGAGGGTGAGGCCGCAGTGTCCATTGTGGCTTCACCATGCAGATTGCAGGCCAGGTGGCCACTGGCTGTGGGGGCCTTTCCCAATATCCCAGGGACCAGGGTTCCTCCCCAAGCGCTGTGCGGGGCTGTGTGGGGCTGTGTCCGGAACTCTCGGGGAATGGGACTCTCCAGCTGCCACCTTCACAGGACTAAATTCCCCTTTCTCTAGACCTCCAGCCTTCAAATTTCAATCATAACTTCAGCTAAAAGCAGCGGCGGGACAGACGCTGAAGGGAAGTGACACGGAGCTAACGCACAGCGCTTCCAGAGACACTTTCTCCGCTTTCTCGCAGCTCCTCCGCACGGCGTCCTGTGGGCGGCCACCACACCGCAATCTATTCTGAGTTTGCAAGTGGAAATTAAATTCCTTGTAGCCGAAATGAGCCTCCACTTCAATCAGCCTGAAGCCTGTCCTCCCATCCCCCACCGCCCTCCCGCTGCAGCATCTTTTGAATATGCAAATGGGACACCTTGCTAAATGGTCAGCAGGATTGATCCTGCTGTTTTCATCAAGGAAATAAAATTAAAACGGAATCAGGTGGTTACTGGGCTGTCCCGAGCGCTCCCCAAGGGCCTGCGCCCTTCGGCTGTTTGGGTATTCTCTGGACAGACGCTCTCCAGGCCCTGACCCCACTCCTCAGGGGACCACTCTGACCTTGAGAACTTCCGGAGGACACAGGCAGGGGCTGTTGCTGGCAGGGGGTTTGGGTCTGATCCCATAAGCGCACAGTGGCGGGGTCAGAGCTGTGCCCGTGATCTCCACACCCCGTTTGTTCCTGCCCTGTCCCCTCTCTTGGCTGTCATTTCTTCAGCAATAAAGTCAGGGCTCCCCAGATCTGAATCCCCCAGCGTGGCCTGTGGCCCACCTGAGCTGGAGAGTGTGATCACAGCTCAGGCCCCAGCCCCTGGCAGTCCCCAGAGTCAGGATGGGGGCTGCTGGGGACCTGCCTTCTTCCTTTTCTGGGGATTTGATGCACAATCCCTGAAAGCCCCAGATTTCTAGCACATTTGTTCATTCACTCATTCATTCACTCACTCACTCATTCATTCACTCACTCATTCACTCATTCACTCACTCATTCACTCACTCATTCATTCACTCATTCACTCGCTCACTCATTCACCTGCTCACTCATTCACTCGCTCACTCATTCACTCACTCATTCACTCACTCATTCACTCACTCATTCACTCACTCACTCACTCATTCACTCACTCATTCACTCATTCACTCACTCATTCACTCATTCGCTCACTCATTCACTCACTCGCTCACTCATTCACTCACTCACTCATTCACTCATTCACTCGCTCACTCATTCACTCATTCACTCACTCACTCATTCACTCATTCACTCGCTCACTCATTCACTCACTCACTCATCACTCACTCATTCACTCACTCACTCATTCAGTCACTCACTCACTCATTCACTCACTCAATTCACTCACTCACTCATTCACTCACTCACGCATTCATTCACTCATTCACTCACTCATTCACTCACTCAGTCACTCATTCACTCACTCACTCATTCACTTGCTCATTCATTCACTTACTCATTCACTCACTCACTCATTCACTCACTCACTCACTCATTCACTCACTCACTCACTCATTCACTCACTCACTCACTCATTCACTCACTCACTCACTCATTCATTCCACAGATGTCGGTGCACTGGATCCTGAAGACACAGGTAAGATGGACTCAGCCTCCCAGGGTGTTCATAGCCCTGCCAGTCAGCCTGGCTTTCCCTGGGAGAGGGAGGGGGCTTCCAGACCCAAGAGAATGGCTCTGCCACAGCGGGACCTCAGGCTTGGGAGCAAGGGGCTAGATGGACTTGTGGCCTGAGCCTCCTCCCAGGGCCCCAGCCCCGGGGCTGCAGAGAGAGGGCAGACATCTGACTGTCCCGGAGAGCCTGGTGGCAGTGGCCTCCCAGAAAGCAGGGGCTTGCTTCCAGGGTGAGGGTGGCCGGAGATGAGTCCAAGGACCTCCAAGATCAGGGTCGGCCTGTCCAGATCTGTCTGGGCGCCACACTCCACTCAGGCCACCCTGGAGGAGGGACAGGTCAGGCCCAGACCCACCCCAGGGACTCACGGCCAGCAGGGTCACAGGCCTGGCCCACGGGACGAGTGGTCTTTGTCAAGAGCAGAGCTTGGCATCAGCAACAGCCTCTGGCACTTCCTGAGCCAAGTCCGGTGCCAGATTGGGTCCCGGAATTCTACTGACGAGTCGCCCCAAATCTCTCGATGGCCTGCAGCCTTGTTCCTATCATTGTCCATGTTCTACAGGGCAGTGTGTGGTGTGCCCAGGTCCCCCTCCACAGGGCAGAATCAGGCCTCGTGGGCGAACATGGTGGCTTCTCCCAGTGCGTCCTGGGTTCCGCCGCTTCCATGCCAGAGTGTGCAGCAGGAAGGCCCCTCCTCCATCTTTGATTTAAAGCTGGAACGTTAATTATGATGCGTGATTCTCACTGTAATTAAACTGATTCATTTCCAACAATCAAGGCTACACTGAATAATATATTTAATTAGCCAGATCTCCTGTGCACGTTGGCAGGACAGAACTGGCAAGTTCTCGGTGTAATACACTCAATTCTGAAATAAATCATTGTTTGGATGGACGCACACTGGGCCTGCTCCCCCAGGGAACCCAACGCACTGAGGGGTGGGCTCTGGGTCGGAATGACCAGCTCTTCCATCCAGTTCTTCAGGTGTGGGAGGAGGGCCGGGGGCTGGGGGCCTGGGAGAGGCTGAGGGGTGGAACCAGCTCAGCCTGGGGCTGCCTGTGGGGACGGCTCAAGGCCCGAGGTTGTGTCCTGCAGCCTGGGAAGTGCACAGGCCTCGGGGCTGCCATTTTCACAGAGTGAGGACCAGAAAGCCCACCTCTCAAGCAAAGACGGGGACCCAGAAGTGCCCCCGCATCTCTGCCCCCCACCCTAACGGTGGGCTCTGTCCTAGACCAGGTTGCCCACCGCTGCCCTCCTGGAGGTGCAGCGAGGCTGTGTTGTCTTCCTGAACACCCACCTTTCCCACCCCGCCGTCCAACGCCAGCCTGGCCTCAGCTGCCCTGGGGGGTGCCTGAACCTTTGGGCCCGGCAGAGCGGCTTTCGTGACTTTGGTGCTCCAGCGAAAGTAGATGTTGCCAGCTCACCAGCTGCTCAGGGAAGCCTGGGGCAGACAGCACCAACTCTACGGAATGCCGGGGTGGAGCCCCCTTGGCCCATACAGGCCCCTGGTCTCTGCTCATCTGGGCCCCAGGTCCCCTCATTACAGCCCAGCCCCTGCTGCCCAGCAAGTGCTGGCTCTCCTGTCCCAGTAGACAGGCCCCGGTGCCTGCCCTCTTTCCCCCACCCCTTCCCTGGCTGGGCCAGGCCCCTGCCCTCTTGGCACCGCCTTCCCGTCCATCTGAGCTCCGCATGCCCAGGGACCCCGCCCAGAACACGACAAACGAGGCTGCACCCTCCGTCTGGAATTCAAATTCAAAGAGGAACAAACGCATTTAAGGGGGACGTTGCTGGAACCTGTATTATGCGGGCCCTTTGTCCCTTGCAGTGGAATCCCTGGGACTGGGGGCCCCCCCGCCCCGTGTGTGTGTCTTCATCCCCGGGGAGAGCAGCGGGGGAGGGGAAGGGTGCCCCGCCTGCCCGGGCTCCAGTTACTGTGTGCGCCGCCATCTGCCACCGTGTGGCCTGGCCTCCTGCATAATTCAGGGGCCGAAGAGAGGCCCCAGAGAATGAGTTTTGGCTGAATGGCCCGATCGGATGTCACGACACCAGACACTTGCTGAACAGGACACGTGTCCTTTTGCCCCGTCTGTGTTGCGGTGACAGGCCAGGCAGGGGGCAGTGTGGGTGGTCTCTGTGCTCGGGCATGGGGGTCAAGTTGGCTGCTGGTGCCCCAGAGGCAGCCACGTGCTTCGTGGCTCGGGGCTGGGCCATGGGGGCTTTGGTCCCAGCTCCATCCCTCCACCTGCTGTGTGGCCTTGATCGGGTTGCTGCCTCCTCAGGCCTCAGTTTCCTCATCTGTGAAATGGACCCGGGGCAGGACCTGCCCTCCATGGTTGGAGGGAGCATGAGGATGACTGTCGAGTGGCCCCTGGAGGCCCAGCAGGGTGGGGCAGCTCGGGGCTGGCATTTTGGAGCCCTGGGCACGAACCCCAGCCCCGGCTCTGGCCCTGAGGATCCTGCTTCCCCCTCCATGCTGCACCTTCGGCTCTACGAAGCCAGAGAGGCAATTCCACCCTCATGTTCAACTCTAAAATGAGACCTTGGACCTTGGTATGCACCACCGGGGACCCACGTGGGCCACACAGCATCTCTGAGTGGACACACCGCTGCAGCTGCCGTGTCTGTGTCCCAAGGCCCCTGGGCTTTCCCTCCTGGCCCCGCCATGGGTGCGTGGCAGCTCAACGCTCGCTCCCCATGGAGGGAATGGGGTGGAGGTCAGCTCTCACGGCCCAGCTACCAGCCAGTCCCAGTGGACAGTTAGGGGCTGGATGCCAGGCACAGAGGAGCCAGCCTGGAAGACCACAAGCCCTTAACTGTGTTGCCCCAAGACATGCGGCCCCAGGGAGCGCAGCCTGTGAGCAGGCACAGCCCCCTGTGCCATCCCCTCCGCCAGGCACCCTGGGGGGCTGTTGTGAGGATCAAGAGATCAGAGTCCCTGTAGGTCCAGGCAGGGAGGGGCTGCAGTAGAGGAGCTTCCATCCAGCTAAGGGACCCTCCTTCCCGGGCAGCTGTTCCAGGGGTGCTGACCCAGCTCACTGAGAGGCCTGGGGCTCAGCTCCTCCCTGCCCTCCTCGCAGCCAAGTTGGCACCTGCAGACCGGGTAACCTGAGCCACTCCTGTGCGCCGGTGCTGCTGCTTTTTTTAAGAAAAGAGGGAGCCCTCCCCTTCAATAATTGATGAAAGATATTAACAATTGAATCCTGGAGAACATCTGGCAGGTAGGGAGCTTCTCACCCGGTCAGCAGCAATCAGATTAAACCAGCTTTGAGAGGCAGGGGCACGCACCAGCTGGGTGGAAGTGGGGCCCGCCCTGGCCAGGCTCTGGGAGAGGAGCTCTGCCCACTCACGACTCCGTGGCCGGTGCCTCCTCCACACGGGGGTGGCCTGGGCCTGGGAACTTCATCAGCAAGGGGGGCTCTGCGGGTCCTGGAGCCAGCCTGGGCTCCTTTCTCCCATGGCGTGCGTGGACTCATACACACGGCCATGCACACACACATTGCACATATCACACATGTACGTATGCATTTGTGCACCCACATATCACATGTGCATGCTTAAACACTGTACCACATGCGTGCACATTTGCTTGCACAGGCATGTGCACTCACCACACAGCACACACGGGTTTGCACACAGCAGGTCGTGCATATACATGCTTACATGCGTGTGCACGTGCACGTGTGCGCACATACCACTCACCCATGCACTTGTGCACGTTTGCACATCACACACACACACATGCACAGATGCACACACACAAGCACATTCACACTGTGCACACACCACACACATGTCCACACTTCCTTACCTGCCACCTCTGCCCTGACTCTGGGGGCCCATTGGAGGCTCCAGGGACCTCAGGGACCTCTTTGGGCTCTGCTCAGAAAGTTCCTTTTGTGGCTCTGCCCTTGGAGGTGGAAAGAAGGACGGCGAAGCCGGAATGCCGGGGGTCCCGCCCAGGTCTTGCATCCTCGTTGTAGAAGCAGCAGCTCTTTCCTTCTAAGGCCTGAGTGAGGAGGGGGTCGGAGGTGCGGGCCTGGTGACCAGGGGTGGCTGCTGGGGCTGGAGTGGCAGCCGGACGGGTCCTCCGATGACTTTTCTTTCTTAGAACCACCTGAGTGTGGAGACAGGCATCGTCTATGAGGCGCTCCCTCAGGCCTCCTCGGGGTGGCTACTCTCAGGACTGAATGAGCTAAGCCTTTTCCCTCACTTTATACTGTTTAAGCCTCACAACCTGTCCTTATTCCATTTTACAGCTGAGAACACTGAGGCCAGGGGTAGGGAAGAACTTGCCCAGTGCTGCCCAGCTCCAAATCAGGTGGCCAGATGTCCACAGCCAAGTTCCCCAAGCCCTCCTGCCACCCACATCCTGACCCCAGGGCTCTGCTCCCCGACATAGTGATAACAGGGCTCCACCAGCCCCCAGGGTGCCGGGAAGCCAGGGCAGCTGGCAAGGTGCAGGTCTCCTGCCCTTCCCCGGCCCACTGGGGGCCCATCTGGATGGTGCTACTCCCTCAAGTAGATTCAGTCCAGCTCTGCCTGGAGGCCCCAAGGGCAGGCAGCCCGAGCAAGGGGCTTCCTAGCAGGTGAGGGAGGCCAAGGTCTCACCTATGGGCTGAGTTGGGGGGAGAGCATCTCAGGCTCCGGAACCTTCCAGGGATTGGGGACTGGGTCCAGGAGTGATGTCTGCAGAGAGGAAATGGAAGAGGATCCCAAAGCCAGGCAGCCCCCACTGCGTGGAGGACGAGGAAGGGGAGGAGGGGAGAGAGGAGTGGGTGGGTTTGCCCCTCCAGCCCCGGGAGCCTTGGGTGGGTGACGCATAAACAATTTCTGCCCGGAGCAGACGCTGTCTGGGAGCCTGGAACGGCACCCCTGCTTTCCCTGCCCCTCTCCAAGTCCCAGCCATGGGCCACTCACACATGTAGGTCACTCTTCAGTGGGTCCCATGGGACCCGTCCAGGTGCCAGCCTCCCAGCTCCTGTGATGGTGCCCCTTCCAGGTATGCCCCCCAAATGCCCTGCCCCCAACCAGAGTCAATGATTTCCTCCTTACAGAAACACAGCTGCAGAATCCCTCAATCGTGCTTAAGCTACTGGGCTTTGGAGGACGAGGACTCTTGGGCACATTGGCCTGCTGGAGGGTCTCTGCTGCCCTTGGCCTTGGCAGAGCTGCCTGGGCCTTCTGAGCAGGTGGGCCGCCAGGCCCTGAGCATTCCTGAGAACGCTGACCCCTGGGGAAATGGCGGGCAGAGAGGATCCGAGAGGCACGCGTCTGTGTCGCAACCAGGACTGGAGCCTGCATCTTTCCCACAGGTGCCTTCTGGGGCCTCAGTATTCCCATCTGTCCAGTGGGGCTGGAGTCCCCCAAACACCTTCTTACAAAATGCTTTTGTAATGCTCGATCCACACAGCATCCCCAGGACGTGGGGCGGCACTGGACTGGAGGTCCCGGGATTTTACCTCCTCCAGTCCTTGCCATTGTCCTGGCCTCCACAGTAGAGCTCAGGCCCGTTGTGTGGATGAGAAAATCAAGACCTGGGAGCAGAAGCCTCTTGCCTGACCTACTGTGTTTGTAAGTGGTGGGCTGGGCTGCAGAGCTGGACCCACAGGGCCCGGAGTGGGTGGCGGGTGACATGTGCTTGTGCTTCGGGGGAACCCAGGCAGAGCCGTTCCCAAGAGCTAAGTGTGGGGGGCCAAGGTCTTTGTCACCACCTCCCACAGCCGAAAGTCTAATGGTGAAACACTAATTTGCAAATAGCATCCAGCCCTCCGGCTGCTGGCCCAGACTTGGAGATGGAGCCGTGACCCAGCAGAGGGAAGTCTTGCGTTCCCCATTCCTTGGACGTGTCACCCTCTGCAGAGCGCACAGCCAGGGAGCCCATGTGGGTGGGTAGGACGTGGAGACTCTGCCCTGGACCCTGGCAGTGCCCTTCTCAACAGCCTCTCCACCCACCTGCCAGCCTCTCTCCAGACCTGCAGGAGATACCACCTCAGGGCCTGACCACGTGTGCACTGCAGAGCCGGCCAGGGGGCTGTTCCTGACTCCTCCAGGGGCCTAAGTGTCCCAGCAGTCAAATTCTGCCAGCCCAGAGGCATGGACCCAGTGCACCTAGGGGGAAACTGAGGCACAAGAAGATTAAATCATATGCTCTATGATCCTGCCCAAGTCAGGATGGGGTGACCAGGGTGTCCCTGGAGCTGCCTAAATGCTAGCAGGGAGAGGGGTGAGGTGGGGGGCTGGGCTGCAGAAATGGGTGGGCCTCCGGGGAGCAGGGATTCCAGCTGCTGGGGGCCAGTGCAATCCAGAGACTGGGCTGAGGGAGCAGGCGAAAAGCCCAGTGCCCCCTCCCCGGCATGCACAGGCTTCCCAGGCCAAGGTCAACCCAGACCCCCTGGAGGTAGCTGGGCTGGCCCCAGTGGGCACAGAAGTCCTGCTGTCCCTGTAACTGGTCCCAGCTGGTTTTAAAACCTTCCCAAGTGTGAGCAGTGGGGATGGGAACCCTCATCCTGGCTTCTTGGATGAATGCCATCAGGGTGAGGAGCTTGGGTTGGGCCTCTGGGGAGGGGCAATAAAGGGCTCCCTCCAGGGAGGCTGCAGGCCTGGCCTGGGGACCTCGGTGCAGGGGGTGGGGGTTCTTGCTGGTTCCTCACCCTCCCGGAAGCACAGGGGCAGATCCGGGAGGTCAAGGGAGGGCGAGGCCTCCACTCCCCACCCCGGCCCCCGGCCAGCTCTGCTCCTCCTCTCCCCCACTCCTGGGGGTCCTGTTGACTTGGAGGACTTGGATGGGGAGAACTGAGAGCCTTGAGTGTCCCTTGAGCGCCCCCTGGTTTCACAACCACAAGCCTGGAACCCTAGGAGGGCGGGAGACTTGTTCCAGGTCTCACGGGAAGAGGCAGAGCCAGGACTCCCTGTCCAGGACCTTGCCTCAGTTTCCCCTTCCACTGGATAAACTGGGGCCCCTGCCACCCCAGGACCTCTGGGAGACCTTGGGGATCGCAAAGGCAGCCGCCCTGGGCAGCCCGCAGGAGGGCACGGGAGGAGTGTCCCCCAGGCCATGGGGCACGGACTGACCTGTGGCCCAGCCCACCAGCCAGGAATGGGGACCGTCCTGGCGGCTTGGGCTGGGGGCCTCAGCACCTGCGTGCTCCGAGAGGTCCTCCACATCTGCATCCATGCCCAGGGTCGGGACCCCTCCTTGCCTCAGAGCCCGGCCAACCTCAGAGGCCGCCTGGGACACATGGAAACAGATGAATCATAAGTTTTAAATTTTTCCAGTTTTACAACCTGGAGACAGGCTTTTAAACAGCCTCACCAGCCAGAGGGTGGGGGTCTCGCTTTAGGAGGGACGCGGCCGCCCTGAGCAGGTGGGGTATGCTTGCCCCCACCCCCACCCAGGGATCCTTCCCGAGCCCCCGGGGAGCCTCTGGCCATGAGCGATGATGCGGAGAACCCAGGGGACTGTCCCTTCGGCTCGTAGAATAGGGATTCTGGCCCATGAGCATTGATCTCTCTGAGTTTTTAAAGGAAATTTTATTTGTTTGGGGTTTCTAGTCATTAAGTTAAAACCAGTAAAATAGAGCAAAATCAATACCTGTAGGACCCAGCACAACCAGTCTGCATTACGATGCTAAATAGGCTGAGTAAATGGTGAGCCAGGGTTAGGCTGGGGGAAGGGCCTGGCAAGTGTGGGAGCCTGGGGAGTGTGGGGAGGTTGGGGAGGGAGGGAGCCCCAGGAGGTGGAGAGGGAGCCCTGGGAGGGAGAGTGGGGTCCTGCGGGCTTCTCCTGAGCTCGAGGGGAGCTGCGAGGACTGCAGGGGCCAGTGCTGGTGGAGGCATCGGCTTTGGGGCAGAAATGGTGATCTCGAAGTCCAGAGGGTCTCAAGCCTCCCTGCTGCCCCTCACACCCTCTGCCCTTTGAACCCCAGAAGCATGCAGGGACCCTAAGCTCCCTGGATGTGCCAGCTCTGCAGAGGGTGCCGACTGCTCTAGGCCTTGCCTCCTTCTCAGTGATGCCTGACGTGGTAGTGGCAGGAGGAGGCCCTGCCCCGGGTAGGTGCTGCCAGCCTCCCACTGTGAGCCTGCCCTGGGCCCCGTCCCCACGAGTCTCCCAGAGGTGGCGTTGCTGTCCGGTCTGCAGGGAGGGCGGGCCCTGGGCTGTAGGCTTCTTGAGGCGGGCACTGGTCACAGCTGGGACTAGGTGAGAGCAGAATTAAGCTTTGGAGAATGGCTGGGACTGCAGTTGCTGCCTTGGAAAGCTCCAGAATGCTCTAGAAAGCTCGCTATGCTGCCAGGAGGCCAGAGCTGGGCAGGAGCTGAGGGTGAGCAGCCTCCGGGTTGGGGTGGGCAGAGACAAGGGAGCTCTGCCGGGGTGGGATGGGCTTAGCAGGGAAGGAAGCTGGCTCGCTGGCTCGGTGCTGGGCGCCATGAGTTTCCAGAAGCTTCTTGTCTTGGGGGAGCCACACGTGTGCCTCAGCCAATAGGGCCTGGCTGGAAAATCCACAGCTTCTGGTCTCTAGCGCTCAGCCCCTCACAAGATAGGGAATGACGGGGCAGGCGGCCTGCACTTAGCCTCTATATTTTATTTATTTATTTTGAATTTTTATTCATTTTTATTGCTTTTTGAGACGGAGTCCCCCTCTGTTGCCCAGGCTAGAGTGCGCAATCTCGGCTCACTGCAACCTCCGCCACCCAGGTTCAATCAATTCTCCTGCCTCAGCCTCCCGAGTAGCTGGGACTACAAGCATGCACCAACACGCCCAGTTAGTTTTTGTATTTTTAGTAAAGACAGGGTTTCGCCATGTTGGCTAGACTGGTCTCAAACTCCTGACCTCAGGTGATCAGCCCACCTCGGCCTCCCAAAGTGCTGGGATTACAGGTGTGAGCCACTGCACCCAGCTGACCTCTATATTTTAAATAATAGCTTTATTGAGATAGAACTCACATCGCATCCAATTTATCCAGTTAGAGCGTATGATTCAATGGCTTTCTGTATACTCACGGATGTGTGCAACTATCAACACAGTCAATTTTGGAACATTTTCTTCACTTCAGAAAGAAACCCCAGGAAATTCTGGCACGAGCTACGATGGGGACGTGCCTGGAGGATGTTGTGCTCAGGGAAAGCAGCCAGCCATGAAAAGGCAAGGCCTGCCTGATTCCTCCTCCGAGAGGCCCTGGAGACAGACAGCAGAGGCGTGTACGCCAGGGGCGGGGGGAGGGGGTGGGAACAGAGCTTCAGTTTGGAAAGAGGGAAAGCTGTGTCGATGGAGGAAGATGTTGTTTGCACAGCAACGTGAATGCACTTAATGCCACTGAGGCGTGCGGTTCAGAATCGTGAGGATGGAGTGATGGTTAATTTCATGTGTCAACTTGACTTGGCTGCTGGGTTCCCAGATATCTGTTCGAACATTTGGCTGGGTGCAGTGGCTCATGCCTGTAATGCCAACGCTTTGGGAGGCCGAGGCCAGAGGATCGCTTGAGCCCAGGAGTTTGAGACTAGCCTGGGCAACACAGTGAGACCCGGTCTCTACAAAAATAAATAAATTAGGCTGGCCACAATGGCTCACCCTGTAATTCCAGCACTTTGGGAGGTCGGGGCAGGTGGATGACTTGAGGCCAGGAGTTCGAGACCAGCCTGGCCAACATGGTTAAACCCCGCCTCTACTAAAAAATACAAAAATTAGCCGGGCCTGGTGGTGCACACCTGTAATCCCAGCTACTCGGGAGGCTGAGGCACGAGAATCACTTGAAGCTGGGAGGCGGAGGGTACAGTCAGCTGAGTTCGTGCCACTGCATTCCCGTCTGGGTGACAGAGTGAGACTCTGTCTCAAAAAATAAATAAATAATAAATAAGCTGGGCATGGTGGTGTGCACCTGTAGTCTCAGCTACTTGAGGCTGAGGTGGGAGGGACACATAAGCCCAGGAGTTCGAGGCTGCAGTGAGCCGAGATCACGCCACTCATTCCTTTTTTTTTTAGGCCCACATCACAGTTCCCTCAATAGATCTATTGTTTATCCACTCACCCATCCATGGGCCTTGGGGCTGTTTCCACATTTTGGCTTTTGTGAGTAACGCTGCTGTGGACATTCCTGTGCAAGTTCTTGCAGGTGCCTGCTTTCATTTTTTTGGGTTTGAACCCAGGAATTGGATTGCTTGGTCACATGGTAACTGTGCTTCAGAGTCTGAAGAACCACCAGAGTGTTTTCGCAAAGCTCAACCATTATTCCATTCTATTCTATTCTATTCTATTCTATTCTATTCTATTCTATTCTATTCTATTTTAATTTTTAGTCAAGTCTTGCTCTGTCACCCAGGCTGGAGTGCAGTGGCTCGATCTCAGCTCACTGCAACCTCTGCCTCCCAGGTTCAAGCAATTCTCCTGACTCAGCCTTCTGAGTAGCTGGAACTACAGGCATGCACCACTATGCCCAGCTCATTTTTGTATTTTTAGTAGAGACGGGCTTTCACCATGTTGGCCAGGCTGGTCTTGAACTCCTGACCTCAGGTGATCCACCCGCCTCAGCCTCCCAAAGTGCTGGGATTACAGGTGTGAGCCACCGCACTCAGCCCTTACCTCTATTCTATTGATTGATTGATTGATTTTTTTTTTTTTTTTTTTTTGGTAAGAGATAGAGTCTCACTCTGTCATCCAGGCTAGAGTACAGTGGTGTGATCACAGCTCACCACAGGCTTGAACTACTGGGTTCAAATGATTCTCCCACCTCAGCCTCCTGAGTAGCTAGGACTACAGGCACGCACCACCACAACTGGCTAATTTTTTTTACATTATTTTTTGTAGAGATGGAGTCTCGCTATGTTGCCCAGGCTGGTCTCCAACTCCAGGCTTCAATCAGTCCCCCCTCGTCTTCCCAAAGTGCTGGGATCACAAGCAGGAGCCCCTGTGCCCCGCCACCAGCCTCTATTTTTAAAAGCTGTTTGTGGCTGGGTGCAGTGGCTCACGCCTGTAATCCCAGCACTTTGGGAGGCCAAGGTGGGCGGATCACCTGAGGTCAGGAGTTCGAGACCAGCCTGACCAACATGGAGAAACCCCGTGTCTACAAAAATGCAAAAAT
Source organism: Homo sapiens (assembly GCF_000001405.40). Lineage (NCBI taxonomy): Eukaryota > Metazoa > Chordata > Mammalia > Primates > Hominidae > Homo > Homo sapiens. The sequence continues at coordinate 136,139,220 of NC_000009.12, read as the reverse complement.
TAGCCAGGCATGATGGCGGGTGCCTGTAATCCCAGCTACTCAGGGGGCTGAGGCAGGAGAATTGCTTGGACCTGGGAGGTGGAGGTTGCAGTGAGCCAAGATCGTGCCATTGCACTCCAGCCTGGGCAACAAGAGCGAAACTCCATCTCAAAAAAAAAATAAATAATAAATAATTAAAAAAATCCCTGCTTTTATGATCTATTCCAATTAGGAAAGAGAAATTTCCTTCTACAGAAGGTATTCTCCCGCCCTGGGAGCAGCCAAGAGTCAAAGGTCACCACTGCATACTGGACAGGAGGGCTTGTGTCCTTCTGAGGCTTTCAGTAATGAAGGGCTGTCGCCGGAGCTGCTGTTCCAGATGCTTGGGGGGCTTTAATCTCGAGGTGACTTGGAGGCTCACATGTCCTGCAGAGGGCGCTGGCGTTCCTGGGAGACAGGTGAGTGAAGGGTTTCCTGTGTGCAAACACCCCACTGCCTTTCTTGTGTCCCGCTCCTTCCCGGGAGCCATCAAGCTCCAGTGCAGCCACCGCGTGGTGCTCTGTACTCTAGGGACCTGGCTGGGGACATGTGAGGCACCACTGGGTGAGACCACCTGCCATCAGGACTACAGCTCCCTCAGGAGCAAGGCAGGGCTGAAACTGTCCAGGAAGGACCAAACTTTCCAAAAATAACCCACAAAATGGATTCCCTGCACCCCACATCCTCCTCCCCATCCAGAGGCCCCCTGGGATCACCTAAGGAAACCCCTCTCCACCGCCAGCCCGGGGACCAGCAGAGACCCGAGCCACTGTGGGATTTCCAGAAACCCCACCCAGTAGCAAGGGCGGCCTTTCCCCATGGCGAAAAACCCTTGGCCTAGGGAAGGGAGGTTTTGGGGAGGGGAGAGGAGGGAAGGGGAAGGGAGGGGGAGGGAGGGGGAGGGAGGGGAGAGGAGGGGAAGCGAGGGGAGAGGAGGGTGGGTCAGCAGAGGATTCTGCCCGTGCTGCTGTGAGACAAACCTCACCCAGCGGAGGAGGGATTTTCCTTTTTGGCTGTCCGACTCCACCTGCCAAAATTCACAAGCTCACACAAAAGAGGTGTTTGGCACTTGAATTCCACAGAAAATTAAATCAATTACCAAGTCTAATAAAGAACTCCAGGTTTTTAATTAAACTAAGCTTAATTAAATGGCGAGCGTGCCGTTCTGTCGATGCCCTGATCGGGCCCTGGGGGCTGGGAACGTCTGAGTGGCCCACGCTGGCGTGGCCGCTGGCAGGGGATGGGGGGATCGATGGGCCGCTGTGGAGCCGTGGCAGGGTGACAGGCAGCCGGGGTCCCAGCCTGCCCCAAAGAACAAGACTCTGCAGAGAATCGGGGACTTGCAGCTGGACAGACCCTGGTGACCTCCCAGTCCTTTGACAGAAGGGGGTGGGGCCCCTGAGCCAATGACACGCTGAGGGGGTACCTGCGAGCGCCGCAGCCAGGCCCACGCCACCTCCTCTGCTTGCAGGGTGCATGTTTCCAGGAGTCTCCTCTGCCCCAGGTCTCTGCCTGATGGCTGCTTGCAAAGCCCCAGCTGGGCACCCTGCACCCAGTTCCCTTACTGGGACCCTTCCCTCTTCCCTGCTCACCTGGCCCTGCCCGTCCCGGTTCCTGGTGCATTCTTGGCCTTCAGCCCAGGGCCATTAGTGGTCAGAGGAAGCAAAGGCCTGACCCAGCCAAAGGCTGTCATTGTTTCCCTAGAGCCATCTGTGCCAGAACCATGACCCTGGGCAGGGGAGACTCCGGGAGAAAATGTCTCTCCCAAGCAGCCACTCTGCCAGACACAGCGCCCTGCCCTCACTGGTCCTCAGACTGCCTGCTGCCAGCCCTGGGTGCTGACTGCTACAGAGGTGACACCTGGCCACACGGCCCCTGCCTGGTCTGCAGTGGGCAAGCACAGATAGACGTGGGGATGCTTTTCTGGGGGCGAAGAGATCAGGAATGCACAGGGGACTCTGCTTCAGAGCCTAGGGAGGGCCAGGCCCCGCAGTAAACAGCCCTGGGTTCAAGTCCTGCTCGCCATGAGCCGGTGAGTTTGTGACTTCGTGTCTCTGGGCTCTGCAAAGTGGAGGTGGAAACAGCCCCGCTTCCCAGCCCGCTGGGGGATTCAGCTTTATCCGGGGCACGTAAAGTGCTCATTGAGTCCCCACAATGGCCCACGAAACTAAGCGAAAGCCAAGGTGCCCAAAAGAGATCCCGGCAGGCCCCCTCTCCACCTCTGGGCCCTCTCTAACTGGACTCCTCCTGCCAGCCTGAAACCTCAAGAACATCAGGGACCGCGATGCCTGCTGCTTCCCATGGAGTCTCCTCTTCTGCTCATGCTGCTGAGTGCTGGTTCCGATGGAGTCTCCTCTTCTGCTCAGGCAGTGCCAGGGGCGGCTGAGTGGCCCCTGCCCCAGGCACCTCCACTCGGCAGCGCCACGAGGTCCCAGTCCGCAGGTGGGAGCCATTCCAACCCACTGGCCCTGCAATTCCAGCCGAAGCACCCCAGGACACCGGCCTCCTTCCCCGGTGCGTCCATCCCTGCCGGGCTGTAGGAATTCCTTCAGGAGCTGCCGGTGCCCTGGGGGGTCTTCAAGCTTCACCCTTTCCCTGAGACAGCCTCGTGTCCCCTCCTCAGCCCCACTCCATTCTCAGGCGCAGGAGTGCGCCCCTGCAGCCCGCCCAGGCCCCCGAGGCTGATGGATGTGTGTTGACGGTGGTGTGTTGGGAGCATCCCATCCCCGGCACCAAGAACCAAATGCATAATAAAAAGATAGAACCATCACTGCAATTGTCTGATCTATATTTATTTCATAACATGCAGAATTAATAAGATACCGGGTTTAAAGCTACCATGGTAACCAAATGCAGAATGGCTTGTCCCAGGAAATAGATGAATTCATAAATAACCCCGAAGTGCTGATATCAACAGTCGCGGGACCCTCCTGCAATGTTAATTCGACGCCCGTGCCCCCTGCGGCCTGTGTCCGGCGCATCCCGGGCATCTGGAGTGAGGGACACTTGTGGCTTCCACCACAAGCGTCACTCCAGGGACAATAGACTGGCTGCCCTTACCTGGAGCCTGGTATGTGATGGCCAAGTCCTCAAGACTGGGCAAATCGGAGCCCCTGCCAAGCTCTGATCCCTGTGGGGACCAGCTCTGCAGATAAATGGCCACTGGGAGGTTGTGGGGGTGGGCACAGCAGGCCACCCTATCGCCCTGTAGTTCTGACAGCCAGGCGGGAGCCTCTGGTCCTGCCTTTGTAGGCACCAAGGCAATTCATGGGAGAAGGCATCTGTTCATTCATGCAATCAGGCATTCCTTTGACAAATGTCTCCTGGCCACCAAGCTTGTGGGCACACAGCAGGCGGGCTGGGCAGGGGAGCAGCCTCCAGACACTCAAGCAGCTGACCCTGCCTCCCCGGCCAACGGCAGGAAATGCTGGGGCCACCTCAGGGCTGTCCCTCCGCACGGGGTGAGAGCCCTGCTGGACATTCCCTTAGCACTTGACTGAGAGCTGGTCACATGCTGCCTGTGCCACTGTGGGTCTCCATGACCTTCACGTTCCACAACAGAACAGCTCCCCACGGCCACGATTGTGCCAAGGGGCGTGCAGGGGCCATGGCAGCATGTGACAGTAGCCAGCAAGGGCCAGGGCAGCATGTGACAGTAGCCAGCAAGGGCCACGGCAGCTGCCCGACCAGCTGCCCACAGGATGGGGCTAAGCCACGCTTCCAGGTGGGTGGCCCTGGCCTCGATTCAGGCCTCAGCCCGTCCTGAGGGTGAGTGCCCCTGCCCCAGGAGCCTGTCTCCTGTCTGAGCAATGTGAACCCCTGCCCCTGCCTGGCCAGAATCCCAAGAAAGAATCCAATAGAATCAGTGAAACCCCGGGGCAGGGGTGAGGGAGGCATGAGGCAAGCACCGGGGACCCTTAGGGCAGGGAAACTATTGTACAGAGCGCTGTGAGGGTGGGTGCTGTCTTTATGCACCTGTCCAAAGCCACGCCATGCACACCTCCAAGAGGGACCCCTAATGTACGCTGTGGACTCTGAGGAATGATGATTTTGCTGTGAACCTAAAACTGCTCTAAACAATAAAGTCTAGGCTGGGCGCGGTGGCTCACGCCTGTAATCCCAGAACTTTGGGAGGCCAAAGTGGGTGGATCACTTGAGGTCAGGAGTTCGAGACCAGCCTGGCCAACATGGTGAAAACCCGTCTCTACTAAAAATACAAAAACTAGCCAGGCGTGGTGGCTCACGCCTGTAGTCCCAGCTACTTGGGAGGCTGAGGCAGGAGAATGGCTTGAACCTGGGAGGAAGAGGTTGCAGTGAGCTGAGATCACGCCATTGCACTCCAGCCTGGGTGACAGAGCCAGACTCCAACTCAAAAAAAAAAAAGTCTATATTTAGTTTTTCTCTTCTTTTTTCTTTTTTTGAGACAAAGTCTCACTCTGTCACTCCGGAGTGCCATGGTGCAGTGGCCTGATCATGGCTTGCTGCAGCCTCCACCTCCTGGGCTTCAGTGAGCCTCCTGCCTCAGCCTCCCAAGAAGCTAGGACTACAAGTGCACACCACCATGCCTGGCTAATTTTTTTAAAGAAAATCTTTTTGTAGAGACAGGGGTCTCACCATGTTGCCCAGGCTGGTCTCAAACTCCTGCCCTCAAGTAATCCTCATGCCTTGGCTTCCCAAAGGGCTGGCATTATGGATGTGAGCCACGCCTGGCCCATTATCACGCAAATGCTTTTACGGGACCAACTCCTTTCTGAACTGTCCCTCCCTGTCTCCTAGAGCTCACAGAACTATTTCCAGAAACCCCGGAGCATCGTCAGCCATTGCTGGCCTGCCAACCTGCCTCCTGTCTGAAGCTGTCTCTGTCTGGAAGAGCCATTTACCCAACAGGTGTCTGTCTTATGCTCGAGTTGCTGAGTGGGAAGGCTGGGGACACGGGTGGGTAGTGGAGGAACTGCCTGCCGGGGGGAAGGTTGGGGAGATGACCAGGCCGTGTCCAAGCTGCAGCCCTAACGCTCCCGGGAAGAGGACGGGGTGAGCCAGTCCCGGGGCTGTGGGACTCCTGTCTACACCTACCCTCAGCAGCCCAGACCACCTAGAGGGAGACAATGGCACCAGCCGGGACCAGCGGCCAGGGGGTCTTTGTGCAGTGTGGGGCACCCTTGAAAGGTCAAGCCCTTTCTCTTGCGACCACTGACTGATCTTACAAGCAGCACTAACGGCTGCCTCCCCGAGGGCTCGGTCTGTGCCCCGCAGCCTGTCAGCGCGGAGACAAATCACTTCCTCCCCTCGGCCTCGCTGCCAGCCCCGAAGGAGACTGTGGAACATCCTGGTGGAACCGGGACCCCGCGCTGTCTCCACGGGAGGCGTCCGGTGCCAGCCTGGCTCACCTGAGCCCCGGTGCACACCCGGGCTTCGCACCAACCCATGCCTCGTACGCTCTTGTCTCCCTTTCTGTCTCTGCCTCTCTTCCCCCATCTCTCTCTCTCTTTCCCTCTCTCTCTCCCTCTCTCCCTCTCTCTCTCTCCCTCTCTATCTCTCTCTATCTCTGTCTCTCCCCGCCCCACCGCTGGTGATTGCTGGGTGACCGTCTGGAGTGGGCGCCGAGCACGCACGCGCCCTGGCCTGGGTCCCCCACCCCCCGCCTGTGCTCCTGCAAGAAAAGCCCGCGCCCAGGCCGCGGGGCCGCTCTTCCCGTCTCAGGAGGAAGGGAAGGGGCACAGGAGTCCGGGCGCGGGGCTGGGGGCGGTGCTGCCGGGCGGTCTCCCCGACCCAGCACGCGGGGGTCCGGGAGCCGCGGGAAGGACAAGGCCGCCCCCTGGCGCTGGCGAGCGCTGCAGCTCCCCAGACCAGCTCGGAGCCAGCGCGGGGACTGCGCGGCTGCGGGGCGGGGCGGGGCAGGCCGGGGTTGGTGGAGTATGCGGTGCGGGGACGGGACAGGCTCGGGGTTGCGGGGCGGGGCGGGGCAGGCTCGGGGTTGCGGGGCGGGGCGGCTGCAGGAGCTGGGCGGGAGTTGGGGGCGGGCTCGGGGGCGGGGCAAGCTTAGGGGCAGGGGTGGGGGCAGGAGCGGGGGTGGGGGGAGTAGGCTGGGGGGGCAGGCCGGGGTTGGAGGGGGTACCGGCGTAGGGGCGGGGCAGGCTCTGGGGCGCGGGGGACCCTGCGCACTGGGCCTTCGGGGCGGCACTGGCACAGCGTCCCGCCTGGGTCTGCCCACGACCCCCACACTCCTATGTCCTCCACCCCTGCACCCCAGGGACCCCACGAACAGGCGGTGCGAGCTCCCGGGCTCCGCGCTCTGCAGCGCCCCTGCGCGTGGGGCGGCCTCAGGAGGCCTGTGCTCCGCAGCAGCGCCGGCCTCGGGCTGAGGTCCCGGAGCCAGGGCTGCACTTCCTGCTCAGCGGACCTCAGGAGTAAACTGAGGCACAGAGAGAGCCAGGTTCGCCGGGGTGCAGGAGCCGCACAGGGAGGATGGAGATTCAGCCGGACCCGGAGTGGGGGGACCCAGCCGAGCCGCGGCCCCAGCGAGGCCGGGCGCCTGACGCGGGCCGGCGGCGGCCGTTTGCCCCCAACTCCCGACGCCTTCGGGGGTCCCAGGCACCCCGCAGCGGGCGTTTCCCAGCTCCATCCCAGGACTGGGCGGCGGGGCGCGCACCCCTGGCTGCAGGGACGCGGGGGCGCAGTGGGAAGGGGAGCTCTCTTACCGTCTCAGTCTCCGGGGGTCGCGCATAGAGGCCGAGGTGGCCCTGCAGGCATCCAACCGGCCTCACCCCTCAAACAGGGAGAAGGCTGGGACGAGGGGCCTGACTGGGACAGCCCACCCGGAAGGGGCAGCACTGGCCACTTGCCCACTCCCTACCTGAGGCCTGAGTGTCCGGAGTGCGCAGGAGGGCTTAGCCGTGCGCTCCCCAAAACACAGACCCTAGCCCTGCGCCTGGGTCCTCCCGGGGGCATGGGTAGGAGGCCACGGAAGGGAAGGGGTTATTTGGTCCCCAGTGTCACCCAGGGAGGCAGGAGACCCAGCCACCGATGAGAACTGACACTTTAGAGGGCTGGGTTTTAGGACGGCAGGGTGTGCCCCCGCTGCCCCTCCCATGATGACAGGGCACCTGCCTGGGTTGTGTTCAGCTTGTGCCCATCAGAGACACGGTCACCACTCCCCACACGCACACTGCACAGAGGAGAGCTGCGCTCTAGCAATGGCTTCCAGGACACGGGGCGCCGTGATCTGAGGGGTCAGTGCCTGGTGATGAGGTTGAGGGTGTCTGGAATCAGTGTTCACTGTGCTCACACGGGCCATGCTTTTATGGGACCATCTCCCGTCTGAACTTGTCCGTCCTGCCCCGCAGACCTAATGGAATGATCTTTCCAGAAACCCCAGAACATGGGAGGCCATAGCTGGCCTGCCCACCCCACTCTGTGCCTGGGAAGATGCCGAAGACAAACGCTCTTTCAGTATCTTTTCCTGCCCAGTTGCTGAGTCGGATGCTGGGTATGCAGGTGGCAGGGTGGGCCTGCTGGGGGGAAGATGATCAGGCTGTGTCCAAGCTGCAGCCCAAATGCCCCCAGAAGAGGACACCATGAGCCAGTCCCAGGGCTGTGGGACTCCCACCTAGAGGGAGACAATGGCGCCAGCAGGACCAGCGGCCCGGGGGGCTTCGTGCAGTGTGGGGCACCCCCGACATGCCCCGTCCTTGCTCTTGCAACCACCAACTTTGCCGGCAGCACTAACTGCTGCCTCCCTGAGGGCTCAGTCTACCCTGCAGCCTGTCTGGGCCACCCGCATTCACCTCTGAGACCCAGCACTTCATACCCATGGTCTCGGTGCCACATCCCGGCACCACCCCCATGCTCCCCTCCCCCCCCCCCCGCACCCAAGTGTGGCGCTTCCCAAACCCCTGCCTAGAAGGCCACTAGCCCTGCCCGAGGTTTGCTCTCACACAGGCCCCTGGCCCACACCCCAGGTTGCAGGGAGAGCTCTCTCCCGGGCCCGCCCTCCGCCCTCCGCCCTCCTGATCCCTGTTTGGCCTCCTCGTAGACCCCCACCTGCCCCATTCCCTACTAGAGCACTCCTAGAGGTAGGTCCAGCCTGGCCTTGGTGTCCAGGACTGCTGCCAGGACAGAGGACAGAGCAATCAGAGGCAAGGACCTGCCCCAGGACAACCAAGACAGCACGGTTGCCAAGAACCTTTTGTCAGAGATGCCTGGAGAGCGTTTCTCTCATTCCAACCAGGTCAGCCCTGCCTGAAGAGAGCACGTGACGCAGCGGGTGACAGGTGTGCAAACAGACAGCCCCTCCCTCCCTGGGGCCGGTTGTGGGACAGGCACTGGGGTGAGTCCGGCCCACAATCAGCAAGGCTTCCTGGAAGAGGAGGCCTTGAGCTGAATTTTGAAGGACATGAAAGGAAAAGTTCGCAAAGGTATGCGAGACTGCCAAGAAGGGGGTGCAGGGGGCCACGTGGGCAAAGGTTCAGGGGCGTCGGGGGTGTGGTCCCTGGCCACGGACAGCCTGGTGTCCTCGGGACAGGGTGGCCTCAGCCATGACTGGGCCAAGCTAGAGTCTCCAGATGCTCAGAAAGGAGCTCGGACTCCTGCCTGTGGGTCAGGCTTGCCTTTGAGAAGGTTCCCTCTGAGTGGGAGGCAACTGCAGGAGGACCTGTGGAAACATCTGGAAGGATTGGGCCAGCGCTGTGGGGTGTGATGCGGGGAGGGGACAGATCACAGTTGGAAAGGCGTTGACACTGCAGGTACCTGAACAGCCAAGCAGGGACGCCACAGCCTCCCTGTCCATCCCCCCAGGGAGAGCCACGCAGCTGTGCAGGTGGGTGAGGACGTCTGTGCTCTGCTGTGGAAGGAGCTCCAGGCCTCAGTTACCTGACCGCAGAGGCATGGCATGCTTCCAGCCTGAATGCAAGAGAGGCAGGATGAATAAGGACAGACCCTGTGATTCTGCTCAGGGCCCTCAGAGCCACAGAGACAGAAAGTCGAATGGAGGGTCCCGGGGCTGGGAGGGGACGGGGGTGAGTGTTTCATGGGGACAGAGCTTCAGTTTAGGAAGATAGCGAGTTCTGGAGATGGAGGGTGGTGGCTGCAGGACTGTGAAGGTGCTCACTGACACGGAATCGTGCACTTGAAAATGGTGAAGATGATAAATTTTGTTGTGTGTCTTTTGCCACAATTACAAAAAAAAAAATAAAAAGGGAATGAAAAGATACATTCCTAATCACAGCCAGGATGTGGTTTGATCTCTAATCATGGAAATGTCATATCTACTAAAAAAATTACATTTAAAAAATGGTAACGGGGCCGGGCGCAGTGGCTCATGCCTGTAATCCCAGCACTTTGGGAGGCCGAGGTGGGTGGATCACCTGAGGTCAGGAGTTCGAGACCAGCCTGGCCAATGTGGTGAAACGCCATCTCTACTAAAAATACAAAAATTAGCTGGGCGTGGTGGCACATGCCTGTAATCTCAGCTACTCAGGAGGTTGAGGCAGGAGAATCACTTGAACCTGGAAGGCAGAGGTTGTAGTGAGCTGAGATCATGTCACTGTATTCCAGCCTGGGCAACAAGAGCGAAACTCTGTCTGAAAAAAACAAAAACAAACAAACAAACAAACAAAACAGGTAATGACAGCAAGATTGGCCGACAGGAGTGACAGTGAGGAGGAGAGTCTGGCACGCCCCTTGTTCCCAGCCTGGTGGTGAGTGGTCTCGAGAGCCCCAGATGCCTGAGCGGGATGGGAGGGTGTTTCCGGTGAGAGCTCCACGGCCTTAGAAGCTCTGGGAACGGCCTGTCATTCCGCCCACGGCTCAGGGGTCCGTCAGTGGTGGCCCTGCTTGGTCCACTGTGAGTGCCCAGTCTGGACCCCGTCGCCCTCGCAGTCTGGGAGGCCCCAAAGGCAGGTGTGGGGATGCCCCTCCGGATGCATCCCTGTCCTGCGTCTGTCCCAGAGCTTGTCCTGTGTAGACCTGCTCTCCTGGCAGAGCGTTTATTTCCATTCTCTTCAAACAGAAGCTGCCCAGCGATGCTGGAATTGGGAGTTTGGATGAAAACGGCTCTCACTGTCACCTTCCAGCCCTCCTCACTTTACCCACCCTCTGCCTGGGCTCCCTGTCGCTTTTGATATCCTTTTTTTTTTTCTTTTTTCTTTCTTTTTATTGTGGTAAAATACGCATAATTCACCATCTTACCATTTTTAAGCACACAGTTCAGTGGCCCTGAGCACATTCACCTGACGCTGCGGCTGTCACCTCCCTCCATCCACAGAAGTCTCCATCTTCCCCACTGAAGCTCTGTCCTCATGGAACACTCACACCCCTGCCCCAGCCCCTGGCACCCACCTTTCCACCTCCAGTCTCTGGGCGTGAAGACTCACACGCGGGTTTGTCCTTTGGCTGCCTGCACCTGGCTGCGGCATGCCAGTGTCTTCCTTCCAGGGACATCACCCTCCCAGCTTCCAGCCAGGTCACAGCTCAGCAGCTCCCCAGGGCCTTCGGGCCTTCCCTTCCCAAGACAGACTCTCCTGAGCCCCTCAGCCCCCGAGCTCCTCCCTGCGAGGGGTGCTTTCAGCTGCCTGCGTTGGAAGTGGCCAACGCCAGGCCTGGTTCCCTTGGCAGAAAACAGCCTCACCGTCTCTCAGAAGACCCCAGGGAGGGCGGGTGAGGGTGGCGATGGCGGGACGCAGGCGGGGAGCCCTCAGCCCTGCCAGCTAGCGGGCAGCACGGAGCTTGCCAGGGCACGTCAGCAGCCTCAGAAAGGTCAGCCCCATCAGCAGGTCCAACCAGAGAGCGGCATTTGAAATGTGTGTGTGCACAGATTTATGTGCAGGGATGTTCATCACAGCATTATTTATAATAAAAAATTGGCACCAACTCACACATCCAATCAGAGAAGAAAGGTGAGGTGAATGATGGTGCATCCGAGCTCTGGAATACACCGTGGCCACTGAACATGAGATTTATGAGGGGTACTCGGACTTGAAAAAATGTTCATTCCATAAGGTCAAGCAGGGAAAAAGCAGAATGCAAGCCCATGTATGTCCCATCAGCCCTATTTTGAAATTCAATAAAATAAAGCATTTAGCCAGACGGAGAGCACGGGCCGTCAAACGTCCCAGGCTGGGCTGGAGCCCCATCTGCGCAGGGCCCCACAGGGATGCATGCTGAGGGCTTCACAGAGGTCCTCCACCAAGAGGTGGGGGGACGGGGGCCTTGGGGGAATGAGGTGGGGTCCCAAGGTGGGCTCAGGTACAGTCAAGGCCTTGGACTGCACCAAAGTGATTCAGCTCACGGTCAGCTCAGAAAAGGCACGCACCAGCCTCCTCCTCCTCCTCCTCCCTCTCTCTGTCTCTTTCTTTGTCTCTCTCCATCTCTGTCTCTCTGTTTCTCCTTCCGTCTGTCTCTCCTTCCCTCTCTCTGTCTTTCTGTCTCTTTCTCTGTCTTTGTCTCTCTCTCTCTCTCCATTGTCTCTTCCTCATCCACTAGAATGACACAATAAGCAGGTTTGGCTCTGGTTGAATTAGTTTCACTAAATTTTACAAAAATAAACACCCACAAAACTTTGGTCCCATTTTTAAGCACAAACACCTGCATGGGTCTCGGGGTGTCGGTGCAGTTTGCCTGGGTTTGGGGTTCCTGCTGGACGAGGCGGCCTCCTGCAGTGGCCGAGTAAGCCTGGGGCAGAGCCGCGGACACCCGAGAGGTTCCGCGCCCGCAGTGCAGGCGCCACCTCCAGCCCGCGGTGTCCGAGACAGGCCCCCTTCCCCCAGAAAAGGACATAATCCTGATTTAATCGGGAATCTTCAGTAGGTACAAGCGGGCTCTGAAAGGGTGATGTGGAAGGAAACAGCCATTCTGAGCACATTTGGGTTCTCATTGTTCGGGAAAAGACACAGAGGGACCCAGGCCGAGGTTGGTGGAGCCAAACAAAACCGGAGTGGAGCTTTTTCCAGACGGTGCTTCCCAGGTCTGGCTGATTCAGGTGTGGGAAGGAGGCTGCCCCAGGCCGTTCCCAGGTAGCAGTGAAGTCGAGCCCCGTGCCTGGTTGACCGAACCTACCTCCACGTCAGGGAGTGACTGAAACAGCTCCCCAGGTGGAAAGAGAGCTGGTTCTCCGTCCCCACCTCGGAAGGCCTTCGGCCCCAGCGTTGGTGTCCCGCCCTGGCCCCCCTTGGGCTCATGTTCACAGGAATTCATCATTTCCCAGCCGCTAGATTACTCTGGGGCTGATTAAATTAGCGAATGCAATCACAATCTGAAGCAAGTTAATTGAGAGAATTTATTTGGGCCTGACAGTTTTATGCATGTTTGATTAAGTATTATAAGGTTTGTTTTTGATTTTGCATAATTTAACTTTAAATCCTGCATGGGGGGGCCCGTCAACCATTAACGACCAAAATAAACCTCTTTTAAGATGCATCTTTTTATGATTTATTTCTGAATGCAATATCTTCCAGATTTTTTTGATGCTATTGCCAAAGTGACGAATATGTTTAAAGTAACATTTTGAGCCATCCCATTCACCCTGTAAATCTTCCAGAATGTATACAATTCATTAAAAGTTTTGAAAGAAGTACAAGTTAGCATTTATATTGCAACAAGTGACATATAAATGCGTATGTTTGTCTTCCAAGTGTGCCATAAAATATATCCCCCCCGTGAGCTCCTCGGAGCCATACAAATCGTCCATGCTCTGGGGTAATGATAAACTTGGTCACAAATCTTCACTGCTGTCAACGCAAAACTGTTCAATCAACAGGAATATGAGTTGTGTGTTTTGTGAAATTAGCACAGGAGAAAATACAGCCCAGGCCTGGGTCTAGGGACATTGTGGCCCTGGGAGGAGGGCCCAGGGTGAGCGCTAACCTTGAATGCAGGCTTCCTAAGCCCCCTTTGTAATCTGAATCTGGGTGTTCTGAGGCCACTTGCTTTAGGCAGCCAAGGACCTGCTGCCCGGAGAAGACCAGGACCACCAAGAAAATGGGCAAGCAGCCCCGTCCTCCCCATGCTGAGAAGCTGGGGTCTCCGTCCATGAGCCTAGCCAACGGCCTGCATTCCATGAACATCACTGCTTTCCAACGGTGGTGTTTATTAAGCACTTACTCTGCCTCAGCCTCAGCTAAGGGCTTCGCATCATTAAATCATTAATGGCCACCAAGGATAAGCCCAGCACATAGATGTGCATGCTCAGGAATCTGAAGTCATTCACCCAACCGTAGAATCTCCTCTTGCAGCTTGGGATGGTGGGATGGGGACACTTCTGAAATCAAGCACATCTGTGATCCATGCCTCCCTGATGGCCCCTGACACCACTTACAAGGCCCCCAGACACAGATCTGTGCCCACTGTCTCCCTCACCCCTGCATGGCACCAACAGGCTACTGGGCACATGGTGCCAGGGCTGCCCCGGGTGAGTTACATGCCTGTGGATGCCAGTGGGCCATGCCAGGTTGAGGCCTGTGGCCCTCCAAAGTCCTTGGGCCTCCATTTTTGAAAACCCAGCACAAGCCAGGCACTTTAATCAGCCAGCCATCCAACCAACCAACCAATCATCCAACCAATCATCCAACCAACCAACCACCCATCCAACTAACCAACCATCCAACCAACCAACCATCCAACCAACCAACCAACCAACCAACCAACCAACCAACCATCCAACCAACCAAACATCTAACCAAACAACCAGCCATACAAAAAACCAACCATTCAACAAACTGATCAACCAACCAGCCAACCATCCAACCAACCAACCATCCAACCAACCAACCATCCAACCAACCAACTAACCAACCATCTAACCAACTAACCAACCAACCATCCATCTAACCAACCAACCATCCAACCAACCAACCAACCATCCAACCAACCAACCATCCAACCAAACAACCAACCAACCAATCATCCAACCAACCAACCAACCAACCATCCAAACAACCAACCAACCATCCATCCAACCAACCATCCAGCCAACCAACCATCTAACCAAACAACCAACCATCCAACAAACCAACAAACCATCCAACCAACCATCCAACAAACCAACAAACCAACCAGTCAACCATCTAACCAACCAACCATCCAACCAACCAACCAACCATCCAACCAACCATCCATCCATCAAACCAACCAGTCATATCCAACCAACCATCCAACCAACCAAGCAAGTACACCCTGAGCCCTACCGCCTGCCAGGTACCAGGAACTCAGGGAAACAGAGGAGGGCGCCTCCTTTCAGAGCTTGAGCTCCAGAGAGATTGGACAAGAAAGCACAAGCATGAAAGTAACAAAGACCCTGAGATGGCAAAGGCAGCGGGGCCTCTGCACCCAGCACTCAGCACTGAGACCGAGTGATGTAGCCGGGCTTAGAAAGATCTGGACAGTGCCGGCAGGCTGAGGGGACCGCAGGGAGGGGAGGACCTGGGCTCTGAGGCTGCCCACTCTCTCCCTAACCTGAGTGTCTGCCTCCGTCAGGGAAGGGGATTCTCCCGCAGGGGCTCCGAGGGGCCCACTGCTCCCCATCCTTCCGAAGAGGACACCATGGGGAGCTTGTGTCCAGACCAACAGGGTACAGAAAGCCCTGGTCCAAGTGCTGCCCTCCAGCCCCCACCTGATGGCCCAAGTGACCTCGAGCAAGTTGCTGCACCTCCTGACCCCTGTAAACAGGGACAGCCACAACACACTTTCCCAGGTCGCTGTGACCAAGGCCCCTGCCATGCTCAGTGGAGTGCCTGGTACACAGTTCCCCATCACTCCCCATCAGAGAACATCCAGAATGGGATGCCTTCAAACAATAAGTACCCCTGGGATTGCCTTGCCCTGCGGCCGTAACAAAGGACCACAGATTCCGTGGCCTTAACAGCATGCATTTATTTACCATCTCACAGTCATGGAGACTGGAAGTCCAAGATCAAGGTGTGGGCAGGGTTGGGTCCTCCTGAGGCCTCTCTTCTGGGCTTGCAGATGCCGTCTTCTCCCTGTGTCCTCACGGTGTCATCCCTCTGTGCATGTCTGTGTCCTAATCTCCCCTTTGTCTACGGACACCAGTCAGATTTGGGCCCACCCTAATAACTTCGTTTTACCTCCATGGCCCTTCCTCCCTCCCTCCCTCCCTTCCTTCCGGTGGGTGCTCCGGTCTCCTGGAGGCTTGTCCACGCTGGGGCCAGCTTCTCCCAGCAGGTGCTAAGAGCTAAAAGGCAGCATGCAGGAGGCAGAGGGGAAGCCATGGGGCTTCTTCTGCCTCAGCCCAGAAACTGTGCAGAGTCCCTCAGGCCTCTATCTGGTTGCAGGACAGTCACAGAAGCCAGCACAGTTTCGCAGAAAAGGATTGGCTTGGTCTCCTGCTGGGTAAGTGGGGAGGTGGCTGCAGAAGGGTCTGGGTAGAGATGTCCATGCAGCTGAGAGGATGCTGGGCTCCTGTGTACTGCGTCTCCTTCCCTGGCCTCCTGTGTACTGCGTCTCCTTCCCTGGCCTCCTGGGTGGCTCAGCTCTGTGGGGCCACAGGCCCCACCCCACCCCAGAGACATGGAGAGGGGGTTTGTCATTGAACTTGAAGTCGCACTGGCTCTGTCCAACGACCAGTTAAAATGACTCTGGAGGTTTCCATTCTCTCCCATCCCTTCCCCTTCCCTGGCCCGAACCCTGCAAGGTGGCTGGTGTCAGAGATAGGACTCTCTAGGCCTCTACTGTCCTGGCAGCAAGAGCCACTCCCTGCCAGGACCCTGAAGTCAACCAGCTGGATAAAGTCCCCACAGTGACCCCATCCTTGGCCCCCAGCCCCAGCAAGTGGAGGGACAGAAGGACGGTACTGGAGGGGTTGGGGTGGGCTTCAACATGTCCCACAACCAGGGGTTGCATTCTTTCCACCCACTCAACCCACCTGCTCAGCACGCGCCCTGGGCCGGCCTCGGTGGGGAAAGTGCTCCTTCCAAGCAGGGGTTGGCTCGCTGTCCCTGCAAAGGTAGGACAACCCCAGGTGTTCCCAGCCGCACGGCCAGGGGTCCCGTCCAGCTTGGGGGCTCTGCGTCGGCAGCGAGCACCACATTCGGCCCCAACTTAAAGTCTCCCACAGACCTGGAGCCGCTGGGTCCCTCCTGCGCTTGGCGGCACCACAGGCACCAGCCCAGCAGATGGCGCCAAGCCACTGTCCACAGCGCAGCAGGAGGCCTGACGGGGACAGGGACGGGGACAGGGAGGCTATGGGGACCCCGGCTGGACCTCACACGTCAGGACAAACCCGTGACAAATCCCCAGCACACGGTGGTTCTGGGGTGACCGAGCTGTGGCCAGGCCGGGGGCGCAGGAAGGCGCAGAACCCGGGAGTGGGCAGAGGACCAGAAGCAGCTGCGGCCGGGGAGGAAATCGGTGTCCTGGGAAGCTACTTGCGCTGTGCACGCATGGACTGGGTCACGAGGCCAAAACCCACGGTGGCCACGGCAAGAGAGCCCTGGGCCAGCGGAGACACAGGCCACCAACAGGCGGGGGTGGCTTTGTGTGAGGAGGAAGGGGAGGCAGGAGACAGGGGACAGGGGGTGTGACGGAAGGGGCAGCCCAAGATTGAAGGCGCCTCCCAGAGATGGGGCATTCGAGCTGGGTCCTGAAGGGCGAGTAGGAGCTCGGAAGATGGAGAAGGGACAGAGAGAGAGAAAAGGCAACTGTAAAGAGGTCCAGGCTCCTGCCCTGTACCCTGGTTTCACAGGGAGGTAGGGGAGGCTGGCGGTTCTGGAGGGTCAGCCAGGGAAGGGCGACCCCCACTGTCTTCTGTGAAGGGTGCCAAGGGGTGGCCTCAAGGACAGCGTCCAGCCACGAACACAACCAAGATCAGAACCCACACCCGGGGCACAGACGCTTCCACGTGTGTGGAGCTTACAGATTCTCCAAACCGAAATTCAAGGCAGACAGATGGGACTTGCCCTATAACCCAAGGCACATGAAGCGTTTCCCCGACCATGGCGCCTCTGCTGAAGTCAAGTAATAAACAACTCCGCACTTAAATACTCATTCTCCTGGAAAGGGCAACCAGGGCTCCCCCTTACTGTCCCCTCACCCCAAACCCCAAGTGATATCCCAGCCTTGGAAGCAATGGGCAGCAGCAGCAGGGTTAGCCCGGGAAGCCACCCTCACAGCTAGAGTGGTCATCCCCATCCATGGGCGAGCAGAGACTGGCGGGGCAGGTGGCTGACCAGAGAGTGTGGAACCATCAACACAGACAAGGCGACAAGGGGACAGCTGCACCCTTTGGGAATTCAGGACACAGAACCCTCCTGTAGGGAGAAGCACGTGACTGCGGGCCCAGCCTGAGGTAGTGGCGAGTGGGGGCCCCAGCTTTCCTGGAGATTCTAATACAGGAACATGTTTCAGGACACTCGGGCTGACATGCACTTCTTTTTATTTGTCCAAATCCGGCTTTTTTTTGTTTGTTCATGCTGAAAAAATAAAATCAGAAAGTACAGAAATGTTAAAAAAACAGTAAAATATATTCATCTCTTTAATCCCACCACACATAGATCACCTCTGCAAACATTTATCTGCTTCCAGGACTTCACCCAGAAACGGACACCTAGGAGTACGTCTGTGCTGATGAGGGGTCACACTAGACGTGACTTTGTGAACCACTTTTTTTTTCTTTTTTTTCTTTGTTTTGCGACAGTCTCACTCCGTTGCCCAGGCTGGAGTGCAGTGGCGCAATCTCCGCTCACTGCAAGCTCCGCCTCCTGGGTTCATGCCATTCTCCTGCCTCAGCCTCCCCAGTAGCTGGGACTACAGGCGCCCGCCACCACGTCCAGCTATTTTTTTTTTTTTTTGTAGTTTTTTAGTAGAGACGGGGTTTCACTGTGTTAGCCAGGATGGTCTTGATCTCCTGACCTTGAGATCTGCCCACCTTGGCCTCCCAAAGTGCTGTGATTACAGGCGTGAGCCACCATGACCGGCCTATGAACCACTTTTGACTCAGCCTGGGGGACTGTCTTCTGGGCACAGCTGGCAGTGGGTTCACCTGACCCTGTTTAGCAGCAGAAGCTTCAAGGCCTGTTCCTAATTTTGTATTTTCTTAAGGAAGGTCCCTTAAACCACAGAAGCCTCAGGCCCCACAAAACCTGCATCCGCCCCTGGCTGCAGGACACTCCAGGGTCTGGATGCAGCCAGGGCCAGCCACAGCCTCACTAGCTGACCGCACCTTTAAAAGTACGCGCATTGGCAGCTTTGTTCTGACGGCCACACCCCCCAAGAGACCTCCTTGGCCTTTGGCTTGGGTGATGCTGACCCACATGGAGGGGTCTCTGGCCCAGCAGTCCTGGGACATCCCCTGTATGAAGACCATATGTCTGACATGGCACTTGCCACCCTTTCTGGTCATTTGCCCCTCAGCCTGTCCCTGTCACAAGATGACAGGTGCCTCGAGGGTGGGGGCTCTGCTGTGCCTGTGTCCTTGGTACCCAGAGCAGGGTAGCAGCGTGGGGGCAAGTGCAGGCACGCATGCTGTGCTTCTCTGGGCGGGTGCACAGTGGGAAGCAGGGGGTGTCTAATCCAGAGCTGGAGTCAGGGGACTGCAGGGCAGGGAGGACACGGGAAACCCACAGCAAGGAGCGGGGCTGTGGCTCTGCTCCTCCCATGGCACAGCCACCAGATGGGCCAGGTGTGAGCCCTGATCCATGGACATGCGACCACCCTCACCAGCACGCGAAAAGTCGAGTGACGGGTGACCACCTGCTTTACACGCCACCCTCTATCTGGCCACGGGCGCCATCTCACGGTGCCGGCGTCCCAGCACGAGCCACATGGGAGGGGAGAATTATCTTTGGTTAGTTTGTCTCTAATAGTCCTTAAAACAGAAGACAAAAAATGAAGACAGGCATCAAGATGCTATTATCTCAATGTTTATATATTTAAAATGTTTTATTTATTTTTGTGGAGGCCATGTTGCCAGCCAGGTCGCCCAGGCTAGTCTTAAAACTCCTGGGCACAAGAGATCTGAGGCCGGAATGACAGGTGTGAGCCACCACGCCCAGCCTTATCTCAATAGCTAAACGTGTGGATCTGCCTCACATCTGGAGAGGCAGAGAGGTGAGCCACCAACAGGACTATTGAGGAAGGAAGGAGACCTGTTTATTGATTTTAAGTTTTTTGTAGAGACAGGGGCCTCACTATGTTGCCCAGGCTGGTCTCAAACTTCTGGGGCAAGTGATCCCCCTGCCTTGGCCTCCCAAAGCGGTGGAATGACAGGCGTGAACTAGCGCTTCTTGCCTGACACGTTTCTTTCGGAATATTTGCCGCCAGCCATCGGTAAAGAAAACAGGCTCTTGGCCTTTTTTGCTGTGCTACCTCCTGGTGGCCTTTGCTCGTCCAGATGTTCCTCGAACTCCTGCTCATGTCGGGTAAAGGCGGCTCTCTCTCCTGTGGCGGGGATGGGGCCACAGTGGAGAAGGTAGCTGTGCCAGCCCTCAGGGCGGCCCTGGTCCAAAGGACAGGGGCCCAGGAGCCAGCTCGCCGTCCCGGGAGGCCTGCAGCCAATGACGGGCCTGGTGGGCAGGAGGGCCCAGCCCCCTTGTTCCAGTGCCTTGAATTTGAAGGGCCACCCACTTTACGGTCGCCCCAGGGGCTGCTGACCCTGCCTTCCCCTCCTACCCAGCAGCCACACCCAGGAGCGCTCCCCAACACATTCCTCGCTGGAAACCCCCAGGACAACCGCCAGCCTGTACGAACCAGGCGTGAGGACACTAACACAAGTCCCCTTCCTTCACTGGGGGGCGGCGGGGGGGCGGCCCTGGGGCTGCTGCTGGGCCTGCTCGTGCTCCGGGGCTGTCCCTACTTCGGCTGCCGACGTCGCCGCCGGCCCACCGGGCCTCGCAGCTACACACCCGATCCGTGCCGCCCGGGTCCGCGTGGCGTCAGCCGCCCCCACCCTTCCCCGCCCTCCTGGAGCCTGGGGGGCGCCCTCATTCCCGCCGCCGCCCTGTCCTCCCAGCCCCAGGCCGCGCAGGAGGCCTTCGCACACGGCCCCGCGAGGACCAGACCTGCTCCCGGTCCCTGGGCCGCCCACCCCCGCCGGGAAAGCGGCTTCCTCCGGGGCCCGGCCCCACCCCAGCGACGGCAGCAGCGCGCCGGGTCGCAGACACCTCAGTCCGGGGCCAGGACCACGGTCAAGCCCTCTGCTGGGGCCAAAGGACTGCTCCACGGAAGCGCGCCTGCGCACTGCCTCTCCACGGGATGCGGTAGCGCGTGCGCGGAGGCGCGGCCCAGGAACGGCAAGCGCAGGCGCAGAAGACCAGGCGCGGCACCGAGGGCGTTCGGGGGAGGGAACGCTACGGACTGCTCGCAGCGTGCGCACGCACGCACGCACGCACGCCCTCGGGAAGCGACGAGTCCGGGACGCCCAGCGCGGGCCCGGAGCAGGGGGAAGGGAAGTGCGGCTCGGTCGGCGCGGGTGGAGGGGGCGTGAGGCCGCCCTACGGTGGCCGTCGAGGGACGGCGCTACGGCTCCCACGCTAGGCCAAACGCCTCCGGCGGCCGCGCCCGAGAGCCCCTTCACCTGCAGGGCGACCCCAGCCGGCGACGCGTGAACCACGCCCTCAGCCGCCTTGCCAGCGCCCCCAGCCGCGCGCCCCAGCACCATGCGGCCGCCCTGCGCACGGAGCCCCGAGGGACAGGGGCACCCGCAGGCCCGGCCCCTAGCACCGCCGGCCGGCCCCGAGGTCCGGGACGCCGGCGCCGCCGCGGAGAGGGCACCGGGTGAGCTGCGGTCGGGGACCCGGCCTAGGCGGGGGCCGTCTCCAGGGCAACGCGCGGCGCGGGACCCGGAAGTGGCTCCGGCAGGGGCTCTGCAGCCAGGGGGCCCGGCGCGGCGCGGCGCAGGCCCGGTGCTCACGCGGAGTTGGCCGGGGCCCGTTGCGTCTCTGCGGCCCCGAGGAAACAGTCCTGGGTCCATGGGCCGGGCCGAGCGGGCGTCTGCAGAAACGCAGGGACCCGGATGGAGCCGCGGGCCGCGAGACCCTGCGGGGACACAGCTCCGCCGAGTCGCGTTTGAGTGGCACCGCCATGGCCGGGGTCCCGGCCGGGGCGAGCTCCAGGCCAAGGCCGGCCTTAAATAGGGCCGCTCTGGCCCCTGCACCCCGTGGAGGAGCCGGGCGGAGGGAGAGGGCGAGGTCGGGCCCCTGCGGGCACGGGAGGGTCAGGCGGCCCCGGCCCCTCCCTCCTCCGCCCTGGCCAGGTCCCCACGGCAGGGCCCCAGGCTGAATCTGAAGGCAGGCGAAGCTCTTGGCAACAGTCCCCTGTAATGTTACCAACTTTCCTGCTCAGATTTTATTTCCTGACCTTTGAGTTCATTCCGTCTACAGATTATTTCGGCAAGGTATAAACGGCCTTTACTAGGTGAAGCTGGAGAGCCAAATGCCGCCTCTGCTCTTTGCAGCCCAGTCTGTAAGGGCCGCTGCCAGGCCCCGGGCCGACCCCACTGTGCACGCCAGGCCCAGCCCCTTCCCTCCCACAGCTACCCACAAAGGCAGTGCTATTGGCACCCCCATTGGACAGAGCAGGAGCCGTCTTGGGGTCAGGTGACCTGCCCAAAGTCACTGCTAGGGAAGGACAGTGCCAGGGTTCAGGCCCAGCAAGGTGACCCCACGGCCCCCGAGCCGTCCATCTGGCACCCAGCAGGTTGCTGGAGTCACCTGCTCCCGCCGGGCTCGTTTTCGGTTCACCTGCGAGCCCTGGAGTCCCTTTTCCCGGCCCTGTGGTGGCTTCTTGCAGATGCCATTTAAGGGCTTGCATCAGCCCTGGGTCAGGCAGCCGCAGAAGACCAGGGCAGTAACGGGCAAACTGCCTAAGAGCAGAGTGTGGTCCAGCTAGTGGGGAGCTGCGAGGATCCTGCAGGAAAGAGCCACTCTTGCCCCTTCCCATCCGTTTTGGCATTGACCACTTCCGGGGGCCTCCCCTGGCCACTGTCCCCAAGGCCCCCTTTCCCCAGTGCTGCCCTAGAACAAGCACTTTGGCTTCCCCAGGTGGTGGGCCCCTTGGAAGTATCCTTGGGAGGGTTTGTGGAAAAGAGCCCAGGAGTGCCTGCAGATCCCGCCCTGGACTCCATTTTCCCGTAGTCCTGGTGCTGGAGTTTGTGTCCACTTTCGCCAGCTGATTGCCTGGGGAGGGATCCGCATGGTGTCCTCATACTGACGTGGGTTTTGCGGCTCTCCCCGCAGGCCGACGCCTCCCCCCAGGGTCAGCTGCGGGCTCCCAGGCCTAGGCGCCCATGACCCCTACGCCAACAGCCGCCTGGACACCGCCGCCGCCACTGCGACCTAGCGCCGCCGCCGCCGGGGCCCAATGCCGGTCATGCCCATTCCGCGGCGGGTGCGCTCCTTCCACGGCCCGCACACCACCTGCCTGCATGCGGCCTGCGGGCCCGTGCGCGCCTCCCACCTGGCCCGCACCAAGTACAACAACTTCGACGTGTACATCAAGACGCGCTGGCTGTACGGCTTCATCCGCTTCCTACTCTACTTTAGCTGCAGCCTGTTCACTGCGGCGCTCTGGGGTGCGCTGGCCGCCCTCTTCTGCCTACAGTACCTGGGCGTTCGCGTCCTGCTGCGCTTCCAGCGCAAGCTGTCGGTGCTGCTGCTGCTGCTGGGCCGCCGGCGCGTGGACTTCCGCCTGGTGAACGAGCTGCTCGTCTATGGCATCCACGTCACCATGCTGCTGGTCGGGGGCCTGGGCTGGTGCTTCATGGTCTTCGTGGACATGTGAGGGCCGTGGGTGCGAGCTTGATGTATCGTCCCGGCCTGTGGCTGTGTTCTCTCCATGGGTGGGGTCGGCCAGCGCCTTCCCTTCGCCCATCCCCCAGGCAGTCGCTGCTGCCCGGCGCCCACGGAGAGAAAAGAAAGGGCTGAGACTTCTGTGATGGGGGCGCGGACACCACCCCTAGGCTGGCTTCCTGGACCCACCCTCCCCGTATGCACTCTCAGGGGCAGCGCCCACCTGCCGGTGGCTCCTGCTCACATGTCTTCGGGTCGTACTGCGGGGTGGGCCCTCCGTTCCGCCTCTCTGTGGGCCTCTCTCCAGGACCACAGCTGCCAGGGACTTTAGACATCACCCTGGGAGGCCCCTGGACACAGAGGGCTGTGTGCCCAGGAGCAATTCCGGAGGGGGGCCCTCCTGGCTGCACAGCCCCTTCTGCGTGCCCTGGCCCCAGCCCCAGCCAACGGGACACGGAAGGCTCCCCTCGCTGACACACCACACTGCCACAAAGCTGCTTACTCTGCCCTGGGCCGCCTGAGGCCTGGCACTGCCCGCGGACCACCCTGTGTGTGTCATCCTGAGGGGCTGTGTGGGTCCTGAGTCCCCAGCCAGCCTTCAGGGTCCCCTTGGATTGTGTAGATGCAGTCTAGCGGGGGGCCGGAGAAGGGCTCAGGTGGGAGGGGCCTCAGCAGGCTCCCAGCTCAGGGGCTGGCCTGGGGGGAACCCTGGGAGCCAGGGGCTGACTCCAGCAACACTGGCCTGTCTGCCTGTTCTGGGAGGGCTGTGAGGATGTCTTGCAGATGCTCTGGATTTCTGCGGAGGCACCTCCATTCCTTTCTGGCTTTTTTTGCGGGGGAGGGCTTTGGGCCTCTTTCTTTGAGGGAACACCGTCAAAGAAAGCCTGGGAGATCGAGGCTTCAGTGAGCCAGGATGGAAACGCGTGTCCCAAGTGTCCGGAGCAGGCGGCAGAGGCCTCAGTGCGGCAAACACAGCCCCAGAGCCTGTGTGGCACCAGCAGCATCTTAGAGCCCCAGGTATATGCTGAGATCTTATCTCACGCTGTCCTCCAGTGTCTGGGGGGCCCAAATGATGGCACAGGGGCAGGTGGGCTGGAGGGGCGCAGATGCCTGTGTTCAGGGAGGGTGGCCACCATGGGCCGAGGTCTCACCCAGGACCCCTTGCTCTGCTCCTCAGCCTTGCAGTCACGGCAGCACTATGGTGGACTGCCCATGGCCGTGTGACTTTGGGGGCAAGTGGGAGGGCGCCCTGAATAATGATTGCAAGGACAACAGGCAGAGGCTACCCTAGAGCAGGACACAGGGTGTGGTACTGACAACCCTAGTGTCACCTCAAATCCATGTCCCCACACTCTGGGCATGGGTGGGACTTGTGACCCTACCCTGTCAGGCGGACCAGTGGCCCAGGAGCCATGAGGACAGTTGTGTGCCACTGGAAGAGAAACTTTTTGAAAAACCCTAAATCAGGTAGAGAAAGCAAAAAATCTCTGGCCGTAAACCGTGCTCTCTAATTTATCGGCAGCTTCTGTGGATGACCTCTGATGAGCCCGGGCTGCGTCCACGCCCTGGGCAGGTAGGCGGGAGCTTCCCTGCGTGGGCCTCATTTCTTGCTGCAGAGAATCTTTTGCACTAAGTCATGCTGTTTCCTCAAAGAAGCTTTGTTTTTTGTTAACGTATTACTCAGAGTCACCCAAGCCTCTTGGCTGAGGGTGAAGGTGGGACGGGAGGCGGGAGGGGGCTGGTGGTGCCGCTCGTGCGGTGTCAACGCTGCAGGGAGTTGTGGCACCTTGGTGCCCTCTGAGCACCTGGCCGCCTGCTGTCCCCGGTGCCTGTGAAATTCGTCATGCCATGACCCACCTGCATTAAACCTATTTTTTTAATGTGTTGATGGAGTGATTGCTTAAAGTTCAATTGTTTTATTCCGTTTTGAAGGACATAATAATCACCCAGAGCACCATAGAAATCATCTTGTGTAAGATGGGAAAGTTTTCCCAAACACTTGTTGCCGTGCTGGGGAAGGAGCCCCTGAGGCCAGGGTTCTCCTTATGGGAAGCTGCCCTGGGGAGATAGCCTAGCTGACAGGCAAAGATTTGTCAGCAGGGCAGTCACCGGGACACTGCTGTGCAGGCCGGTGGAGGTTGCATTCGGCTGACTGGCCCGTTCAGAGTTTTTTTTTTTTTTTTCAGATGGAGTTTTGCTCATGTCAGCCGGGCTGGAGTGCATTGACACGATCTCAGCTCACTGCAACCTCCACCTCCCGGGTTCAAGTGATTCTTGTGTCTCAGCCTCCCAAGTAGCTGGGATTACAGGCGCCCACCACCACGCCCGGATCATTTTTGTATTTTTAGTAGAGATGGAGTTGCGCCATGTTGGCCGGGCTGGTCTTGAACTCCTGACCTCAGGTGATTCACCTGCCTCAGCCTCCCAAAGTGCTGGGATTCCAGGCGTGAGCCCCTCCACCCAGCCTAGTTCAGAGTCTTAAAGCTGAGGTGGTGTTTCCGACGCTGCTGAAAGGAAAGAGGCCTCAGGGCTGTGAGTAAGGACAGCCCGATCCACCTCGGGAAGATGCGCACACACGAAAAAAGGTTGGAAGAAAAATAAAACCAAAGTTCTTATTTATCCAAAAAAACCGTTTGAGGCCAGGTGCAGTGGCTCACGCCTGTAATCCCAGCACTTTGGGAAGCCAAGGCAGGAGGATCACTTGAGCCCAGGAGTTCAAGACCAGCCTGGGCAACATAGTGAGACCCCATCTCTACAGAAAATTTAAAAATGAGCTGGCCGTGGTGGTGTGCGCCTACGAGATCGAGGCTGCAGTGAGCCGTGATTGCACCACTGCACTCCAGCCTGGTGACAGAGTGAGACTCTGTCTCAAAAAAAAAAAAAAAAAGTTTGAAGATCGAGAGACATACTATTCATACTATTGTAGAATCTTTGCTTTGTAAAGGCTTTCTTAGTTTCTGTGAAGGGAGGAAGTTCACGTTTCTCATTTTTTCACTTGCAAAGGCTTCTAACAACGTGAAGATGACAACGATTTCCTCCCAGGCAGTCATTATGGCAAGAAAGTGTCACTTAAAGGGAAACCAGCCGGGTGCAGTGGCTCACACCTGTAATTCCAACACTTTGGGAGGCCAAGGCGGGAGGGTCGCTTGAACCCAGGAGTTCCAGATCAGCCTGGGCAGCAGGGAGACCCCATCTCTACAAAAAAATATTTTCAAATGAGTCAGGTGTAGTGGTGCTCACCTCTAGTTCCAGCTACTCCGGAGGCTGAGTGGGCAGGATTGTTTGAGCCCAGGCCGGGGAGGGGTTGAGGCTACAGTGAACCATGATTTTGTCACTGCTCCACCCTTGGTGACAGAGCAAGACCCCTTCTCAAGAAAATAAAGGAAAACTCTGGATTCCATTACGTAACAACCTATCCATTGTAGAGTTTTGTGGAACTGTTTCACCAAACTGCTGGGGTTTTGTTTTTGATGGCAGAGTTTGTGAAATCCTTACAAAAATGTTTGCCCCTGAAAAGCTTAGGAGGGTGACACTTGTTTTACCAAACCTAGGGCTGAAGCTTGGTGTGGAGCACTGCTTCCCAGACCAGCCTTCTGATCCGAAGGTCTGGGGGCTCTGTGTGCCCCACAGGGGGTGCCAGGCCACAGCCGAGTCCTGAGGTGGGCTCAGGGCCTGGACACGCAGCCTTACCTGTGCACACAAAGCCGGGGCAGTTAGCAAACGGGCCGTCTGAGGCTCGGCCTGGGAGAGCTGCCTGGTCTTGTTGTTTTGCCAGGTGTGGGCGAAGGTGGCTATGCCTTTGACTGTGGTCACACCCGGCCACGCACCACACCAGAGAGGCTGCACAAGGGCTCCTGCCTTCCCTGGGGGCTTCCCTGGCCTTCCCCGCCTGGCTTCACTCTGGTTTTCAGTGGATTTGGCATGTTTTCTGCTGTTCCCTGCCTGGGCCATCTCCATCTGATAGAACTCCCCGCGACAGTGGCAACGCCTCATCCACACTGTCGTGTACAGGAGCCACCAGCCCATGGGACCACTGAGTACAGGGACAGGCGCCACAGTGACCACTGAATGTCTCATCAGACCCAAGGAAGCAGTTCCCACAGAAGGAGCCACTCAGCTGGATTATAACAAGGGCTTTTTTTTTTCTTTCCGTTTTTCCATTTTTTATTTTTTTTCAGAGATGGGGTCTCGCTCTGTTGCCAAAGCTGCAGTGGCCACGATCACGGCTCACTGCAGCCTCGACCTCCTAGGCTCAGGCCATTCCCCGGGCAGAGGCATGTCACAGGCTCCAAGAGCCAAGGAGCTTCCCCATGGCCACAGTGTGTTCCTTGCGGGAGCCCCGCTAACCCGGCTCCTCTGGGGGGGGCTGAAGAGCCCTGTGGGGGATCTGAGGGGCGGTGGAGCTGCTTACGACCGCTCCCCAGCAGACCTGCCATCCTCGGGCTGTATTAACCAGGCGTTTCCCCTGTTTGACAGGTTCTGTTTTCAAAGTTGTTCTCCCCTTGAGGTCCCAGATGACCGGCTGAGCTGTGCAAGGGCCACGGCTCCAAGGAAGGCCGGAGCTACTTGGAGGTTGTCCCCAGGCCCTTTGTCCACAGTGACAGACACCCAGACCAGACCATGCTGCAGTGACTGGTAAGGGTGCCACCCAGAGAGGGATCTCCAGGGACCGCCGATGGTGCTGTATGTCTGGGGCTGTCTGTCTTGGGCCTCCTGGGCCCTCCCAGCAGCAGCTGTGTTTCTGCTGGGTGGGGAGACGTGCCAGGACCACTGCTGGGGGACCAGCGCTTTCCACGGACACGTCACATTTAGAACAGCCTGATTTGCTGGTGGTGGGCTCCACATGTCTGAAAACACAGGAGTGACCTGCAGGCCTGGAGGCTTCCAGAAGCTTCCAGCAGTGGTGAGGAGTCGAGGACTGGGAAGGTGTTGAGACAGAACCTAAGCATGTGGCCGCTGCGGCTTCCTGCAGAGATCTCAGGCAGCGCGCAGCCGCTTCGGAGGGAGTTGGGAGCCGGTTAGGAGACAGGATCCATCCTTACGAGGCGGCTGGTCCATACAGCGGTTCCCCTCCCACTGCAAGTGGCCTCGGTTGCCTGCGAAGGAGGGAAGTGGCCCCGGGGACTCAGGGTGGCGGCCGGACCTGAGTGAGCTGGGAAGGACAGGTGTGGGCAGGGAGGGCCGCTGGCTGCTCCTGGGGACGGTGGGAAGTGGAGGTAGCTGCAGACTGGCCTGGAGGTCAGGAACGTGCCGGGAAGGTTCTGGAATCAGAGCTGCCCGGCGCTGGCTGGATGAGAGGCCCCCAGTGACAGCAGTGGGTTTGGGAGTCATGGGTTTGGCAGTGAGGAGCCTGGCACCAGAGGTCAGTGTTCGGCCTGGGGGATGGGGGAGGGTGGGCGGCCCTGGACCAATCCCTGAGCCTGGACCACAGAGAAGGTGTCCAGCCCAAGGCAGGCGCGAAGCTGAGGGGGAGCTGGGCGGGCCGGGGAGGGAGGAATCAGAGGGGCTCTGGGGAGGGCGGCCCCTGGGTGGAGACGGGTGGGAGGGAGGCCTGGAGGTGGGGAGCGGCTCCATCTCAGGCTGAACAGAGTGCTGAGTCAGGAAGTCACAGCCGGGCGCGGGGTGTGGAGGAAGCCACCAAAGCCAGCCCGGGGCTGTTGACTTAGTGGGGTCTGATTTTCAGTCTGTGCCTGGCCCAGGGGGATTGTGCCGAGTGGCTCCCAGAGCCCCCCTTTCCCCGTCGTCCACCACACGGGGACACCAGCTTGGGCACCAGACCGGGGGTCTCTGTTGCTGAAAAGTGGAATCCAAGCTGAGGAGCCAGCAGAGGGCAGGCAGTGGCTGGAAGGGGGTGGTGCTGGGGATTTCAAGATCTAAGATGCTCGGTCAAGATGGGCCACGTGCTGTCCCATCCCCAGCACAGGGTGGCCTCGGAAGGCTGCCCCGTCAGAGCCCCCATGTGCAGCCTCCACAGGCAAAACCACCCCAAACGCACACACACAGGAATGTCCTCCACCTCCCGCCCCTCCGCAGGGGGCAGGACAGGACAGCAGGGGCTGAGGGGGAAGGTGCCCGGCTCCAAACACAGCCCCCAGCAGGAAGGACGGCAGGGCCAGGCGCGGCCCCCACTCCAGACCAGAGCATGACTCCCCCGGTGCCGCTGCGTCGATGGTGATATTGATGCTCCGTGATCTTGGAAGGGCCTGTCCCCTCCAGCGTGCGATCGGAGGAGGGCGCGGGCCCTGGCAGTGCTGTGAGTGCTGATTCAGCGTTTTCTGGGGGAGACAAACGTGCTTCGATCTGCAGAGGCCAGTGCGTTTCTCTTCTTCCTTATGGGTCTCCTTTGGAAAGGGCCCCTCTCTGCCCAGGCCCTCCCTGCAGGCCTCCGCTCATGCCCTCGGAGGCGGGGGCTGCCCTGCACCCAGCCCCGGTGAGCCGCACTTCCCATGCAGCAGGCTGCAGAGGCCGCAGTCCAGAAACACCCCCCACCCCACCGCCTGGCGCGCCTCCTGACGGTTC
Source organism: Homo sapiens (assembly GCF_000001405.40). Classification (NCBI taxonomy): domain Eukaryota; kingdom Metazoa; phylum Chordata; class Mammalia; order Primates; family Hominidae; genus Homo; species Homo sapiens. Next base: position 136,109,953 of record NC_000009.12, on the reverse strand, counting down.
CCAAAAGAGAGAGCGCCCCGCCGCACCAGCATCCTTGCCCAGGCGGGGCCGTCCGGGTGCAGCTGATTCAGCGGCTCCTGGCCCGGCGCCCCTCCCCCAGCCCAGCTGGGCAGCGTGCCCGGGCATGCCGGCAGCTGTGTCACACGGGCTCTGGCAGGGCTGCTGTGGCGCGCACTGCGCCTGGGGGCGGGGTTGCAGGCTGCTGCGGCGGGCGGGCTGCCAGGCGCCCCCTCCCTGCGGGGCCGCTCCCCTTCCGTGCAGTCCTTGTATGGCCTCCTGCAGAGGAGAGGCCCCGTGGGAGGCGGAAGGCAGAGCTGGGTCTTGGTGCTCCTGGGCTACCGTCAGCCCCCAGGAAATAATCACATCCCAAAGCCCCGTCAGCGGATCCACCGCCACATCCAGAGTCTCCCCATAGCCCGGGTCGGGGCCGCGTTCCTCCATCTCAGGCCAGCCCTGCTGGGGCCACCTGCCGTCCTGACCTGGGCGGAGACTGGAAGGGGCAGGTGGGGCGGGGCCCAAGAGTCCTACCCGACTAATGGGGACAGCCGGAGCCAAGGGGCTCTCAGGGCAGCAGGAGGGCCATGCAGGGGTGAGCCACAGCCCCCAGGGCCCCTCCTGCCAGCTTCGCTGCGCCCATGAGCTTGGGTTTGCCTCTAGCTGAGGGCATGGGGCAGGCCTGGGGAGCCGGTAGGCGCTGACCCAGCGGTGACCCGGGCCCAGGGGAGGAGGGCGCCGGCTCTATTTGGGAAGGGGCTTCGTAAAGGGGCTTGGTTAATTTATGGGAGAACCTCGGTGTCCCCGCCCTGTGAGGGCTGTGGGCGTGGGGTAAATGCAGGGCGGGGAGGGGAGAGGGGTCAGGGCTGAGGAGGAGAAGCAGGGGCAGGAGGCAGGGCGGGGAGGGCAGAGGGGTCAGGGCTGAGGAGGAGAAGCAGGGGCAGGAGCGGTGAGGAAGAGGGGCATTTGGTCGAGGTTGGGTCAGGTAAGGACACGGTGGTAGGCAAAGGCCAGGGGGCAGGTGGGGTGCCTGGGAGGTCCGTGGTCAGAGGATGGGTGCTGGTGGGGCCTGGAGATGGCGGTGCTGCCTCCACCCTCCTGAGCCTGGAGGCCTGACAATTGCATCCGAAAAATCCACAGCCACCATCGTGTCAGCAGCACGTTGACCATGGCTCACGACATGGGGACGGGCATTCTTGCCGCTTCCTCAGAATATTAACGACGGTCCCAGCAGAATGCTGTATGAATATTCATATGGAGCTCAATCAAGCCTGGGCTGGCGGATGGCACAGGGAGAGGCGCCGTGACAGGCTGGGCCCGGGTCCCAGTGGGCACACCTTGGCAGGGTGTGGCCGTAAGTCTCCGCCAGCTCCAGCCAGGATCTGCCTCCCTCGGGATGGGACAGGCCTGGGCCTGTTGTATGGCCACAGGCAGAAGAGGCCGATGAGTGACATGACATCACCACTTAGTGACTGCCCTCGTCCTGGGAGCCCAGATGCTGGGGCGGGGCTCCTTCCTGAAAGACCCAGAGAAGTTCATCTCAGGTTTAATGGGGGCACTGCTGCCTCAGAAGCCAGGCAGTGGGTGGTGAGGTCCCTGTCCTCACTGGGGTCTGCAGCCGAGGAGGACTGGCCACCGAGGCCCAGGCCAGGCACAGGGATGCTGGGTGGCCATGGCCAGTCCTCCCGGGAGCCCCTAGCACCTTGGGCCTGCCCCCAGCTCTCACGCCGGGAGAGGTTTTTTCCCACTCCGGTGGCCGACGCCCTGGTGAAGGGATTCGCAGAACGGGAGCACATGGATTTCCAGTTCTTCCCAGCGGGCGCACGTAGGCCGGCACCCTCTCTCTCGTCTTTGGGCAGAACTCGAGTGCTGCTAGACCCTTGGCCCCGCTCACTGCGCTGGGCCGCACTGCACCCATTTCCTCCCAGCAAGGGCGGTCCCTGGACTCCTCTGACCTGAACTGCTTCCGAGTTTGCTTCTCAGAACCAAGAGGGGCTGGCTCTGCGCCCTGCCTACCTGTCCAGGGGTGGGGGCTGCCCTTTGAAGCTATCAATCTGGGTTTTAAGTGTGGATTCATTATTGACAACACCATGACGTTATGCTGACATGAATTATTTGTATGTTTTTCAAATTGTGCTGTGATAACCCTGGCTGTCTTCCTGCTCCCATAGTGGATAAAAGCGTCCGAAAGAATGCCGCCATCTCTCTTCTCCCCACAGCCTGGAGCTGGGCCAACCGGAACTCAGCCACCACCTGTGCTCGGTGCAGCCTGGTTTGACCCCCACCCTCCTCCACCTGGCTGGGGTGCGTGCCTGGCACATGTATGTGTGCACGTATGTGCGTGTGGGGGTGTGGCATTTGTGTGCCCAAGTGTTTTCTGCTGTCGTGTCTCACGTCCTGGCTCTGCCGCCCTCCACATCCATGGCTCCTTCCCGTGCTCCCTCAGATGGTCCCCCAAAGAACGGAGGGACTCCGGCCCCTTGAGGAACAGGGAAGCCCCTGCCTGGGTAGCCACTGGCAGGTGAGTCCTGTGTTCCTGCCGAGAAAAAGTCTGCTTTCAAACGCGGATGGGCAAGCACTCCCTTTGCGGTCGCCGCGCTTGGGGTCGCCGGTTGCTGGGCTGATTGGCAGGAAGAGGTGCGGCTCCCCGGCCCCTCGTGAGGCTGTGCAGCCATCTGCCCCTCTCCAGGCCCAGCTCTTCCTGTGAGATAAGGGGGCGGGAACCCAGGGAGGCTGGGCCTACAGCGTGCAGTGAGGTGAGGTGCTGGACTAGCTGTTCTCAGGTCACCCCCAGGGAAAGCCCTAGGCCCGCATTCTGTCCCCAGGTGGGAAGTTCAGGGAGAAGGAACCAGGGCTGGGGTTGGACTCAGGGCGGGGGGCGGGGGGGCGGGGCTCACGATGTCACCTGTGGCACGGCTGCCGCAGTGGGCCAGGGAGCTCCAGATTCCCTGGGTCACCGTCTTACCAGGGCCTGGGTTGGGGCCTGGGTCGGGGCCATGGGATTGCAGAAGCAGCACTGGAGGCTGGTGCCCTGTTCCTTCCACCAAAACTGGGCAGACCCTCTCCTCAAGGGAAGGTGCCGGGGGCTGGCTGCAGGCCCTGCCTGAGGCAGATCTGATGACCTTGGGCCAGGAAGACAAGGCCATTTGTGGCCCAAACCCTTTCCTGGGGCTTATTCTCAAGGATGTATCCTGGTGGGGGCTGTCTCCAGGGGTCGGTCTGTAGAAGGATGCTAGACCCTCTCTGGGAGCTCCGAGCCTAACACGAACAAACAAAAGAACAGGTTGCTGCCCCACGGGTTCCTGGGGCTGGGTGCAGAGCAAGCCTTCACATTCACTTTCTGAATGACTGTGCCAAGGGCCAGCTGAGGCCCCCACGAGTACGTCTTCCGGGCAGGATGTCCCTCGAGAGCTGTGCTTGCCTCTCACCAACTTAGAACTAACCCCACTCCCAGGCTGGGCACGGTGGCTCACACCTGTAATCCCAGCACTTTGGGAGGCCGAGGTGGGCGGATCACTTGAGGTCCGGAGTTCGAGACCAGCCTGGCCAACATGGTGAAACCCCGAATCTACTAAAAATACAAAAATTAGCTGGGCGTGGTGGCAGGCGCCTGTAATCCCAGCTACTCGGGAGGGTGAGGCAGGAGAATCGCTTGAATCTGGGAGGTGGAGGTTGCAGTGAGCCGAGATCTCACCACTGCATTCCAGCCCGGGGGACAGAGCAAGACTCCATCTCAAAAACAAACAAACAAAAAAGCCAACTACCCCCCGGCCCCCCCAATACACCCCGGAAAAGCAGCCCTGCTGTTTGGAATCTGACCCCTTAAAGTCCTTCTGTCTGTCCTATCTGGGAGCCTCTAGATGCTGCCAAAGGCTTTCCCAAGCCCAGCTCTCACATGTTTCCTGCAAAGGACAGTGGCTGTCCCCTGAGCCTGACTTGGCCAAGGGGCTCTGCCGTGCCTCCCGGGAGGAGGTGAGTCACTGCAGCCGCCCGACCCTCAGCCTTCTCTGGAGCAGGAGGCAGCAGCTGCTTTACAGCTGCATAAAACATTAGAGGGAAATTTAGGACAAAAGAGGAAGACGATTAGAGCATCCAATTTAAACCGAGGGAGGGCATACGGAACCCAAAACGGCACTGCCCTAATTCAGGAGCAGAGGGAGGCACGGGCTCTGCAACCGCTGACAAGAACCAAAATACTCACCCAGTTTTCTTCTGCAAAAGAGACCCAAAGTTGCCTGACAAGATGCCCACAGATGTCCCAGGCCCTGCGGGAGCCGACCTCCTCCCCAGGGGATGATGCAGCCCGCTCCGTGCCCATGCCAGCTGGCCAAGGGCACAGCAGATGCCCCAGGTCACCATCCTTCCAGGGACCTGGCTCAGAGCCATGGGATGTTCTGTTCTTTCCGCCAAGACTCTGTGGGCACCGCTGTGGCAGGCCAGAGCAAGGCTGAGAAGTGGCCGGGAAGGAGCCACATCCAACTGTGCAGGCAGCTCCCCCCAGCTCCCTCCCTGCTCTCTGCTCTCCCTGGACCAACTGGCCCAGCCTAAGGCTGTGCAGGGACTGGACAGCAGGGTCTGACCCCAGCCTTCCTGGGCCTGGGGCACAACACTCTTGCTTTCGGGTCAGCATCTGCAATGGTGCTTCCTCCTGGGGACAGGGGTGTGGCCCCCTTGGCTGGTCAACTCTGCTGTGTCCCTTGGCTCTTGCTGTCCACTGGAGAAGATGGTCCCAGGGAAGCAGAGGCTGCCCAGAGACGGGGGCTTTCCGTGTGGGGCTTTCGGTATGGGGCCAGATGAGCAGGTCTCTTATCTCCAGACCAGCCTTCAGCAACTTCCAGCTGCGAGATGAGGGCACCCAGTCCTCACTTTAACCACAGGACCACAGAGACGAGGGGAAAAGCAAAACAAGGGAGGCCAATGGTTTGGGAACCCTGGCTCTGCCCTCAGGAGCACACTGGGCCTGCCTGCCGGGTTGGTCTGTAAGCCAGTGAGCACTCCCCACCCACCCCACCATGCACCCAGCATCTGAGCTGCCAGGGTCCCCTTTGACCCCCGCAGTGCAGGTGTGCTGGCACCATCGGCCAGATCCACTGTACTGGGCCCTGGCTTAGCCTCTAGTGGAGTGGGGTCTACCAAATGACAATAGGCCAGGGCCGGAGAAACTGAGGAAAGTGAGACCCTCTCAGTGGGGCAGAGCTGCAGGCCCACCCAGATGCTGCTTTCTTGGGGGGATTTAGGAATCTCTGAAGCAAATGCATGCTTCAGTTACAGACTAGTGCTTGAGCATAGCAGGACTTGAAATGGACAGGCATTCCTGCCCTGGTCCTGGTAAGGTGAATTAGCATAATAAAAGCAAATGTGCTCTGCCCAGGGTTTTTGGAAGTGAGGTGGTTTATGTGATCTTCAGCTGCCTGTTCCGTCCTTCAGCTTGTATGTAAGAAGCACCAGGAAACACCCTCCCCCATGGACACTAAAGCAGGGGCCGTTCTGTCACGGAGCAGCCACCTCCAGATGGCTGTGCACCTGCACACCTGCTGGCACGCCCTGCCCGGAGCCAGGTGAGCTCTCTGTATCTGGAGAAGCCCTGGGCTTGCATGGGCAGGCTGCAGGGGTGGAGGGGGGGGCGACCTGCAGGGTGGGGTGGGACACCAGTGCTCTCTCTCTCCTGAGATCACATTCCTGGGCATCCGGCATGAAGGTCACAGAAACGGGCAGTGTTTGGCTGCACTTGCTGGGGGCTCAGGGGCTGCTCTAGCAGCAGCAGGGCAGTGCGCCGAGCCCAGCGTCCGGGCAGGCGCTCAGCAGGGTGGCTTCCTGGCCCATCGTTGTTACTAGGGAATTGAAGCCCAAGTCCCTGGCGACGCCCCGCTTCCCCATCCCTCCACTGCACAGAGGCACTCCGGATTGCTCTGGGGTGCATTCCTGGGACCTTGGCCTCCCCTCCAGCCCTTCCGAGTTCCCTGAACCCCAGCAGACACACGGCCATGAGGCTGGCTGGCAGGAGGCCAGGGGTGCAGCGTGGACACCTCAGGGACTCCTCCCCGCCCCGGAGGCCCCTATGCACGGGGTGTGGGGGCGGCATTCATCCCACTGGGGTGCGCCAGGGTGGACAGGTGGAGTGTGGCCTGACTGTGGGCACCTGGAGGAAAGGGCTCTGCTGGCACCTGTGCTGCACCGTCTGCACCCCCGGCCCGGAGGGGCCCCACGTGCCACGTCCCTCTTCTCATGGTGGGGACCTTCCCGCCACCTCCGCCGCCCTGGGATGCTCTTCTCCCTCACTCACCCTCACACCATGGCACCTTCGGATGACCAAGAGCCTCCCTTTCCTCCCAGGGCCAGATCCTGAGCCAGTTCCACAGGCACCAGCAGGTCCCAGGACCTGCAGCTTGGAGCAGAGGATGGGCTGCCCCCCAGCCCTCAGGGGCTGCCCCCCAGATTCCATCGTGGACTCCAGCCTGCACACTGGTCGCCTGAGATTCCGATTCAGCAGGTCTGGCCCCGGGACCTTGTGATTCCAATGGCTCCACCTCTCTTAGAGGCAGCTGCTCTGCCCTGGGGGTCTCGAGGGACGGAGGGTAGGCAGAGCATCCAGGAGGCACGAAAGCCCAGGAGAGCAGCGAGGCTCCAGGGCCACTGGAAGAAGGTGGAGGAGGGGGAGGCAGCTGTGGCCAGACGCTAGAGATTAAGACAGGACCAGGGTCCGGCGCGGTGGCTCACGCCTGTAATCCCAGCACTTTGGGAGGCCGAGGCAGGCGGATCACGAGGTCAGGAGATCAAGACCATCCTGGCTAACACGGTGAAACCCCGTCTCTACTAAAAATACAAAAAAATGGCCGGGCGCGGTGGCTCAGCCTGTAATCCCAGCACTTTGGGAGGCTGAGGTGGGCGGATCACAAGGTCAGGAGATAGAGATCATCCTCTGAATGGCGAAACCCCGTCTCTACTAAAAAAAAAAAAAAAAAAAAATTAGCCGGGCGTAGTGGCGGGCGCCTGTGGTCCCAGCTACTTGGGAGACTAAGGCAGGAGAATGCCATGAACCCGGGAGGCGGAGCTTGCAGTGAGTCGAGATCGCGTCACTGCACTCCAGCCTGGGTGACAGAGCGAGACTCCGTCTCAAAAAAAAAAAAAAGCCTGGACCAGGAACTGGGGGCGGATTTGGAGCAAATGTTACTCCAAGTGACTTCCACACCCTAGTAACCTTGTCCAGCCATAGAGACCATCCCTGCGTCATCGACCCCAGCCCAGTCTGGCCCTCACTCCCTGGACACTTGAGAATCCAGCAGCAACTGCCTCTCCCTACTTGGGTGGCCGCAGCGGGCCATTCGTCCCGATCTTCCCTATCCCAGGACGCGGCGTGGCCTTCACGGGCCCACCTGCCCGGCCTCAGTCCGAACGCTCCCCACCTCCCCTTCCCTCCCAGCCCTCCTCATTCCTCCGGGTTCCACCTTCACAGCCCCTCCACCGCCGCCCCCACCCTCACTGGACCCCAGGGAGGGAACCCAGCAGGTCTCATAGAGCCCTCTCCCCGGCAGCCAGACCTCAGAGGCTCCCCTCCAGCCGCTAGCTCCAACGAGGCGGAGTCCTGGCCCAGGCTCTTCCTTCGCCACCTCTGCCTCCTCCATGGCAGACCTGGATTTCTTTTTTAACCAGCCTGCCACCCCTGCTACTAGAACAGGAGCCCCAGATGAGCAGGGGCCAGTGACTTGTTCTGAAAGGGGCCAAATGCCTTCCTGGTCACTCCTGGGAGTCAGGGGTGCCGGCCCGCCCACGTAGCCCAGAGGGACGGAGGGCCTCACCTGCAGCCCTGCTGGCCACTTTCCCTCTGGGCCAGCTGGACCCCAAATCTGGCCCTTCAGGGAACCCACAGAGGCCTCTGCTGTGTCTACCGGGTTCCCGGCTCCTCCAGCAAATTGTGCCTCCTCGTCCGGGGTGTGGGGGGATGTAAGTTCAGCCGCATCAAGGGCCCTGAGGAGGGAGCCTCGTGCTGGGAGAGCCACCGGAGCTCAGAGACAGCTTCCCTGAAGTCCCGAGTTGGGCCCTGGGGATGAGCTGGAGCTCACCTGCTGCTGCAGGGAGATGGGGGTCCTGGCAGAGGAGCAGCGGGTGCAAAGGCCCTGTGTCCGTCAGCGGGTGCAAAGGCCCTGTGTCCGTCAGCGGGTGCAAAGGCCCTGTGTCCGTCAGCGGGTGCAAAGGCCCTGTGTCCGTCAGCGGGTGCAAAGGCCCTGTGTCCGTCAGCGGGTGCAAAGGCCCTGTGTCCGTCAGCGGGTGCAAAGGCCCTGTGTCCGTCAGCGGGTGCAAAGGCCCTGTGTCCGTCAGCGGGTGCAAAGGCCCTGTGTCCGTCAGCGGGTGCAAAGGCCCTGTGTCCGTCAGCGGGTGCAAAGGCCCTGTGTCCGTCAGCGGGTGCAAAGGCCCTGTGTCCGTCAGCGGGTGCAAAGGCCCTGTGTCCGTCAGCGGGTGCAAAGGCCCTGTGTCCGTCAGCGGGTGCAAAGGTCCTGTGTCAGCAGCTCAGAGAGAGCCCCAGTGTACTGCAAGAGACAGCGTGGGGGGGGGACCAAGGCTGAAGAGTGGGCGAGATCAGCAGCTCAGGCTGGGAGGGACATCTCTGAGCACAGAGGGACAGTTTCACTACAGGGCAAACGGGGTCCTTCTGGCCTCCTGGAGCTAGTCCTGTCCCGTCCACACAGCCCAGTGCCTGGTATGGACACAGGCCTCAAAGGGTCAGCCCAGCAGGCAGAGGCGGGAGCTGCTGGGATCAGCACGCTCGGCTTCATGGTGGTCACAGCAGGGACACCCAAAAGAGCCGCCAGGATGGCAAGTGTCCCTGGCATCTGAGGCCCATAGAAGTGCCCTTTGCCCAGCAGGATCGTAGACAGGATGGTGACCCCCCAAGGGGTGGAGGGCCCAGGGCAGTCCGGCCCAGGCTTTGAACCCATTCACTAGAATAACCGTCCTAAAGAAAGAAATGGCAGTGGGGGAGTGACCAGGGGCCCGAGCCAGCTCTGCGGGAGATGTAGGGCCTTGCAGAGTCACAAACACCTGCCTGCATCCCCCATTGTCCTGCAGGTGGGCGGAGCCGCACCCAGTGCAGCCGGTGGTGGGGGCGGGGCCAGCTGGGCTTGGTCTTGCAAACTGCACATCTTCTAGGAACTGGCTCCAGGAAAGCGGAGGTGGTTTTCCCCGGAGCTGCCTCAGGACCCCGAGGGGGTGGTGGTCAAGGTGGACTCCCTGGGGGCCTGCCAAGACCTGATGTTCTGAGTGGGGCTTTGGCTGGAGTATGGCCTCGGTCCCTGGGTGGACAGGTGGGTGAGGCCCTGTGCAGTGTCCTGGGCCATTCTGCTGTGCACAGCTCTCGTCCCCTGGGCTCTGGGGCCCCCTGGCCCCTCACTCTCTTCCAGGACTCAGCAGGCACCACCCTGGGCTCCTGGGTTGACTTCCTACGGTAGGAGGAGGCTGCCCCCTGGAGCAGCCTGGGGGCTACAGGATTGGGAAACTTTTAGTAAAAAAAAAAGGGCAATGGGCTCAATTTGAACCCCACGCTGGAGGTACCAGCCAAAACCCCAACTGCAGAAACACAGGGCCTGGCTTCTACTCCAAGTATGGGGGCTGCATCCAGGGCCCAGGGTGAGGCTGGTGGGCCCAGCTTAGCCCCCAGTCGCAAGGGCCGGCTCAGCTGCTCCGCTCTCGGCCCCCTCAGGCTGGCACAGAGCGGGGCCCTGACAAGGGGCCCTGTGGGAGCAGCCGGGGCTTTCCTGGAGCCTCTCTCTAGGGTGGATGGGAGCGAAATCGACACACTGATATGTAACCATGGATTATGATGGAAGAAAGGAGCGAGCACTCAGAAAACAGAAAGGGGGCCTCGTGCAGGGTATGGAGGCGGCGCCGCTGGTAAAATCCTGAGCGCTGGGAAGCAGGGGAGACGGCCGCGGGGACGAAGGCTGCTTGGGAGCTGGGCGTGGCGGACGCACAGCCCCGGGAATGTGCTAAATGCCACGGAGTTGTTCAGTTGATAGTGGTTGCTGTCAGTTAGGTGAATCTCACCTCGATTTAAAAAAAAAGGCAAAAAAAAAAAAAAAAAAAAAGAAGAAGGAAAGAGCCCACCCCAAGTCAGTCTCTGCCTTTCTGGTCTGGAGTCCATGGCCCTGGGCCTGTCCCTGCCGCCCCGCACGCCCCCCTCCCTACCGCCACCAACCCACACCCCCCCCCCCCGCCGACCCGCACACACGCCCCGGCCGCCCCGCGCACCCACCCTGCCGCCGCCCCACACAAACACCCCCCGCCACCCCGCACACACGCCCCCACCGCCCCGCACACCACCCCCACCCGCCGCCCCGCACACACACCACCGCTCTTCATCACCTCTGCCACATCTTCCCTGTGCTGCCTGCTGGACCACAAGCCCTCTGAGGCCAGGCGTTGGGTCAGCTTCACAGGACAGGGCCCCCTTGGGTGGAGGTGAGGGTGCAGGCCCTGGCAGGCTCGGCTTCCTGTCACCCCCGACCCCTGAGGGTCCCCCACTCCCTCGTTTCCTCCTCAGCCCATCCGTCGAGTAGGATCAGCCTTCTCTGGCTGTCTCACTGGGCACACGTGTCTTCACGGGGCCTTTATCATCTGCTGCACATAAGCTACAAGGCCAGGGGCCTGGCCACGTCTTCTCTGTTGGGACTGGGGTGTCTGTGGGGGACCACGGAGGCTCCCAGTGAACAGGAAAGTCCTCCCCCACCAGCAAGCCCTGCCCCAGGAAGGCAGAGGACCGGACTGAAATCAGATGGTTTCTCTTGCCCCCCGTGAACTGCTCTTCAGACAATGAAAGCGGCTTCCTCCCGAGACAGCGGCACCACTGGCCGTTTCACCAAAGGCTGTTCTGCACCTCTCTTCTGTGTTGACAGGCGAGACGCAAGCGAGAGAGTGGGCAGAGAAGCCCTCTGGCTGTCCTCCTGCCGCAGGGGTGCAGAGGCGCACTCTGGCTCTGGGGAGCTGTCCCGGAAGCACAGCCGAGAGAGCCTGTGCTGGGCTGGTGAGAGGCTCCAGGTCCTCCTGGGGTCTTCTCAGCCCAACAGCCCTGGCCAAGGGCTGACCTGAACAGCAGCACCAGGGAGGCACCTGAGGCCCCCCGCCTGCTACTTCCCTTTCTGCTGACCGAGCTCCCCGGACACTCTGAGGACCGGGAAGAGGCATCAGAACTCGGGCAGGTGTGGGAGAGGGGGCACAGCATCCCCCAGCAGCCCCAGGAAACAGGGTGGAGACAGATGGAGCCTAGGCTCCAATTCTGAGACTCCTCAGGGCACCTGCTGTGTGCCAGGCACCACACTGAGCCAGTGATGAGACAGTGGACAAGGTGGGAGACCGTGCCGATGGAAGCCAAGGGCGGACCAGTGTCAGGATGGCGTCTGGGTGCCTGCTGCCGACGGCCATGTGGCTCTTTCATAAGGAAGGGTCAGGGAAGGCTTCCTGAGCCAGGGATATTGGGGTGGAGACTCAAAGAAAGTGACAGAGCAAGCCTTGGAGACACAGGGGCAGAAGGTTCAGGCAGTGGGAACAGCGGGTGCAAGGGCCCTGGGGCAGCAGGTACAGCAGAAGCCAGCCTCGCTACAGCTGAGCAGGCACTGGCGTGGACGAGGCTACCACGGGTGGGATGTGGGGTGGGGAAGGATGTGGGGCATGGGTGGGGTGGGGTATGAGGCGGGGGTGGTGAGCTGGGTCCTGGTCACCCAATCACCCGGGCTTGTGCTCTGAGCAAGAAGGACATTGGGGAGCTCTTGGGGGTTCTGAGCGGGTGGGGGTAATCCAACAGGTTTAGAAGCAGCCCTGTGCTGCTGTGTTGTGACAGGCTGGGGCAGGGCTGGAGGGGAGGCTAGGGACCGGGGTGGGGAAGGGGGCTGTGGCAATCACTGGAGAACAGGGCAGTTGTGGACCAGGAGGGTGGCTCCGACATGACTTTAACACAGAGCTGTTAGGATGGGCACAGACTGGATCTGGCGTGAGATTGGGGTGGGATGTCACCACCTGCACAATGGTAGCAGCACCTGGAGAGCCATCAAAGGCTTCTGCCATCCAGGGGAGGACACGCAGGTGTCCAGGCAAACAGGTTGGTCCTCTGTGTATGACTCCTGAGCGCACCCAGGGGCTCTGCAGTGTCTGCAGATGTGGCTTGTGACCTCCCCTTACCCCCTGCCCAATGCTTTCTGGATGGAAGGGGAAAAATCAAGTTGCAAGGCCGTGAGAACTCAGGCCTGGATCCCGGATGGGGCCTCCCTGAGCTGGAGACCCATAGCAGCGGTGCTGCTATGCTCAGTTGAGACTGTGGCCCCCAGGCCCTTGTAGCAGCCAGGAATCAACAAGATCAAATGCAGGGAGGAGATGCGGAGGATGCACCCGGGGTGAGCCCCACTCAGCCCAGGCCCTGCTGGGGACCCCTGAGTGAGCCCCAGGCTAAGCTGTAAAACGGGAATAAGGCTGGGCGCAGTGGCTCACACCTGTGATCCCAGCACTTCGGGAGGTTGAGGCAGGTGGATCACCTGAGGTCAGGAGTTCAAGACCAGCCTGCCTAACATGGTGAAACCCCGTCTCTACTAAAAATACAAAAATTAGCTGGGCGTGGTGGCACGTGCCGATAATGCCAGCTACTCGGGAGGCTGAGGCAGGAGAATCGCTTGAACCCGGGAGGCAGAGGTTACAGTGAGCTGAGATCGCGCCACTGCACCCCAGCCTGGGCAACAGTGTGAGACTCGGACTCAAAAAAAAAAAAAAAAAAAGGAATAAACAGAGCTCACCTCATGGTACTGTTGTGAACGTTAAATGCGGTAAGGTGTACATACTCAGTAGCACGGGCCTGGAATTCAGTAGGGATGCAGGGTTTGCTTTAAAAGGTGCAAATATATGTTGGTGTACATACGTATAGGCACACAGAAATTGGGGAATTGATTTCTGCTTATCCGCTATCTTCTAAACACTTTTCAATGCTTTCCAAATATCCTTCACTAAGGAAGAATGTCTTTAATATTTAGAAAATAAAAGTGATTAAAACAATCATTCCCATCCCTGGAGGGCCACGGGTCCTAGTGGGTAGCCCCTTGAGGCCTGCCCCAGGGCTGGAAGCAGCTCCAGGCATCTGTCTCTGGGATTCACGATTCTCAGGGGCTTGGGGTAGCTATGCTCACTGAGAGATCCTGCAGAGATTGTAAAGTCAGGCCTAGGAAGCACCAGAACCCTGAGGCTGCTGAGCTCATGCCCTGGGTGTAGGAGGCACTCAGAACCCTCCTACCCCACCTCCTTCCCACAGTAGACTGCGGGGCGGGTTTGGAAGTGGCAGTGGTGGGGGGAGGGGGGTTGGGGTGTGGGACCTGGGACTGCATTTAGGTCTAGATGGGACTCTGTGGGGAGAGCCCAGAGTCCCTGCGGGGTTCCATACTCACCCCCATACAAGGCAAGCCAGGGAGTGAAGTGTGTGTGTGTGTGTGTGTGTGTGTTCTGGACGCAGAGCTGAATAGAACCTAAAGTTGGGGTCAAGGGCCAGTCTGTGGCCAAGATCAAGGGCCTAGCTTGAGGTTGGGGTGACAAGAACCTGGCCAAGCTTCTGATGATTTGTCCAGGGAATGACCTTGGCTGACTGTGCCAGAAGGGCTGTAGCCCCAGGTTTCTGATCCCCAGAGCCCCAAAGGCGTTCTCTGGGATGCTGGTGGCCATCTCCTTCTCAACCCTTCTCCCAGCGCCCTCGCTCGGGACCACTGAGGCGGTATCACTCCATTCTCCTGCAAGGACCCTTGAGCGTGCTGTGGGAGTGAGGCTGGCTTAGCCTCTGAGGACCACTGCAGCCTGTCCTGACCTCAGGCCCCAGGTTAGGGGGCAGCTGAGGAGGGGTCTCTGGGTCTTTCCGGGTGTGTGGCCGTTTTATTTCCGTGCCCTTGTTTTAAAACTGCACCTCTGTCCTCAGGAGCGTGGCCTTGGGCAGATGGAGAGCTGCGTGGCCGGTGCCGGAATGACTGTCAACGCCCCAGTGCGCCCGGATCACACCAGGCCTGAAGGCAGCGCCAGGCCCAGTCCAGGCAGCTTGCAGTTCCCGGGCCGCAGGGACGGGCGCCGGAGCCCCGCAGACGTTCGCCCAAGGGCGCTCCCGTATCCTCGTCTTTCACGGCCCGCCTGAGCGTCCAGGGCGGCTGCGGATGCGCGCACTTCCCCCGCCCGGATCCCGGAGGCTGCACCGTGCGGACGCGACTGCCGCGGGCAGGGCGCGCGCCGGGGGCGGGGTAGGGGGGCCCGGGGGCTCTCCCGGGCTTAGCGAGTCCGGCCGAGGCCGGGGCCCGGGGAGGGCGGAGGGCGGCGCTCCAGGTCCTTTCCCGACCCGGCCGCCGAGCTCCGTCCTCTGCGCCGCGGCGTCCGGCTCCCGCCGGGTGTCCCGCGCAGGGTCGACCGCCGGCAGCTCCGGAAGGAGGACGCGCGAGGGGCGAGGAGCTGCCGCCTCCCCTCCCCAGCGCTCGGGGTTCCCCACGCCCCGCCGGCCCCCACTGGGGACCCTCCCGGCCCCCGGACCCCAGCCCCGACCCCGGGAGCCCACCTGGCTGCCAGTGCGCGCGCGCGCGCGGCCGGCGCGCTGTCCCTTTAACGGCCCGCGGGCACCTCCCCCGCCGCCGCCCCGCCCCCGCCGCGGTGCGGCCGCCGGTGCTGGGCGAGGTCGGAGAAAGTCCATGGGAGCCGGAGCGCCGGGACGCCAAGCACTTCCTGCCGCGGGCGGCGCGCCGCAGCTGCCCAGGCCGGACCGGGCCGGGCGCCCGCAGGTACCGCCAACTTGGCGCGCGCGGCCGCCCCCGGGTTACGCCGCCGGGCGGGGTCGTCCCACGGGCCGGGCCCGCACTTCCCGCAAACTCCGCGGCCGCCCAACTTGGCGCGAGCCCCCTGCCGCAGTGCCGGCCGCGCGGGGCGGGTGCGGCCGAGTTCCGCGCCGGCCCGGGCGTGCGCGCGGGAACCGGCCTCGGGAGCCCGCGGAGGGGGGCCGGGCGGGGCCGGGGGGTCCCGGCGGAGGCGCCCGCGACCCCGGGCCGGGACGCCGCGCCGCGCGTTCGGGGAGACCCCGGCTCCGGGCGTCCCGGGGCGCTCCCCGCCGCCTGCTGGGTTTCCCTGGATTTCTGGGGACCCGCGCGGCCTCCCCAGGGACCCGACTGGCCGATCCAGCCCTCCGGGTGGGGAAGCCGGGGCAGGACTGGCCCGGGGCCAGGGCGGAGGTACCCACCCCTCCCGGCGCATCTGCGCAGCTGCCTGGCCCAGCCGGGCCCGCGCCTCGCCCTCCCGGTCCAGGTGGGCCCGTTCGTGGGTCGTCACCGCCTCCCGCGCCTCCCCCACTCGGGCCCCAGCCTGGGGAGAAACTGGGGTCCGGCCGCAGGGGGAGGGGGCTCTGCCTCTTGCCAGCTTCTGTGCCTCTGCGGAGCTGAGGTCGGGGGGCCCCAGCTCCTTCTCTAAGAAACTCAGCGGAGCCCGGGGCCCGCCGCGCACCCCGCACGGCCAGGGCGGACCGAGGCCTTCCGACGGAGTTTCCTGCTTCTCTTGCTGGGATCGTGTGGGGTCGGAGGTCAGAGGTCACCTCCCAGCCCCTCTGCCAGGCTCTGGGGGAAGTTTGGTCTTGGACTCTCGTCGTGGAGCCGCTTAAACCTGTGGGTCTGAAGGCCGCGAGGCCGGGTCCCTGGAGTTGGCCTCCCAGGCCGTTCCACTCCCTCCCCCAACCCCCGCGCGGGGCCTCCGGATTGGAGGTGTTTCACCCACGTGCTGGTGGGCCCGTCTCCCTGGGCCGCTGGGTGCCCTGAGCTGTGTTCTCTGCTGCGCGTTCCTTCCTGTGTGTGGCGGGGGTGCTGACCCGGGGGTGCCCAAGGCAGCCCGGACTCCCATCCCGTGGAGCTGCCTCCGGGAGCGCGTGCACCTTGGTGTTCCCGCCCGCCAGCGCGGCCGCACTCTCCTGCCAGAGTCCGTGTCCCTCCAGGTCGCCCCTTCTTCTCACCCACCCCTCTTTTCGTCTGGCAGGCTCCTGACCTCCTTCCCTCCTGTTCTCCAGTGGGACACTCAGCTCAGCATTCTGCAGGGTGTTTTAGCCTGTAGCACCCCCCAGCAGGGGCGCCTAGAGTTAGGTCAGGGTTCAGGCAGCCCCCGCCCCACCCGCCACCTCTCAGCCACCCACCCCTTCTTCTCCCGGCCACCGTTGGAGCACCCCTCTGGTCCTCTGTGGGGCCTTTCCCAGCCCCTCCCTTAAAGAGGCCTCTTGGCGTTTTCCCCTGGGGTCACTGTTGGGTGGTAGCTGGGCCAGAGTCCAAGGGGAGGAAATAAAAGGAGCTGCCACCCAAGGTGGTGGCCCCCTGTCCTTTCGGCAAAGCCACTTGGAATGGGCACAGAGAGTGGAACAAGATATCACTTGTCACTTCTTAGTGGCCAGGGATCCTTTCGCAGTGGTCACACCCAGGGCTCGATGGTGCTGGCCCTGGCCTGGCGGGAAGGCGGGGAGGAGCCACCCGGGAGATCTCCTGCTGGGAGCAGTGGGAGCTGGGCTGCTACAGGCTGCGAGAACAGGCTCTGTTCTTTACCACCGGCTGCTGGAAGGGTTCGCAGGGCTGCTCTGCCCTGGGCAGGGGGCTAGTGGTGACTTTTAAAAAATTCTTCAATCCTCCCTTTGTTTTCCAATTAAAGCATGAGGCTGCATTATTCATGAAACAACAGTGACGATCTTGGTGCTGAGCGGTTCTTCCAGGCCTGCACTCCTCTTGGCCTCTGCCTCCGGAGTCCTGCTTTCCTGGTTTGTGGGCAGTGTGGTCTCCCAGGCCCGAGGGATGGAATGGGGAACCAAGGTGTTGTCCTTTTCGGGATGTTGAGTTCCCAAGGTTCCACCTTGTGCCCCTTCCTCTGAGGTCTGTGCCTCTGACCTGTGTCCCTGGAACGCACAGGGCACCGAGTGCCCAGTGGCCCCAGCCACCGTCAGTGGGGCAGAGCCCATGTTCCTTCCTCAGCCAGCCCTGTTCTAGCCACCTCCACACACTGTCCCCAGGCTGCCTCTCTGCATCTCACAGCCCCTTGGGGTCACTCCATCCCCTTTGCAGGGTCACGCAGTGGGTTCCGAGATCCAGTTGGACTGTGGCCGGTGGGATGAGGGTCGGAGTCCACAGGGGGGCAGCAGGTGGCACCCCTTACCCCAGGATACACCAGCATGTTTCTCCGGAGAACCAAGGCCTTCTACAGACCCCAGTGTAACGAACACATTTGGGAACTTGACTATGGGGCCCCCTGACTCTGCTGCTCCTCCGGCCCAGTCCACCTTCACCTTGGTAGCACATGTCCCTGCCTCAGTGGCCCAGGCTGACCAGCCTCCCATTGTGGTTCTGAGGACAAGGTAGGCCACCTTCCACTTCAGGGTGACATTTCTGGCCTGGGCTGAGGAAACCTGGGGCTGGGCTTCCAGGCGTGGCTCGAAGGAGAAGCAAAGCCCTGTGGTGTGAGGCCGTGGAGCGCCCTCCAAGGCAGGAGAGAAGTAGCGCTAGCCCGTCTGGACGCTGGACCTGAGCCGCCGTCTGATGCATGTGGGCAGGTGCGGGAGTTTGTGAGGTCTGACTGGGTCTGGTCTCACTGGGGGCTGATGAGGGGTCTTGGGAACCTGTGTAGAGCTGGCTCACTGGGGCCTCTCACCCCATCTCCGGTCAGGCTCCCCGGCGGTGAGTGTCTGCAGACCCAGCTCCCTGGGTCCTGGGCCTTCCCCGAAGTGCCCTCTCCCCAGCATTTCGTTCCTTTCCTGGCACCCTCTCTGGGCACGCCCTTGGTCCTCCCAGAGGTGGGCAGTCGGGCCTTGGGTGGGGGAGCTTGGCCAGCGTTTCTCTACTCTTGTCTCCCCACTGGGCCCCAGTTCAGAGCTGTGTGTGGCCCCCACACCGGCCTCCCTGAGGCGCCCCCTAATCCCCAGGTGGATCTCGTTTCCCTTTCAGCCTGTCCAGAGTCACAGAGGAGATGTGACTGGAAGGTTGTTTGGGCCTTGGCTGTGGGGGCCGGGGAGCGAGGTTACCCAGGCCAGGGGCTGCTGCTCCACGCCTGCCTCCGCCTCTGTTGCGGGGCAGGGATCCTGGTGACCTCTGTTTTTTTGTTTGTTGTTGTTGTTGGTTTTTTTTTTAAGCAAATCCTTGCTCTCACCAGCCCTGGCTCTTGGTGAGATGAGATCATTTGTAAAATATGCCTCCTGGCTGGCTGGGGCTCCTTACTGTGTCACCTGCAGCTGCCCATTTGCTGGGAGCCCTAGCTCCCTCAGCTGTGGCCTTCCTGCGTTTGCTGTTTACGGTTTGGGTTTTGGAAGCACACACCCTTGTATAGGGTCTCAGCAGAGCGCAGTGGGCAGGCGTGAAGGCATCTGTCTGGAAGTATTGGTTGCTTGTCATTTGGGGACATGAACTCCGGGACCGGCACTCACCCCTGTCCACACAGGGGATCAGCCTGGGAGCTAGTCTGAGTAGGGGAGGGCATTTGGGACCCTGACCCAGGGCTCCTGGGGCCCCACCACATCCCCAGTGTCTGCTTGCTGGGCCTGGGTCCTCACTGGAGCACTTGGCAGCCAGAACCCTGGGCTCAGGTCTCCTGGGAGAACGCCCAGCCCAGGCTGTGTGACCTTGAGTGAGGAACCCGTCCTCCCTGAGGCCGTCCTGCTACAGAGTAGCATCCTCTGCCTCCTCCGAGGAGCTGGAGGCTGAATGTGGGCAGCCCGGCCTTTCTGCCTTCATGCCGGCTGGGGCTGGCCTGGGGGCTGTTGGGCCAGTGAAGCCACTGAATCCCATGTAAGGCTCACTACCCTTTAAGAGGAGGCCGCCATGGAGTCTCCCGGGAGAACAAGAGGCAGGCTTTTCTCCAGAGGTTGTTTGCAGGGACCCACAGGGAGGAGAGGCTGGCTCCGGGTCTCTCTAAAGGAATCTCCCCTCCCCCAGTGCGGGGCCCTGGCATCCAGGAGGGCACAGGGCCATGGGCGGCCGCGAGCTCCTGGGCCCGCCCAGCTCCTGCCCCTGTGCCTGGGAAGCAGGCAGGGCTGGGGGCGGGGAACAGAGGGGCCTGAAAGTGCCCATATATAGTCACTGGGGTGAACGGCAAAGCCATGCTGCAGAGATGCCTCCCAAGCCCAGGGCTGGCCGGCCCCAGCTCAGCCACCGGGGCCCCGAGGGCAGCCCGGCCCTGGGCTGGGGGTGGCCTCCCTGGTAGTCTGTGAAGGGGTAGAGCATCAGCCTCCGCATAGTCATGCCTCAAGAAATGTTTGTTGATTGAAAATAAAAGTCCCCCCAGCCCTCCATAGTCAGGCTTGAGGACATTTCAGGAGCTGATGTTGGAATCTGGAGGCTGGAATCCGGGCTGTGCTGTTGGCCAGAGCTGCCTGGGGTCCCTCATGGAGGGCGTTGGGAGCTGGGTGCCTGCTGAGGGAAGACTTGCTAGCAACCCAGCCCCCACCCCACAAAATGCTAGTGCCCCCCTCTTTACAGGGACACTTCAGATGCTCCCTCCCCACCCCTACTGTCCTGGGGCTTCCGCCCAGTGGGCTGGTGTTTTCTGGAGGAGTTACCTTCTCACTCCTGGGCACTGCCTAGAGTCAGGGGGCAGCTGTGGGCCTTCCTTGGTTCTTCTGCGGCGGTCTTGGAGGGAGTCAGCGTTGGCCCTGCCTTTGGATCGGAGCAGAAGGAAGTTGTCCCACATCTTCCTCCTCCCAGGGACCCCTGAGGCATCCCCTCTGGCCAGGGCCCCCACCCAGGCCCTGGGCATCTGCCTCGGGGGCTGTGCCCATCTCCCTTCTACCACCCAGCTGGTGTCTGTGCCAAGAAAGGGGAAGTACCATCTTTGCTGAATTCTTGACTTTTGTGCTGTTAAAAAATCAGCTTTAACAGAGTTTTGCTCATTTAATTTCATTTCCATTGCACAGCTAAGCGCCTTTGTTAAATTTTGTATATTGATACTTTTTGTTGTCAGCAGTTTATTCTTTTTTTTTTTGGATATAAATCCATTAGGGTGAGAGAAGATTAAAAAGATACATTACAATTAAAATGTTAATGAAATCCGTATCACACAACTTTTGAAACCCTTTAGGCATTAATCTTGCCTGTGTCATGTCCATTAACTTTGGCTATTCTTATTCCACACTGACCCCTGCTGAGAGATTTGTGCTATAATTGGATTTTTTTTTAATAAAAAAGAAAAAAAAAAAGCTTTTAAGAAAATAGAGGTTGAGTGGTCGGCCGTGGCTCCTAAATGAAGAGGGAAAGTAGAAGAACATGACTCACTCTGTTGGGGCTGGGGTCCCCCATTCTGAATGGGGACAGGGGTCACCCAGGGCCTCCCCCAACTGTGGATGTGCCAAGTGGTGTAGAGGTACATGAGTTGGGGGAGCCTCAGAGGAGGGAGGGCACCCCGAGGGTGGGTTCACCTTCTTGGGGAGAGGCCCCCAGCGCTGGGGGAGGGGCTAACAGGAGCCCCCCACCAGGTGGGGTTGTGGGGGGTGACATGGAGGCTCAGGCAGAGCAGAACCTGAAGGGCCTTGAGTTCTCTGAAGTCTGTACCCCCTACCCTTCGCCTGGAAGTCAGGCCTTCGCGGGTGCTAGGTTTCTAGCAAGGGGGGTGGCTGTGGGGAGGGGGAGCCCCCTTGTCTCCCTCCTAGGGCCGTGGGGACCTCAGGAAGACGTGGCCCGTGGGTCCTCCTTTGAGGCCCTGGGCCCTGGCCAGAGCCTGGCTCAGATCTGGGTGGGGTCCCCAGCTGGGAGGGTCCCCTGGCAGGGGGAGGCTCTGGGTGGGGGCCCGGGGGTAGCCTGTGGCTGCCGCCCCGCTGGTTCTCCCGGGCTGCAGTGCTGCAAACGTAACCGCGTAACTGAAAGCTGGTCAGGTGGTTGGCAGCGGGGCTGCAACAGACAGATTTCGTGTCTGTGTGTTTTTGCAACACCTTTCTATAAAGGGAAACATAATTTAAAATATGATTACTTAGTGTTGTAACAGCCGCCTCAGCCGCTCCACGCGATGCCGAGATCATTATCAGAGGCTGATATTAACTTGCAAAGAATATTATGCAAATTGCCTGCTGTCTCCTCCGGGAAACCTTCCCCCAGGATGCCGGGGGCTGGGCTGGCTCCCCTCGGGGCTTGGGGTAGGTCCCTTTGTGGGACAGCCCAGCCCTTGTGCTTTCTGCCCATCCCGCCCTCCACGCCCAGGCCTGAGCCCTCATCTGTGGCCAGGGGACCCTAGGAGGCATGAAGCAGTGGGTCAGGAAAGACCAAGTCCTTTGCCTCCCTGTGTCTCAGTGACCCCAGACCACGATGCCTCCTGGCCGGCTGGGTGGGGGCCTCAATGAGGCCATCGTGGTTGGGATGGCAGTGAAGCCCCTGCTGATGGTTAACCATGGCTGACTGCGGTGGTCACCGGACCTGGGTCCCCACGAGCCCCAAGTGCCCCCGAGAAAGAGTCCCTGGCCACGGACTGGGCCATGTCCATGCGCAGTGGCTCGTCCTGCTGACTGACCACTGTGGCTTTGCAGCTTCCAGGGGCTCAGGGGCAGCTGCTGGGAAAGATGTGGACGGTGGCTTGGATCCAGCATTGCTGTGTGGACTCAAATTTTTGCCCTAGGGGAGAGAGGCAGGGAGTGGGGTCTGAGGGTCCCTCCCACCCTGCTGAGTACAGTGTGTCCCCTGCCCCCGTCATCCCTTCCATCTGGGCCTGATGTGGGCAGTGGTACAGTTCCCAGATTGAAGATTCTCCCCAGAGGCTCCGTCCCACTGGAAGGGAGCCGGACAGAGCACGTTTAGAGCAAAATTCCGC
Source organism: Homo sapiens (assembly GCF_000001405.40). Lineage (NCBI taxonomy): Eukaryota > Metazoa > Chordata > Mammalia > Primates > Hominidae > Homo > Homo sapiens. Next base: position 136,088,173 of record NC_000009.12, on the reverse strand, counting down.
TGACCCTGCACAGCCAAGGGGCTGCTGATGCTCTCTCTGAACCACTGTCCACCTGGCGACCGTACAAGCCCGACAGTCCCCGAATACTGCTGACCTCCGTGCATGAGATGACAGCCACTGGGGGTGCCCGTCTTCCAGGTCACCTCTGGAACTTCTCAGCAGAGTCCCCAGGTCACCTCCCGGAACTTCCCAGCAGAGTCCCCAGGTCACCTCCCGGAACTTCCCAGCAGAGTCCCCGGGGTGGGAAACTGGGCCTTCCTGGGCCACGGCCGGCCTTGGGCAGCAGACAAGGGACGGGGAGGGCTTGCCCTCCCTCGAGCAGCTCAGACCGGGGAGGACAGGGCGCTTGGGGCCTCGTTGGGGATCTTGCCGGTGCCGTCCTGGGCTGTCCTCAGCTGAGCAGCCACTTCCAGGGTTGGAGAGCAAGTGTTCTCTTGGGATTCGAGCCTCATTTCCCCCCGTGCTGCGGTGGAAGCTGGGCAAACACCATGGCCTCCCTGGGTCTCAGTTTTCCCGCTGTGAGCTCCGAATGGGGTACCGTATCCTGCTTTCTGGTCACCAGGAAGGTCTAGGGCCAGCCCAAGGCAGACCCAGAGAGGGCTCCCAGGCGGCCCCAGAAGCTGCGGGGCCCTTCCCCAGCCGGGCCCTGCGAGGACTGGCTCTGTCGCCCTCCCTTCCAGTGGGGCTGGCCCGACCCCTGCGAATGCCGCTCTGGGGGTCCCCGTGGGAGTCTGCCAGCTCCAGGAGGGCAGGGTGTCTATTTGCAGCTGTGCAGGTGACAGGCCAGGAGGAGGGAAGGGGCTTTTCCAGCACCCTGGGGTGTGTTGGAGGGGGGCAGGGTATCCATCTCCTGGGGCCACCACGACAGAGCCCACAGGTTTGGTGGCAGGAAGCCTCAGAGAGTGCTCCTGTCCCAGTTCTGCAGGCCCGGAGTTGACACTCTGTGCATCTTCAGGGCTGGTTCCTCCAGAGGCTTTGAGGGAGACTTTGTCACATGCCGCCCTCCAGCTCCCAAGGCTGCCACTGTCCTGGGCCTTTCTTGGCATGTGGGATCATGGGCCCAGTCTCTGCCTCCGTCCTCACACGGCCACCTTCCTTCTGTGCATCTGTGTCCAAACTTCTCCCTTCTGTAAGGATGCATGTTAGGGTCCACCCTAAATCCGGGATATCTCATCTTACCTTTCACTAATGATATCTGTAAAGACCCTGTTTCCAAATAAGGCCGCATTCAAAGGGTCAGGTAGATGCGAACCCCCGGTGTGGTGTGGGAGGGGCAGAAAGCCTTTAGTGCGTAGAGGGCACTGGGGGGCTGGCTCTGCACTTGCCCAGGACAGTGGGAGGAGCCAGGCACAGACAGCAGCCGCTGCTGGGATGGCACCTGGATGGGCGTGAAACCAGTGCAGCTGGCCAGCTCCAGGCCCAAGCTGAGCGGGGGTCGTGGGAGGGAAACGGGGCCACTGGTCGGGGAGGGTTTTCCTAGGAGTCGGCGTTGTCATCTGCGGTTATGTAAGTTTGGGAACAGGATTCGTGTTAATTATTGTAACCCAGTTTAGGCGGTGAGTCCATGTCATAGGAAGTGGCCTGGAAATGACAGCGTGTGGGTCACAGTGGAGCCCGGGGTGGGACCGTGGCTGGGTGCTGGCAGGCAGATGGCTGTCGGGAAGCTGGGGGCATGCGACGTCCCTGGGGCCCACACCAAGCCAGACCTCAGGGAAGCCCAGCCGCTCGCAGACCTGGGACCTCAAGAGCCAGGCCCGGTGCCATCCAGACCAGCAGCTGCCCCAGGGCTCAGCCCTAGGCCTCACCAGGCTCCTGATGATGCAGGAAAACAGAGGCACCCCCACCCCCCAAACCCCTCCCAGCTCTGAGTGGGAGGCCTCGGGGGGCATGTGCCCTTCGTCCTGTCCCCAGCTGCACGGTGTGAGGGTTCTCTCACAGGAAGGCAGGCACTGCGCTTTGCTGCTCTGAAGGCCCATGGAGGGTCCTGGCCACATTCAGGGAGTGGCTTCTGAAGGTTTTTAGAATGTCCAACAAGGGTCCCCAGGGGTGACTTGGTTTTCTCCAGCCCGAGGTGAAGGGCCTGGAGGCGGCTCCTGCCCGTCGGAGCTGCCCTGCGTGGCGCCCGGACTCCGGGCTCTGCCAACCCCTCCCATCGGAGCTGCCCTGCGCGGTGCCCAGTCTCTGGGCTCTGCCAACCCCTCCCATCAGAGCCGTTCTGTGCAGTGCCCAGCCTCCGGGCTCTGCCAGCCCCTCCCATTGGAGCTGCCCTGCACGGCGCCCGGCCTCTGGGCTCTGCCAACCCCTTGTTTCCACAGTGAGTTCAGGATTGTGGAGGGACCTACCCCACCTGGCTACCCAGCATTGGCAGGTGGGGACTTTGCTTCAGATGTTTAAGAAAAAAGGTAAAAGATAAAGTAATTAAACTTACAGAAAAATGTCAAGTATTGTACAAAGAACATTTTCCCGAACGATTTGAGGTAAACCTCCCCTGCATACCTGTGTGTCTTGTTCCAGTGTGGGCAGAGGGCTGCCCGCCACCCGCCTGTACCCACCCCCTGGCAGCCGCCTCCCAGGCCCCTCCTGGCCTTACACCAGCAGATCCAGTGCAGACCCCTCAGTACAGTTACTTGTTGAGTCTCTTTAAATTTAATTAAAAACTTTTTTTTTTTTTGAGAGTCTTGCTCTGTCGCCCAGGCTGGAGTGCAGTGGTGCAATCGCAGCCTCAAACTCGGGCTCAGGTGATCTCCCCGCCTCAGCCTCTGGAGTAGCTGGGACTATAGGTGTGGATCCCCACACATGGCTGATTTAAAAAAAATTTTTGTGCACCACCACATCTGGCTAATTAAAAAAATTTTTTTGGGTCGGGCACAGTGGTTCACACCTGTAATCCCAGCTACACAGGAGGCTGAGGCACAAGAATCACTTGAACCCTGGAGGCGGAGGTTGCAGTGAGCTGAGATGGCACCACTGCACTCCAGCCTGGGCGACAAGAGCGAAACTCAGTCTCGCCAAAAAAAAAAAAAAAAAAAAAAAAAATTGTAGAAATGGAGTCTTCCTATGTTGCCCAGGCTATAAATTCAAATTTTAAAAACTTTCTGATTAATTATACATAAAATTTACCGTTTTAGCTTTTTCAGTGGAATGAAGCATGCACATTTTTGCGCTGCCCTCAGCACCATCTCTAGAACTGTTTCATCTGCCCAAACTGAACCCCTTTCCCCATTAGACACAAACTCCCCATCCTTGCCCCAGCCCCTGGCAGGCACCTTTCTACTTCCTGTCTCTGTAGGCCTGCTTCCGGGACTGCATGTGAGTGGAGTCCCACAGGGGGTGTCCTCGTGTGACTGGCTCATTTGCTCCGCACCCTCTCCCCACGGCTCCTCCGGGTTGCAGGGAGTGGCGGAGCCCGTCCCTTCTCCAGGCTGCGTGATGTATGTGTGTGTGTGCGCCCGCCGCCATTTCCTTTGACTGTCACCCATTGGCGGACCCTGGGGCCACTTGCCTCTTGGCTGTCTGGTGCTGCCGCTATGGACGTGGCGTGCGCGTCTGTTTGAGTCTTGCTGTGTCTCTGGGCTCTTCCAGCCTGGTGTATTCTGTGGCCTTTCCATGGCCTTCGTGACCCTGACTCCGGGGTCTGGGCCAGTTTGACAGATTTGATAGATGGACCCTCGAGGTAGGTTTGTCTGTGGCCTCCTGGTGATTGGCGTCTTGGGCAGGGACGTCAGAGATACCGCCTTCTTGGACGTTGCCCCACCAGCGGAGACCGGACATTGCGTAGGAGGTGTCTGTGTGATGGATGAGTCTCGGAAGCAGCCCTCCAGCAACCCGCCTTTGGTGAAGGCCCCAGGTGTGCATGGGGACAGGGCTGGACACAGGAGGGGCTGGGGCATGCAGTAGGGGAGGGGTTGGCTACCCAGGACCAGGTCTGGGTGTGGAGGTCTTTGACCTGGGAGCGGGGAGGCTGCAGGTTGGTGAGTGGGTGTTGAGGGTCTCATCGGAACCCACTGCTCCTGGAAAGACGGGTCCCCTCCTGGCTGGATCCATGTCCCTCAGTTGTCCCTGGAGCCACTGAGTGAGGGACACCCTCAGCGAGCACCACCTTCCCTACCTCCCCGCTCTTCCTCAGGCTGTGGGGCTGTAGAGGAACTAGGAGATGGGGTTGTGGCCAGGTCTTGGGTCTCCCCACCCAGTGATGCGGGAGAAGTTGGGGTGAGGCGGAGAGGCTTTCTCAGCTTTGACTGCATCTGTCTCTGGGCCCCAGAGCTGCCTGGGCCAGCCAGGTTCTTGGTGGACATCGTCTGTCTGAGAAGATCTGCCCTCAACCCAGCCAGGCCGGGGGTCCCCTCAGCAGCGGTCGAGATGAATGTCGTGGGCGGCCGGAACGTGCCACCACTAACAGGTGGAGAGGTGGGGAGGCCTGAAACAGCAGGAATTTCTTCTTGCACAGCGGTGGAGGCCAAAAGCCCCAGGCCACAGTGTCTCGGGGCCCCCGCCTGCCTCCGCAGCGTGGTGCCAGCCGCCTGTGGTGCCCTGGGCTCATGCCCGTCTCGTGCCAGTCTCGGCCTGGCCTCTGCACGGCGCTCTTCACAGGTGTCCGCGTTTTCCCTTCTCAGAAGACACCTCTGGACCTGCCCTAAATCTGGGAAGCTCTCATGTGAACTTGATCTTACATCTGCAAAGACCCTAGTTCCAAATACAGTCACATTCGAGTTTGGGGTGCATGTGGATTTTGGAGAGATGCTATTCCTAGTACAGGGGTGAAGGCCAAAGTGTCCACCTGCCCCACTCCCTCTTCTCTGTGGCTGCCTCCCCCCCAACCCAGCCTGGGAAGGAAGGGAGGGCGGTGCTGCCTCCCTGAGCAAGGAGATGACCTCCGCGTGCCTAGGCTCAGGTTGGGGTGAAGCATTGACTGTACCTGGACTCAGGAGAGCAGCTCCCCAGGGGCTCTGACCCCCACCAGCTCCCCTGAGCCCTGTGGCCACTGGCTCTTCTGTTGGGAGCGTGTGATGTCAACAGCCTCCGCTCCAGCAGGGTGGCCCCGTTTCTGGCATCGAGGAAGAGGGCCCTCAGGTTTCTGTTGCGGTGCCAGAAAGGTTCTGCCGTGTGAAGTGCTCGGTCGTCAGGAGATCAATCTGGTCGCTTTCATGTGAGTGTAGATGTCTAATGGGGCAGAAGTTATGACAGCCGTAAAACACGGCGTCTTCCCCCTCGCCCTGATATCTGGCAGGAGTGAGGCAGGCAGCACAAAATCCTAGGCGTAGAGAGGGCCATGCACGGTGGGAAATGAGCAGAAATACACTCAGCTGCTTATGGAAGATGGTGTCTGTCTTTCCTTCTGGGGAGAGGGAGGGCAGTCAACACCCAGAGAACGGGGCGTCTGTGGGATCCGCTGGCCAAGAGCCAGCCCCACCCGCCGGGGAGAGGGGGCTGTGATCTGATGGTGCACACGCTGGATTGAGGGCTGCGCCCCTGTTGGGGTTGGGTGCTGGCAGGAGGGGTGCTTCTTGGGAGGCAGGTCCGTGGAGGCAGCGCGGGCCTGGCGGGTGGAGGGTCTCCATCAGCTCAGCAGCACCTGCTAAGACGCCTCGGCTCTACCTGGTTTTGTTTGTCGGGCTCCGAGGGCCAGACCCAGTGCTTCATGGATGGTGACCCCGTTGAGATGAGGGCCACTGTCAGCTCCGCCCTGCACACACCTGCCCAGACCTCTCACAGGTGAGGGCCACCATCAGCTCGGCCCTGTGCACACCTGCCCAGACCTCTCACAGGCATGGTGGGGAGGCAGGTGAACCTGAGCATCCCGGAGGCCCATCCGCCGGCTCAGCACGTGGCACAGGCGGGGCAGAGCCCGGACTTGGCCTTGGGGTGGCCTCTGCTTCCCAAGCCTGTGTGGGACCTGAGGCTCCCCGCCCCCTTCCATCAGGCCGTGGCGTGGCCACACCGATGGTCCTGAGGGTGAAGACCCTGGGGAGACGGGCAGAGGGGGCATCCCTCAGCCCCACCTCTCCCTTCTGCTGGGAGTCCTGGGCGGTCACCTGCTTTAGTGATGAGCTGACCCAGGGCCCCGGCAGGTCGTGTTCAGGTGGAGAGTCTTTGGAGAATGGCTGGTGCCCCCATTTTGTGAAAGGAGAAATGGGCCCAGTGAGGTTGGAGGCCCTGGCCAGGGCAGATTGGCCTTTGCTGCAGCCTGGCTCTCGCGTCAGCTCCACCCTGATCTCTGAGTTCTGCAGGAGCCCTGGGGTTTCGGGGTGCTGCTGCAGGTGGGCTGGACTGCGAGAAGCGGTGCAAAGACAGCAGGGGTCCGGTGGGCGGGGGTGGGGGCTGGCTGCCCTCCCCGCCTTGCCCTCAGCCTGGTGTTGCCTGGTTACCTGGGCCAGGTGCCATCCAGGTAGAGGGAGCTTGGTCAGGGGCCAGCTGCTGCCGCCACTTGGTGGGGATGGTGCCCCAGGGCCCGAGCCAGGAGGGGCTGTGTGTGTTCCTGGCCTGGGGGCCGCAGCTGCCCTCCCTGGGCCCTTGGGTTTTCCCAGAGGCTTCAGCTCATCCTCACTTTAAGTGTGCTTTCGTAATAATTACACCAAAACCCAGCAGCTGAGAGGCCTTTGCAGAGATTCGGCAGCTGTGATTACAGCCACTGATTTCCAAGAAACGTCACGAGGGAATTCTGTTACAGCCCGAGGTGGAAGCGGACGCCCGGCACCGCCTTCCTGGGCACCCCGCGCTCAGAGAGCAGGTCCGAGTGCTGAGTTCCCAGCTGGGAGGACGCGTGGAGGATGGGAACCATGGCTGTGAGCGGGTGGGGCTGGGCCATGGGGAGCCCAGCGGGTGGCTGGCTTCATCTTGGTTGGGGGTGTGTGGTGTGCAGGTCGTTCCGGTTACTCTACAGTTCAAGCCCAGGCATGCTGACCCCTGCCCTGTCCTGCGGAGCCCCCAGTGCCCGTCGGGACTGAGTCCACCTGGTTCCTTCCCCTGGGTTTCCAGCGGCCTGGGTGGCTGGAGAGTCCCCGAGTGGCCACTGAGGGTCCGTTTGGTCTGGGCTTCCTCCTCTGGGAATGGTTTCCTGTGTTACGAGAAATATGGGAAACGCGCGTTTCTTCTCCCCGCAGCCGTTCGTGATCCGTGACCCTGGGCCCGTGGGGTTCTGGGATGAAAACTTCCTCCTCCATCACCTCTGTTAATCAGAATGTGCTTGGGGTGGGAGACAGCGGGAGGGGCTGCCACCTTGGACCTGTCCCAGGCCTGTGTCCCCCCGACCTACTCGAGCGGCTGGGGCTTGGCACCCTAGCACGCAGGGGCGGCTCTGCTGGGGGCCTGATGCAGCTGGCTGGAGTTTGCGCCGGGCACAGGCCGGCCTGTGGTCATCTGCCGTCTGCTCTCCCTGCATCCTCTGCAGTGACTCCGCTGGGGTCTGGGTGTGTGTCACGGCCCCCCGTCTCCACGTGTCTGGAGAGGAGGAGACCCCCAGCTAACCCACACTCCACGACCTCCAAATCAGATAAGCAAGAGCTCCGTGGAGTGTCCTTCCTGGGCTGATTCTGTGCGGTCTGTGGGGTGGGGGATGGTGTGCTGGCAGTAGCGTTGGAGTTTTTTTATTGGAGCAGGGTAGTGGGGAGATGGAGTTTCGCTGTTGTTACCCAGGCTGGAGTGCAGTGGCACGATCTCAGCACACAACCTCTGCCTCCCAGGTTGAAGCAATTCTCCTGTCTCAGCCTCCCGAGTAGCTGGGATTGCAGGCGTGCGCCACCACGCCCAGCTAATTTTGTATTTTTAATAGAGACGTTTTTAATACCCCACTGCAGTGGGCTGCTGGGCGGATTTTCCTAGAACCTGGGTTGGGTTTTGGATGCCCTGAGAGGTGGCATCCCATGTAGGGGCAGCGAAGGGGCCTGGGCTCAGAGAAGGAGAGCACAGAGATGGGTGCGGGGGCCCTGCTGGGATGAGGCTGTACAGGCTGGGGGTGCAGTACCGCTCTGGCACCATCCCTGGTGTGGCGTGGCTACAGGGCCCTGCCAGGAGGCCCTTGTGGTCAAACCGTTGGCTTTTGTGGGGCACAGTGGCATGGGCTTTGGCTGGCAGCCACGCCCGGGGTAGGGACTGTGTGTCTCTGCCAGCTGGGCCATGACTACAGTGGGTGGCCAAGGGTGTGGGCTATCAGGTCAGCCCCAGGCCTGGCCCAGGCAGCCCCATGGCCAGCAGAGCCCATCTGTAGCTCTCCAGGAGGGCCGCCTCTCCCTGGGGAACAGCTCCAAAAGCTTTCCTTGGGGAACAGGTGGCAGGGCTAGCGGCTCCTTCCACAGCACGGCTGTGGCCTGGCCCCTGGGGCCTTGGGGTCCTGGAAAGTTGAGACTTCCCCGGCTGCTGCCTGTCCTGGTGGCCTGAAATCTTACAGGCTTCAAGATTTCGTAACTTTCCTATTCCTAGTCGCAGAATGGGTAGTGGGAGGCCTGAGACCCATCTGGCTTCTGCAGCCACGCTCCAGGGCTCTGGTGACCCTGGAGTGCATTCGGGGAGTGCCGGCCACGGCAGGGCCCCAGGAAGGAGCTCTGGGGGGCCTCTGGCCTCTCTTCTGCCCTCGGTTGAGGGCCAAGTGGCCTTTCCACTCAGTGAGTCAGCCTGTTCCTTCGTGTCATTCTCAGCAGGCCATGGGGTGCCCATGCCTGCGGGTGAGGAGGGGCTTGCTGCCCCACCTGCTGGCGTCCAGCCTGTACAGCCTGGGGCCTGTCTGGAGATCCTGGTTCCTTGGCTGCACCTGCAGGGCCCCCGGAGTCCACGCATTGGCTTCTGCAGTTGGCATCCTGTGCTTGTAGGAGTGTCTCCTGCCTGGAAGCCAGAGGATGGCACCCCGTTCCATCAGGCCTGAAGGTGGCTGGGTGCCAGGCAGCCCTTCCTGGGTGTGGGACTCTGGGCAAGTGCCCTGCCTCTCCCTGGTCTCCCCCTCAGCTCAGAGAGTGCAGTTCCCACCCTGGGAGGATGTCTGCACCTTGCAGCCTCTTCAGCCCTTAGCCCTCTTGGCAAGAGCTCAAGCTTTCTCTTGTTAAGGACGGGACGCACAGACATACGTGAGTAGATTTCAGGTTACGTGCCCTAAACTAATACCGTGTGCACTTAAAAAAAAAAAAAAGAAGAAGCTATGATTGAAGTCAAATTAACATATTTACCTTCAGTGCTCCCTCGGGAACCGTTAGGGAATCGGAGAGGGGCGGCGGCGGCGCGGCATCATGCCGGCGACGGTGCTAAGGGCATCTGCTCCCCGTGGGGATGGGTGTGTGCTCCTGAGTTTGCCTTGGCTTCCCCTGCTTACCCACAAGGTCGCCTGGACAAGGGGCGAGAGGCCCTGCCCTGAGAGCCTCAGTTCCTGGAGGGGACCACGCTGGGGGTGCTTACTGGGGACCAGGATGCGGCGGTGGCTGTGGTGCCACACTCGTGATGACAGCCCTGCCTGAGGGGCTCGCTTTGCTCAGCTCTGATGTGGCTGAGATTCAGGTGCCTGACCTGTCCCCCAGCCATTCCCACGCCCCTTTCTGTCCCGATGTCGGGGCTGGGCTGGCCCCTCTTGCCTCGCACAGGTTTATGGCCTAGGAGTACATTCCCCTGGAGTCCCGTCTATGCATCCAGGTACGGTTCCAGGGCCAGTGAGCGGGCCACGTCCCACCTCCAAGCCTCAGTTTTCTCATCTGTACAGTAGGGTAATGGTATTTCTCCTGCGCTTACTTTAAGGATTAAATGGAAAAACCTGTATTAAGGATTGCCATTTAAAGATTAAATGGAAAAGCCTGGGCCTTTAGTTCCTGAAATGAGAGAGCCAGAATTATTTGGAGAACCTGCCCCCAGATGTGCCTGTCCCCCTCATGAATTCTGCATTCCGAGGGACTGAGCTTCGTGGAATTCTGGCGTCTTCTGGCCTGCAGGCGAGTGGGGCTGGCCACAAGGTTGCGGGGGGTGGGGGTCCTGGGGACCCCTGCCAGGTGGTGGGTATGCACCCGGCCTTGGGGATGAGGGTTTGAGTGGGTGCCTGGTCCATCCCACTCTCTACCACTGTGTCTGTAAACTCGTGCATGGATTGTTTAAAGATAGTACGGCAAACCTCGTGATTATAAAAGTATGATTGGGCCGGACGCGGTGGCTCATGCCTATAATCCCAGCACTTTGGGAGGCCGAGGCGGGTGGATCACGAGGTCAGGAGTTTGAGACCAGCCTGGCTAACATGGTGAAACCCCGTCTCTACTAAAAAGAAGTACAAAAAAACCCAAAACAAAACTATGATTGGACTGATATTATTTACGTGGTTTTCACTCCCAAAGGCACACCTTTGCGTATAAAGCACAAGTCAGTATTCATCACTGATTCCTTATTCACTTTTCAAACTACTTTCACTTACCTTTTATTACTTTATAAATAATTTTAAGCACAATTTTGTTGCCCCCTTGCCTGCTCCCCGGTGTGGGGGTGGCCAGAGTCCTTGGGGTCCCCTCGCATTTCCCGGGTGACCACACAGCTGCCCCCTGCTCAGGTGTCACCGCCTGGGGACCTTCTCCTCTGTGAAGGGCCTGTTCTGGGCTCTTGCCCCTCCCTCCTCTGTGCGTTTCCCTTTTCTTGATGGATTTGTAGAATTTGTAGAATTCTTTCCATACTCTGACCACACGCCCTTTGCTGAAGATACATATGTTGCAAAGGTCTGTCCTTCTCGGCTTGTTTTTTCTCTTAGTGTTGGTCTTTATTTTTCAATATTTTAATGAAGCACGACTTATCAACAATGTCCTTTGTGCCCTGTTAGGGTTTTTGTTGTTTGTTTGTTTGTTTTGCCAAAGGCCATGTTTCTCTTCTGCTTTTTTTGTTTTGTTTTGTTTTTTGAGACGGAGTCTTGCTCTGTCGCCCAGGCTGGAGTGCAATGGCGCAATCTTGGCTCACTGCAACCTCCACCTCCGGGTTCAAGCAATTCTCCTGCCTCAGCCTCCCAAGTGGCTGGGACTACAGGCGCCCGCCACCACGCCCAGCTAATTTTTGTTTGTTTTTTTCTCTGTCACCCAGGCTGGAGTGTAGTGGCGCAATCTCGGCTCACTGCAACCTCCACCTCCGGGTTCAAGCGATTCTCCTGCCTCAGCCTCCCAAGTGGCTGGGACTACAGGCGCCCGCCACCACACCCGGCTATTTTATTTATTTATTTATTTATTTTTGAGACAGAGTCTCGCTCTGTCGCCCAGGCTGGAGTGCAGTGGCGCGATCTCGGCTCACTGCAGGCCCTGCCTCCTGGGTTCACGCCATTCTCCGCCTAGTCCCAAGTAGCTGGGACTACAGGCGCCCGCCACCACGCCCGGCTAATTTTTTTTGTATTTTTAGTAGAGAAGGGGTTTCACCGTGTTAGCCAGGATGGTCTCGATCTCCTGACCTCATGATCCACCCACCTCAGCCTCCCAAAGTGCTGAGATTACAGGCATGAGCCACCACCAGGCCAATACATTTTTTAAAAATTGTAGTCAAATATACACAACATGAAATTCACCATTTTAACCATTTTTTAAGCGCACAGTTCAGTGGCAGTAAGAACATTCCCATGGCTGTCAACCCTCACCTCTGTTTGCAGAACGTTTTCATCATCCCTGACCGAAACTGCACCCATTGAACACCAACTCCCCTCCGCAGTCCCCCAGCCCCTGGAAACCTCCGTTCTGCTTCCTGTCTCTGAACTGTCCTGCTCTGTGCCCGCGTGTGAGTGGAACCCCGTGGCGTTGTCTGTGTGTGCCTGGTGGCTTTCACTCGGCATAGTGTCTTTGAGGTTCACCGGGCTGGGGGGTGCATCAGAATTTCATTTCATTTTTGTCGTGGTATGGGCAGGAAACCTGGCTCAGAGAACATTTGAGGAACTGGGTGTTTAGAGTCACTGAGGAGAGGAGGCTGGATAGATTGTTGGGTTAGTTACAGCACTTCTTCGAGTTCCGCAGGGCCGGGAAACGCTGCCCCTTGGGGTTCTCTTTGCTACTGGATGGAAATCATTTGCTTTTCTTTTGGTTGCATATAGGAGACTTAGGATGTCACGGGGTATGGGGTGTCATCACTACTGAGTTGCAAATCAGGCAGAGGCCGCGAAGGGTGCCTGTTTACTTTATTTCCAAGTTTTCGATGACTGTTCTTTGCAGGATCTCTTCGTGACCACACGTAACCTTCATGCAGGGCTTTGAGAAGCGGGTGTCTCGGAGTTTTGTCACAGATGCAGCAGAGGAGTGGGCAGCAGCCCCAGGGCCACAGGCACTGAGCACATGGAGGGCTGCGGGGCTGCTCCTGGGCGCTTTGTAGGAAAGCCTGGGTTCCGTTTTCAGCAGCCTCTCACTCCAGAGGAGATGACTTTGCTCTTATTGAATCTTGTGTCCCGAGCCTCAGAGCCCAAACCCAAGACCCCTGTCTCTGAGGTTTCACCGACAGGGCCTGTGGGTGTTGGGTGGGTCTCCTCCCCTGGGCGCAGTCTGCACGGGGGTGTCCTCCCCGCGTGTGGAAGACCGGGCACAGGGAGCTCAGGACAGCATCAGCACAGGTTTCCTGAGGGGGCCCTGCAGGCTCTGCTCCCGCAGGACCTGCGACCCCGAACCCTGAATGTGGGCCTATGCCCGATAAAAGAAGATGCGTCCTCAGGCACGACAGCCTGGGCTTGGCCCCAGCTGCGCGATCTGTTTGAGAAACTGTACCGCGATGTAGGAGACGGCAGGTTCACACGGAGCCGCTGCCGACGTCTACGAAAGGGAAACAGGCTCGGGGAGACATTCGCCTCCGAGTTCCAAGCCCGGGGAGAGTGGACACCCTGTAATGAGCGCTTCAGTCAGTTCGCAGCAGCCAGCCTCGGGGGAGCTAGGGAGGGCTTTCCCCCCAAGTATCCCAGCCAGGCGGCCGCAGCCAGCTCTCCCTCATCCCGGTCAGTGCCGGACTGGACCAGAATGTGTCCTGGAGTCCTGGCCACCTCCCTGGTGCCATGTGACAGCTGTCTGAGGCCAAGTCTGTGTGTGGGGGGCGTTGCAGCCTGCTGCACCCACACCTGGGGCTCCCCACTTCCTGGCCTGCCGCTTTGAGGGAGCAGAAGCCGCCATTGAGGACAAGGTGGAATCGGCTCATTTCACGCAGAACCAAGAGCGTCGGCCTGGAGGAGGTCACGTCCTCTACTGGGCCTCACGTCACTGTTTCGTGAGGATCCGATTGCTGTTCCCCCAGCCCCATACGCGACAGTGAGTGGGGGACAGAGCTCCCGGGCTCCCAGAAGGAGGCCGTGCGAGAACCCATTCCCGCCAGCATCCCCCGGCCCTGCCGACTCCGCCTCGGCTGGGAAGGCCACGCTTCCTGCCGCTCTGTGTGAGGTGTAGACGCCGAGGCTGAGTGATACATCCCCGAGCCCCGCAGGTGAGCTGGGAACAGAATGTGACCACCGACATGGGCCCTCTGGGAGTCACAGGGGATGGTCGTTCGGAAGGTCCAGCTTCATCTGTCGGTGCAGTTTAGGGTGTGACTTGGTGGAGGCACGGTCAGTATTGAGTCAATGTTGAACCAGAGATAGGTTCCTTGAGGAAGGCAGGCAGCCTTGCTGTGACAGAACGAGGAATGGTTTTGACCTGTCCGTCTGTGTTAATTGAAGGGATGATACATAATTTTAAATAACCTCAGAAATTATTAACATCTTTATAAAGAACCTTAATGTTTCTGGAATGAAGAACTTTGTTTTCTTTTTCTTCTTTTTTCTTTTTTTTTTTGAGACGGAGTCTTGCTCTGTCGCCCGGGCTGGAGTGCAGTGGCACAACCTCGGCTCACTGCAAGCTCCGCCTCCCGGGTTCACTCCATTCTCCTGCCTCAGCCTCCCGAGTAGCTGGGACTACAGGCGCCCACCACCATGCCCGGCTAATTTTTTTGTATTTTATTAGTAGAGACGGGGTTTCACCGTGTTAGCCAGGATGGTCTGGATCTCCTGACCTCGTGATCTGCCCTCCTCGGCCTCCCAAAGTGCTGGGATTACAGGCATGAGCCACCGCGCCTGGCCATGCCTGGCTAATTTTTTAACAAATTATTTGTGGAGACTATAATCTTACCATCTCTCCTGGTCTCTCACTCCTGGACTCAAGTGATCCTTCTGCTTCAGCCTCCCAAAGTGCTGGGATTCCAGGCATGAGCCACTGTGCCCGGCCAAGATCTTAATTTTTTTAAAAAAATAGTCAAGGACATGACGGAGTCTGTGCAAATCCCTGTTGGTTACTTCGGTGAGAGCCAGGGTCTGCTTTCAGGGCAGAGGGAAGGATCACCGCTTACTGCTGACCCTGCTTCTGGGCAGACCAGATACTCCAAGACCAGGCAGCATTTTAGCAGACAGAACACCAAATCCTGCTTGGACGCAAATGCAGTACTTGGCAGTAGAGGATGCATAAGCACCTTTAAAACAATTAGGAATAGACCCATTGAAACTGAGCAAATTGTGCCAAAATTGTAGCACACACGCAGCTGCTTTTCATACTCCTTATTTCCAGGTATTATGAACCGAGGGAAATCAAGTCGACTTTCTGCAAACATTCTTGGGTTGTCCATACATCCACTGGAGTCTTTTGTCTTTTCCTGTTCTCTTTGGCATTCGAGACCAATTGTGCATTTCACTTTGAGACAAGCGCCTCTTCTCCCCTGATGGGCAGGACTATACTCTGATACAGCTGGATCCACGCTCACACCCCCTGTCCACTGCAGCTCCTACTGGGGTCCTCATTTTTTATTTTTTATTAAAAATTTTTTTTTTGAGACAGTCTTGCTCTGTCACCCAGGCTGGAGTGCAGCGGTAAGACCACAGCTCACTGCAGCCTTCACCTCCTAGGCTCAAGCGATCCTCCCACCTCAGTCTCCCAAGTAGCTGGGACCACAGGTGCGCTCCACCATGCCCAGCTAGTTTATTTTTATTTTTTGTACAGACAGAGTCTCCCTATGTTGCCTAGGCTGGTTTTGGACTCTTGGGCTCAAGTGATCCTCCCACCCCAGCCTCCCGTGTAGCTGAGACTACAAGCACGTGCCACCATACCCGGCCAATTAATTCTTTATGTAGCCTAGATATTAGTCCTTTGTTAAATGTGTTCCTGGCATGTTTTTTCTACCAGCCTGTGTCTTGTCTTTTCATCCCATTACCTGTGTCTTGTGCTGAGCAAAAGTTTTTAAATTTTGATAAAGTCCAGTTTATCAGTTTTTTTCTTTTATGGAAGAACTCTCTGCCTAGCCCCGGATTCTACAAATATTTTATTCTCTTGTGTGTTTTTTTCTTTCCCCTCTAGTTTTATGTTTAAGTCTCCAATTCATTTTGGGGTTATTTATTTATTTATTTATTTGAGACGGAGTTTCACTCTTGTTGCCCAGGCTGGAGTGCAATGGCATGATCTAGGCTCACCACAGCCTCCGCCTCCTGAGTTCAAGTGGTTCTCCTGCCTCAGCCTCCCAAGTAGCTGGGATTATAGGCATGTACCACATTCAGCTAATTTTTTGTATTTTTAGTAGAAACAGGGTTTCTCCATGTTGGTCAGGCTGGTCTTGAACTCCTGACCTCAGGTGATCCGCCCGCCTCGGCATCCCAAAGTGCTGGGATTACAGGCATAAGCCACCACACCCAGCCTTTTTTTTCTTTTCTTTTCTTTTTTGAGACAGAGTCTTGCCCTGTTGTGCAGGCTGGATTGCAGTGGTGTGATCTTGGCTCACTGCAATCTCTGCCTTCTGGGTTCAAGCAATTCTTGTGCCTCAGCCTCTCAAGTAGCTGGGATTATAGGTGTACACCAGCACGCCCGGCTAATTTTGTATTTTCATTAGCGACAGGATTTCACTGTGTTGGCCATTCTGATCTCAAACTCCTGGCCTCAAGTGATCTGCTCACCGTGGCCTCCCAATGTGCTGGGATTACAGACATGAGCCACCATGCCCTGCCTTTGGGTTTTTTTTTTTTTCTTTTTGAGACAGAGTTTCACTCTTGTTGCCCAGGCTAGAGTGCAATGGCACGATCTCGGCTAACTGCAACCTCCGCCTCCCGGTTTCAAGTAATTCTCCTGCCTCAGCCTCCCGAGTGGCTGGGATTATAGGCGCACATCACCATGCCCAGCTAATTTTTATATTTCTAGTACAGACGGGGTTTCACCATGTTGGCCAGGCTGGTCTCAAACTCCTGACCTCAGGTGATCCACCCACCTGGGCCTCCCGAAGTGCTGGGATTACGGACTCGAGCCACCGTGCCTGGCCTTTGGGTAATTTTGAATGGGGTGTGAGGCTTGGGTGGAGTTCAGCACATTTGCGTCTGGACGTTCAGTTGCCCCAGCTCCATTGGCTTCAAAGGCCGGCTCTTCTCCCCTGAATTGCTTTTGCCTCTTTTTTAAAAAAATCAGTTGGGCAAATTTTGTGTGGGTCTATTTTGGGTTTTTTAAATTCTGTTCCATTGATCCATATGTCTGTCCCTCTGTCCATACCACACAGTCTTGATCACTATAGTTTATAATAAGCCTTGAAATCAGGTAGCCTGATTTCTCCCACTTAATTCTCTCTCAAAATTGTCTTAGCTATTTTCATTCCTTTGCCTTTTCATATATATTTAAGAATGAGCTCATCTATATTTACAAAAGGTCTTGCTGGTATTTTTTTTTTTTTTTTTTTTTTTTGAGATGGAGTCTCACTCTATCATCCAGGCTGGAGTGCATTGGCATGGTTTCAGCTCAGTACAACCTCCACCTCCCAGGTTCAAGTGATTCTCCTGCTTCAGCCTCCTGAATAGCTGGGATTACAGGCACCTGCCTCCACGCTCAACTAATTTTCATATCTTTAGTAGAGACGGGGTTTCACCATGTTGGCCAGGCTGGTCTCAAACTCCTGACCTCGTGATCTGCCAGCCTTGACCTCCCAAAGTGCTGGGATTATAGGCGTGAGCCACCGCGCCCAGCCTTTTTAAATTTTACTTTATTTTTTTTGAGACGTAGTCTTGCTCTGTCTCCCAGGCTGGATGGAGTGTAGTGGCATGATCTTGGCTCACCGCAACGTCTGCCTCCCAGGTTCAAGCGATTCTCCTGCCTCAACCTCCCGAGTAGCTGGGATTACAGGCATGAGCCACCATGTCTGGCGAATTTTTAAAGTTTTTTTTAGTAGAGATGGGTTTCACTGTGTTGGCCAGACTGGTCTTGAACTCCTGACCTCAAGAGATCCGCCTACCTCAGCCTCCCAAAGTGCTGGGATTACAGGTGTGAGCCACTGCACCCAGCAGTCAAATTGTTCTTACTATTTCCACGTTATCCTTTTGCTATCTGCAGGGTCTGTAATTATGTCTCCTGTTTCATTTCTGATACTAAAATTAATTTGTATCTACTCTTGTCAGTCTTGCTAGATGTTTGTCAACTTTATTGATCTTTTCAAAAACCCAGCTGTTTCATTGATTTTTTTCCTCCTCTGTTCTTGTTTTCAATTTTATTGATTTATGTTCTTATTTTTATCATTTCTTTTCTTCTGCTTGCTTCAAGTTTTTGGTTTTTGTTTTTTTTTTTTCTGATTCCTTGAGATGAGAGCTTATATAATTGATTTGAGACTTTTCCTTTTTTCTAATACATCCATTAATGCTATAAATTTTCCTCTCAGCCCCACCTAAGTGGTGTCCCACAAACTTTGGTATGTTGTATTTTTCTTTTCATTGTATTTGATTTTCTTTTTTGAGACGAGTCTCGCTCTGTCGCCCAGGCTGGAGTGCAGTGGCGCGATCTCGGCTCACTGCAACCTCCGCTTCCCGGGTTCAAGTAGTTCTCTGCCTCAGCCTCCCCAGTGGCTGGGATTATAGGCGCCCACCACCACGCCCGGCTAATTTTTTTGCATTTTTAGTAGAGACGGGGTTTCACCATCTTGGCCAGGCTGGTCTTGAACTCCTGACCTTGTGATCCACCCGCCCCGGCCTCCCAAAATGCTAGGATTACAGGCGTGAGCCACCACGCCCGGCCCGTATTTGATTTTCTTGAGACTTCTTCTTTGACATATGGATTACTTAGATGTATGTTATTTCCATTTCTAGATTTCCCTGTTACCTTTGTTACGATTTCTAGTTTGATTCCACTGTGGTTAGAGAACACACTGTGTAATTTTAAGTCTTGTAAAGTTCTTGAAGTTTTCTTTCTGGCCCAGAATATTGTCTGTCTTGGCATATGTTCCACAGGCACGTGAAAAGAACATATGTTCTGCTGTTGTTGAGTGGAGAGTTCTGTAATGTCAGTTAGATCCTGCTGATGTTATTTAACTCACTCTATCTCTGCTGATTTTCTATCTAGTTCTATCCTTGTTTAGAGAAGGCTGTTGAAGTCTCTACTAGAATTGTGGGTTTGTCTTTAGTTCTATTGGTTTGTGCTTCATGTATTTTGTAGTTCCGTTGTCTGGTACATGGACATTTAGGATTGCTGTGTCTTAGTGGATTGATGCTTTAATTATTATGTCACGTCCTACTCTATCTCTGATAATTTTATTTGCTCTGAAATATGCTTTATTTGAAGTAAAACAACCCTTGCTTTCTTTTATGTTTGCATAATTTATCTTTTTCTATTCTTTTTATTTTAACCTACCTATATCATTATATTTGAAGTGAGGTGTTTTTTTTGTTTTGTTTTGTTTTGTTTTGTTTTGTTTTTTGACAGAGTTTCACTCTTTCACCCAGGCTGGAATGCAGTGGCATAGTCTTGGCTCACTGCAACCTCCGCCTTCTGGTTTCAAGCAATTCTCCTGCCTCAGCCTCCCGAGTAGCTGAGATTACAGGTGCCTGCCACCACGCCCGGCTAATTTTTGTATTTTTAGTAGAGAAGGGGTTTCACCATGTTGGCCAGGCTGGTCTCGACCTCCTGACCTCAGGTGAGATCCACCTGGCTCAGCCTCCCACAGTGCTGGGATTACAGGTGTGAGCCACCGCGCCCAGTCAATAGAATACATTTTAAAATATGACTCAGCTATATGCTATCTAAAAGAAACTCACCTCAGGCTGGGCACGGCAGTTCACGCCTATGATCCCAGCACTTTGGGAGGCCGAGGCGGGCAGATCACAAGGTCAGGAGTTTGAGACCAGCCTGGCCAACTTGGTGAAACCCCGTCTCTACTAAAAATACAAAAAATTAGTTGGGTGTGGTGGCACATGCCTTTAATCCTGGCTACTTGGGAGGCTAAGGCAGGAGAATTGCTTGAACCTGGGAGACAGAGCCGAGATTGTGCCATTAAACTCCAGCCTGGGCAACAAGAGTAAAACTCCATCTTTAAAAAAAAAAAAAAGTATTCTTTCAATCTCTGTCTTTTAATGGGTGTATTTAGATCATTTACATTTAATGGAATTATTGATGTACTGAGGCCTTGTCTCCTATTTTAGTTTTTGATTCTGTTCTATCTTTTGTTTCTTTTTCCTGCCTTCCTGTGAGCCACTCGATTTTTAAAATTTCCTTTTGGTTTATCTGTGTTTTTATTTTTGAAATGACATCTTTATTGAGACAGTTTACATGCCATACAATTCACTCATACACTGTATAATTTAGTGGTTTTTAGTATATAGTCACATGCTGCATAACAGCAGTTCAGGGGACAGCGTATACAGTGTTGCTCTCATGAGATTATCATAGAGCTGAAAAATTCTATTGCCTAGTGACGATGTAGCCATCATAATGTCATTGCACAATTACTTTTTTTTTTTTTTTTTTTGAGACGGAGTTTCACTCTTGTTGCCCAGGCCGGAGTGCAATGGTGTGATCTCGGCTCACTGCAACCTCTGCCTCCTGGGTTCAAGCGATCCTCCTGCCTCAGCCTCTTGTGTAGCTGGGATTACAGGCACACACCACTATGCCCAACTAATTTTTGTATTTTTTGGTAGAGACAGGGTTTTGCCATGTTGACCAGGCTGGTCTTGAACTCCTGACCTCAGGTCATCTGCCCTCCTTGGCCTCCCAAAGTGCTGGGGTTACAGGCATGAGCTACTGCGCCCAGCCACACAATTACTTTTTTAAAAAAGATAAATGTAGTGTAGCCTAAATGTTCGGTGTTTATACAGTCTTTAGTAGCATATAGTAATATCCCAGTCCTTCACATTCTCTCACTACTCACTCACCCAGAGCAATGCCCAGTCCCGCAAGTTCCATTCATGATAAGTGTCCTATAGAGTTGTACCATTTTTAATCTTTTATCCTATATTTTTACTGAACCTTTACTATGTTTCGATACACAAATGCTTCCCATTGTGTTACAGTTGCCTATGCTATTCAGTACAGTAACATGCTCTATAGGTTTATAGCCCAGGAGCACTAGGCTATGCCATATAGCCTAACCACAGTTAGGCTGTACCACCTGGCTTTGGTTTTGTTTCTGTGTTTTTGAGATGGCGTCTCGCCCTGTTGCCAGACTGGAGGCAGTGCCGCGATCTCGGCTCACCGCAACCTCCGCCTCCCGGGTTCAAGTGATTCTCCTGCCTCAGCCTTCCACGTAGCTGGGACTACAGGTGCCCGCCACCACGCTCGGCTAATTTTTGTATTTTCAGTAGAGACAGGGTTTCACCATGTTGGCCAGATGGTCTCGATCTCTTGACCTCGTGATCTGCCCGCCTTGGCTTCCCAAATTGCTGGGATTACAGGCGTGAGCCACCGCGCCCGGCCCATCGAGCATCGTTTAAGTGCATTCTGTGGTGTTCACAGAACGACAAAATCACCTGCGGTGTTCAGAGAACAACAAAATCACCTAAT
This sequence comes from Homo sapiens, assembly GCF_000001405.40. Classification (NCBI taxonomy): domain Eukaryota; kingdom Metazoa; phylum Chordata; class Mammalia; order Primates; family Hominidae; genus Homo; species Homo sapiens. Next base: position 136,067,468 of record NC_000009.12, on the reverse strand, counting down.
GATGCATTTCTCAGGATATATCCCCGTCGTTAATCAACACGTCTGTATTCAGAGTTATGCAACCATTACCATCGTGAATTTTAGAACATCTTCATCACTCCAAAAACCACACCCTTTAGTAGTCATTCTCATTTCCCCATCCCTCCCCCACCCCCACTGCTCCCGGCTCTAGGCAACAACAATTTTTTTTTTTTTTTTTTTGAGACAGAGTTTCCCTCTTGTTGCTTAGGCTAGCTCTTGGCTGTGTGCGATCTTGGTGCGATCTTGGCTCACCGCAACGTCCGCCTCCCGGGTTCAAGCGATTCTCCTGCCTCAGCCTCCCGAGTAGCCGGGATTACAGGCATGAACCACCACGCCTGGCTAATTTTGTATTTTTAGTAGAGACGGGGTTTCGACATGTTGCTTGCCGAGGCTGGTCTCGAACTCCCGACCTCAGGTGATCCGCCTGCCTTGACCTCCCAAAGTGCTGGGATTCCAGGCTTGAGCCACTGCGTCCAGCTAAATCTTTTTTTTTTTTTTTTAATCTTTTTAAATGATCTGTTCTGGACATTTTATATAAATGGAATCTCATAATATGTGCCCTCTTGTGACCAGCATTTTTTTTCACACTTAGCGTAATGTTTCGCTTAGCGTAGCGCTCATCCGTGCTCTCCCAGTACTTCATTCCTATCATTGCTGAATGACATTGTATGGATATTCCACATTTTACTTACCCATTCAGCCCGTGATAGACATTTGTGTATTTCCACTTCTTGGCTATTGCAAATGATACTGCTAGGACACTCCAAACAAGTTTGCGTGTGGATGCATGCTTTCCTTTCTCTTGGCTGCATACCTAGGGTTGGAATTGCTGGGTCATGTAGGAATTCTATTTGACCTTTTGAGGAAATTCCAGACTGTTTTCCATAAGTGGCCCTAACATTTTGCATTCCCGATCGCTACATCTCTTTACATTTCCACCAACCTTTGTTTTCTGTCTTTTTGATTATAGCCATCCTAGTGGGTATGAAGTGGTATCTCTTTGTGGTTTTGATTTGGATTTCCCTGACGGCTAATGATGCTGAGTATTTTTGCGTGTGTATATTGGACATTTGTGTATAGTATTTGGAGAAATACCTTTTCAGATGCCTTGCCTATTTTTAAATTGAGTTATTTGTCTTTTTATTGTTGAGTTGTCAGAATTATTTATACATTCTAGATATAAGTCTCTTGTATGGTTGGCAGATATTCCCTTCTATTCTTTGGTTTCTTTTTCTTTCTTTCTTTTTTTTTTTTTGAGATGGGGTTTCACTCTATTGCCCAGGCTAGAGTGCAGTGGCACGTTTGTGGCTCATTGCAACCTCTGCCTCCCGGGCTCAGGTGATTCTCCTGTTTCAGCCTCCCGAGTAGCTGGGGTTACAGGCACCCACCACCACACCCGGCTAGTTTTGTATTTTTAGTAGAGATGGGTTTTCACCATGTTGGCCAGGCTGGTCTCAAACTCCTGACCTCAGGTTATCCACCTGCCTTGGCCTCCCAAAGTGTTAGGATTACAAGCGTGAGCCACCATGCCCGGCCTCTTTTTACTTTCTTTATGGTATTCTTTGAAGCACAAGATTTTTAAATTTTGAGGAAGTCTAATGTATCTGGGTTTTCTTTCCTTTTCTTTTTTTTTTTTGGAGACAGGGTCTCTGTCACCCAGGCTGGAGGACAGTGGCGTGATCACGGCTCCAGCCCCTTCCTGCAGCCTCAACCTCCTAGGTTAAAGTGATTCTCACACCTCAGCATCCTGAGTAGCTGGGACTACAGGCATGTGCCACCACTCCTGGCTAATTTTTTATTATTTGTTTATTTACTTATTTATGTATCTGAAACCGCGTCTCGCTTTGTCACCCAGGCTGGAGTGCAGTGGCGCAATCTTGGCTCACCACAACCTCTGCCTCTCAGGTTCAAGCAATTATCCTGCCTCAACCACCTGAGTAGCTGGGACTACTGGCGTGCGCCACCACATCTGGCTGACTTTTGTATTTTTAGTAGAGACGGGATCTTACCATGTTGGCCAGGCTGGTCTTGAACTTCTGACCTCAAGTGATCTGCCCGCCTCGGCCTCCCAAAGTGCTGGGATTATAGGTGTGAGCCACCACGCCCAGCCTAATTATTTATTTTTTGTAGATACGAGGTCCCACTATGTTGCCGAGGCTGGTCTTGAACTCCTGGGCTCAAGCGATACTCCTGCCTCAGCCTCCCAAAGTGTTGGATTACAGGTGTGAGCCACCTCACCTGGTCTGGTTTGTTCTTTCCTTTTGTTGCTTTGCTCTTTGGTGTCATATCTAAGAATCCATTGTTTAACCCAAGACCACAAAGATTTATCCTGTCTTTTCTTGTAAGAGTTTTATAGTTTTAGCTCTTACATTTAGGTCTTTGAAATATTTTAAGTTAATTTTTGTATATGGTGTGAGGGAAGGGTCCTGCTTCATTCTTTTGCATGTGGCTATCCAGTCGTCCCAGCACCACATTTTGAAAAGACTGTTCTTTCCCCATTGAATGGTCTTGGCACCCTTGTTAAATTAATTGGCTGCAGACACATGAATACATTTGTAGACTCATCTGTTCCATTGATCTAAGTCTGTCCTTAGATCAGCACCATACTATATTGATTACAGTAGCTTTATAGCAGAAATTGGGAAGTATGACTGCTCTAACTTCGCTCCTCTTTTTTAATATTGTTTTGGCTCTCCTGGGTCCCTTGCGTTTCCATATGAATTTTTAGCATCAGCTCGACAATGTTGGCAAAGAAATTAACCGGAATTTTGATAGAGATTGCATTGAGTCTGTAGATAAATTCGGGACATATTCCTTAATTAACATTATTAAGGAAGACTTTAATAATGTTAGGTCTTCCCATCCCATGAATATGGATGTTTTACTTCTTTAGATCTTTCATTTCTTTCAACAAAATTTTGAAGCTTTCAAAGTATGAGTTTTACACTACTTTTGTTAAATGTATTCCTATGTATTTTATGCTTTTTGATGCCGTTGTAAATGGAATTGTTTACTTGATTTTATTTTTAGGTTGTTCATTGCAAGTGTAGAGAAATACTTGTGATTTTTGTATACTGAGTTTATATTTTGCAATCTTGCTGTGCTTGTTCATTCTTCCAGTAGTTTTTAAGGATTAGGATTTACTTTTGTCTTTTTTTTGAGGCAGGGCCTCACTCTGTCACCCAGGCTGGAGTGCAGTAGTGCAGTCATAGTTCACTGCAGCCTCGATCGCCTGGGCTCAAGTGATTCTCCCCCCTCAGCCTCCTGAGTAGCTGGGACCACAGGTACACAACACAACGCCCAGCTCATGTTTGAATTTTTTGTAGAGATGAGGTCTTGCCGTGCTGTCCAGGCTTGTCTCAAACTCCTGGACTCAAGTGATCTTCCAGCCTTGACCTCCCAAAGTGCTGGGATTATAGGCCTGAGTTACCACGCCTGGCCTACAGTTTCATTATATTCTGGGGGCTCTAACAGTGTTAGATTTGTAAAGTTGCACAGTATCTTCTAGCCGATGAGGGCACAGCTGTTTAAGTGATTTTTGTTTTTTTTGTTTTTTTTTTTTTTGAGATGGAGTCTCGCTCTGTTTCCCAGGCTGGGGTGCAGGTGGTATGATCTCGGCTCACTGCAACCTCCACCTCTCGGGTTCAAGTGATTCTCCTACCTCAGCCTCCTGAGTAGCTGGGATAATAGGCGCCCACCACCACACCTGGCTAATTTTTCTATTTTTAGTAGAGATGGGATTTCACTTTGTTGGCCAGGCTGGTCTAGAACTCCTGGCCTCAGGTGATCCACCCGCCTTGGCCTCCCAAGTGCTGGGATTACAGGCGTGAGCCACCGTGCTCGGCCTTTTTAAGAGATTTCCTAATCTTGTTTGTGCATACCCTTCCCAGGTAGGAAAAACTCTATACTTTATGGGAGGGAAAGGCTCGTCCTGGTCCTGGTGATGGACATGCAGAGAACTTGCAGGCTCGGCCACAGGTCAAACGTAAATCTGGAAAATGGCCCCTCTTCTTATCTCAGAGGGAGGTGTTTGCTTCTGCAATGTACGTGACCTCTTTCCTGGATTGAAGAACAAAGATGACCAATAGGCACAGGACTCGAGCCCCTCATTGGCCCTGCAGGCATCTCCACAGGATCAGCCCACAGAGTCAGACCCCAGCCTCCAGGGCCCCCTCGCTGGTGCGTTGCTCCCAGGTGCTCTGCACAGCATGGCCGAGACCAGCCCAGGGGTCCCGGGAGCTGCTCATCCCTGGTCCCCGCCACGTAATGGGAATGCGGCTCAAACCACACGTTTGACAGGAGAGAGACAGATCGACAGACCTGGCCCACAACCAGACACAGAAACAGTCCCGGGGTGAAAGGGCTCAACAACAACAACGAGAACAAAAATTAGAAGAAAACAGTGACGGCAAAGTCGGGCTTCTTCTCTTGGGGAGACACAAGAAGACAGGCATGGGGTTGAGCACAGGCCATGTACCTCATGTTTCTGGGATGTCCTGTGAACGTATAATTTTATTTATTTACTTATTTAGAGACAGGGTCTTGCCCTGTTGCCCAGACTGGAGTACAGTGGCACGATCACGGCACACTGCGGCCTCGGCCTCCCAGGCTTAGGTGATCCTCCCACCTCAGGCTCCCAAGCAGCTGGGACTACAGTCACACACCACCACACTTGGCTAAGTCTTTGTATTTTTTTGTAGAGATGGGGTTTCGCCATGTTGCCCAGGCTAGTCTTGAACTGCTGGGCTCAAGCAGTCCACCCCCGCTGACCTCCCAAAATGTTGGGATTACAGGCATGAGCCACTGTGCCCAGCCTGTATAATTTTTAGAGTGATAAATGAGGCTGGTGTGAACGTACAGAGAACAGGTATTATGTATTTAACTCATCGATGAAGGAGCAGGTAGGATGGTCACTGGCTGGGAGAGGGCCAGAGGAGCCTCTGGGCCTAGGCACTGAAGACGAAGTGCTACCAGATCTTGCTAGACAAGGTCTAAAACTGGTTAATGCCCCACGGGCCAAAACCTCACTGTCTTTGGGACTGTCTTTTCTATAGAGAGAAATCTTTGCATGTTTCCTGGACAAAAGCTGACATGTATACCTGTAACTTTCCAGGGTCCGGGTAGATGGCAGGTCAAAGGTGCATCCTCCTAGGTAAGCGAGTGACTGCTGGGTGGTCCCTTGGCGTTGGGGGGAAGTATTTGCAGTCATCATGTTGCTTAGTTGCTAATTTCTTGCTAACTTTTCTTTCTTTCTTTTCTCTCTCTTTCCTTTCCTGTCCTGTCCTGTCCTGTCCTGTCCTGTCCTGTCCTGTCCTGTCCTGTCCTGTCCTGTCTCGCTCTGTTGCCCAGGCTGGAGTACAGGTACAGTGGTGCAATCTCGGCTCATTGCAACCTCCACCTCCCCAGTTCAAGCGATTCTCCTGCCTCAGCCTCCTGAGTAGCTGGGATTACAGGTGCACACCACCACGCTCAGTTAATTTTTGTATTTTTAGTAGGGATGGGATTTCGCCATGGTGGCCAGGCTAGTCTCGAACTCCTGACCTCAGGTGATCCGCCCGCCTTGGCCTCCCAAAGTGCTGGGATTACAGTTGTGAGCCACCGCGCCCGGCCACCAACTTTTCGTAATGGCCTGCTCTGTACCTGGGCCATTGTACCTGGGCCTCTGTACTCTGTATCTGTATCTGCTTCATGTGCTTGTCCCCGCCCACCCACCTGGCTTCTCGCTGGTTCCTGAGCCTGCTAGACCTCCGATCTGCCTCTTTCTGACCAGGAGGATGTTGCCACCTGGCCGTGTGAGGGCTGAGGCTGGGGGCTGGGGTAGACCTGCTGGGTCCAGGTGTGAGCCGCACAGGGTCTCAACCCCCGAACGTGTACACGCATCCTCTTGGGTACAATCAGCACGGCCCATCCATCCGCCTTCCCCTACCCCAGCTGCCTTCTCTCTGCCTCCAGCCCCTTCCTGCGGCCAAATGCCATGGGCCCCTCAATGGTCAGGGTTCCTGGGTGAGGGGGCAGCCTGGGAGCTGGGCCTGGTGACCTCCAGCATCTGGGCCTGGAGGGAGGGGACCCCTCTATCTGAGGGCTGTGCCTCTGTGTGGTGAGTGCCCGGGAAACGGAGCTGCCGCCATGGGCAGAGCCTGCTGTGGGTCCCAGTGGCTGGAGGCTGGGGCAGCCTGGGTTTGGTGACCACTCCAGCTGGGGTGTCAGGAGTCCTGGCCTGTCCCTCCCGACCAGGCAGTGGGAGACCCCGGTAGCCGGCACAGTCTGAGCTCACGGTGGGGGCTGTGCAGACCCGGATGGGGTTTAGGGGCATTCAAGGGGAGGAGGCAGAAGAGGAACCCCTTACCTGGCATTGTTCCTCCTCCCCTAGCCACTGAGGGGGCGTCCGTCCGTTCCAGTATGTGACAGAACCAGGGGGCCCTTGTCCCCACCCTGTGATGGTGCAGAACAAACCATGGCCTCAGGCCAGGGCATCCTGGGGTGACACCCTCCCCTCCCCCTTTCACCTTCCCCCGGACCCCTGTACCCAGTCTCTCAGGGACTGGCTGTGTTGGGGGGCTTCCTGGATGCAGAGGAGAAGGCTCTAGTCGGCTGGCAGATCCCTGGATAGCCATGTCTGGTGGGAGGGATGAGCAGGGGAGGGCTGAAGCCTGGAGACCGGCAGGCTGGTGGGGACGTGCCCAGGGCTCTGAGGGTCCCCCTGATGGCTCCGTGCTCACCGGCTATGTTTCTCACGCTCTTCACCTGGGAGCGTCCTGCAGCCCCCACTGGCACCTTTGAGACCCGACGGGGCTAAGCATGTGGTGCTGGGGTGCGGCCTTGGCCAGGGAGGATCAAGCAGGGCTTGGCCTTCTCGGGCCAGGGACTGAACCAGATGAGTCAAGGCAGAGTGGCACCCCCCACCCGGCCCCAGTGTGGAGCTGACCCTCAGGGAGGGGAGAGGGATGGGGCCTGGGCCTGGCCCTGTCTTCTGGAAAGAAGCGCCTGCTGCCACAGTTTCACAGTTGCCATTCCCGAGCTGTAGAAGTTGGGTGTTTGTATTTATGGTCTTTATTTTTCATATCGGTAATTACCTTTTATGGCCCCGGCTTAAAGGCAGCCCAGCCGGCTCCAGGGCCTCCCCGTGATCCCAAAGCCAAGTGCAGGCCTCCCCACCTTCCGCCGTTTTTCCCTCTTTTACACAAGATTCTTCGGTGTTGCAAAAGAGCTTTGGGAGATTTGGGTTTTGTGGTTAAGATTCTCACACTGGCGCACGAGGACAATTATGTGGCAGCTTTCATTTGGCCCCTAGGATTCTTACTACATTATCCGTACTTCCTTTAATTTGTGGGATTTCTAGTAAATGGGCTTAAAAATAGGTCTGGGCATGCCGCCAGGGCAGATGCGGGCAGCCGGCATCTCTGCATCCCTGTCTCATGGCAGAGTGGGGTCACCCTGTGTCCCTCGGCCCTGTGCCTCCTGCAGGTCCCCCGAGGCGGCTCCCCGTGCGCCCTGAGGAGGGGACAGGGTGCGGCCCCTCTCTGCTGGTCAGGACATCGGGGTGGGTCTTGGCTGCAATTGAGTTAGGGTGGAGGGGTTGGGGTCCTTTTGACGGCGAGGTAGGGACTCTGACGGAGGCCAGGCCGACTAGAGGGCTGGGGAAGCCGGGTGACATGCTCATGGGCCACACGGATACACACACAGGCCCAACAGTCCCCATGTAGCCAGCAGCCCTGCCCAAGGCAGGCTGTCCCGTCCTTGTCATGGTGGAGAGGACCAAGGCCAGCCGTATGCAGGGTGTCCCCGTGGCCGGCTGGAAGTCCCGGCCCTGCGGCCTGCTCAGGTTCCTTGCTGGGCCTGCTGACCTGGACGCGTTGCTGGAGGAGGGACTTGCCTTTTGTTTAACGTCTAGCCGACTTCGGCAACCCCCCAGCTCCCTGAGTGGACCACACACCCAAGGAGGCGGCCCGGGTGGGGTTTCCCAGCCAGAGTTCAGGTCACTCCCCTTGGGCTGCCGCTGTCCACTTTCTCAGGAGCGCCAGGTCTGGGCTCTGGGGCCTCTCGCGCAGCCCCCGTGCTGGCTTCTCTCTGGAGGTGCTGAGCTGGCATGTCATAGGGCCCTGCTCCGGATGGGCTGGTGCATGCATCTGGACACCAAGCATGGCTGTGCCCCTTGCTTAGCTCTGCGGGCCCCTGTGCGTGTGGCTCTGGCCTGGGCACCTTTGGCCTTAGCCCTGAGGGTGTCCCTAGTCCCGGGGAATGGCCCTGCTCCTGGGCTCACTGGGTGGCAGTTTTGCCCCCAGATGTCCCAGCTAAAGCTTCATCTCCAGGGACCCTGTGATTGTTTCTGTGCTGCTTGCAGGGGTTGGGGCTGTCTCAGGCTCTGATGTGGGTTCCAGATCACGCTTCTCCCCTGCCCCTGACCCAGCACCTTCCCTCTACAGCCCCCACACTGCCTCTCCCTGCAGACAGGAGGGCGGGGCCCAGGGGCCAGAGTCACGCCTCCCACACCTGGGCCTCTGCTACCCATCCAGGGGCAGCGCTATCCACTGGGGTGGGGTGGCGGTCAGGAGACCATCCTGCCCCGGCCCCTGCGTCCCCTCCATGGCTTGAGCTCTGCCAAGGACTTTTGTCCAATCCCATGCCCCAGCGTGAGGCATTGCCCGAAGTGTGCAGGTGGGGGCTATTCCGAATCTCTGGTGCTGTGTGAGTTGAATCTTTTCCTTTTTTCAACTTTTATTTTCGATTCAGAGATACGTGTACAGGTTTGTCACCTGGGTGCATGGTGCGATGCTGAGGTGGGTTGCGATCGAGCTCGTCACTCAGGTGGTGAGCATGGTACCCGGTGGGTTAGTTTTCAGCCTTTGCCCTCTTCCCTCCCTCATCCTGTTGTTCCTAGAGTCTGTCATTCCCATGTTTATGTCCGTGTGTATCCAACATCCCATCTTTCTGAAGAGCTGAGAAAGCCCAGGTCCCAGACAGGAATGTCCAGAGGGTAAAATATGGATGGCCAGGGCCCTGGGGAGCCTCCGGAGCCCCCTCCTGAGCAGGTGCCTGCTGCTTCCGCCGGACACCCCTGAGGATGGGAATCCCGGGTCCCTGGCTGGGAAGGGCCTGGGCCAGGCACTGGGAGCCGTGGGGACCGGGCAGGATGGGGTGGGGCAGGGATGGAGGTGGCCATGAGGTGCTGCGGGTGTCTGCCCTGTAGTTCGCCCTTTGGGGCAAAGGCAGGGCGAGGTTGGTGACCCCAAGGACATAGCCTGGGTTCCCTGCTGCCCAACTCCAGGCGGAGGTGGTGCCAGCAGCCCCCTTGCCAGCCAGGGCCTAGAGGCGTGTGGCTCCAGGCGTCATTGGGCCCCCCCCGCCCCCAGTGGCTGATGTAGTGTTTCTGTGTCGCTCTGATTTACATGAGAGTTTTAAGCATAATTAGAAATGCAGGGGAGCTTTGTGTCTTACCTCGCCTCACTATTTATGGCATGATATGCAGATGAGGAGAGCTATGAATATTAACCATGAGAGTGTGCCGCGAAGTCGCCGTCTCTAATGGGCTGGGTGACCAGCAGCGGGGCCCAGCACGCTCCAGACCGCCTCCCATTGCCCACCTCTGACTGTCGGTGCCTGGGATCCGACCGCTTCCACAACCCCCGGCCCCAGTGGTGATGATCAGGCCACAGCTGCTCCAGGCCATCAAGAGAGGGGGTGAGCGAGTGAGGAGGGTGCTTCCCCTCCCGGCCGCTCCGCCTGGGCAGCCCCAATCTCAGCTTCCACCCGGCCGAGCCGGTGCAGGGGAGACCCTACTGCAGCCCTGGGGGAGGAGGGGGCCCTGCGCTGGAGCTGGCGCTGGCTTTTTAAGTTATTAAACTATGCCCGAGGGAGACGCTCTTCAAGCTTACGTTATTTAAATTACAAATATGGGTGAGGGAGATTGTCGGCTCTTTTCGAAACACAGCTTAATTCTTTGGAAACCTTCTAGAATGTTTTGTGGTGTGAGGGAGCATCCCACAGTGTGTGGACCCAGTGGGTCTGCTGGCTGGGGTGGGGCCATAGGGCGGATCTGGGGCTCAACAGGAGCCACCCCAGCCCCAGCTGTCCCTCCCCACCCTTCGAGTCATTCTCTTCCTCTGAGCCATCCCTGTTGACAGTCTGTGCTGTGTTTGTCCCCCAAGTCCTTACCCATAAGAAAGAATATTCTGCAAGTGAAGGTTAGAGATGAGCGTGTTGGTGGCCAGGGGCCATGCCTCAGGTGAGCCGTGGCTGCTTGGGTCATTCCCCATAAGCGCAGGGCTCGGCTCAGTCACACAGGCCCCTGGACCAGACCCCCGGCAGAGCCAACGCCACGGGCACCCCACAAGGCCCTATCGGACGCAGAGCCTGCTGCTGCCGAGGATGGAGCGTCCTCCCAGCCCTCCCTCGAGGTACTGGCTGCTGGAGGCCCACCCTGGGGGTGGGGGCTGGGGGCTGTGCTGTCCAGAGACCCCCTGCTGTGTCCCTGGCTTCATCCCCTCTATCTGTGGGCCTGCCCACGGGTGGCCGAGAGGAAGGGCTGATACACGGAATTGTGGATTTGCAGGTCCTGGAGTACTGCCCTTCTCCATCTGGGAAGAAAGCTTCCAGGCAGATGTTCCTTAGTGCAGTTACCGCCGGCTCTGATGGCTGATGCTGGCCCTGGCTTGTGGTCTGGGGTAGAAGCCGCCTAGGGACCTGGCTGAACGGAGAGAGCCCGGCCTGGGCCCAGCCCTGCATGGCTCTCCTCCACCTCCCAGGCTGGGGCGACAGTGATAGTCCGAGGGGGCCCGTCATCCCAGAGACCCCCCGTACCTCTGTGACCCTGAAGCTGGGGGCCTTTGCGCCCCTTTCCTGGGTGGAACTCTCCTCTCTGCCACAGAGTCCTTAGGGCCCTGGCAGGTCAGGGTCGTAGCTACCCGGGGTCTGTTGGGCGGGGCCAGGCATCCTCTCTGGCTCTTGTGACTTGATGACCAGAGACCACCCAGGAAGGATGATGGCTAGGGGCCTGGCCCCGCTGCCTCCCGACTGTGAGGTCTCAGTTTCCTCATCTGTATGTCCAGTAGCGGGGAGGTGAGCACACGGCACACGCCATCCTGGCTTTTGTGGGGGCCTCGGGGTTGGGGGGAGTTCCTGGCCGCCGAGGGCCCTGGCCCAGAGCTGCTGCATCTCATCTGCATGGAGCTGGTGGTTCCATTAGCAGCCAGGCCTCCGGGCAGCCCAGCTCTGCTTTCTGGCATTTTAAAAGTTTAATGCAAACCTGAGGGCTAAGCTGGTGCCACACCCAGCTCCCTGAGGCCCTGGCACATCCGGAGCTGGGCAGCCTCTACCCCCCAGGGTTAACCTCCGGGCCCCCTGCCGCCCCCTTGTCCTCCCTAGGGCCTCTTTTCTGAAGGTATAGGGTCAAAGCAAATCCTCCTGGAGCCTGCACCGTATGGGAAAGGGAAGGCGTTGCGCGGAGGTGGGCAAGGTCCACGGGGTAGCAGCCCCCAGACTGTATTCCTAACACCCCCTGTGCTCCTGCTGACTCCAGAGCACCTGGCACAGCAGGCCCGCCCCATCCCCACACCTTCTCACGCTCCAGGAGCGCCTTCGATTGACCTTTTAGGAGATGTCCTCACTTAACTAACTGCCAGGCAGTCTCCACCAGGGGCCGGGGCTCGGGGTAGAGGGACTCTCCCCTCCGCAGAACGTTTCCCGTGCCCCGCCTCTCTCCTTCCTCTACCACGTGTTTAATGGCTGTGCATTTGCTGAGGTCCAGAACCTCTTATTAGATTGGTGAAATTAAATCCTGCAAGATAATTTAATTTAATTTAATTTTTCTCGCCTCCCTTCCCCTTGCTGGTGGTGATCCTGCAGAAATTCAGTGCCGCATTCCTCTGGTTTGCTGTGCTGGGCTTAGAAAGTGCTTTACAATCTAGGGGTGGAGGGGGCAGGGTTTCTGGGGACTCTGGGCGAGGCCCTCAGACCATGGAGCTGCCTGGCTGGGCCCCAGGAAAAGGGCTCCTCCTGTTGGGCTGCCTGACTGGTCCCTGTCCCAGTCCTCTGGCCTGGGGGATGCTTTCAGGGGTCTTGTACCTGCCAGAGCCTCTGCTCCTGGGTACTTGATGCCAGGACCCAGGTGCCCTGGCCTGGCACCAACCTTGTAACCTGTGTCCTTGTGTGAATCCTGCCGGGACGACACTCAGGCAGGGGGGTCGTTCTGGAGACGCTGCCCCAACCCCTGTGTGCGCGTCTGGCTGCAGTTCCAGTGAGCCCCTGTCCTCCCCGCGGGCTCCTCTCACCCATCGGCAGGTTGCTGGGTATGGGGCTCATCATGGTGGGCAACCCCTAACCCCAGGGCAGGGCAGGCCTGGATCTCAGCCTTCCTCAAGTGAGGCTCTGCAGAGGAGAGACCCCCCACTCCGACACCACAGCCACCTGTATTTTCTTATTCCTGAGGGTGGCTTGTGGGCTCAGAGGAACCCAGCCTCCTCTGTGTGTCTGTGTGGGGTGGGGCACCGAAGGCTGGCACAGCTGCAGGGAGTGGACTCGGGCCTTGGGTCACCTGCAGAGGTTCTCCAAAGTGGGTTCTGTTCTGAAGGGCGTTTTGAGAGCAAGGGTCGTTGGTGCCACAACCCTGAGGATGGCTGGGGTAAACAAAGTTGGCGACCTCTGATTTTTTGCCTGGCTCTGCAGAACTTTCCATAAGTGAATGAGTGTGTTGAATCTCACCGAGAAGGGGAAACAATAGGAGGTGTTGCTTGGGAAGCAAAGTGGTGGGGAAACTGAGTCACTGGAGAATGTGCAGGGGAGGGTGGGGATGCCCTGATGTCTGAGAACCAGGCTTGGCCCCTGCCCTCCTGAGCAGACAGCTCTGCTCACGTCCCTGGGCCCACCTGGGCCCTCGGCCCCCTCCTCTCTGGGTGTAGCAGGAGGGTCAGCCCCCGTGTGTCTGCTTTCCTGGCCCTGGGGGCGTGAGCCAAGCCTTTATTTTATTCTTTTCTCCTAAAGTTCAGCTTTGTTCTTGAGCCTTCCAAGAAAGCAACCTAAAACCAGCTCCTGTCCGGCTCTCAGCAGGCTGGGGCGTGGGGCTGCAGCCTCACCGGTGCAGGTGGCCTGAGGACAAGCCAGCAAAAGCTCCAGTTGTCCTCGATCCCCAGGGACCACACGGCCCCATCACCTTCAAAGGGAATAATGGTCCCTTCTCTGGGAGAGCTGGTCTGTCCCCCAGCCCTGGGGCTCCAGCTCCTGAGGTGCGGACGCAGGCCGAACTGGGCTGGGCGTTAAGACGCCCACCTGGATGCCCAGCTGAGAGCTGCTCTCCTGCCCAGGTCACAGCAGGTTGCAGGCATCACCGGCTTTCTGTGTGTGAGGCTTCAGCCGCCGGCTTCACAAACATTGTTCCATTCACCCCCAGGAACCATCTGAGGGTAAATCATAACCCCAGTTCACAGCTCAGCGTCTGAGGCTGAGGTGTCCTTACAGGAAGTGGCTGGTGCCCACGGGACCTAGGATTTCAGCCTTGCCAACAGGCCAGGACCCTCTTGCTGCTGGAAGGGACAGGCTGAGAGCCTACATTGTCCCTTGCTGTCTGTGTCAGCCCTGGCTGCTGCCCTACCCAGCCCAGGTACTTGGGACCCCCAGGAACCGGTGCGCCGTGCTGGCCTCTGCCTGTCCCCTCTTTTGGTACAAAAGCCCCTGTATGACTCAGACATCCCTACCCCCCCGTCCTTGGGGCGAAGTTGCCCACAACAGAAGCCACGGGCTCTCTGGGAGGCTCCTGGTGGTGGGCGCAGTGGGTCTGTGAAGGGAGCTGTCTAGGGGCCTCTGCCCTCTGTGCTGTGTTGCACAGGCCCCTCTCTTGTACCCCCCTGCCCGGGTTGTGTCCAGCATTCAGCCCTTGCCGAGCTTATGAGGGCACTTGGCAGACTTCCTGGATGAGGCAGAAACTAAGTGGGGACCTGAGGGTGGAGGGTGTGGCGGGGAGGGTGACAGCTGGGCCCTGTGTCTCCTGGCCCGGTGGAGCCCAGCTCATCAGCATGGCCGAGTGGGGACGTTTCTGTAAACGCCCCCATCCCAGTCTCCTTGAGTTGTCACCAGCCCCTTGTAGGAGGCAGAAAACACTAGGCACGAAGCCACCTCCACGGGCCTTTGCCGGCAGCTTCCCCGCACCTGGATCTCTTCCCGTCCCCATTCAGTGGCTTTTTGTCTGGTCTGGAGAAGCTGAGCCCATGGTGTGTGACTAGGGAGGAGCCAGATGGCCCTCTCTCTGGTCTCCGGATGCCTCAGAGGGGCGCCGGGAGTGAGGGGCAGGGCTGTGTCGCCTTGCCTCCCACCAGGCCTGTTCGGGCCTCCTCCGCATCCTGCTGCCAGGGTTACCCCGAGGGTGGTGGAGGCAGCTGGCCAAGCAGGAGGGGGCTCACCTCAAGGCCTCGAGCCTGGACCCTGCCCCTTCTTTTGGGTGGAATGTGCTCTTCCTGGGGGTCACAGCCAGTGGCAGGGAAACTGAGGCTGGGCAGTCCAGAGGTCAGCCTCAGGGCCCCACGCAGAGAGGCTGGTATGAGCCCAGGATGAAGTACACATTCTCTGGAGGGGTCCCGGGGCCACCACAAGTCCTGCACAGCAGCAGCCCCTTCCCAGGAAAAGGCTCAATAACAGCCAGACGCTGCAGACCCCCTTGGGCAGGAGGTGCAGCCTGTGTGGCCGCAGCCAGGAGTGTGCGGGAGGAGCGAGGCGGCCGCTTTGCCCTCTGCTGGGACCTCTCAGGCGGGGCTGCCCCTTCCGGCTCCTGGTTGCCCGGCCACAAAGTCGCTCTTTTCTTAAAGTGCCAGGAGGGCGCTGGGAGTGGGATGGGGAGGGGTGCTGGGGCTGGACTCCCGGGCCTGCCGCCTGGGCAGAGGACACAGCTCTAAGGCCCCCAGGACCTGGGGTGCCGCCTCACCCACCCACTGCCTGCCGTTTCTGTGCCTCTCTTCACCCCCTGCTGTACCTCCCCTCCCCTTCCCTGGCTCCCCTAGCTGTCCTGACCCCCTCACCCCCTCCCCCTGGCGCCTCTGCCCATTCCCCACCCTCGCTGGAGGAGTTCAGCTCTGCCAGCTCTGCAGACTGTTTGGAATAGTTTAAATGCTTTGACACTGGGGCTGTCCTGGAAGGCCGGGAGGCAGTTTACTGGGTAATTCATATGCAAAACTGCACCATAAATTTCCAGGCTGTCTCAGTTGCCGTGGCACCGGGAAGCATTTCTCCACTACTGTACAGTATTTCTGCCATCTTTGTTTGCATTGCAGTGAGTCATCAAAAGTCTGTCTCGTACCAGCACCCGGGGCCGCGCATTCCTCTGGCACCAACACTCCACTGTTTTTAAAGCCGGGGCTGGGAGCTGGCATTTACTTCGGCTCCCAAATCAAAGGCGGCTATTCATTCCCGAGCCGCCGGAACGTTCGTCTGCATCCGGCCCCTTCATTGAGATGCGGTGCGCTGCCCGGGAGGGCCGGCCTGGGTGCAGCTGAGCTGCGGCCGCGAGCCCAGCGCCCAGGCGCTCTGCCCTCCTCCTCCTCCTCCTCCTCCACCATCTCCTCCTCCTCCTCCTCCTCCTCCTCCTCCTCCTTGCCGGCTCCCTGCGCCCTCCCCGCCCCAGGGCTCCCGCTCCGTTTGCTGCATTCGCGGAGCAGCTGGGCAGGCGGGCTGCGTGCGGGGAGCCTGTCCTGCCAGGCGGAGCGGGCAGTGCCGGCCGGCGGCCGCAGCGGCTGAAGGTAGGTCTTCCCGACCGGCCGGCAACTTCTCCGCAGCGGGGGCACTGCGGGCCGCCCCCGGCGCGCGTCCACCTGCCCAGCTCCCGGCGCGGTGGCTCCGCCCTCCTCCCGCCACCCGGCGCCTCTGCGGCCGCCCGCACTTTCCTCCCGTGGGACACAGCGGCCTTTGTGCGGCCCTGCGGAGTTGGGCTGGCGCCTTCTGGGCCGCCCCCGCCCCCTCCGGAGTCCGCACCAGATAAACAGCGGCGCCCTCCCCAGCTCCCAGCCCCGGGGTCCGGGCAGCCCGGCGAGGGCTGGGACCCCTGTAGTCACCTGGGTTGGGGCCGGGCCGTCGGGATTGGCCCGCGTGGGGAGCGAGGCGAGCGGGGTGGGGGGCGTCCGCGAGTGGGGCTGCGACAGGCTTCCCAACTCCTGCCCTGGCGGCGGCTTGGGAACCTGGGTCTGGTCCGAGCCAGGAGAGCACGGGAGAACGGAGCGGGCGCGCCCAGGGTGGTCTCTCTGCGCGAGGGAGGAGTGGACGCGGCTTCAGCGGACTTCCCGGCACCCCCAGCCATTCCCTACCTGCCCGGGAGGCTCAGGGGGACTAGGGGACGCTGGCCCGCCTTCCCCGCAGGGGCCCTCTGCGAGGCTGCTCGGAGGGAAGAGAGGGAAAGCAAACCGCAAACTGCACAGCTCCAGAGACCCCCCTCCCTCCCTCCTTCCCCGCTGCTCCAGCGCGGCCCCTCCCGGGAGCTCCTGTGCGGGCTGGAACTTTTTTGAGGGGAGGAGAGTGGCTGCAGGTTTGCCCAGAGGCTCCCCCGGCGGCCCCCACCTCCTGTCCCGGGGCAGGTTCAGGCCTGCGCTCCTCCTCGCCTGCTGAGACCGAGTCGCTAAGAGCAGCCCCCTGGGAGTGGCGTGGGCGCACTCCTGCCGGGCAGCACCCCGGGGATCTGCAGCAGTGCTGGCCGGGCCCTCTTGCCCGTCTGCCAGGGGGTCTGGGAGACCCCGTGTCCCTTCTCTGGAGTGTCCCAGCCAGGAGGGGCGGGGGAGGGCGCGTGCGGAAGGCTCGCTCTTTGTAAGCCCCCGGCGGGGGAGGAGGGGGTGGGAACGGCCCCTTGAGCGGGGAGCCCGTGACCTGGAGGAACTGACCACGTGCCTCCTGCCCCCCACAGATGAGCCCCGCTAGGGCCGCCCCGCGCTGAGAGCCCAGCCCCGCCGCTGCCCGCCCGCCATGTCTCAGATGCTGCACATCGAGATCCCCAACTTCGGGAACACAGTGCTGGGCTGCCTGAACGAGCAGCGCCTGCTGGGCCTCTACTGCGATGTGTCCATCGTGGTCAAGGGCCAGGCCTTCAAGGCCCACCGGGCGGTGCTGGCCGCCAGCAGCCTCTACTTCCGCGACCTGTTCAGCGGCAACAGCAAGAGCGCCTTCGAGCTGCCCGGCTCCGTGCCGCCCGCCTGCTTCCAGCAGATCCTGTCCTTCTGCTACACGGGCAGGCTCACCATGACGGCCAGCGAGCAGCTCGTGGTCATGTACACGGCCGGCTTCCTGCAGATCCAGCACATCGTGGAGCGCGGCACCGACCTCATGTTCAAGGTGAGCTCGCCCCACTGCGACTCGCAGACCGCTGTGATCGAGGACGCCGGCTCCGAGCCCCAGAGCCCCTGCAACCAGCTGCAGCCGGCCGCCGCCGCCGCGGCCCCCTACGTCGTGTCCCCCTCGGTGCCCATCCCGCTGCTGACCCGAGTAAAGCATGAAGCCATGGAGCTGCCGCCGGCCGGCCCAGGCCTGGCCCCCAAGCGCCCGCTGGAGACGGGGCCCCGGGACGGCGTGGCGGTGGCCGCGGGGGCTGCGGTGGCGGCGGGCACAGCCCCTCTCAAACTGCCCCGTGTCTCCTACTACGGGGTGCCCAGCCTGGCCACCCTCATCCCCGGCATCCAGCAGATGCCCTACCCCCAGGGGGAGCGGACCAGTCCAGGCGCCAGCAGCCTGCCCACCACCGACAGCCCCACCTCGTACCACAACGAGGAGGACGAGGAGGACGACGAGGCCTACGACACCATGGTGGAGGAGCAGTACGGCCAGATGTACATCAAGGCCTCCGGCAGCTATGCAGGTAACGCGGCGGGGTGGAGCCCCACACCACCTGGCTGGGAAGCGGGGCCTGCCTGGGACCCGGGTGGCTCAGGAGGCCACTGGGCCGGAGGCCTGCGGGGCCACAGGGGAGCCCCCCACCAAGCCTGGAGGAGGTGGCAGAGCTCTGTTCACCATGGGGTTCAGACTTGGTCCTGGATGAGACAAGAACTCCTAGGAGACTCTGCCAGCCTGTAGGAAGGGTCTTGTCTCCACTGGATAGATGAGGAAACGCAGGTGTCCCGTGGCCCAGGGACCTGCCCCAGGGTTCACGTTCCCCGTCTGTGAAGGGCCTGGCGCCACGCGGTGTACGGGAGGACCCGCCTACTTCCCCTTTAACCTCAGTCTGCGCCTCACCCGGCCAGGTCTAGAGAGTCCCCTGAACCCAGCCCCTTTGCCACCACCTCTCCAGGCCCCGCGCCAGGGATGGGCCAGGAAGCGCCCAGTGTGCTGAGCCGAGTGAGCAGTCGCTCCCCCTCCTCTCCGTTCCTTTCTTTCAAGGAGGGCTGCTCCCCGTCCTGGGCCCCACAAACCCAGGTTGCCCTAATTGGAGATTCCTGGTTACAGCCTCTGGAGACTGTTCAGGCTTTGCTGGGCAGAGTCCCACAGTTGGTGCCCAGGATCGGGTGTCCCTGCAACCTGACTGTGTGTCTGGGCTGGCCACCTGGCTGGTCTGCATGCAGGGCCTGTGTGCAGCGGCCTGGGCCTGGGTGCGGGTGCATAATGCCAGCCACGGGCAGGTGGTGGACCCCGAGGGGCAGTGTAGGGACTCTCTCCACCCCACCACGCATATCCCTGTGCCCTGATGGGACGCCCCCCTGCCCTTCCCCTCCTGCAGTGCTGGTTGGGGGCAGAGGGGGCCAGGACCACCCACCAGCTTGGACCCCTAGGCCAGCTGGGTCCCTGTGCAGCGTCTGTCACCACAGCCGGGACAGCAGGGTAACCACTGCTTTGGCCAACCTGGCTCCCTCTCCGCCTGCAGGAGAAGCCACTGCCTTGCCAGCAGGTGCTCTGGGCTCCGTGGTGTCTTCCTGAGAACTCCGCACTTGGTTTAAATGTATATTGCTGTGTTTGCATGAATCCCACAGAATGCCAGCTCACAGGCCACCTCGATCTGGGCTTCACAGCTTTTGTTTTCTTTTAGTGGTAGGGGGTAGGGCTTGATTTGTCCTGAGACTGGGAGCTTTGCTAGCTACGGAATTGGCCCTTCCTGAGGGCAGAGCACACCGGGCTCCGGCTCACCACAGAGGCCGTACAGGATGTCAGTGCTTGTGGACCCGGCTGGCTGAGGCCTCCGGGGAATCCGCCCCATGTGCGCTTTCCCTCTGCCCCTGCTGACAGCCACCCCAGGGAAGGCAGGGGACCAGCCAGAGGCTGCTGGGGAAGGCTCCCAAGGCCCACCCAGGGCCCCTGTTGGGAAGGAGCTCTGTCCATGGGCTCCAGTCCCAGGGCAGAACCCCAGACAGGCTGGGCACCCCTACAGTCCCTGAGGACATCCCCCATTGATGGCAGCCAGACAGTGCCCTGCCGACAATGGCAGCCAGACAGGGCCCTGCCGACGGGTTGCCGACGGGTCAGGGAGCTGCACCATGGAGATGGAAACAGACCCATCGTATCCAAACATCTTCCCAGGGTCCTCCCTGCACAGCCCCCTGCTGCTCCAATGTGACCTTGGGCCTTGGTGTGTTTGGGGTGATGGGAGCCAGGGCTGGGTGTCGGGTTTGCTGGGAGCACGGTGAAGCCTCGTGACTTGTCCCATGCATCTGCCCCTGGGTGCTGGGTCAGCCTTAAGCCCTCACATCGCCTGGACTTCGTGAGCTAGAAGCCCTCACGCCCACCTGCCTTGATGGGTTTTTGGGGAGTCAGCAGGACCGCAGCCAGGAAGCGGCTCTGTGGAGTCCCGGATGTGTGTTGGGTGGGGACGGGAGGCAGCTGCTCTGGTGAGTCCTTCCCTCCAACTCCCCCGTACTCAGACCACACGAGGTACAGTCCCATTGGGGCTGAGGGGTGGGGACACCCTCAAGGCCATGTTCCTGCAGGGCTTTGTCCAGGCCGCAGGTGCTGCGCGGCATTCTCTGCCTTTGCACGGGTGTCGCTGATGCCAGCGAGGTGGAAAGTGGGCGGCTGGGAGGCCAGGCCTGCTCCCGCCCACCTACCATACAGTTTGGCTCTGGATGCCACAGTCTGGGTTTCTTGTCATGGTTTTTCTGTTCGGCAAGCCCATAAGTGGGGCAGAGAAAGGGGGTGTGTGATTTCTTGGTTAAAATCTAGGTTACTGGCTGTGACGTTGCTGGCGTCGCTGGGTGTGCTGGGTTGGCGGTGCCATGGGGGGAGCAGGTAGAGGGAGGGGCCGTCGCCTGACCTGGAGCTGCCCCTGGGTGCTAGCTCCCCGTGCCCTCCGTGTCCCGGGCTCGTCCGGGGAACGTCCTCACACCCACGCAGGAGGCTGGCTGCTGCCCTCGCCAGGCCGTGCAGGAGTGGAGGCAGGTAGCTGTCTCTCTGGGCTGGTAGGACTAGCGTGTTCTAAGGTCCCTGCAGGCTGAGCTCCTCCTCCTCCCTGGCCTCAGTCTCCCTACCTGTTGAGTGAGAGGCGGGCCTGAGCGATTGCCGAGGGTCCCGGAGCTGCACCTTGGTGTGTGGTAATGCGTGTGCCTGTTCCACCCTCTCTCGCGTTAAGAACCATGGACAGTTTGTCCTGTAGGGCTGTTCTCCTGTTTTTGAAATAAGTCAAAATATTACAGATAAAGTTAATTGCCTTTTGTCCCCGGCACAGCCCCCGCCCCATGGTCTGTGTGGCCTCACGGCAAGGGTCTCCATGCGGTGTCTGTCTCGTGCCTCTCCTCCCTCCCTCCAGGTCCCGCGTCACCACCCGTCAGAAGGAGCCGCCACGTTTGATTTCTCCAGTGCCTTATCAAAGGACATTCAGGTTGTTTTCAGTTTGTTGCAGTCAGGAGCAAAGCTGCGAGAAGGCGCCATGCATGGGTGTGTGAGGTTGATGGGGCCGAGTTCAAGCCCCCCCACCCGCAGCGAGGCAGGCCCCGTCTCGGTCCCCATCAGGTGGACGCTGGCTCGGGACGCTCAGTGCTTCCCACCCACCAGCCCTCATCTCTGCAGCAGTCACTTCAGGGCGCCCTCCTGGGCCTTAAGCCATCACCCCTGCGGCAGGCAGGGACCTTCCTCCTGGCCCTGTGGCCGGCAGCCTCGGGAGACCCCGGAGCAAGATGAGCTGGGGGTGGGGTGCACCCAGGGGTGAAAGAAAAACATCGTATCCACCGGAAGGGAAACGCCCAGTGCAGTTCCCCTCTGGCTGATGGGGAAACCTCCCAGAGGGTGAGGCGCAGGCGTCCCTGCCTGGCGTTGTCAGGGGCCTTGCATCTGAGCTAGAGATTGCGAAATGCCTGCCTCCGCCTCCCCTGCACCCCCATCCCTTCCCGCCCCACCACGGGGGTGAGTCAGGGGCCAGCCCCTCCAGAGAGCAGGAGGTGGGCCGGGCAGAGGGAGCCTGTGCCTTGGGACTTGGTGGTGCTGTGGCCTGAGCGGGAGCCCCTTTCCTCTTCGGGCCCTCTTCCTCGCGTACCCGCCTTCATTCCCCCAGGGTGCGGCTGCATTCCCGCTGGGGCTCAGGGCTCGGGGGCATCTGAACGTCCAGCAGGGACACCGGGAGCCGGGGCTTCCCCGGCAAGGCAGCCGGCCGGGTGGGCAGCGCCAGCTGGGGCTGGGCTTGGGGTGGGGGCTCCCCAGCTGCGCTCAGGGGTCTGTTCCCGTGGTCTCCTTGGCACATCTGGATCCACAGGTCCCTGCAACAGCCGAGACGGTCATGGCAGCTGCTTTTACCCCAGGGCAGATGACAGCACGGGGCCCTGACGGTTATTTCATTGAGTGGGGGTGGCCGTTGTCACCCAAGCTGAGGACGGGCACCTGTGGCATGGCAGACCGCTGAGGTCGAGGGACAGGGAAATGGAGCTCGCAGAGGGAAGGGGTAGTGCCATGCTGGGGCTTCTCTCCTGTCCTCTGAAGGGGAGGGGGCTGCCCGGACCTGCGCCCACACCCCCTCCTGTGCCTGATGGGGCTCGCCCGGCCATCCCTTTCATGCCCTCAGCAGTGGCTTCGGGCGGGCAGATGTTTAATTGCAGCTGGCAGATGTCACTCTGTGTGGCTGGCAGAGACAAAGCCACGCCTGGGTATTGACACCAGCTGCACACTTCCACGGTAACCCTTTCCCAGCAGGGGACAGCTCTGGCCACAGGGCCCGTGGGCCCGTGACGGTAACCCTTTCCTGGCAGGGGACAGCTCTGGCCACAGGGCCTGTGGGCCCGTGAGTGGGTGGCCCTGTGCATGTCCGCTTCCCCTTCCCTTCTGGCTCCCTCCACCCCCACCTCTCTGGGGTCCACCCGGTGTCCCCTGTGTGCCTCTCTGCAGGGCATGGGGGTCAGGCACCCATCCCTAAGCTGGGTACCCACTTCCATGGGGCGGTCTGAACTCAGGCAAAACAGGCAAAGTTGGAACTGCTCAGGGTCCAGGAGACCCTCCCATCCAGCCTCAGACCAGCTGCCCACATCCTGGACCCTGGACAGATGCCACTGGGTGTGGGTCGTGGCACACAGCAGCACATCTGTCCTGGCTCTGCCCATCAGGAGAGGCCTGCTGCGGGCCCCACCCTTTTCAGGGTGACCTGCAAGGTCAGCACTGGCCCCGTCCATCCCCCGGCTGAACACCCAGGCTTGGGTGGGGTGCTCCCGGCCCTGGGCCACAGAACCCAGGTGGCCAGGGCTGCTGGCTAGGGTGGTCTCCGTTGCAGCCACTCACCCCCCACCATTACCCATCCGGAAGGTACACCTGCCCGGTCGGGGAGCAGGGCTGTATGTCCGAGGCCGCTCCCACCAGCAGCTCAAAACTCAGGACTGTTGTTTGGGGTTCCCAGAGAGAAGCAAGAAGAGGGGCTGAACTTGGGGTTGCTGAGTATGCAAATCGCACCATCGTCCCCACTCTGCTGCCTTGTGGCCTGGGACGGGGGCGTCCGCACTGTTAGAGCCCCCCCACCACCACCCAGGGAGCAGAGGGTGCCTTCATCTCTGGCCTGGATAGGGTGGGGCCCAAGAGGAGGCCCCAAGCAGAGATGGCCAGACCGGGGAGTGCCGTTGGCTGCAGGGGTCGGGGGTGAAGGGTTCCTTCTGCTTTGAAGGGCCAATACCCCTGCAACTCAGGCCTTCCGAGGAGCCGAGACCACAGTCATGTGCCGCTATGCCCAGCTAATTTTGTAATTATTTATAGAGACAGGGTCTCGCTATATTGTCCAGGTGGCCTCGAATTCCTGGGCTCAAGAAATCCTCCCGCCTCAGCCTCCCAAAAAGCTGCGATTACAGGTGGGAGCACCGCACTGGACCATCTGTCTGCTTTCATCAGCATCCTGTAGATATGGTGCATCTGTGGTGTGGCCCGTCTAGGCCATTGTTCTCTCCTCCCCGCCTTTTTTGCTTGCTAAAGTATTTGTATTGGCCAGGCGTGGTGGCTCACCCCTGTAATCCCAGCACTTTGGGAGGCTGAGGTGGGCAGATCTCTTAAGGTCAGGAATTTGAGAGCTGGCTGGCCAACATGGCGAAACCCCTTCTCTACTGAAAATACAAAAATTAGCCGGGTGTGGTGATGCACGCTTGTAGTCCCAGCTACTCTGGAGGCTGAGGCAGGAGGATCACTTGAACAAGGAGGCAGAGGCTGCAGTGAGCTGAGATTGCGCCACTGCACTCCAGCCTGGTGACAGAGCGAGACCCTGTCCCCAACCAAAAAACAAAAACCAAAAGTATTTGTATCCTTTACAAAGTGTGCCATCAGTGAGTTCACTGTGCAATCAAGTGCAATGTTGCAATCAACATACAGAACAGTTCCCTCCTGTAGAATGTTACCCTGGGGTTCTTTGCACAGAGTCGTCTACCCCATCCTGGCCCCACGGGACCACCACCCTGCTGCCTCCTACTGCCCTTTTGCTTCTCATAGGATCCCTGTGCGTGAGACCGTGCAGCGGTAGATCCTGTATATTTCCGTGTGTCATGGTTTCTGTTCGTCATGTGGTTGAACGCATGAGGCCAAGGGGCTGCATGAGGCCGCACTCCCACCAGCAGCCCGTGAGAGCAGCAGGCGCCCCACGGCCTTACGGCAGCCGGGGTTCTCTGTCAGCCTTGACGTTTCAGCCCTTCCTCGTGGGTGGAATATCAGTGACATCCCATTGTAGTTTCTATTTGCATTTCCCTGATGGTCAGTAACGCTGAGCACGTTTCACAGGTTGAATAAGCCGTACTTTATAACTTTTATTGTGACGTATTTCTTCAGATCTTTTGTCCATTTTTTAAAAATTAGATTTTAAGAGTTCCCTATATAATTTGCAAGTAAGTTCACATATGGGTATTGCGGGCATTCTCTCCTAGTCTGACCTGCCTTTTCATTATTGTAATGGTGACTCTCAAAGACCAGAAGTTTTAAATTTTGATGAAGATCAATTTATTAAAGTTGTATTTTACGGCTAGTGCTTTTTGTAGCCTGTTCGAGAAATCCTTGTCTACCTAAAATTCTGTGTTCTGTGTGTGTGTGTCTGTGTGTGAATTCCTGCCTATCCAGGATGGGGCAACACTGTGTCTGTGTGTC
Organism: Homo sapiens; assembly: GCF_000001405.40. Taxonomy (NCBI): domain Eukaryota; kingdom Metazoa; phylum Chordata; class Mammalia; order Primates; family Hominidae; genus Homo; species Homo sapiens. Next base: position 136,042,982 of record NC_000009.12, on the reverse strand, counting down.
TGCGTCTATGTGTGTGTCTCTGTGTGTCTGTGTGTGTCTGTCTGTCTCTGTGTGTGTCTGTTTGTCTCTGTGTCTCTGTGTGTGTCTGTATGTGTCTGTGTGTGTGTCTGTTTGTCTCTGTGTCTCTGTGTGTGTCTGTATGTGTCTGTGTGTGAATTCCTGCCTATCCAGGATGGGGCAACACTGTGTCTATGTGTGTGTGTGTCTGTGTGTCTCTGTGTGTGTGTCTCTGTCTCTGTGTCTGTGTGTGTCTGTGTCTGTGTGTGTGTCTCTGTGTCTGTGTGTGTGTCTGTGTGTGTATGTCTGTGTGTCTGTGTGTGTTTCTGTGTGTGTGTGTCTGTGAGTCTGTGTGTGTTTTCTTGCAAAAGTCTTAACAGTTTTGCTCTGATGGTCTAGTGGATGGTTCATGTTGGGCTCGTTTTTGCAGAAGGGGTCAGGTAGTGGGAAGGTTCATTTCCTTCCCCTGTGGACGTCCAGTCATTGCAGCACCAGGTCTCCACTGAATTCCCTTCACACCTTTGACAAGAATCAGTCGAATACGTACCTGCAGGCCTATTTCTGGATTCTGTTCGGTTCCATTGATCTGTGTGTCTGTGCTTATGCCAGATACCCCCCGTCAGGATTACTGTAGCTTTAATTCTTGAAGTCAGGTTGTGTAGGTCTTCAACTTCATTTTCTTATTGAAAATTGTTTTGGGCTGGACAAGGTGGCTCACACCTGTAATCCCAGCACTTTGGGAGGCCGAGATGGGTGGATCACCTGAGGTCAGGAGCTCGAGACCAGCCTTGCCAACATGGTGAAACCCCATCTCTACTAAAAATACAAAAATTAGCCAGTGTGGTGGCATGCGCCTGTAGTCCTAGCTGCTGAGGAGGCTGAGGCGAGAGAATCCCTTGAACCCAGGAGGTGGAGGTTATAGTGAGCCAAGATCGTGCACTCCAGCCTGGGCCACAGAGTGAGACTCTGTCTCAAAAAAAAAGAAATTGTTTTGAAGGATTATCGTAGTCCTTTGCTGTTTGCTGATCTCTAACTAAAAGATTACTAAAATGTTGATCGATGTTGCACTGATTCTGTAAATCAGTTTGAGAAGAACTGACCTCTTAACAATATTGAGGCTTCTAATCCATGAAGAAAGTACATCTCTCAATTTCTTGCCACTGTAATTTCCCCCAGCTTTTAATATATGGATGTCATTCATAGATGTAATAGCTTTATTGAGACGTAATTCACACGCCATACTGTTCATCTGTTTAAAGTAATAATCCAGTGTTTTTTTTGTATATTCAGAGCTGTGTGGCCATCACTACAATCAATTTTGGAATATTTCTGTCATCCCCCAAAGAAACCCCTTGGCATTTGGCAGATATTTCTATTTCCCCGTATTCCCTTCAGCCCTAGACAAGCACTAGTCTACTCTCTGTGTAGATTCCTATTCTGGGCACTTTGGTTCAATGGAATCGTATGATATACTGTGACTGGCTTTTTTCTTTTGGCATCAGGAATCACCCATGTTGAAGAATAGGTCAATGCTTCATTTTTTTCTTTATTTCTTTTTTTTTTTTTCTCAGATCATGTCTCACTCTTACCCAGGCTGGAGTGCAGTGGTGCGATCTCGGCTCACTGCAGCCTCCGCCTCCTGGGTTCAGGCAGTTTCTGCCTCAGCCTCCTGAGTAACTGGGATTACAGGAACCCGCCACCATGGCAGCTGATTTTTTGTATTTTTAGTAGAGACGAGGTTTCACCACATTGGCCAGCCTGGTCTCGAACTCCTGACCTCAAGTGATCTGCCTGTCTTGGCCTTCCAAAGTGCTGGGATTACAGGCATGAGCCACTGTGCCCAGCCAAGAATGCTTGCTTGCTTCCTTCCTTTCCTTCCTTCCTTTCCTTTCCTTTGCTTCCTTCCTTTCCTTCCTTCCTTCCTTTCCTTCCTTCCTTCCTTCCTTTTCTTTCCTTCTTTCCTTTCCTTTCCTTCCTTCCTTTCTTTCCTTCCTTTCCTTCCTTTTCTTTCTTTCTTTCTTTCCAGGGTCTCACTCTCACTCTGTCGCCTGGGCTGGAGTGCAATGGCACAATCTCTACTCATTGCAGCCTCTGCCTCCCAGACTCAAGGAGTCCTCTAGCCTCAGCCCCCAGAGTAGCTGGAACTACAGGCGTGCACCACCACACCCGGCTAATTTTTTTGCGTTTTTGTAGAGACAGGGTTTCACCATGTTGCCCAAGCTGGTCTTGAACTCCTGGGCTCAAGCCATCTACCTGCCTTGGCTTCCCAAAGTGTTGGGATTATAGGTGTGAGCCACTGCGCCTGGCCATTTTTCTTGTGAAGTCAAATTCCATTGTGTGGATAATGCCACATTTTATTTATCAGTTCAGTAGTGGATGGACTTTTGGAATGTTTCCGCTTGTTGGCTATTTTGAATAATGCGGCTGTGAGCATTTAGGTACAAGTCTTTACAGACATGTGTTTTGCATGTTTGCCTACATACCTAGGAGTAGAATTGCTGATGTTACATATTTTTTGCATGTATTTCTCCGTTCTCCTATTTTATTTTAATTTGATGTGTTTGTGAATTATATTGTTTATAATTTCATTTTCCAATTGTTTATTTTCAGTACATAGGAATAAAGTTGATTTTTTTTTTTTGAGACGGAGTCTTGCTCTGTCGCCCAGGCTGGAGTGCAGTGGTGTGATCTTGGCTCACTGCAACCTCTGCCTCCTGGGTTCACGCCATTCTCCTGCCTCAGCCTCCCGAGTAGCTGGGAATACAGGTGCCCGCCACCACGCCCGGCTAATTTTTTGTATTTTTAGTAGAGACAGGATTTCACCATGTTAGCCAGGATGGTCTCAATCCCCTGACCTTGTAATCCACCCGCCTCAGCCTCCCAAAGTGCTGGGATTACAGGAGTGAGCCCCTGTGCCCAGCTGGAATAAAGTTGGTTTCTTTGTATGTTGACCTTGTATTCTACAACCTTGCTACCTTTAGTGATTAGTTCTAATAGCTTTCCGTAAATTCCTTGGCATTTCCTACATAGGCCATCATCCTGTTTGTGAATAAAGACAGTTTTACTGCAGTTTGCACACCTTGTATTTCTGGATCTCCACTCCAGATTGAGTGGAAGTGGTGAAAGCAAACATCTCTTTGCCATGCTCTCTCTCGGGGGGAACATATCAGCCTTTCTTTGTTACGTGTGATGTCACTTGTAGTTTTTGCATGGCTGCATTTGACCAGTTTGTAGAAGTTTCTATCTATGCAAGTGATTTTGTGGGTGTTCTTAGTTTTGTTCATATGGTGTATTGCATCAGTTAGTGTTCCAGTATTGAACCACCCTTGCATTCCTGGGAGAAACCTCACTTGGTCATTTTGTATTACAGTGTTTACATATATTGCTAGATTCAACTTGCTGATATTTTCTCAAGGAATTTTGCATTTATGTTCATGAAGGTTATTGATCTGTAATTTTCCTCTAATGTCTTTGTCTGGTTTTGGTATCCACATTATGCTGGCTTTATGTTCCCTTCTCCTTTGTTTTTTCGAAGAGTTGATATAAGCTTGATGTTGTTGAAGTGTTTGATAAACTTGTCTTACCAGCGAAGCCACTTGGGCCTGGGGTTTGTTGCTGTTGTTAATTGTGGGAAGGCTTTTAATTACCAATTTACTGTAATTAGCAGCATTCTTACCAATTACAATTGACTTTAATTACCAATATTACTTTAGACATAGAACTATTAGGATTTTCTCTTTCATCTTGTTCTAGTCATGGTAATGGTCTTTCATGTCATTTATCCATCTCTGAAGTCACTTTGATATCACCATAGCACTTCAGCTTTCTTATATTTAGTATTTGTGTGGTTTTGGCTCTTTTTGTCCTATTGCTTTTAACTTACCTGTGTCTTAAAGTGTATTTTTTAGAGACGGCATATGGTTGGGATTTGCATTTTTATGCAGTCTAACAGTCTGCCTTTTATTTGGAATCTTTAGACCATTTACATTTGCTGTTACTTTCAGTGGCTTTAGGTGTACGTCTACCATCTTGCTATTTGTTCATTTACCTTTTCTCCTTCCCTGCATGTTTCTCTGTTGAATATGATCGTTTTTAGCTCCACGATTGCTTACTAGCTATTCCTGCTTCTGCCTCAGTTGTTTAGCAATTGCTCTAGACCGCACGGTAGCATCTCTCACTTCCCTCAGCCCACCTCCTCAATTGTGCGATGCCCCTCGTGCATAACTTAAGACCCTTAAAATGGTATATTCTCATGTTCCTCCTCCAGTCCTTTGTGCTAATGTTGTCCTGCACTTAACATCAGGCTTATAGCATATGAAGAAGTAATTTTTACCATAAAGTAATCTTTTTCCATTTTTAATAACTTTTAAATTTTACATATTATAACATTTCCTCTTTGATGTACAATTTGGAAGTTTAAAAAAATTTATATTATTATTACTTTTTGAGACATAATCTCACTCTGTCACCCAGGCTGGAATGCAGTGGCACGATCTCAACTCACTATACCCTCTGCCTCCCGGGCTCAAGCCATCTTCCCATCTCAGCCTCTTGAGTAGCTGAGACTACAAGCACATGCCACCACACCCAGCTAATTTTTGTGGATTTTTTTTGTAGAGACAGGATTTCAGCACGTTGCCCAGGCTGGTCTGGAACGCCTGGGCTCAAGCAATCCACCGGCCTTGGCCTCCCAAGGTGCTGGGATTATAGGCATGAGCCACCACGCCCAGCCTGGTGTTTAAAAAAATACGTATAGTCATGTAGTCACCTCCCCAGTCAAGATATAGAACAATTTCATCACTCTAAACTCATCCTGCCCCTTTGTGGTCATTTCCCCCCGCTTCCCCTGACTCCCGGCCACCGCTAATCTGTTTCCTGGCTTATAGATGGTGTTGTATACAGTATGTGGCCTCTTGGATCTGAATACATTTTGAGATTCATTCATGTTGTATTAGCATTGATTCTTTTTTGTTGCTGAGTAAGTAGTATTCCATTGTATGGCCACACCACAATTTGTGTACGCATTCACTGGTTAAAGGACATTAGGTTTTTAATAATTATGAACTAAGCTGCCATAAACATGTGTGTACTGGATTTTGTATGCACTTAAGTTTTCATTTTTTTTTTAACCATATAACCTACTCTTAGGTTAATTGACCCAATAGAAATGAAAACTTGGCCAAGCACAGTAGTTCATGCCTGTAATCCTAGCACTTTGGGAAGCCGAGGTGGGAGGATCACCTGAGGTCAGGAGATCGAGACCAGCCTGGCCAACATGGTGAAACCCCATCTCTACTAAAAATACAAAAAATTAGCCAGATGTGGTGGCGGGTGCCTGTAATCCCAGCTACTTGGGAGGCTGAGACAGGAGAATCGCTTGAACCTAGGAGGCAGAGGTTGCAATGAGCTGAGATTGCACCACTGTACTCCAGCCTGAGTGACAGAGCTAGACTCTGTCTCAAAAAAAAAAAAATGAAAATTTAAGTGCATACAAAATCACATATGCACATGTTCATGGCAGCTTAGTTCATAATTACTAATGAGTAATTAGTAATGAATATGCAAACTGTGGTATGGCCATACAATGGAATACAAAAATTAACCAGGTGTGGTGTGTGCCTGTAGTTCCAGCTACTCGGGAGGCTGAGGCAGGAGAATCGCTTGAACCCGGGAGGCAGAGGTTGCAATGAGCCGAGATCACACCACTGCATTCCAGCCTGGGCAAGAGTGAGATTCCATCTCAAAAAAAGAAAAAACTTTATATAAAAATATCTGCCTAAGTGAGGTAAACCTTGCATAAAATAAAAGGCATCAGCTTTCCTTGTGTAATTTATTGTCACCTTCATCTTTCAAGGAAGCTTTTGCTGCATATAGAATTCTAGGTTGACGGTTCTTTTTTGCTTTCAGTACTTTAAGGGTGTCATATTCTTTGTCTTCTGGATTGCCCAGGAAATCACAGTCATCCTTATCTATGTTCTTCTGTGTTTATTGTGTCTTCTTCTTAGGCTGCTTTTATCTCATGTTTGCAGTAATTTGACTATTAGATGCCTTTGTGTTGCTTTGTATTTATTCTGCTTAGGATTTGTTGAGCTTTCTGAACACGTGCATTTTTACTTTTTTAAAAAATCAAATTTGGGATTTTAAAAATTATTGTTTCTTCAAATATTCTTCTGCCCCTTACCCTCTAGAAGTTAAACTAAATGTATGTTTTTGTCACTGAGGTTCTGATTATTATTTAGACTTTTTCTTCTATAGGCTTTCAGCCGAGTAATCTCTGCTGTGGTTTCTTCATGCTCAAGGGCTTTCTTTTCTAAAGTTCTGTTTTGTTCTTTTTTATACTTTCCATTTCTCCCCTCATTCCTGTTTTGTTTTATAATGCTCTGATCATGTTTATAATAGCCAGTTGTCAGCTAATATACGTGTGTATATATATGTATATGTATATGTGTGTATTTATATAGATGTATGTGTATGTGTGTATATATATGTATTTATGTGTGTGTGTATGTATATATAAAATAACCTGTATCAGCTAATGCTAGCATTTTGTCATTTCTTGGTCTGTTTCTGTTTACTGATTTTTCTTCTCCTTAAGGTGACCTTTCTGTGGTTTTTCACTTGTTTGTTTTTTTTAATAGATGCTGGACATTGTAATTGTTACATTGTTGAGCATCTCCAAGTTGCCGTCCTTGATTCTCTCACAGTGGTATTAGGTAGAATTTCAATAATGAGTCATGACGTTGGGCACATTCTCATAGGCTTATCAGCCACTTGGACATCCTCCTTTGTGAAGTGCCTATTTAAATATTTTGCCCCACTTCTTCGCAGAGTGAGTTATCTGTCCTTTTCTTGCCACTTTGCACGTTCTACACTGTGAATTGGCATCCTTTGTCAGACACGTAAGTAGCTTCTCCCACTGTGCAACTTTCCGTTTTGTTAATATAATTTTTTATAGTGAAGTTTATCAAACTTTTTGTACAATAGCAGTTTTTATATCCTATTTAAAGAAATTTCTTCCTCCCTCAGGATCATGATGATGTTCTATGTTTGTAAAAAAACAAAAAACACACATTGTTTTGAAATCATTTTCAACTTGCAGAAAAGTTGTAAGATAAGTACGGAGAACTTCTGTATCCCCTTCACAATTGGTAGGAATTTACCACATCTGCTCTGTCATTCTTTTTACATGTAGAGGTTTTTCACTAAACCATTTGAAAGTAAGTTGCAGATATTATGCCCTTTACATCAAAAGGCTGAACTTTTTTTTTTTTTTAACAAACAAGGACATTCTCTTATATAATCACAGTACGCTGTGCAAAATTCAAGAAGTGTTATCTCAATCCATCATCCTCATGTAACTACAGACTGTACCTTTTTCCAGTTGTCTCAATATTGTTCTTTAGAGCAGTGGTTTTTTCCCTGATGTGGTATTTAATCCAGAATCACACATTGCATTTTGTGGTTCTTCTCTTTCATCTCTTTATTCTAGAATAGTGTCTCAGCCTCTATCTTTTTTGACACTGATCCTTTGAAAAGCGCAGTTCATTATTTTGTAGAATGTCCCTCTCTTTAGGTTTGTCAGGTTTCTCCTCAGGACTGGGGTCAGGTTGTGCATTTCAGCTGCAATTCACAGCAGCGGAACCTTCTCAGTGCGTCACAGGAGTCACGTGACACCACTTTGGCTCAATATTGGTGATGTTCCTTTGATGGTTTGGTGCAGGTGGTCTCTGCCAGGTGGTCACTGTTCTCCCCTTTGTGAGAAGAGGCTGTGTAAATATCCTGCCTGTCCTCAGCCTTCCATCCATTAATTCTAGTATTTATTGATGATTCCTGCCTGAATCAGGTACTGCTCTCTGATGGGTGCAAATAGGATTGGTTTTTGTTTTGTTTTTGAGATGGAGTCTCGCTCTGTCACCCAGGCTGGAGTGCAGTGGCGTGATATCAGCTCACTGCAACCTCTGCCTCCTGGGTTCAGGTGATTCTCCTGCCTCAGCCTCCCAAGTACCTGGGATTACAGGCACCCACCACCATGCCCGGCTAATTTTTGTATTTTTTGTAGAGATGGGGTTTCAGCATGTTGGCCAGGCTGATCCTAAACTCCTGACCTCAGGTGATCGGCCCGCCAGTGCCTTCCAAAATGCTGGGGTTACAGGCATGAGCCACTGTGCCTGGCCCCCAATTATGATTATTTCTAACTCCACAACTCCCATATTTACTAGTTAGCAGTCTTACAGGAAAGAGCTTCCCCTATATCCCCCACTCACTGGTTTTATTCCTTCATTTATTGTTACTATTTATTTACTATCAGTGTAGACTTTTTTTTTTTTTTAAAGCATTTTCTTGCTTTCAGCAAAACATTCCAGGCGCATCCTAGACTTTCTGGTTCCTAGCCCTAGAATCAGTTATTTCTCCTGTAGTGGGGAATTTAGAAACCAGGATCTTGGTGCTAGATTTGTTCATTGCCACTAAGTATTTTTGTTTTTATAGCCTTTTAGCAGTCAGAGCTAGGAATTTACATATTTAAGAATTGTGGGTTCATACTGATACTCTCCAAAGCAATCAACACTCTGGGGTTCTTCCTGACCTTCCTCCCTTCCTTTTTTCTTTTTCTCTTCCTATTTTTCTTTCCTAATAGTCAAGATTCGGACTCTCTTACGATTTGTTATTAAAGACTTTCAGATCTGTAGTACGTCTGGCATGGATTTTTGTGTGTGCTGTGATCCAGGGCTCAAAATTCACTTGTTCCCGTTTTACTTTCCAGTGGACCTACGTTCTCCCTGAGAAGGTCTTTTCCGCCGCTGGCCTGCGGGGCCCTTTGCTGTGTATCAGGAGTCTGTAAATTATATGTGTTTGTAATTGAACTCTGTTCTATACCCTTGATCTCTCTGTTTTTCCCTATGGCAGTACATGTTTTTAAAAATTTTTTCTGAATCTTTCTAAATATTTTCTCTAACTCTTTCAGGTTTGAGTTCCTTATGATTTGCCTTGCGTTGGCTATTTTTTGCATTTTCATATGCTTTTCAGAAGTAGATTGCCAAATATCTCACACACACACACACACACACACACACACACACACACACACACACACCTGCTGGAATTTGATTGGGATTGCATTGATTCTTTTGACTGATGCGGGGTGACCTGACATTTTTACCGTATTGGGTCTTCCAATCCATGGGCGTGGTACATCCTTCTGTTTATATATTAAGAATTGTGGGTTCATACTGATACTCTCCAAAGCAATAATTTTTTCTTAGGAATATTTTGTAGTTCTCTGCACATCTTTTTTTAAAAAGATTTATTCCTAGAAGTTCTTTTTTTTTTTTTTTTTTTTGAGACAGAGTCTTGCTCTGTCCCCCGGGCTGGAGTGCAGTGGCAGATCTCAGCTCACTCCAACCTCCAACTCCCGAATTCAAGCGATTCTCCTGCCTCAGCCTCCCGAGTAGCTGGGATTACAGGCACCCGCCACCACGCCTGGCTAATTTTTGTATTTTTAGTAGAGGTTTAGTAGGGGTTTCACCATGTTCGCTGGGCTGGTCTTGAACTCCTGACCTCAGATGATCCGCCCACATCAGCCTCCCAAAGTGCTGGGATTACAGGCGTGAGCCACCGTGCCCGGCCAGAAGTTCATTTTTTAATTTGAATTACATAGTACTTAACTTTGTTTTTTTCATGTCTGTTACTAATATATAGAAACAAATTGGATTATCTTTGAAGTCTGCTTACCTTGCTAACTCACTGATTTACTCTGAGAGTCTACCTGCAGATTATCTTGAATTTTATTTTATTTTATTTTATTTTATTTTTGAGACAGGGTCTCACTCTGTTGCCCCGGCTGGAGTGCAATGGCATGATCTTGGCTCACTGCAGTCTCCACCTCCTGGGCTCAAGTGATTCTCCTACCTCAGCCTCCCAAGTAGCTGGAATTACAGGTGTGTGCCACCATGCCCAACTTATTTTTTTTTGAGATGGAATCTTGCTCTGTTGCCCAGGCTGGAGTTCAGTGGTGTGATCTCGGCTCACTGCAACCTCTGCCTCCAGAGTTCTAGTGATTCTCCTGCCTCAGCCTCCCGAGTAGCTGGGATTACAGGCGCCTGCCACCATGTCTGGGTAATTTTTTTGTATTTTTAATAGAGACGGGGTTTCACCATGTTGGCCAGGCTAGTCTCGTGATCCACCCACCTCAGCCTCCCAAAGTGGCGGATTACAGGCATGAGCCACCATGCCCAGACTAATTTTTGTATTTTTAGTAGAGATGGGGTTTCACCATGTTGGATGGGCTGGTCTCGAACTCCTGATCTCAAGTGATCCGCCTGCCTTGGCCTCCCAAACTGCTGGGATTACCTACGTGAGCCACCAGGCCTGGCCTGTTCTGGATACAGACATGTCATCTGCTCATAACCACAATTTCTTTATTTCTTCTTTCTTGCCTCATTGAACTGGCCAGAACTTCTTACATATCCCTGTCTCATTTCTAAACTCAGGAAAAGCTTCCACTGTTCCTCTTTAAGTAGGATGTTTGCTCTAGGCCTTACTGTGATACATTTTATCAGATTAAGGAAATTTATTTCATTTCCTAGGTTAAGAGGGTTTTTTTTTTCCTCGTAAGTGTTGCATTGTAACAAAAGCTTTCTCTAAGCATTGTAACAGTCCTGTGGTTTTCCTCTGCTGCCCTGCTAATGTGCTTAGTTGCATTGACTGCTTTTCCAAATATTGAAATAACTTCGTATTCCTGGAATAAATTCAACTGAGTTGTGCTGTGGCAGCCTTCTGTTATACATGCCTCTGGATGCAGCTCGCTGATATTCCTTCCCCTCCTTTTGGACGGCTCTCCAGAGCCATGGATCCTTCTCTGTTAAAGTCCTGGACAGAGCCTGAGACAGAAAAGGCCGGTGGGATCCCAGGAGTCTGGCGGGAGGGAAATCATCCCTTCTGTGGTCAAACCTGGGCAGTGATCACCAGGGGTGCTGCCGAGGACGACCCTTGCCCCCCATTCATTTATGCAGAGCACCAGGCCCTAGCATCGGGAAAGCTGTTAACAGCTGCCCATACACATCAGCTGTGGGTGTTGGTGCAGATGCCAAAACCTCACAGTTAGAGGAGGTGGGAATGCAGAGCCAGGGCCTGGAGGCAGCAGTAAAAGCCATGTGGGTTAAATCGGTTCCATGAGTGGCCACTAGCTGTATGGGATGAGATCATACATTTCTTATTTGCTAATATTTTCTTTAGAACTTCTTTAGGATTTGTGTCACCATGTTCACAAGAGAGATTGCCCTCTAATTTTGCTTTAAGGAAAAGTTCTGTGTTTTCTTGTTCTTTTTTCTTTGTCTTAAAATGGGGCCGTGGGCCGGGCACAGTGGCTCACACCTGTAATCCTAGCACTTTGGGAGGCCGAGGCGGGTGGATCACTTGAGCTCAGGAGTTCGAGACCAGCCTGGCCGACACAGTGAAACCCCATCTCTACTAAAAATACAAAAATTAACCTGGTGTGGTGGCGCACACCTGTAATCCCAGCTGCTCGGGAGGCTGAAGCACGAGAATTGCTCGAACCCGGGAGGCAGAGTTTGCAGTGAGCCGAGATTGTGCCACTGCACCCCAGCCTGGGTGATGGAGCAAGACTCTATCTCAGAATGAATGAATGAATGAATGAATGAATGAGGCTGTGGAGTAAAGGAGAGGGAAGGGCACTAACATTGATACCGACGTTCTCATCTCTTTACCTTCCCAATGTTTTGATATCAAGATTATCTGGCCTCATTAAATGAATTGAGAATTATTTCCTTGTCTTTAATGACCTGGAACAGTTTGTATAATGCTGTGCTATTTCATTCTTAAACCTTTGAAAAAATGTCATAGGCAAAGTCATTTTGGTCTGGAGTTCTTTGTAGGGAGATATTTATTTAGCTTCATTTTCTTGAGTAGCTGCAGGAATAGTTCACATAATCTATTTCCTCTTGTGTCAGGTTTGGTAAGTTGTGTATATCTGGAAGTTCATCGGCTCCGTCTAAAGTTGAGATGTATTGGCCGGGCACGGTGGTTCACTCCTGTAATCCCAGCACTGCGAGGCTGAGGTGGGCAGATCACTTGAACTTGGGAGTTTAAGACCAGCCTGGGCAACATGGCAAAACCCCATCTCTACCAAAAATACAAAAAGTTAGCCAGGCATGGAGGTGTGTGCCTGAGGTCCCAGCTACTCGGGAGGCTGAGATGGGAGGATCGCTTGAACCTGGGAGGCGCAGGTTGTAGTGAGCTGAGATGACACCACTGCACTCCAACCTGGGTGACAGAGCGAGACTGCCATCTCAAAATAAGTGTTAAAGTTCAGATGTATTGACATGAAATTGTTCCAGTACCCTCTTTTTATTTTTTTTTTGAGACGGAGTCTTGCTCTGTCGCCCAGGCTGGAGTGCAGTGGCGCAGTCTCGGCTCACTGCAAGCTCCACCTCCTGGGTTCACGCCATTCTCCTGCCTCAGCCTCCCAAGTAGCTGGGACTACAGGCGCCTGCCACCATGCCTGGCTAATTTTTTTGTATTTTTAGTAGAGATGGGGTTTCACTGTGTTCACCGGGATGGTCTCGATCTCCTGACCTCGTGATCTGCCTGCCTTGGCCTCGCAAAGTGCTGGGATTACAGGCGTGAGCCACCGCGCCCGGCCTCCAGTACCCTCTTTAAGATCTTCTGAATGTCTACAACAGGGATGAGCCTCCTCTGACTATGGCAGATCTGTCCCGTGTCCTGTTTTTGTACAGCCTGCAAACTAAGGATGGGGTGTATATTTCTAAAGGATTCCTTTGAAAAAGCAAGGAAGGGCTGGGTGTGGTGTCTCATGCCTGTAATCCCAGCACTTTGGGAAGCTGAGGCGGGTGGCTCACTTGAGGTCAGGAGTTCAAGACCAGCCTGGCTATCATGGTGAAACTCCATGTCTACTAAAATTACGAAAATTAAGCAGGTGCAGTGTGTGTCACAGGATCCTTGGGGTGTCGCTTCACCCGCCAGAAACCTCTGTGGCCGGTGGTGCCTTTACCCAAGTTTTGCTCGTGCCTGCTGGGCTCATTCCACCCGTTCGGCCCAGCAGGCTGTGCCAGGTTTGCACTACCGGCCCGGATCCCACACCTCTGAGGGTGAGCCAGGCACAGAGCAGCAAGGGGTGTGTGAGCGAGCAAGCTCCAGGCCCAGCCACTGTGCACAGCCAGGCACACTGGCTGCAGTGGGGTGGGCAGCTCCAGGCACTGGCACAGGCGCCGGCTCCCTGCAGGGCTGCAGCTGTACCAGGCATACCTCAAGCAGCTTCTGCTGACACTGGGAAACACGGTGGCACCTGGAAGCTTGGAGATGCCAGGAACTGCAGAGCCCCAAAGAAGGTGTCACAGCCCCGGCTCACGGACCTCCTGGGTCTGGGATCCCCGAAGGGCTGCAGCTCTTCTCTCCTCATTGCCCACAACGTGGTGGGCAAGGGGCATGTTTCAGCCCTGTTTGTGTTACAGCTCTTTCATCTCTTTTAATCCTGCCATTTGGCAGGTCCCGAGTTCTTGTTCCGCATCCAGGAAAATGAGGTATGCAGACAACTGGAGGGCAAGTAAAGTGAAGAAATGCTTTATTGAGGGACAGTACAGCTCTCAAGGAGACCCTGGAGTGGGTAGCTCCTCTCTGCAGGCAGGTCTCCTCAACATCTGCTCAGCTCTCAGCTGAGAGGAGACCCACAGTGGGTAGCTCCCCTCCTCAGGTAGGCCATCCTGTTGTCTGGCTGAGTCTGGGGTTTTTATGGCCTTCAGAGGGCAGGATGTGCATGCTGATTTGTCCATGGGCAGCCATGAGTGGGCCCGGAAAAGGCAACATAAGTTCTCACTCCAGTCTGCGGAACTGACAGCCTGGGCCCTGGGCTTCAGGCCATTCCTGGCTTGAAGGTAGGGCTTACCAGGACCCACCCCTTTCCATCCAGGAGCCTGTCTGCCTCCTGCCACCATTAACCTGCTTATGGTGGCCACACACACCCAGGCTGTTAGCCCCACCTCGGCCTCCCTCTTGTGCTCGACGGTGCCCAACATCCAGAGGGGGCCAAGGCGGCAGGGGCCTGGCATGTCAGCACTGCCCTGAGCGCACATACACCTGGCCAGGTCATGACAGTGCCCAGGTTCAGCTACAACTTTGCTCCAAAATCGGAGCAGGTCCTGGAAGTGAGGAGAGGGCCAGGCAGCAGGAGCAGGCACTTCTGAGCCTGTGCAGGCAGGGGGGCTTCCCAGGCCCCCAAGAGTGCAGAGATGCTCAGGTCTGCAGCCACAGCTGGGCAACTGCAGCTGCGCCTGGGAGGGTGGAACTCCCACCCCTCCAACTTGGAAGCGGGCAAGATTTCTACCTGTTCCCGGCTCCTGCCAGCTCCATGGAGCGTGCAGCCCTGGCCACGCCTCACCCACTACAGCTGGCATCATGGCAGTGGCTGGTCCAGACGGGCCACCGCTGCCATCACCTGTAGTCACAGTTACGCAGGAGGCTGAGGCAGAAAAATTGCTTGAACCCAGTAGGCAGAGTTGCAGTGAGCTGAGATCGCACCACTGCACTCCAGCATGGGTGACAGAAAGAGACCCTGTCTCAAAAAAAAAAAAAAAAAAGGAAGCAAAGGCAAAGAAGGACAAGTGGCAGAAAGTACATGTGGTCAGCCTACCTAAAGTATTTACTCTCTGGCCCTCCCAGCAGAAGTTTGCCAGCCCTGTTCTGTAGAACCTGTTGTGTAATGGAGTGTTCCTTAATGGTGTCAATTTTTTTTTTTTTTTTTTGGAGATGGAGTTTCTCTCTGTCACTCAGGCTGGAGTGGCTCCTGCCACTCAGCCTCTCAAGTAGCTGGGATTACAGGCACCTGCCATTATGCCCAGTTAATTTTTGTATTTTTAGTAGAGATGGGGGTTTCACCATGTTGGCCAGGCTGGTCTCGAACTTCTGACCTCAAGTGATCCACCCACCTTGGCCTCCCAAAGTGCTGGGATTACAGGTGTGAGCCACTGTGCCAGGCCGATGTTAATTTTTGTCTTTTCTCTTTTTCTCTTTGTTCAGACTTGCTAGAGAGTTTCCATTATATTTGTCTTTTCAAAGAACCAACTTCTGGATTTTTTCTCTTATGTATGTATTTATATATTTTTTTATTTCAGTTTATCTCTACTTTCTTTGTGTTTACTTTGCTATTATATTCCTAGTTTTTGAGAGAGATCTGTAGATCATTGATACCTCAGCCTTTTAAAGTAAAGCACTTAGGGCTCTATATTTCCTGATCAGCACTGCCTAATTCTAACACATTTTCATGTCAGATTTTCATTATCATTCAGATAAAGGTATTTTCTAGTCATTTGTGATTTTTTTTTCCCTTTTGCCCTTGTGTTATGTAGCAATGTACTGCTTAATTTACAAACCTTTTTGGATTTTCTGGTCATCTTTTTTGTTATGAATTCTGAATTAAATTTCCAGTGGACATAGAATGCACTCAGCCTAGTTTGTTACTCTGGAGTTTGTTGAGACTTTCCCTGAGCCCCTGTATATGTTCCATATACATTGAAAAGAAATAGCATAAACGGTGCTGATAAGGAAGGCAAATGTATATTCTTTCAGGTGTGTTTTTATCTTGTGTTGGCCACAGCAGAGCCACCTCAGCTCCCTTTTGTTTAATATTTACCTGGTACATCTCTTTCTATCATTTGTCCTCTTGTTTGAGGTTTTCTCTTGGGTTTTGTTTTATTCATTCTTCACAAACATTAATTTTTTTTGTTTGTTTTGAGACAGAGTCTTGCTCCATCGTCCAGGCTGGAGGGCAGTGGCGCTATCTCGGCTCACTGCAACCTCCGCCTCCCGGGTTCTAGCAATTCTTGTGCCTCAGCCTCCCGAGTAGTTGGGACTACAGGCATGTGCCACCACACCGGCTGTTTCTATTTTTAGTAGAGACTGGGTTTCACCATGTTGGCCAGGCTGGTCTTGAACTCCTGACCTTGGGTGATCCCCCTGCTTCAGCCTCCCAGAGTGCTGGGATTACAGGCATGAGCTACTGCACCCGGCCAACAAACGTTATTTTCTACTGGAGTGTTTTGACTTTCATTTCACGTGGTTACTGACTTTGCTGGGTTAATCTACCGTCTTGTCCATTGGTCTCTGCTCTTCCCCTCTGACCTCCTGTTGCTTCTCCTTTCTTGTCCCTCCTTTCTGATTAATCAGGTATTCCATTTTCCCCTGTATATGCCTATTAAAAGTTTGTATACTGTTCTTGTAGGTTAGGGATTTCAGCATTCATCCTGAGTTAGAATGTTCTGTGTGTTAATTCTGTGTATGTTGTAAGCACCACTAGACGTGCCTTTGTCATTTTACATCATTGTGTTTATATTTATCTGCACATTTTTTCCCCATGCTTTTCACTGTCTCCTGCGTTACCTCACTCCCTCCTATCTGAGATCACTTTCCTTTTGATGCGGCTCCATGTCCTTGGTCGGTCTGGGGACCCCTCAGTCTGTCTCCTCAGAGCCTCAGCCTCCTCTCCTCCTCTCCTTCTGGGGCTCCAGTTACATGTATGTTAGGCTTTCCCCAAGTCCTATGTGTTCCATGTGTCTTTTATTCTGTTTTCTGTATTTTCTATTCTTTTATCTTTTTTTTTTTTTTTTTTTTTTTTGAGATGGAGTTTTGCTCTTGTTGCCCAGGCTGGAGTGCAGTGGTGCCATCTTGGTTCACTGCAACCTCCACCCCCGCTGGGTTCAAGCAATTCTTCTGCCTCAGCCTCCAGAGTAGCTGGGATTACAGGTGCGCACCACCACACCTGGCTAATTTTTTGTATTTTTAGTAGAGACGGAGTTTTGCCATGTTAGCCAAGCTGGTCTCGAACTCCTAACCTCAAGTGATCTGCCCACCTCGTCCTCCCAAAGTGCTGGGGTTACAGGTGTGAGCCACCACGCCTGGCCTATTCTTTCTTATTCTGCATCAATCTGGATATTTTGTATTAAATTATTTTCCAGTTCACAAATCTCATCTGCACTATTTAATTTTCCCCTAAATAATTCTTTTGAGTTCATATTGTTAGTTGTTGGATTTTTTTTGTTTGTTTTCGAGATGGTCTTGCTCTGTCACCCAGGCTGGAGTGCAGTGGCACAATCTCAGCTCACTGCAACCTCTGCCTCCTGGGTTCAAGCGATTCTCCTGCCTCCACTTCCTGAGTAGCCGGGACTACAAGTGCATACCACCACACCTGGCTAATTTTTTTGTATTTTTAGTAGAGGCGAGGTCTTGCCGTTTTGGCCAGGCTGTCTCGAACTCCTAACCTCAAGTGACTGGCCCACCTCAGCCTCCCAGAGTGCCGGGATTACAGGCATGAGCCACTGCGCCCGGCTGCGTTTTTTTTTTTTTTAATAGGACTTAATCCCTTTTGTTGATTCTAGTTTTCTGGTGAAATTTTCCATCTTGTTGCCTGTATTTCTTGTACACATTAAAAATTGTTATTTTAAATTCGGTGTCTGCTAGTTGTCTGATCTGATGTCCTTCTGTAAATTGTTGGTTTTGTTTTGTTGTTTTGTTTTGTTTTGTTTTTTATCATTTGGTCTATGGGTCCACATCTAACATCTCTTTGTGAAATAGTTTTCTATCATTTGGTTCTGTTTTCTGGGATTCCTGGCCCTTTCTTATGGACGGCCGGACATCGTGTGAAAACAGGTGAGGAGTCGTAAGCAGCACTCCTCAAAGGGTCTGGGGACTGTTGCGTGAAGGTCTGCAGTGAGGGGAAATCTGTGCCATCCAGCAGCGCCCGTGCCCACATTCTCCAAGGCCGGTGTGCTTCTGGTTTGCCTCACACCGTAGCCTGTAGCCCTTCCAGGGCCTCAGCTGAAAGCCTGGTGTTCCCCAGAACCCCTCCTCTTGGCTGGCCTTGAAATCAGTCCATTTTCATCTCTCCAATACACGAGATGCCAAATTCTAGATTTCCTTGTTTTTTTCGTTTCTTGGCAGTTGATTTTGCTCCATCTCTGCCTGCATGCATGGCTACTTAGTAGTCAGCAGATATCCAAGGGACAGTTCCGAAATTGCACCCTGAGGCCGGCTCTCAGGATCCTGGGCCCCGAGGCTCCCGGCTCTGTCAGCCACTGCCGCCTTTAGGCCCTGCCGCCTCAGCTGCTCCACCCCAGGGCTGGCAGGTCCCAGTTCTCAGGATCGCAGCCCCTCAGGGTTGTAGTTGGTCTTTTGATAATTTTGGTAGTTGTTTTTGATGAGGGAGTTAGTCTAATATTGGCTGCTCCCTCATATCCACAGTGGGAATCTCTGGGGCGTTTTAAAAGTTAAATATATTTATTTTTGCATAGCTAATGTGTGTTCACTGTCTTAAAGACTAGGAAAAGGTCATAGAGTGAAAGCCATTCTCCCCTGCTGGTCCTCACATGCACACTCTGTCCTTACACACACACTCTGTCCTTACACACACTGTCCTCACACACACTGTCCACACACACACACACACACACACACACACATTCTGTCCTCACACACACTGTCCTCACACGCACCCTCTGTCCTCACACATACCCTCTGTCCTCACACACACACACTCTGTCCTCACACACACACACTCTGTCCTCACACACCCTCTGTCCTCACACACACACCTTCTGTCCTCACACACACACACTCTGTCCTCACACACACACACTCTGTCCTCACACAAACCCTCTGTCCTCACACACACGCACCCTCTGTCCTCACACACACCCTCTGTCCTCACACACACCCTCTGTCCTCACACACACCCTCTGTCCTCACACACACACACTCTGTCCTCACACACACACACTCCGTCCTCACACACACACACACACACACACTCTGTCCCCACACACACACTGTCCTCACACGCACCCTCTGTCCTCACCCACACACACACACACTCTGGCCCTCACTCACACTCTGGCCTCACACACACACGCTGTCCCCACACACTCTGTCTCCCAGAGGAACTCACAGCTGGCACACATCCCGGGAGCTTCCTCCATGTCTGACGCATGTGCACGTGTGTGTGGGGGGGGTTGTGCATTTGTGTGGTTGGGGGCATGCACGTGTGTATGGCGGTGGGTACACACTTGTGTGGGTGGCATCCCGTGCATTGCCCTTCATTTGTCCTTAGTGTCCTGGTCGTCCTTCTCAGCACACACAGACCCTGCTAGTGTCTTCACAGTGACCCGTGCCATGTGCTGTGATAGGTGGGATTGATTCAACCTGTGCCTATGGCTGGACAAGCTCTTGCAAAGGCAGGGCGGGCCACCTGCTGCCTCGAGGATGTCCTTGGGCAAGTCTGAGAAACGTGTGGATGGATGTAGAGCAGGAAAGGGATGCCATCAGATCAGCAATAAAAATCATCGCTGGGATCCCTGTCGGAGGCCTGGACCACTTGGGGACTTCTTGAGTCTCCAGGACCAGGCTTGGTGCTGGTAGGAGTGGGTGCTGGGATTTGCAGGAGATAAAATGACAGCACCTGCCAGGCCTGGAGGAAGCCTCAGCTCTAAGGAGGGCACTGGCCAGGAGTGTGGGTGGGGCAGGGCAGGGGCCAGGTTTGATGGGACTGTTGAGCTGGTCGAGAAGCCCAGAGGGTCCCACTCACTCGGGGATCCCACGTTCTCCGAGAGCTGAGCAGGCCCAGGTGCCCTGGCGGGCTGCAGGGTCATGCCGGCCCCTCGCGTCGGGAGCAAGCTCCTGGGGGTGCCAGTGAGGATTCTACTTAGTGGCCCCCACATCTTCCCCCGCAGCTGCACCCATGAGTGTGGGCATGGGGACTCGAGAGACCAGCGAGCCCCTTTCCATCCGGGTTTCCAGGAGACCCAGAGAGGCCAGGATATGCGTACAGGTCCTTCCTCCCTCCCTCCTCCCCCTCCCTCCTCCCTCCCTCTTCCCTCCTTCCCTCCCTCCTCCCTCCCTCTTCCCTCCTTCCTCCCTCCTTCCCTCCCTCCTTCCTGATGTGAATGTCCCTCTCTGCCTTCATTTTTCTTCCTCCTGGCTTTCCCTGCTGGGCTTTTCTGCATTTCCCCATGTGTCAGCATCCACGAAACGGGCTGTGTCTTAACAGGCACGGTGTGGCGTGGCATGGCGTGGTAATTGGTGATGGTTTGCCTTCCCAGTTATGGCGTGGCATGATTAAATTGGTGGCACCTTTGCCCTGTGGCACATGAGAGAATGGCATGCCTTATAATTGTGGCCTCTGTGCTCCCACCAAGTACAGCGTGGAAGTCGTTTCTGGTCTTTCTGGAGGATGACAGAGGCACTGCCCCAGCCAGCACTGGTAGTTGATGGGCCCTGTGTGTTAGGCGCATGCTGTGTGCCAGGCCCTGGGGACACTGACCAGCAGGGTGAGCCCCCCTCACTGCCAGAAGCACTGGACCCAGAACAGGCTCACTGGCCAGGAGGCAGCGAGCTGGGACCATGGACCCACCCCCAAAGCTGGGTGGAAGGGGCAACAGCAGGGAAGGCAGGTCTCCCCGAGCTGCAGTGACCACACTAAATGCCACGTCTGCACCAGTTGGCCCCACAGCCGGCCCTGGGCTCTGGCCATCAGGAGGCACCTGGGCGGGGAGCTGGGAAGCAAGTTGTGGTCCCAGCCTTGCTGGGCATCGGGCAGGAGGGTGTTGAGTCCACACCTGTGTGCTTTCGGGGGTGGGACACAGCCCCATGTGGAGAGTGTGGTCATCTCCCCGAGGCCCACTGCATGTGGGGCACCCGTTACCTCATCACCCGGGCCTGGTCACCCGTCTGTGGTGCCCCCACATTGCCCCTCACCATTTCCACCTGGGTCCCTGTGCACCTGCTCTGCGCCTGATGCCACCAAGTTCACAAGTGTCCCTCACAGGTTGCCAGAGCTGGTCTGTGCCAAGCCGGCAGCTGCAGAGATAGTGCAGGGCATGTGCCAGGTCAGCCTCCAGATCCATGAGCAGAGGCCACCTAGAGTCGTGCAGGCTGCCCCCGTGGGGACAGGTGTGTAGCCCGACCTTTCCTCATTCACAATGGCTCCCTCGCCAAACCCCTCCATGCTGCCCTTGAGGCTTGTCCGCACCCCAGCCCCTGGTGGCCACAATGGAAATGATTCTCTGTCCCCCAAGTTTAGTTTCCTGGACAATGTCATACAAATGGGATCACCAGTATGTAATCATTTTACGTCTTCTGTGTAACAGCACGATTTGAGATCCATCCAGGTTGTGTGCCAATCATTTGTTCCTTTTCACAGCCAAGCGGTAACACGTCATGTGGATGGTTCACAGTGTCTTTATCTGCATGCCCATTGCAGGACATCCGGGCTGCGTCTAGCCTGGGG
This sequence comes from Homo sapiens, assembly GCF_000001405.40. Lineage (NCBI taxonomy): Eukaryota > Metazoa > Chordata > Mammalia > Primates > Hominidae > Homo > Homo sapiens. The sequence goes on along the minus strand of NC_000009.12, from coordinate 136,021,681 downwards.
CATTCAAGAGTAGAGACGGGATAAGCGTTCCTGTGCAGGCTGTCTTTGGAGATAAACTCCCATTTTTCTTGGGCAAATACCTAGAAGTATAATTGCTGGGTCATAAGTGTATGTTGAACTTGACAAGAAGCCACCAAGCAGTTTTCCAGAGTGGCCATGCCACTTTGCACTCTCCCCAGTGAGGTCAGGACGTCCCAGCTGCCCCGTGTCCTCGCCAGCACTTGGGGGTGTCAGTGTTTTTATGTTTCGCCGCACTGGGAGGTGAGACCACGTCGTCAGGACGTCCCAGCTGCCCCGCATCCTCGCCGGCACTTGGCGTCGGTGTTTTTACGTTTCCCGCACTGGGAGGTGGGACCGCAACATGGCTTGATTTGCATTTCTCCCATGGCTAAGGATGCTTGAGTGTCTTTTCATGTGCTAATTTCCATCTGTAAGTCCCCTGGGGAAGAGTCTTCAAATCTTTTGCCCATTCTTGGAACTGGATTGTTGGTTTTTAACTGTTGAGTATCGAGATTTCTTTATATTTTTTAGATACAAGTCCTTTGTCAGATATGTGATTTGCAAGCATCTTCCTCCAGTCTGTGGCTAGCTTGTTTTTTTATCTTCATTCAGAGATCGGAAGTTTTTCATTCTGATGAATTCTAGCTCGTCAATCATTTCCATTGTGGATCGTGCTTTGGGGGCCTTGTCTAAGACTTTAGCTTAACCTAAGCTCATAAAGACCTTCTGCAGTTTTTGTGTAGGGTGCGAGGCTGAGACGGAGGGTGGTTTTGGTGCCACGTGTGGGTGCGGATGGCCAGTTGCTCAAGCCCCATTTGTGAAGGCTGCTGCCTCCTCCGTTGACAAAGGCTGGTGCACCTTTGTCAAAAGCCAATCGAGCATGGCCATGTGGGTCTGTCTGTGGGTCTCCTATTCTGTGCCATTGACCTGTCTGTCCACTTCCCTGAACCATGCAGGCTTCATGACTGTAGCTGTACAGGAAGTCTTAAAATCAGTTGATTCAGCACTGTTCTGTCCATTTGCATTTAAGTTGTATATTTCTGTATCATCAAGGACTAGGGGCTCATTTTCTTGTGGTGCATTTTAACAAATGGTATACACTTTTAGGGAGTAGGCCTCCCCGTCTCCCTCCTACCCCCGCCGAGGCTCTGCTGGGCTCCACCAGGCGGCCCTACCACTCGCCACTGCCGCCCACATCCGCACAGACTCCCCTGGTGGGGCTGCCTGCGTGGTCTCTGATGGTGTCACCTGGGCGAGTCCCCGATGACACACTCTGCCTTGGGGACAGGAACAGGGCTCGCCATCTGGGACATCCTGCCGTGGTGTTGGCCCGTGGGCAGGGATCTCGGGGTGTTTTGCCTGGTGAGGACGTGGAGCACCTCAGAACCCAATCAGTAACCCAGGGAGTTGAGAAAAGTCAGGGTGAGGCCAATGAGACCCGGTTTCCCTCCAGACCTGCATGGCCCCCTCCTTCTGACGTTCGTTCATTTGTTCTTTCTGAGCGTTGTTATTGTGGTAAAGTGGACGTGAGAGGGGCCGTTGCAGTGACTTTTACGTGCGTGGTTCGGTGATGCTAAGCGCATTCCCACTGTTTTGTGAGCATCACTGCCATCGGCTCCAGAACTTCCCATCTTCCCCAGATGAACCTCTCATCCCCATGAAACGGTCCCTCCCCGTTCCCCCACCCAGCCCCGGCACCCACCCTCTGTTTCCCGCCTCTGTGGACCTGACGACTCTGGGGGCCGCCTGCGAGTGGAGCCCCGGGATGTGTCCTTCTGTGTCTGGCAGCTTCCTGAGTGTGGTGTCCTCCAGGCTCAGCCGCCCTCTCGCAAGCTCCCCTGGTGTCGCCCGGCTGGGAGCAGAAGGGCCTGGAAGGTACGGCGGGGGCTCCTTCTGGGTCCCTGAAGGCCCCAACCCCGCGCCCCGGGCAGCATTTGTCCTTGTGTTTGCTTCGCCCCGTGTGGTCCAGGGAGGCTGCCCACCTGCCTACCCTCAGTAGCTGGGCCCTGCTGCCCGGGAGGCTGCTGCTCCGGGCCCTCTCGTCGTGACCCTGGTGCACCTTCCCTGTGTGGGGGCGCGGTTGTTCACCTCCATGCAGTTAGCTCATTGCTCTTTATGAGCTGTTCCCAGATGTCACCATGCTGAGAGGTTTGGAGGGCACCGTCCTGGCACCTGAGTTTCTTCACAGGGCTGTCGAGGGTGAAGGTGGCAGTTCTGCTACAGCGGCCAGTCCTGGGGTGACAGGAGGCCACGGGTCCCCCAGTACCCGAGACCCAGGCTCAGGAGGGACCTCAGTGTGACCGGCAGGGGCCTCTTCCTTGCTCACAAGCCCATCGAGGGGCCTCCTGCCACCCTGGAACCCAGCTCTGGCCCCGACTCACGGGGCCTCTGAATGGCCCTTCCGGGGGCCACGAGGGATGAGCCGTCCTGTCTCTGCCATGAACAAGTCTCTCTGCGGGTTCTCCGTTAAAGCCCAGTTGTAGCCTGGACCTTGAAGCTCAGCTCCTGCAGAGGGTGAGCTGGGGGCCGGGGAGGTGGAGGCTGCGTGAAGACATTGAGGCACCTTTGCGGACGAGCTTCCACTCGGGGCGGGGTGTTTTTAGCCAGCAGCACCCGGTGCACGGCAAGGCAGAAATAGAAGAGGCTTTTTTGGCCGCTCTGGTGCTGACAGTCTCTGGCTCTTGGGGAGCTGGGCAGGGGCTGGGGAGGGGCGGGTGTTCCAAGCACAAACAACTTCTGCTGTTTAGAAAAACATCTCGAGACGAGGTGGTTGTGGATGGGGAATTATTTCTGTTGGTGAACTCTTTATGTAAATGCCACGCACCGTGCGGCTTCTCCGCGTGTGTAATCACAGCAGGCTGCACCGGGGGTGGGGGTGTGTAATTATGTTTTAAAATACCACCCGGGTTGTTTTGCTGTGTTCCCTGAGCACTCGGGTAATTCTGGGCTTATCCTGCGATGCTCTGCCCCACCGGGAAATGCTGCCTGACCCCTGTAGTGGCCGGGCAGGGGCTGTGCACCCACCTTTGAGGCCCCCTTTCTGGCCTCTGTTCTGTTGCAGCCTCTGCTTGGGTGTCCCTGGGCCTTGGGAAGCTCCCCTTCCTGGGACTGACAGGTGCAGTGCGTACCACGCTCATCCTGGGCCAGTGGGTCCCTGGGGAGGGAGTGTCAGGGTGACTCCAGGGTGGGTGGTTTCAGACCCCGCATGGTTCTCAGGAGTGGAACACCTGCTGCCTTCAGTGGGGCGCCCGCTGTGGATTCAGGATGTGGGGTCCTCAGAAACCAAGGTTTCAGCCCCCCAGGGCTGGGTGGCCTGCCCCTCCCTGACAGGCGCTGGGTGCAAAGGTGACTCTGGGACCCTCCCTGCCTCCTGCCCTCCTCAGGCTGCTCCCCAGCAGCCCCCTTGGCAGCCCCCCCACGCCCCGAGGCTCAGCCACCCCTGTAGAGTTTTTCTGTGACTCTCCAAGGTGGGGGTCATGGAGGGACTGGGAACAGGGACAGCATGGCCAGGTGCACCTGCCTCTGAGCGTCCTGGTGCGGTGCGGCCGCAGGTGGGCTCTGCATGGAGCTGCCTGCCCCGAGCCTGCTGGACGTGCAGGTTCCACCCCACCCCTCCCTCTGCACAGCTGAGACCAGCAGGTCCTGCAAGCTGCCCCCCGCCCCCCACCGGGGGACTTCCCATCACACTGAGGCTGCCGAGGGGACCATGCCGTGCCCTCGGCAAGCAAGGTCCAGCCCCGGGTGGCCCAAGGGCCTCTCCCACCTGCAGGCTGCCCTCGTGCAATCGGGCAGGTGGAGGCTGGGCCTTGGGGCCTTCCCTGCAGGCCTTGCGCTCGGTAGGGTGTGCAGGAGCCCAGGGCAGTGGGATTGATTCCCTAGTGAAGGCAGCTGACTGGGCAGGTGGCCCTCTCAGGGCCTTGCCTTTTGTGCTGGGACACAGGAATGAGGGAGGCGGTGCTCCGCCCTCACCTGAGCAGGGTGGCTGTGCTGGCAGCCTACCAGGCTGGGGTGTGAGGAGTGCCGGACTGGTGTCCACCGTGGCATGTGAGCACCGGGGGCCCGCTCAGGGGAGCTGATCTTCACCCTGGAACCCTGCTGGGCTTGTGAGGACCCCTGTGTGAGGGTGGGCCCTATGAGGCTTCCTGGGACTCAGGGTGGTGGGGGTGGGGGGCAACAGGGAAGTGGGAGCCCCAGGCATTGCTGGGCAGGATTTGGGGCCAGGGCTGTGTTTCCTTGGCCCCGCGCACCTGGTGCATGCTGGGTGTCCAGCAGGTGGTCGTCAGATGAGGGGTCTCAGCCCTGGCCCTCCATGAACGCTCTAGAGGGGCTCTGTGACCCTGACAGCAGAGAGTCCTGCCCAGGGACCTCGGGGTGGCACCATGGGCTGTGTGGCCCAGGAGCCTCCGAGGGGCCCGTCTCTGACGCGTGGTGCCATCGGGGTCGCGCTGCACAGCTGCAGGTCCTGAGGATGCAGGGCGCCTGGCCGTCATCTGCCCCAGCAGTGGTTTGTCGGGAACAGCCCCAGACAGCAGGAGGGCTGCCCCTGGTGGCGGTGGCGGTGGCGTGTCGGCCAGCCTGGCTATTGGCAAGTGTTTATGGAGTTGCTCCTCGTCAGGCCAGCACAGTCCCAGGGCTGTGTTCTTGGATGCACTGAGTCCCCCGTGTCCTTGCCCCTGAGTCAGGTGGCCATGCCCCACTGCCCCTTGCTGGGAGCTGCTGGGAGAAGAGTTGGGGGCCACAGTACCTGTCACCCCTGTCCAGCTACCCACCTCTCCTCCACCCAGCAGTTTTTGTGGCCCCAGAAGTGGCTGCCCTGCTGGCCCTGCCAAGCCGTCCTCCATCCTCCATCCTGTCTTGCGCCGTACTCTCCCTTGGGGACCCAAGCACTGAGCTGTCACTCCTGCCCGGCAAGCAGGCTCTGCATAGCACCCTCCTAGGAGTCAGCCCTCAGCAGCTCATTCCCTGGGCCTGAGCGGGCATCTCTCGCCTCACATCTTCTGCTCACTCGTTCACAAGAGCTTCCCTGTGAGGGCAGGACTAGGTGGGCAAGAGGGCACCAAGTAGGGATGGGGCAGGCTGAAGCCAGTCTGACCCAGGCCAGCAGGAGAGCGGCACAGAGTGGCCTCACCTGGGCCCAGGTGGGCAGAGTGGGTCTAACACAGGCCCCAGGGAGCATGGAGGGCAGGCGGGCAGGCACAGAGCAGCCCGGCCCCCCAGATGCCCATCTGACCAGGTTGGTTCTGGGCCCACAGTGCAAGAGAAGCCTGAGCCAGTGCCGCTGGAGAGCCGCTCCTGCGTCCTCATCCGCCGCGACCTCGTGGCCCTACCTGCCAGCCTCATCAGCCAGATCGGATACCGCTGCCATCCCAAGCTCTACTCGGAAGGGGACCCCGGGGAGAAGCTGGAGCTGGTGGCAGGTGAGGCTGCCTCCCACCCATCTATTGTATGCAAATGTCCTCATTTATTTATTTATTTATTTATTGGAGAGCTCTGAACAATGTACTCATCACCAATCAGTCAAAAAAAAAATCTTAAATTTCCTCTAATTTCCTTTTAGAAGAATGTGTCATTAAGAGAAGTTATTCAATTGAATTAATTTAGCATTTTAATTGAATCCCCTGGGCTGGTCGCATTCCTGATTGGCAGGGGCTGCAATCACAATGTGTTTTAATTTAGGTCACAGATAAAACCATGTCACGTATAGTTGCCAGTCCCCCCGCCCCGCGAGGGTCCAGTTGCAGCCTTTGAGGGTAACGGCCAGGTTCCAAGTGGCAGCAGCAGTCAAGGCGGGATCCTTCTGGCAGAACAAACACGTCCGAGTCCAGAAGCCCGTGGGGGCCGGGCCTCGCTCAGGAATTTACCTTTTGTGTTGGATTCCTTTGGCGTCATAGCTCCTTGTAGATTTTTACAACTGTTAAGGAGAAGATGGGGCAGGCTAAAGCCAGTCTGACCCACGCCATGGGCATCTTCTTTGGTGACTATTGGGCCATTTTCTGGGGATTTCTTCCCGGTTTTCCAGGAAGCCCCAAGCTTGGGCCCTCAGGCGCTTTCCTTGGCCACAGCCTGAGCAGTTCTGCGTAGCCCTGTCCTGTTCCTGTCCACCCCCAAAGGCCATACCTTGGGCAGCGTCTCGGGGTCTTCCCTCCCAGCAGGACGAGTGCCTCAGGTGTGAGCCACTGCCTGAGGGTTGCCTGGGCTGGCCTCGCCTTCCAGCTGCCAGGGACTTCGGTCCTCATGGGAGAGTGGCCTCCTGGGCTGCACCTGGCAGTGTTGGGCTGCCCTGGCCAGGAGGGGTAGGGGCCCACCTTGCTGTGGCCTGAGCTCCCACCCTGCCCCGGCACTGCTTCTGGATGGCGAGCGCAGTGCTGGGCTGCCGGGGCGGCTGGGTGGGCCCCTGGGGTTGGGCTCTGGGGCGCAGGTGCCCACGCGGGCCCTGGTGCTTCACATAGGTGTGGTCCCAGGAAGATGCTCTCGGTCATCCCAGCCTCCAGCAGCTGTGGCCTCTGTTTGGGGTGTGGGGCTGATGGGATTGGAGACGTGCTTCAGTTTATGAGCTCCTCAGGAGAGTTCCTCCAGCCCAGACCCTGGCAGGAAGGGCCTGTGGGAGTGGTGGGGCAGGAGACGGGCCATGGCAGGAAGAGGTCATGGGCACTCACAGGCTCCTGGAAGCAGGCGCACCTGGACATCGTGTCCTTCAGGACATGACATCTCATGGTCATTGAGACTGGCTGCCCCCAGAAAGCATTCCCTCCCCATTGTTCCCAGAGGGTTCAGTCCTGCTGCTTGTCCATGCCCTCGCTCACCCAGACCCTGGTGGGACACCTGGGGTGTGGTCAAGTTTCCGAGGGTAAACAGCACAGCGTGGACCTCTCTGGCCACGCCTCTGCCCTAGCTGGTTTTCCTCTTCACACATACCCAGAGGAGGTCAGCACTGGGCCCTGCAAAGCTCCAGCCATACCCTCCAGCCAGGGGATTCCGTCTCCCTCATCGTTGCCTGAGGGCTCTCTGGTATCTGGGACGGAGCAGAAAGGCAAAGACATGAGTGTTTCCCAAACCCAGGGCCACAGCCAGCCCTTCAGAGTGTGTTCCCTAGGCCAGGTGCAGTGCCCCTCCTCCTGTAATCCCAGCACTTTGGGAGGCCGAAGTGGGAAGATTGCTTGAGGCCAGGTGTTCAAGACCAGTCTGGGCAACATAGGGAGACTTCATCAAAATTAACTGGGCATGGTGGTGGCGCCTGTGGTCCCGGCTACTCAGGGGGCTGAGGTGGGAGGATCACTGGAGCCCGGGAGGTCGAGGCTACAGTGAGCCATGATGGCACCACTGCTCTCCAGCCTGGGCAACAGAGCAAGACCCCGTCTCTAAACAACAACAAAGTGTGTTCTTGGGGAGGGAGCTGAGGCCGGGGACCGCAGCATGGCCGGGAGAGCTTGGAGTTTGGGGCTCGTTGGGGAGGGTGGGGGGCGCTGTGGCTTTCCCCACCCCCTGCTTAGTTCCATGTGTGATTTGGGACCTGCTGGGGCTGGCCTTGGCCATGGCCTCTCCTGGTGACCAGCAGGTGGGACCTCAAATTGCTCCTCCCCAAAAAAAGTCCTAGAAGCTTCCAGCTCCTCCTCCCCCTCCACCTCCCCCCCTCCCCCTCACCCATCTGTGCGCCTCTTCGGACCCTATGGCCCGGGAAGGCCACGAGCCCTTTTTCTGTTTGGTGGCTGCAGGCTCTGGGGTCTACATCACACGCGGCCAGCTGATGAACTGCCACCTGTGTGCAGGGGTGAAGCATAAGGTCTTGCTGCGGAGGCTCCTGGCCACCTTCTTTGACAGGTAGGTCGGGGCAGGAGTGCTGGAGGGCACAATGGAGCTGCGGAGGGTTCTGGCTCCTTTAGCTATGAGCTGTCTGATCGTCCAGGGTTGTGGCATTGAAAGCCCTCTCGCATTCCTGACTTCAGCCGTGGCCGGTCGGCCCCAGGACGGTGGAGAGGCTCCCAGGGAGGGAGGGAGGGGCTGTCTTTCGTGGCCTTTCTCAAACGGGCTTGTGGATGCAACCCCCACAACAGAAAAATGAAGAGCCACACTTATTCTGTTGTGCTGATGGGCCAACAGAACCCTTCCCGAGGACACAGCGGCTTCCTCAGACGTCCCCGGAGTCCCTGAGGACAAGGCTCAGGTCACCTTGCAGCCCCATCACCCGGTCATCTTCTCAGCCCAGACGCTTTTCCTTTGTCCTGTCCCTTAGAGGGTGGCTGGGCCGGCTCCTGCCACTGGGACACACGCAGACCAGCCAAGGGTGAGGCCAAGTGGCCTCCCAGCAGGGCATTCGTGCGGGCGGGTCGCCTCCAGGTACCCTCCCCATCATCCTCACCCTGCCTGCCTTTCCGGTCCCTCCACCAGGAACACGCTGGCCAACAGCTGCGGGACTGGCATCCGCTCGTCCACCAGCGACCCCAGCCGGAAGCCGCTGGACAGCCGGGTCCTGAACGCTGTGAAATGTAAGAGCCTGGGGGTCTCTCGGGTGGGTGGGGCCGGGGCTGGGTTCAGATCCCAGCCTGAGGAGGACTGGGTGGGCCGCGGGGGTGCTCCCGGCCACCTGCAGCTTCCGTCCCTGGGGGCCGAGCATGGTCTGATTGAGGGGAAGATGAGGAGAAAAGAGCAGCTCTCAGAAGCCAGGTCTCGAGGTGTTAACGTTCTTGGTAGGTTTCCAAGTGTGATGAATTCAGCTGCGAAACTATTTTAATATGTGAAATAGATCTAATTTTCCTTTTTGAACAAAACCCCTTATTTACATTTTGCGGTTATTTTGAGCCTTTGCCATCTGTTCGGCCGGCTTCTGCCTCCCGCTCTTGGGCGTGTGGGGGCGGAGCCCGGTCCATCTCCAGGGCAGACCGCCGCCCCCGGCCCGCGCCCCAGATGTGGAAGATGCTGACTGCTGCCGGCTCGCACCAGGTGGCCAAGAGCACAGCCTCCTGTGGCCCTCGGCCCAAGAAGCACTATCTTGTTTTCTTCCTAAAAAAAAGAAAAAAAAAAAAAAAAAAAAACCTTGTGAGGCAAATTCTGTTTTAGAGCAAAAAGGGGCCTTTGCAGCCAGGAATTACAGTCCCCAAGTGTGGGGTGGCAGCCGAGGCTCTGGGAAGATTCTGGGAGGGACCGAGGTGGACGTGGCCCCTGGGACCTGCCTCTGGGTTTGATGCCGTTGGGAGGAATGACCCGGCCTTGGCCTGGGCTCCTGCCAGAGAAAGGAGGCGAGTGTTGCTGAAGTGATGGCTTCTGTCACTCCCCTCCTCCAGGCTGGGACTGGGACGGGGAGGGGTGTGTTATTCCCGAAAGGGGGACCCTCTGACCAGTTCCCGTTAGCCGTTGGGGCTACGGAAGCCCGGAGAGATTAAAAACAGGCCTGAGCCTCACAGCTGGCGGACGGCCAAGGCTGCTGGGCCTGACCAGGCCAGAGACTGTTCCAGAGGAATGGGGTGGGGAGGCCTCCCAGGCCGAGCAGTGAGAAACGTGACCTCTGGTCTTCTGGCTGAGGCCAGGAGAGCCCCAGGTGGTCACATGGGCCCCAGGAGCGGCCGGGGAGGCTCATCCAGGGCATCATGGTTCTGTGGCCTTGGGGAGGGGCGGGCCTCCCGGCAGGCAGGTGGCTGAGCTCACGCCGCCCCGTCCTCACAGTGTACTGTCAGAACTTCGCCCCCAGCTTCAAGGAGAGCGAGATGAACGTGATCGCCGCGGACATGTGCACCAACGCCCGCCGCGTTCGCAAGCGCTGGCTGCCCAAGATCAAGTCCATGCTGCCGGAGGGCGTGGAGATGTACCGCACGGTCATGGGCTCCGCCGCCGCCAGCGTGCCCCTCGACCCCGAGTTCCCGCCTGCCGCGGCACAGGTGTTCGAGCAACGCATCTACGCCGAGCGGCGGGGCGACGCCGCCACCATCGTGGCTCTGAGAACTGACGCCGTGAATGTTGACCTGAGTGCCGCCGCCAACCCCGCCTTCGACGCCGGCGAGGAGGTGGACGGGGCTGGCTCGGTCATCCAGGAGGTGGCCGCCCCCGAGCCGCTGCCCGCCGATGGCCAGAGCCCCCCACAGCCCTTTGAGCAGGGCGGGGGCGGCCCCAGCAGGCCCCAGACGCCGGCGGCCGCGGCCCGGAGGCCGGAGGGCACCTATGCAGGGACCTTGTAAGCGGAGCTGGGTGGCTGCGCGAGGGACCGAGTACTAGAGCTGCTTGCATGCGTTACTAATACAAACAAATGTGATCAAGCCACTTACCTACTGAACTGCTACTGTTGCCTGAGAAAAATGTGATTTTTATTCTGCTTGTATTTAAAATTGATGAAGGAAACAAATGCATTCATTATACTGTAAACAATTAGGCCACTGGCAGCCTCCTGCGAGGAAGTTCCCAGGGCTCCCTTTTGATATTCACAAGGTCAGCCTCCAAGTGTAGCTTCCCTCCCCCTTCTTGGGGAGGGTGGGAGGCCGCCAGGCCCCTGGTGCCCAGCCCTGCCCCTTCCTCCCTGCCCTTCCTGCTCCTCCTGCCCGGAAGACGAAGCAGGGGCCGGCGGTGGTCTGTGGCGAGGGGGCTGGGCTGTGCGTCACTGACCCTTCCTTCCTTCCCCATGGAACCTCTCTGGGGCGACGGGGCAGGGCTCAGGCTCCAGGGCCTAACTCCTCGTTTTTCCTTCTTTCGGAGACTCGGGGCCAGGCCCACCGGGCCTTCCACCTGTGTGGGGTGTGTGCACGAGTGTGTGTGTGTGCGTGTGTGTGCAGGGGTGTGGTGAGGGGGCAGTGATGGCTGTGGCCCACCCCTCGGGGTGGAGAAAAGGGTACTTTACTCTGCCCCCACACCCTGTCCTTGTTCTGCCCGATCCGTCTCGGCTCTGCAGCCCCTCGGTCCCCTGACCCCCAGGGCACCGCTGACCCCGCCTGGCCTCCCACTGTCCCGCCCGGGCCCACTGTGGGACGTGCACAGCTGATGTAGCACACGCTGCCCTCTGCCGCCTCAGCCACTTTGGGATTATGCTTGTCTTGTTTTTTTTAGGTTTTGTTGTAATTTAGATCTATTTCATATATGGTTTGGAAACTTTCAGACTCAATAGAACAAAAACTTTGGGTGGGATGGGTGTCCCTGTCCCCAGCCCACCATGGCTTGGGGTGGGTCATCTGTGGCCGTTAGGGTGCGTCCCCCTGCTCCCCCGCCCAGGGCCAGGGACCACTCGTCTCCCACTGGGGGAAAAAGGGGGTCCCGGGTGGGCGACTAGTACGTGTGAAGCTGAGCTCAGGGCCGGACCTGGGGAGCGGGGGACTCCGCTCGGGCAGGAGGCAGCGGCCAGGGCTGGGCCAGGGCGAGAGTCGGTCCTCCCGGTGCTGGGCTCCCCGTCTGCCTTGAGGGGTGTGCATGGATGGAGGGTGCCTGAGGCTGCAGGCAGGGGATGACCGGGACAGGCCTGGGCTGGGGCAGTTGGAGGTATGGGCACTGGTAGGGGACAGAGGGTTAGGGATCATGTTGGGGGGCCAGGGACAGTGGAGGAAGGGCCCATGGAAGATGGGGCTGTTTGGTTTGAGGCTGGAGTGCTTCCTTTGAAATTTAATTACTGTTTTTTAAGTGGTAGGGCTCACAGACTGTGTGAAGTCCTGTGTGAAGTGCTGGTGTGGCCACCTACCCAGGTGTCCCTCCCTTTTGTTTTGGAGGCCTGTGTCCTTGTCCAGGGGCAGCCCTCCTTCCCAGGTGTGGCCAGAAGAACCCCCCATCCCAAGACTTGAAATGTCTGTTGCTCACCTCTGTCCCTCCAGAACTCGGCTTCCCCATCTTCACTTGCAAAACAAGTGCAGCCCTGCGCCCATCAGCACCCCCTCCGGTGTGCACACAGGCCAGTGAGCGGTGGCCGACCAGCGCACCCCACTCCCCCAACCTCCACAACCCATCAAGCGGAGGCCGCCTCCGCTAGGGGAGGACCATGTGCTGCACCCTGGCCTGGGGACCTACAGGGTGTGGGTTAGACGCATTCCCACTGGGCGGCTCCTTTCTGCCCCGAAGCCCACCCCTGTGGCGAGGCCCTAGGAGACCTCCCGTGGGGCCGCCTCTACAGACAGCACTCAGCCTCCTGGGCTGCCTCCAGCCAGGCCCAGCACATGCCTGCCCTCCAGAAAAATACGTTGCTTTCCAGAAGGAGGTGGGGGACCATGGGCAGGCACTGTGGACGCTAACCTCGGCCCCTCCACCCATTCCTCAGGGCCCACGTCCAGGGGGACCAAGACCTGCATTCCTAGGGCTGCAGGTGGCTCAGTGGTGCAGAGGCATCCAGACCTTCTGCTGAACTAAGAACCACCCAGCCTAGAGGGAGCCTTTCTCTGCCTCTTCCTCCCCTGTCTTGGGCACAGGTGGGGTTGGAGCCCCCATGGGGCCCGCTGGGAACCTGGACCAAGCCTTCCTCGGAGATGGGAGGAAGCCGCGGGGTGGAGCAGGGGCAGGTAGGTGAGGTTGAGCTGCACTTGAGTTCCCTCTGGAGTTTCCTTCATCTGCCCCACACCCAAATTTGCACTTTAATTTGACCATCCCTGGGGGCCTGGCTGCTGACAGAAGGGCTCTCTCTGCCCTCCACTCCAAAGTGGGTGCCCCCCCACCCTTGGCCAGGACAGGGAGGGAGCCGCTGGCTGCTGCCGGAGGTGGTGGCTGCACAGAGGACGCCTGACTGCTGTTCAGGCCCGCACAATGTCCCGTGCCCCTTCCTCACTCGTTTGTAATCGCCGTCTGTTTTGTTCTGGGTAAGGAAGGCAAGAGCTATAGATAAAACTTAAATAATAATAATTTAATGTGAATGGGTTCTGAGCTCTCCCTGCGCCCCGGGCGGGCCAGGCCGAGCATTTTGCACTAATGTGTCCCACGGTGGGCGTGAGTCGGGAGTGTCTGTGGACGTGCGTGGCTGCTGAGCGGACCTGCTGTGTGCTCCCTCCACGTCCTGAATGTACCGTGGGGCGGGGGCGGCGGCCCGGGCTCAGAGGGGCCTTCCAGAGTGCCTTAGCATCCTTTGATCATTTTTCCCAAGGAAACCAATTAAGAAAGCCGGACCCTTCCCTCCTTTGTTTACAAGATGACTAATTCTAGAATCCGGGGTTGTCCTGTCCTGTGAGTGTGACCCTGACTCATCCAGACCCTGTAGAGAGAGACGAGCCACTCAGTATTTATGAGATGTCTGCACCTTTATCCCTAAGCCTGACTATTAGCAATACGCATATCCTATATAGAATCTATTACAGAGCTACGTTATCTCCACACCTTTTGAGGAGGACAGAAGGGACTGGACCGTGTTGGAGCTGCCGCCTGGCAGGTGGTGGGCCTGGGATCTAGCCGCCTCTCCTGCCCTGCCTTCCTCTTCCCCAAGGGGATGGGCCCAGGAGGCAGCTGGGTTGCATGGAGAGGTCCAGGAGGGACCGGAGGTGTGACAGATACTGTGAGCCCGGCGGGCCGCGCCTGGCTGGGTGCCTCGGTACTTGAATTCTGTCTTGTTTTCCGCATTGTGTCTGTCCACCCGAGTTCTCTGTCGTCACTTAACTTTGCATTGGATTTGGTTGTTGTACTTTGCCCCTGAATGTGGACAAAGCTGTGGGCAAGAGGTCAGCAGGACCCGCCTGGGGGTGCCGGCGTTGGTGACTGCGGGTCGGGGCTCCTAGAACATAGGAGCCGGCTGCCTGGCCTCCTTTCTCCTCCAGGAAGAGTCATTCTTTGGCATTTGTGTTTAGAGCCAGGAGGAAGGCGGAAGGTAGGGAGGGAGGGCTGGTCCCCCTCTGAGGGGGCTCTAGTGCCTGACCCTGACCTGTCCTCATTCGACAGCTGAAACTGTTAAGCGCTGGCCCAGTCCCCCCACCCCACCCAGCCGTGTACTGCCTGGGCTCCCCTCAAAGGGAAATTTTTATGGAAACATCTTGGCAGCAAGTGGAAAAAGATCTATGGCCCATGAACCAACTGAAAACTCCAAGAACCCTCTGTCTGCCTCTGCCAGCAGCGAGTCCTAAGCGCAGAATCCAGAGCTCGTAGCTGTCCTCAGCTGTAACTACTGTTTCAGAATGTTGCTGCTGCATACTTTTGTCATGTCAGCCAGCCAGCTCCGTGGGTGAGAGTGTGCGTGTGCGCGTGTCTGTGTGTGTGTGCGTGTCTGTGTGTGCACGTCTGTGCGTCTGTGTGTGCGCGTCTGTGCATGTGTGTGTCTGTGCGTGTGTGCGTCTGTGTGTGTGCGTCTGTGTGCGCGTGTGTGTGCGCGTCTGTGTGTATGTGTGCACGCGCGTCTGTGTGCACGTGCGTGTCTCTGCACGCGTGTCTGTGTATGTGTGCACGCGTGTGTCTGTGTGTGTGCACGCGCGTGCACGTCACCACCGGAGCATTTAGGGTTTGGTACAAGATGGTTCTAAAATGGCAAAGGTTTTTCGTGTTTGTTTGTTTTGTTTCTTTGGAAAAAGAAAAGGAAAGGAAAATCATGCAGAATCGCAAGCATTCAGACTGGACGACCGGCTCGTATTCCGATCAGTCGCTTCCATTGTTAGCATCGTACACGATTGTGATTTTTATGTCAAAAGAAGCCAAAACTTGCAATACTATTTTTAGCAGACAAAAAAAAGAACTAAGTATAAAATGTATAAATATTTTTGACTTGAAGATTTGGATGGCACTGGGTGCAAGTAGAGCATCCATCCTTCGGATGGAATGTTTGGAAAAAAGAGACTTTTAAAAAGGAGACGGTTGTTTTAAAGAGTCTGTTTAGGGGTTAAAGTACTGTAACTCACGACTGTTAAAAAATAAATTTTCCTGTGCTGTAAAGGAAGGTTTCACAGTACCACTGAGTTAGATTTCAGCCACAGATGCTTAGCTTTTTTTTTTTGTCTTTTTTTTAAGGAGGAAGCCTTTGTTTTGTTTTCCTGAGCCCTCACTCTGTTTTTGTGCTGTTACTCGGTAGAGTCAAGACTGTTACTTTTTAGCCATGGCTGACATTGTATCAATAACTAAAACTGAAACATTCAAAAGCGAACAGGGAAACCGAGGGCTTCAAGCGTGCTCAGAGCCGTTTCAGACAGTGGAAATCCATGACAAACAAAAGGATGTGATCATTAATTGTAAAGCGCTTTGTAAAATTCACATTTACAAAATAATAAAGTCAGTTCAAACCTAAGTTTCCTGGACTTGGCTTGGCCCTGTGGGGTTTGGGGGAGACACAGAGAAGCCAAGCTTGGGCTATTGAAGGCAGGGGTGGCCAATGGTCCCCCAGGGGCACCCTCAGGACCCCGTCCCTGTTAGCGGCGTCCCCAGGCCAGCTGTCCACACAACAGGGCAGGGATCTGGCTGTGGGGTTCAAGGTCACCTGACCCATCTCTTGCTCTCCCCAGTGTTTTACAAGGGAAGGGGCAGGTGGGTAGGATGTCTGCAGGTACTAGTGTGCCTGCTAGAGGGGGGCCCTGTCCGGACCCGCAGGCAACCTGCCAGGGTCGGGGGGTCTCCTTTTCGGGACCTTGGTTTTATTGTCTGAGAAGTGGGGCAGCCCCTTCATCTGCCTCACCTGCCACCCAAAAGGTGCGTGGCTCCTTCTTTCCCTCCCCCTCCCCCACCCCCTCCCGGGCCATGTCTGCCCCCAGGTGAACAGAGAGACAAGTGCAGGTGGGCAGAGCTGGGCCCGCGGGGTTGGCCTTCTCTCCAGCTCTGGGGCTGGTGTCCTGGGGTTCAGGCTGCGTGGCCAGCCCCATTCCCTTTTGCTCCTCTGGCGTATCCACAAGGACAGGCTGAGTGCTTTGCAATCATGTGTCCCCCAGACCTGTCCTGCCGGGCCCTTGATGGGTGCCTCCTACGTCTGGAAGCACTTTCCTCTGGATACCTTCCTGGCAGGCTCCTCACTTCCTGCGGTCCTGTGAGGGTCTCGTCCAGGGGACCACCCCTGATCACCTTACGGGCACCCCTCCCTGGCCTCTCTTCCCCTTTCACAGGGTTCATGGCACCCGCCGTACTGGAGGGAGGTGGTGGATTTATTGGGCAGGGCTTCATGGCCATGTTCCCAGAAGAGGGTCCTCTGGAGCCAGCATAGGGCAGCCCCTGATTGTCTCAAATGGATGGATGTGGTTTCCATATGGGCCCCCTGGATGGAAGGGCCCATGTGGCAAGGGGATGGCGCTTGAGGTCACCCTGAGCCATTGCCTCCTACAGGAGCCACATCACCACACTGTCCCCACCAGGAATGCCCAAGGGGTCTGTTCCCCAGTGGGGGCCAGGGAACACGGAGTGTTCCAGTCCCCATCCCACCACCAAGCCCAGCCCCAGGCCTCCAGGGTAAGTGTATCCGACTCAACTTCCTGGAGAAGGAGCAGAGCCCCCAGCTCTCAGGGCCAGCACCTGCCTGGCTGGTGGGGAGCTTGGTGAGGACAGACAGCTTGGATGCACACCTGCAAGACCCCAAATGCCGCACCCAGGTGGGTCCCAGGCCCCCTCAGCAGCTAGGACTGCTGAGGTCTGGGTGGCCCAGTTAGGGGAGGGAGGGTCGTGGAGAATGCCCCACCTTGGCCCAGGAATCCTGCCACTCTGGGAGGGGGCCTACCCAGCCCAGTCCTCCACCAAGTCGGCCCTGGTTTTCCAAGGAGGAGGGGGAGCCAGGCACCTGCTGCCCATCCCATCCCTTGTCCCCCATTCCCCGTCCCCCATCCTTCCCACGGCCGCCTCGCCCTTGCAGCCCCGACAGAAACCGGCTGAGGCATCAGGAGCCTTGCATGGGCCTCCCACCCCCTTTGTCAGTTTGGACAGGAGGAGGGCGCTGTGTCAGCAGGACCCACGGCTTTGTCCCCGGCCCTTTGTGATTCTGCACAAAAGGGTCAGGAGCCCTGGGTGGGGGAGGGGCCTGGGAGGGATCTGAGCCCAGAGTCTGGGGAGGGAAGGGTGCCTGCGGGGAGCCCGAGGGGCTGGGTTGGGGCCCTGTGACCACCCTCGCTCAGCCGCTTTGGGTCACGTGTGCCTTCTGGCACCTGTGGGCTGGACAGACCCCACTCTGATGAGGAGATGAAGGCTCCTCGGGCTGCCAGTAAGAGCACCCCTGCCTTCACCCACCTCCCGGCCTGATTCTGCTGTTACAG
Source organism: Homo sapiens (assembly GCF_000001405.40). Taxonomy (NCBI): domain Eukaryota; kingdom Metazoa; phylum Chordata; class Mammalia; order Primates; family Hominidae; genus Homo; species Homo sapiens. The sequence goes on along the minus strand of NC_000009.12, from coordinate 136,004,597 downwards.
AGGGGCTGGGGGACGTCCAGCCCTTCCCTGTGCCTGTCCCACCAGGCGGCCCGTGAGGGGTAGGCTGGCCAGACATTCTGTTTGGTGGTGGACACAGGCCTCTTGGGGAGGAACCATGGTGGGGGTGGGGGGACTTTCACTGGTAAGAGGAAGGAGGGCGGGGGCAGCAGGTTAGGGGCAGAGGGTCCCTATCCACACAGCCGGAGCAGCTGACCCTGCCGTGGGGCACTGTGGCCCTCAGGCCAGGACTCTCTGGTCTCAAAGACAGGAAGGTGTCTGGCGGTGGACATCTCAGGCTGGGAGAAGATCCCTGGGGCAGGAAGGGGGTGGGGCGGGTGGGGGGAGGATGGGGCCTCATCTGGCCGCCCAGAGGAACCCAGCTCCCATGACCTCTTGATCACTGGGGGCCCCACATAGATCTGAGCACACAGGGGTGGGGGGCAGGAGGTAGATTGAGTGGTGGGGTGTCCACAGGATTCCACGGGCTGTAACAGAGATGTGGGGTGGAGAGGCTTGGAGAGGACTAGATCCCCGCCCTCAGGGTGAGGGCCCGAGGCCACACCCTCCCCTTGGGGCTCCCTGGGGAACTGTGGCCACCCTGGAGGGCTAGAGCTGGGAGCAGGTAGAGGAGGCCTAGGGTGGGGTTTGGAGGAATTCCAGGTAGCCCCACTGGAAATGCAGCAGAAGTGAGCTGAGGGCTGGGCTTCCAGAGGGAGTGGGGAGCTGCTGTGGAGGGGCCGCCTGGCTGCCTGGGACCCCACCAGGCTAAGGGAGGTGACTCTGGGTGGGCCAAGGGTGCTGAGCAGTCCTGGGTGGGAAGGTTCCCGATGACTGGAAGTCCCCACCCAGCCTCTCCAGGGCCCCTCTCCCAGGCAGGGCTCAGCTGCCTGGGGCAGGCTTGGGGCCCAGAGAGAGAGGAGTTTGGGTGGGGTGCACGGACCTCTCAGTGGGCAAACAGCCAGGCCGAGCCAGCAAAGGAACTGGGTCTCTGCCAAACACCATTCCCACCCGCGCTCGAGACCCAGGCTGGGCAGAGCCGGCATCCTGAGGTGGGGGCAGGGGCCTCGAGATGGGGCCAGGGCTGGCTGAGGTGTTTGGCTGGCTCCCGGCTCCAGCAGGTAAGATGAGGCCACCTGGGGAGGTCACTATGTGTCCCTCTGGCCCCCGTAGTCGGGCAGGTTCTGGAATGGGGCTCCCTGAGCACCAGCGCCGGATGCCTACCCTGGCACCAGGAGGCAGCTCTCCCTGGCACGGGAGCTTCAGGGTGCCCCCCCCCCCCTTCCAAGCCAAGCCCTTGAGGAGCCAGCTCCCCGGTGCCCACCCCTCACTCCCCTCAGCCCCTCTTCCTGGAGTCCTCCTGAGGGCAAAACTAGGCTCCCTCTCAAGGAAGCAGCTGCGGCCCCGCTGTGGGCTGCACTCGGGAGAGAAGGAGGGATGGTCACATGGGACAGTCAGGAGGCAGAGGGACAGAGGGACAGCCTCCGAGGCCCTGGACACGTGTCTTCATCCCCCGCTCCTCCCTCCCCTCCAGCTGGGAGGCTCCAGCAGCCCAGGAATGTCCGCAGCTCTGGCTGGCCACTGGACCTGGTTCCCCAGCTGTCCCATGTCCCTCATCAGTCGGCCAGGACCCTTCCTGGAGACCAGGCACTTCCCAGTGACGAAGGGGCTCTGGGACAGACAAGACCCGGTTCAAGGTTGGGCTTGGGGCCTGTGAGCTGGTGAGAGGGGACGTGTCTTTCCAGGTGCCTCAGCCCAGGGGTGGCCCTGGAACTGGGATCCCAGCCCAGGGTTGAGGTCTCCTTCCTACCACACACACACATTGAGGTGCCACCTGTCCCTTCACGTCACCCCACCCGCACCACGAGGGGCTTCCTCGGCTCTCCTCCAAGGAGGGATGGATTGGGCTGTTTGGCCCTGTTCCTCAGGGAACAGGGTGACATGGAGGTGGCTCTTTGGGAAGGTTGACAGTAGCAGTGGCAAGAGCCTGCACAGTGGCCAGTTGAAGCTCAGGACACCTGTGAGGGAGTCAGCACCAAAGCTGGGTTGGGCACTGGGCTCAGCCTGGCCATCCCAAAGGCAAGGAATCCTCCCTGGGGCGCCCTCAGACCAGCCTGGCTGCAGCCAGGCAGGTGGATCGGGGTCCCTGGGGAGAAGCACTCGGGTGGCCCCAAAGACCCTGCAGGATACCACGGTCACGGCAGCGCCCCTCCCCACTGCCCAGAGGTGCAGCCACCCAGAGCCCATGAACGGATGACAACCCACAGAAAAGGTCCACCCACCAAGTGCAACACAATGGGCCCTAAAACAGGGATGCACCCCAAGGGCACGAGGCTCGGTGAGAGGAGCCAGGCTGACAACTCCCTCCTGCAAGCGTCCACTTCGTGAGGTGCCCAGTCACCAAAATCACAGAGACGGTACGTAGGATGGAGGGGCCAGGCTGTGGGTGCAGGATCCAGTGTTTCGTGGGGGCGGAGCTTCAGTTGGGGAAGATGAAGCCTTCTGCAGACGGAGGGTGATGGCTGCAGGACAAGGGGACTGTGCTCAGTGCCACTGAGTCGTGCACTGAAAAATGGCCAAAATGGTGGGTTTAGAACATACGTATATGGCCGAGTGCGGTGACTCACGCCTGTAATCCCAGCACTTTGGGAGGCCGAGGCGGGCGAATCACCTGAGGTCAGTAGTTCGAGACCATCCTGGCTAACACGGTGAAACTCCATCTCTACTAAAAATACAAAAATTAGCTGGGCGTGGTGGTGCGCACCTGCAATCCCAGCTACTCGGGAGGCTGAGGCAGGAGAATCACTTGAACCCAGGAGGCGGAGCTTGCAGTGAGCCGAGATCATGCCACTGCACTCCAGCCTGGGCGACAGAGCGAGACTCCGTCTCAAAAACAAAACAAAACAAAAACAAAAAAACATATACAGTACGTGTATATATTTAAAGACAGGGTGGGGAAGAGAAACTGATCCCCCGGGGAAAGGCTGCTGAGAGGACCAGGCGGGGCAGGGCGTGCGGCTCGTGGCCTGTGACAAGCCTCAGGCCCCGTGCAGGGATGCCAGGAGCAGCTGCAGAGGGAGGCCTTTCCCGGCACGTTCTGTGTTTCCCAGCAGTGGCTTTGGGTTCACTCAGGGCCTGCAGGAGAGGAGAGGGTTAAGCAGAGGCGCCCTCAGCCCAGCCAACCTGACTGCAACCCTGAGGCAGTTCCCGCACCCAGGAGGGGCCAGTGTCCGTGAACGTGAACGGGCCAAGCCGGCCAACCTTAGGGCTGCTTTAGAAGCTGAAGCCACGTTCTTGCTGACAGCGGGCGAGGTGACCCGGCCAGGGCTGGGGGCTGGGGGTGAGTCTGAGAGAGATGGAGGCTCCTTGCTCTAAACAAGTAGCTCAGGGAGGACCCAAGCCCCTTTCTTTCTGGAGGCCTCTGCCATGAGTCTTTCCCTGGTAGCCTGGGTCGGACGAGCTTGGAGGAAGGGTTCACCCCAGGCCGCCCCCACCAGGGCAGGGAGCCCCCCACCCCCTGAAACCCATCACTTCCCCAGCAGGGGCCTGCACCTGTCTCCCATGCCAGCCCTGCCTTGTTGATGTCCTCAGAATCCTGCCCCTTCCCCCAGGGGCCTCACTGCTGCCCACCCCACTCCTTTCCCTCCCCACCGCTGAAGCTTTGACCAAGCAGCACCCCTTTTCTGTGGGAGCAAAAACCACCATGCAGCAAAAACCACCCCCAAACAACACTGGAACACCCCTCTGATGCCACCTTTTCATGAGATCGCCTTGTTCTGTGCCTCAGTTTCCCCACATGTTCAGCCAAGGGCATGAACTCCATCAGGCTCCTCACATTTACTGTGCCTCCAACCCCGCCCCCCCCCCCGCCCCGGGCATCTTGTTAGTGCACAGATCTGGCTCTGGGGGTCTGGCATGGGCCTGGACTCTGCATTCAACATCCTGGCCACACAGAGTGAGGCCATAAGGGCATCCCTCCTGCCCAGAGAGGACGGCCCACACTCTCTGGTGGAGAGACCTGGCTTTTTCCTCATACAGCACAGACTCGTGTGCAGAGACTACACGGACCCAGGTGCGGACAGCCTCACACAACAATTGCACACTCACTGCATCCAGCTTTGTGGTCTGCAGGCCTCGTCCAGATCGGGGTGCTCTGCGCATCTTTGCTCAGCTTCCCTTTGCTGGGCTCATGGGAACGCCGGGGTGGAGGTGTCCTCACGGCCCGCCCGAGAGGCATCCGCGGTCCTCGCCGGAGATGTGCCTGTATGCCGCCCCCTTACCAACACCGGGGCTTACGAATGGTTTCCCTTTGTACCAGATGGATGAGTGTTAAAAAAAATCTTCCTCTGACCTGGATGGTAGCAAATCTGTCAGCGGTCACACTCCCACTTCCGCAGCCATCCTGTACCTGTCCCGGCCACATGCACGCTTCTCCTTGCTCACCACGGAGCCCTGTACCGGGGCCTGGAGGCCTTCCCAGCTCACTGGGCCTCCGTGGTTGTCACATTGCTGTGGGGTGGGCATTGGCCCAAGAGAAGTTCTGAGTTTCTCTATTTATTTATTTATTTATTTATTTATTTATTTATTTATTTATTTTTGAGACAGAGTCTCACTCTGTTGCCCAGGCTGGAGTGCAGTGGCTTGATCTTGGCTCACTGCAAGCTCTGCCTCCTGGGTTCACGCCATTCTCCTGCCTCAGCCTCCCAAGTAGCTGGGACTACAGGCGCCCGCCACCACACCCGGCGAATTTTTTGTATTTTTAGTAGAGACGGGGTTTCACTGTGTTAGCCAGGATGGTCTCGATCTCCTGACTTCGTGATCTGCCTGCCTCGGCCTCCCAAAGTGCTGGGATTACAGGCGTGAGCCACCGTGCCCGGCCCAAAGTTCGGTGTTTTAATATCCACTCATCTTGTACCCTCCTCCGAGATGCCAGATATACTTGCTTGCGTTTTTCTCTTTGATGCTGGCGCCTGAGATCTGGGTCTGCTGATAATGGGGTTCTGGAAGCCTTGGCTGCTCAGATTGCTGAGCAGGGGAGGACAAAGCACCCTGGGGCCCTTCCTCTAGGGAACACCCCTCCCTGGGGCATGGCTGGGCCGCCCCTGCCTGGCTGCTGACAGTGTGGGCCTCACTGCCTCCCAGCCTTTGCCTTGCTTATGGTATTTGCACTAAAACCATTTCCCGGCCGGTGGCTCATGCCTGTAATCCCAGCACTTTGGGAGGCCGAGGCGGGCGAATCACTTGAGGTCAGGAGTTTGAGACCAGCCATGGTGAAACCCCATCTCTACCAAAGATACAAAATTAGCCGGGCATGGTTAGGCAACCGGGAGGAGGAGGCTATAGTAAGCCAAGATCACACCACTGCACTCCAGCCTTTGGCCACAGAGTAAGACTCCATCAAAAAATAAAAATAAAAATAAAACCATTTTCCATCCACCCAGAGCTGCCCACAGTGGAGGGGTGGGAAGAGAGAGGGTCCCACTGCCTGGGGGAGGGGCTGCTCTAGGCCCATCTCAGTGTCACCAGAGGCCAAATCACCAACAGCCGCTGCAGAGGCCTTGTGGGGCACCAGCAGTCTGCTCACCCCAGAACAGCCAGGCATGACCACAGAGTTGGAGCTTGGTGACTGGATTCTGCATCAGAAGGGACACGGGGCCCATGTCACAGGTCCCAGGGCTGGGGCAGGTCCCTGGGCAGCACCTGTCTGTTCTGACTTCAGTTTCTGGAATCAGAGTCTTGAGGCTGTGAGAACTGGCAGCCACAGCCGAGGGCCAGCAGGGGCATCCCACGCTTTTTGTGAGCGAGGCCTGGGGAGCCCTGCTCCCGGCTGGCATCTCACCTGGCGTGTGAGCGCACCTCCAGTGCCAACCTAGCCCAGGTGCTGGCCAGGGGGCAGGAAGCTGATGACAGTGTCTCTCCTCCATCGTAACAGTGGCTGTGGCAGAAAGAAGCCCCCAGGCCCAAGCACAGAGGGGCTGGCAGGATTCTGGAGCCGGCCTGGAGGCGCCTGTGCCTCCCTGGAGCGGCAGGGCTGGCAGCCTTGGTTCCTGACAGCGCCAGGGGAACCCACAGAGGCTCCTCCTGCTCCTCCTGGTTCTGTGTGTGCCCACCCCACCGGGCTCCAGCTCCTTGCACCCAGGGGAGGAGGAATGGGGGTCACCTCCCGTCGGAGTCCCTGGCTTGGGAGCCACTGTGGTCAGTCAGGAAGCTTTGAGGGACTGCTGCGTTGGCTTTAAAACTCAGGCTCCCTCTGATGGGACAGAGAAGGAGACACCTGGAGACCCCCATTACTCCGCCCACAGGTGTGGTCACCCAGGAAGGCCTGGAGAGTCCCAGGAGGTCCCCCACCTGCACAAGGCACCCGCCAAGTTGCTCCGGCTTCTGGGAACACCACGTGAGGGTGCAGGTGGTGGGGCCGGGCCAGGAGCTGGGCGGCAGGGGGCCTGGGGCCTTGGGCAGGCCACCCCTCTCCTCACCCACCTGAAGTAGGCTGAGTATGAATGTCCCTGCCAGCCCTGATGGGCTTCGGGTCTGTCAGGCGCCAGGAACCACAGGGCCGTGGGCATTCACAGCCTCAGGACCACCCCCCGCCTTCTTGTGCTCCCAAGGCAGTGGTCTAAGCAGACCTAGAAATAGCCTAGACGGAGTCGACTCTGGGGTCAGCCTATGTGGAAACTCCAGGGGCCTTCAGTCCCAGGCTGGAGTGTGCAGGAGGAAGAGCCAGCCAGCTCCATGCTGGGCCACAGCCGAGAGGAGCAGCTGGGACTACAGGAACAGAAGGCAACGGCCGGGCCAGCCCCAGCAGAGTAGGGACAGGTGAGGCTCTGGTGGGACTCGATGGGAAATAAATCCCATCACTCTGACCCACTCTGAATACACACCAAGCCCTCCCATCAGATGCAGATGAGCCCAGGGTGTGTGCCCCTCCTGAGTGGGAATGCATCAGTGAGTGGCCAGGCCTAAGCCCTCAGGCCATTTAGCTGTCACTGGGTGGCAGAGAGGACCGCGGTGCGCTCTGCGTTGTGCAGTTTGATGGTGCGTTTGTACCGAGCTCTGCCTGCTAAAACAGCGTTCCCGGAATGGAGAGGACGGCGGGACTCATTGGAATGGAAATCAATTTGATTAGAGAGCAGTCAATTACTGCTAGGACCGCGGCTGTGATCCGGGCGGAGAACCAGCTCCGTAAAAATATGTACAACTTCCTGGGGAAATGCTGCAGAGAGGAGCCTGAGGGGGCGGGGAGGCTGCACGGCTGTGCCCGGGGAGGTGCTGGCCCGGGCCTCGGGCTGGGAGGTGTGGGGTTCCCTGGGGTGCTCCCCATTAGGCCTTGGGGTGTAGCTCAGCTCCTCTCGGCCTCAGTGTTCACCTCTGTAAAATGGGATAATGCCGGTGCCCACCAGCAAGGTATGGGGGCTCAAAGTGGCCATTTTTACAAAGCACACGGCACTGCCTGTGTGTAGGACACCCCGGGAAACGCCTGGTCAGGCGGGCTTTGCTCAGGACAGGCGGAAGCTCAGCTGCCCGACACACACGCTAGGCCCCCTGAAGGGTTTCGCTGAGGGATTCTGTGCCAAAAACTGAGAAAAAGCTGGATCCAAACACCACAATTACCCAAGATGGGCGGGTCGAGTGGAGAGGACCGTGAAGGGCAAGGGGCCTGGGCTTACATCCTGGCCACCCGGAGCCTCAGTCTCCTTCTCTGTATGGGACAATGACCACCTCCCCAGTTGGCAAGGGAGGACCGACCACAGCAGAATCCCATTCTGTTCCTCCTGCGCTGGAAGCCAGAACATGGAGGGCCTGAGCCCACGGCCTGAGCCCCACACAGAGGCTGGTGCTGTTCTGTGCCGCTTCCTCCCTCATGGGCTCTGGTCAGGGACGCAGGCCTCTCTCCGGCCCGACCCTTGTCATGCAACAGAAGCAAATGGTGCCCGTGGAAATGGTGCCCGTGGAAACGGTGCCCGTGGTGTTGCTGTGTGGAGGGTGAGCCAGCAGCACAGAATGGGTCCCGGACCCACCAGGCCACTCGGCCTTCTGTTACAATCACAAGGAGCCCCTGGGCAAAGGCAGTGCCTGGCACGTGATGGCGGGGAGGGAGAAAGGATGGGGACTGGAGATTCGCCCCTTTCTCCCCTTCAGCTGAGTGCCCATGTGCAGTAGCAACCTGCACACATGTGCACAGCGGCCTAGCAGTCGGGAGCCAGGTGAGCCTGAGACCAGGTCCCAGCTCCATGTCCTGGCCGGGGGACTTTCAGAGTCACTTAACTTGTCTAAGATTTTGTAAAACAGGGTAACGATTGCCATCTTACCAATGTGTCACGGAAACTGGAAACCAGGCGTCCATTCAGTATTTACTGAGAAGCTACTGTGAGCCCCGAGCTCCGTGGCTGGTATGTTGCAGATGCCCCACACAGGACCTCCACTTTTCATGGTTTCCACGGGCCGAGCCAAGAACGAAGCGTCCACCTGGAGCATCAGGACAGACCAGCTGCTGCAACGATGAGACAGGCGTGACCGCCCAGCATGGGCTTGCGACGGCTCAGCAGAGCCTCAGGGCCAGAAGTGCCCTCAGCCGTTCCATCGGAGTCCCTTTGGTTCTGTTCAGTTCCACAGCTCACCTGGCGTCAGCATGTACAGATGGTGGAACAGGCCTGGGGCTTCCTGCAAAGGCCAGGCTCGTGGGTCACCATGGCGACAGAGCCGTGGTGCGCACCCTCGGCGAAGCCGACCCCATCCTCTCCCTCTGGCTTCCTCGTGCTGCCGAGAGATGATGATTCCCATTAGCAGACGGGAACATCGTGGCTTCCAGAGGCTCACAATCTTATGGTCAGAGAGGAGGTCAAATGGCGCAGTCACACCCAGCAGAAACGGGTCTTAAAAAGTTAAACACAGGACGCGGTGGCTCACACCTGTAATCCCAGCACTTTGGGAGGCCGGGGCGGGCGGATCACAAGGTCAGGGTGAAACCCTGTCTCTACTAAAAATACAAAAAATTAGCCGGGCGTGGTGGCGGGCGCCTGTAGTCCCACCTACTCGGGAGGCTGAGGGAGGAGAATGGCGTGAACCCGGGAGGCGGAGCTTGCGGTGAGCGGAGATGGTGCTGCTGAACTCCAGCGTGGGCGACAGAGTGAGACTCCGTCTCAAAAAAAAAAAAAAAAAAAAAAAAGTTAAACACAGAATCACCACGTGACCCGGCCGCTCCCTCCTGGCACAACGTGTGCACGAATGTTCACAGCCACGAGCGCGGATGACCCTTGGAAAGACTCTGCTAGGAGTGCAGCACACCAACATGGAACACGTATATATACGTAACAAACCTGCACGTTGTGCCCATGTACGCTAGAACTTCAAGTATAATAATAATAAAAAAGAAAAGGAAAGAAAAAAAAAGAAAAAGAAAAAAGACTCTGCTAAGTGAGGGAAGGCGCGTGTACCCAACTCCATCGATATGAAAGGCCCCGAGCAGGCAACTCTGTGGAGACAGACGGTGGAGGGGGGTGGCCAGGACCTGGGGGTGGCGGCCAGGGAGGTGTGGGGGTGGCTGCTGAATGGGGTCGGGGTTTCCTTTGTGGGAGAAGGTTCTGGAACTAGATAATGGTGTTAGTTGCACAATAGTGTTATGAATGTACTTAATGCCACTGAACTGTACACTTTGCACTGGTTAAAATGGTCACGTGTTTTGTGTATTTTACCACAATTTTTAAAAAGCTAAAAAAAACAACCACCTCACAGCTAGTGAGTGGTGGAGCTGAGATGGGAATCTGAATCAGGTCGTGCAGCTGTGCCCTCCCGCCACTGTCCTGTGTGAGGACCTGGTGTTGTGGGGGGCTCAGCCGGGCCGGGTGCCCTCACAGGGCTGGCCGTGAGTGGGGTCTGGGGGGCTCAGCTGGGCTTGCACGTGAGCAGGTGGGTGGTGGCTCCTTGCACAGTTGCGTCCCCAGCGGCCGGGGCACAGGGATGAGAGGTGGAGACGTGGCTCTGCCCCCAATGCATTCGCCTCTGTGGTGAAGACGCTCTGGGGGCAACACTGGCCCCTCCAAGGGCTCTAACTTCATCCTGCAGAGGATGGCATGGTGAAGGGTTGGCCTGGACTGGGAGTCCCACCCATGGGACGTTATTGGTCACAGGGAGGAGCTGGGGTGACGGGGGCTGGCCCAAGGCCAGGGGCTCCCTGGTGGAGGAGGGGCTGTCCCTGGGTACTCTGGCCCCAGGCAGGGCCGCCTGCCCTCCCTTCCAAGCCAGGGGTGGTTTTGGCCAGGGCTGGCGGCTCAGAGTCCAGGGTCCAGGGTGGGTGGCCTCTGCAGAGACAGCCATAGGTACCAGTGAGTTCACAGGAAAGGAACCCCAGGGGGTCACCTAGCGGCCCGGCTCCCGTCACATCAGGGAGGAGGCAGAGGGCAGTGGTCAGGGCAGCAGGGGAAGTCTTCGTGCTGGAGATGGCCAGGAGCAGGCTCTGCAGGGTGTCCAGGACACAAGAGGGAAGGGCGGGCAGGCAGCGGCATGGCCCGAACCCAGGCGCGATGCTCAGAGCCCAGGCCTACCAGAGCCCCACCGGGAAGGGAGGAGGGCCAGGCAGCCACAGAGCTCCTGCAGCCTTGAAGGCTGGGTCAGGAGCAGACACCTCTCCCGCCTGGCTCTGCAGTGCCTGGGTCACTGGTGCCCTCGGAGAGCCGGCCAGGCCAGGCAGACCCGCAGCAGCAGTAGTGGCGCGCGCCGCTCCCGGGACCGCGCTTTTCCGCTGCCGCACTGAGTTATGTGCTGGCTGCTTTTGTATTTAGAGAGTGGAGCAGATGGTGGGTGCAGTAACACTTTAAATTAAGGATTCCAAATACACATTAAATTTAGATTTAATAAGACAGTTATTGTATGGAAATTCAGGCCCGCCGATTATTTTGAATATTGGAGTCTGATCACCTACAGCTCCGATGGCTGCGATTTCCACTGAAGGCGTGTGGCAGCTTGTCTACCCAAAGCCCCCGAGGCCCACACCCTCAAGCTCCAGAGCCTGCCCCTCCGTTCCTTCCTCAGGGCCCAGGAGGCCAGTGAGGGGCAGGACATCACAGTGGCTCCTGCGGGGTGAGCCCCCCACGGCCGGGAGCTGTCCTCGGCGGCCTGGCAGATGCCCTGGAATCCACCCGTTTTGTCCATTTTGCAGGAAAGGAAACCAAGGCTCAGAGGGGAGAAGCCATGTGGCCCAGGCCACTCTTACAGGACCGGGCTGGGAGAGGGGACACCCATCTGCAGGGCAGAGGCTGGCCCGGGAGGGGAGCCTGCTGCCGCTGGACATCCTGGGCCTCAAGGACAACCTTGAGGCCTAAATCCCCAGCCTGTCCTGGCTGGTCGGGGCTTCTTCCGTCTCTCCCAGGAGAAAAGCCTCGCTGAGCGAGGGCAGTGGGGAAAGGGGGCGGGGGCACTTCCCGGCCACAGCCCCTCCCCCAGCAGCAGCCTCCCTGTGCTCCTGGTGGGTGGAGCAGCCTCGGGAAGGGGGATTCTGGGAGCTGGCCAGCCCCCACTCCCCGCAGGCCAGCCCATCTCAGCCCCCACAGCCCCAACTTCCCCTCAAACCAGGGGCGGGAAGCTGCTAAGTGCTCAGACGATTTCTTATGGCCACGATAAATCTGGTCTTTTTGTCCCTCCAGAAAAAGAAGGGGGGCAGTCAAGTCTCCACACCGGACGAAGCCTGAGCCCTCGCAACTGCCGGCAGAGCCACGCCCGCCCGGCCACAGTTCCTGTAACCGGCAGCTGCACTGTTTGTAATCACTGCTTGGCAGACATTTATCATCCGCTCCGGGGAGCAGAGAGGCCTCAGTGCAGGCGGGTGGCCTGGCCGAGGGCTGGGCTGCCCCGGGAGCCGCATGGCCTCTCTGTGCCTAGCCTAAGGCCCTGCAGGTGCCCAGCAAGGCAGGAGCACCCCTAGCCTGGGCAGGAGGCTGGGATGCTGGAAGTGTCAGGGGCCTTCAGAGCGTCTAGCCAGGGGCCACCTGCCACCTGGGAGCCGGGCCAACCAAGGTAAAGCCCTGCCTTCCTCCAGGAAGGGGGCCCTGGCGTGGGGCCAGGCTCAGCGCTTTCCTCTGCCCCTCTTTGTCACCTCCAAGAAAGGACCTTGGGATGAAAGAGCCGGGAGATCCCAGAGGGAGGTGGCTGCCCTAGGTGGGAACATCAGGACCCCCAGGGCAGGGGTGAGCCGTGGCAGGGGTCTTCCCTGTGGCCAGTTGAGCTCCAAGGGTCTGTCCCTCACCCTCTGGGTAGGGTGGCCAGAGGGAATACATAAGAATACTTAACACCCAGTGAAATTCTCATTTCATACTAACAACAAATCAATCTCTAGTGTATGACCCATCCAATTTGGGGGCATATTTCTATTTTAAAAATTCATTGTTTATTTAAAATAGAAACTTAGGTGGGTGTTCTGTTCTTTTCTGGTGAGCTTCCCTTACCCCATGGGGTCTCCCCTTGCTCAAGACCCCCAGCTCTGTTCCCCGCCAGACCCCGCTCCATCCTGTCTGGTCCTCTGCCGGGTCTCTGCCATGTGGTCTTGGCCACCCCGACCCCTGTGCCGAGAACACCTTCCCTTTTGTCGTGGCCGCCCCAGCAGGGAGCCTCTTCGGACAGGGCGAGTGGTGCCTCTTGTTCACGTGACAGCGCACTCACAACTCCAGCAACGTCCTTGTTCACAGCCCTCGTCCTGGTTTTCCAAGAACCCGTGTTTGTATTTTATTTTTCCAGACCGGTCTTACTCTGTCGCCAGGCTGGAGTGCAGTGGCTTGTGCAGTGCAGCTCACTGCAATCTCCATCTCCGGGACTCAAGCGATTCTCCCACCTCAGCCTCCTAAGTAGCTGAGACCACAAGTGTGCACCACCACACCTGGCCAATTTTTTTTTTTTAATTTTTGGTAGAGATGGGGGGTCTCACTATGTTTCCCGGGCTGGTCTCGAACACCTGAGCTCAAGCAATCTGCCCACCTCAGCCTCCCAAAGCGCTGGGATTACAGGCGTGAGCCACCATGGCCTGAACTCGTATGTTTAGATCGGTGTCCCCCACTTACTTTGCACACAGGGGCTCAGGACTGTGTCTGCCCTGCCGTCCCCCTGGGTTGGGCATCAGGCTGCCCCTGCTCCCCTGCCCATCACAGCCCAAGGGCTGGATGCCACTGGCTCTCAGAGCCTCCATTTCCTGGTTCCTAAAGGGGGAGGGCAGTGCTGGCCTGAAAACTTGGCTTCTGGTGACAGTGGCAGGAGCCACCTCTGCCTGCTTTTCTCAGGGAACGGTGGGCAGCCCATGGAATCACGGGAGAGACAGGAGAAGGAGGCCCAGAACGCCCAGAACAGAGGGACCTGCATGGCCAGACCCTGCCAGACTCACGGGCGCAGGCCACCAGGGAGGTTGGGCCCAAGCCCTGGGAGGTGCCAGTGGCCCTGCCTCTACCCCAGGTAGATCCCAGGGGTGAGGTCTGTGCCCTGCCATGGGGAGCCTGGGGAAGCTGCTGGGGCCTCTGCCTCCAGCTAGAGGCACACGGCAGAGAGGGCCCCACATATAGGGGCACCCTGAAAATGGCAGGATGAGGGAGGAGGGTAGGGGTCTGCACACGGCATCTCTGGGTTCTTGGGGATATCAAACAGGATGGGGCTGTGATGTGACTGTCTGACTTCAAGACAGGGGAGAGGAGAGGAGAGATGGGGAGAGAGGGGAAGGAAAGGGCGGGAAGTGAGGGGTTAAAGAGGGGTGTGGAGAGGGGAGGGAAAGGGCGGGAGGGGAGGGGAGAGGGGAGGGAAAGGGCGGGAGGGGAGGGGTTAAAGGGGGGCGTGGAGAGGGGAGGGAAAGGGCAGGAGGGGAGGGGTTAAAGGGGGGCGTGGAGAGGGGAGGGCTGGGGAGGGCAGGTCGGGGAGCTGCTGCACCTGCAGAGGCCAGAGGCCGCAAGGCTGGCTCTCTGCTCCCTGTGTGACCCTCTGAGGTGCCCGGGGGGCGCCGTCTGCTCCACGAAGCAGCTCCATGCATGCTTTGTGCATGTGCTTCCTGAATTAAAAAACAGTAACAGTGACAAATGGCAACGCCACCACAGCAAGCCTGCCCCGTCTCTGCCTGCAGATGCTCCCACAGCTCCTGGGGAAGGAATTTACCCAAAACGGACAGGGCGGGTTCTGCCCACCTCAGCCCTGCAGCGCACCTGGGATAACAGACAGAGAAGGGGCCTCCCATCACAGGGGTCCGAGGCCCCCTCCCCACTGAGCCCTCCCTCAAATTCTCCCCCGGTGCCCATCATGACTGCCCCAGAGACCGGAATCCAGGAGCCTGCAGGGTGTGGGGGTGCTGGCTTGGATCCAGGCCCCAGGCCAGGCCCACAGCGGGGGGCGGGGGGGCAGGCCCGGTGGGAGGCCCCCAGAAGGGCCCAACAGCCCCAGCAGCCCCTCTGCTGCCTCTCGCTCCTCCAAGACCCGCCCGCGGGCACTGCTCACTTCTGCGTAGTCTAACCGGGGAGGTTTCAGCCGGGAAGCTGTCGCCGGCAGTCTGCAAACATCCCCTTCCCGCCGCCGCCTGCCAAGTGCCACCAGCACCGACAGCTTGCTGCGCAGTCGGTCGCACAAGCTGCCTGGCCTGGCACCGGGCTGCTCGCCGGCCTCCCACAGGAGTCAGCCGGGAGTCTGTCCCCGGATGCGCTCAGCCTTGCAGCCTCCCCCAGGGCTCCAGGCCCTGTTGTGTCCCCATTCTGTCCAGGGCTGTGTCCTCCATGCCACCCCCCACAGCTGCCTCTGCAGTCCCTGAGTCCCCGTAGACCCGGAGGAAATCCGGAACCCCCGTGGCTAGAGATTAAAGAACTTTAGGAGATGGCAAATTTCGGAAGAGTTGAGGAGCCCTAGAAAGGAACATGAGTGTCACCGAGCCTTGGGGACCGGCCACCCTATCACCTTTCAAGGTCAGCCCTGCACTGGCGCCCAAGGTTTCCACCTTGAGCTTCTATACGGGAGCTGATGCTGCGTGTCTGGTCGTGGCTCTCCAGGGACCTGGGATCTTATCTGCCTTTGGGATTCCCTCCAAGGGTCCCTGCAGCTCCTCTGAGGTGCCCTCCTTGCCCAGCAGACACTGAGCATCGACACCTACTCTGGCTAGGAGAGTGGTCGTAGGCCTAGGCCTCAGCCAGGCAGAGAGTAAAGCCCCCCGCCACTGCTTTGGGAAGGGTTCGGCCACCCCCGCGTGGGCCCACTCTGCCAGAATTGGCCCCCAGTGGATGTGAGGAGCTGGTGCAGTCACACCCTCATCAGCCCTGGAGCACGCTGGCAGAGCAGCCTCTTGGGGGGGCCAGAGTCCTGGCCCCACCCACACCCCCATCAACCTGTGGAGGTAGACTGCAGCCCAGACCACGCCAGGCTCTGCAGAGCCATCTCCCTGGGCCTTCTGCTGTGGGGAGGGGGAGGTCAGGGCCACCCAGGAGTCCCCTAGCCTCAGGGCCCTGTGTCCCCCAAGTCCAGTGCCCAGCCGAGTCTCTGAGCTCCGGCCAGCCCTGAGGCTCCCAGGCTCCCGTGAGCCCCTGGGATAGCACTCCAGGCTCAGCCTTCAGGACTGGGTTGCACAATTTAAAATTAATAATCGCGCTGTCTCGTGGCCTCATAATTAAGTGTCTGTTCATCCCCATTATTGTCAGAGAGTGATTTGTTGTTCTCTGGGCACTGAAAATCAACCTGCTGAAGGGAGGGGCCTGCGAGCCTTCGGGACAGAGCTGCCCGGGGAACACGGTGCACCCACCTCCCCCAGGGGCCCAGAGGAAGGGGCCCAGCTCCACGCCTCAGGCTGGGGACCCTCGGCCTCCGCTTACTTACCAAACACTCTGGGGGCTTGGAGGTGGCTCTGGGACTCTCCCATTGCCTTGGGGGCTGCCAGGCAGAGTGCGAGGAGGGGCAGCTGCTTGGTCCGATCCCGGGGCTTGTTTTCCAGCAAGCCTGGCCCGGCTGCCTCAGGCTGAGACTGTGAGCAGATGCGGAATGCTCCCGGGTGCTGTGTTCACTCTTGTACCCCAACGCGCCTGTGCACACAGACACACACACGTGCACATATGCACACACGGGAACATATTAAGACTAAAGGCGTCTCCAGGCGTCTCCTCTTAGGAGTCCCACTTGCGGCTCAGCTTCTCTATCAGGAGGGGATGATGATCCCATGCCTTCCCCTACTTCTTACGCATGAGGTTCTGCTGAACGATGGTAGAGCCAGCAGCCTGCCAGTCTGTCTCCAGGAGCCCCCAGCCCAAGCGGGCCCCATCAGGCGGGGCACTATGAGGGTGGGGCCACCTCGCTGGTCCCTGCATCACCTCTTGACTGTCTGGGCCCTACCTGCTTCCAGCGAGCAGTGCCCTGGAGTCGCCTCCTGTGACACCTGGCTTGTGAGTCGGGTCCCCGGGGAGCAGCCCCTGAGGCTCTGAGGGACTCTGGGAATCCCAAAGCTGGCCACACACTCCCAACCCAGGGAGACTCCCCACCCAGGGAGGGGCGTGCTCATCATTTGAGAAAAATCCAGCAGATGCTCAGGTCCTGGAGGATGTGCAACCCCAGCCCTCCTGCACCAACGCCCCGCGCTCCGCCCGGCCCCAGAGGCCAGAGGATGGGCGGGGGCCAAGGACGGGGGCTGCTCATGGCAGAGATCACCTAGGGGTCCTGCCTCAGGATCCTGTGGGCTCCCAGGGGGACCCATACTGGAGGAGGGGATCCACTCTGGCTTGTGGTCCCCAACAGCAGAAAGAGGGGCACCCCCTTCTGCAACGCCACACAGTTTCCCTTGGGACCAAGGATCCTCTGACAACTGGCCTGTGACCACACGGGCCCGAGCTCACGGGGGCCAGTGTCAGAACCCGGCGTGGAGTCTGGAAAACCCTTACATCCCAGAGTGACCCAAGGTCATCCTGCAACCACGCTTGCCACCTGCAGACATAAGACTGGGCAGGGATAGGACTGTTTAATTTTCCTTTGGGCATATTTATTTATTTATTTATTTATTTGTTTATTTATTTTATTATTATTATTTTTTGAGATGGAGTCTCTCTCTGTTGCTCACGCTGGAGTGCAGTGGTGCAATATCAGCTCACTGCAACCTCTACCTCCCAGGTTCAAGTGATTCTCCTGCCTCAGCTTCCCGAGTAGCTGGGATTACAGGTGCATGCCACCATACCCAGCTAATTTTTGTATTTTTAGTAGAGATGGGGTTTTGTCATGTTAGCCGGGCTGGTCCTGAACTCCTGACCTCAGGTGATCCACCTACCTCGGCCTCTCAAAGTGCTGGGATTACAGGCATGAGCCACCGCACCCAGCCCCTTTGGGCATTTTTAAAATCGGGGCTAAAGCAGATAAAGGAGATTTTTTTTCTAAGGAGGAGAAAATGCAAAGTCATGAGCTAACAAAAGAATTTGGTCAAACGTGACCTTCTAATAAGAATTGACGTTAAAATTATGGTTTTAGCCATATTTCCTTTCAGGAGCAGTTAAAGACGCTTTTTGAAGGTGAGAAAATTAATTTTTGAGTTTATATTACACACTGTAACACAGAGGGCTGTGCACACGGTGATGACATTAACCGTCACGTACTTGGCAGAGGCAGTGTGGACTCTGGCCGGATGGGATCCCGGCTTGCTGGGCCTGGACAGAGGGGCTGCACCCCCATGTCTCCAGCCAGGGGAGGGGCAGGGGCCCAGGCCCCCCGGGAATGGCAGTGGAGGGCTGGACCACCAGAGGCCCCGACCAGCTTGTCCGAAAGGGTGGGCTGCTCGGAGCCTCCTGTGAGTACCAGGCCGAACGTGCAGGCGAAATTCCAGTCACGTGTGGGGCTTGGTGCAGGCTGGGGTCAGGGGTCAGGGGTCAGAGATGCAGCCGGGGCCTCCATCAAGCCTGGGTTGGTGACCAGGGAGCTCCGGGAAGTCCCTGGCTGCCTGGGAGCCGGTGCTGAGGACCCGGCACGGCACCCCTGCACTGCTCCAGGCCTGTCAGAGCCAAGGGCCTGTGTGTGCACCAACCGCCCACCGCGTGCCCCCCAGGCTGGCCCTGGGTGCTTCCTCCCAGGAACCCCCCGAGGCGGGCGCCATGGACACCCTCATTTTCTGTGGAAGGAAGCAAAGGTTCAGGGTGGGGTGTTTTGCTCAAGCTCACGCTGGGCAGGGCCAGCATTCCTGCCCTGCCCATCTCACCCTGAAGCCAGATCTCCTTCCCCTCCCTGGGCCTCAACCTCCCCACCTGGGAGTGGGGCAGGCCAGGTCCTCTAGGCCCCCTCCAGTCTCGCCTGCTGCTGGCACTGGCTGTGGCAGGGGACTAAGCTGAGGGGGCCCCAGGGCAGACAGGGAGGCTGCAGGGGCCCGGCCACAGCCCTTGGCGCCCCTCACCCTCCAGCACCGCCCCTGCAGGCCCTGCACTTGGCTCCGTTCTCAAACACCCCTTGGCACGAGTGAACGGCTCTCGGTCCACTTCAGAAGAAGCATCCTGCCGGCCACGCGGACACGAGAGCCTGAAGCACCGATGGCATTTCAGACCTGATGCCTGCGCAGGGACACAGGGACATTCGGGACGTGTCCAGCTCCACACCAGGCCCGGGAACGCAGGATGAGGAGGACAGCCTGGGCTGGAGGTGCAGGTTGGGGAACAGGCCGCTGCTGTTGGCCCCCACAGGCTTTCAGACCCGTTCTCTGGACCTAGGAGAGGGGGAGGCCGAGTGCCCAGGCCAGCTGGGGGCAGCACGTGGAGGTTGTGAGCATGGGTTGGCTCTGGAGTCATGGCAGAGGGCTGCGCAGGTGCCAGCATTCAGGAGGAGCAGGAGGAAGGGGCCTACCCCAGGGAAAGAGAGATGGGGGTAAGCGCAGCCCTCAGCGCGTCCTTTCTGATTGCCTCCGCTGCCTCGTGTTCACCCGAGTCCCAACCAACACGTGAGCAGAGCGCTTCACAGGGGTCAAGAAGCTTGAAGCTTGGAGACTGACCCACCCGTGTTCAGCAGCTGGGGGAGGAGACAGCGTCAGCAAGGCCGCATGCCCAGGACACAATGGCGGGTATGGGAGCCCTGGCCAGAAGGGCCAGGCCAGGGCCCAGTGGCGGGTGGCGGCTTATGGCCTTCCTTCTGGTAGAAGGGGGAAAAAGGCAGGGAGAGGAGGCCGACACCACCTCCAGGAAGCTCTCCCCGCCTGATTCCCAGGCTCTCCCAGATAAGGCGGGACACTAGGAGGTGAATTTTAGGAGACTTTCCAACAAAAAATAGCCTAATAGGCTTTAGCATTTATTTATTTATTTATTTATTTATTTATTTATTTATTTATTTATTTATTATTGAGACAAGGAGTCTCACTCTGTCACCCAGGCTGGAGTGCAGTGGCACAGTCTTGGCTCACTACAACTTCTGCCTCCCAGGTTCAAGCGATTCTCCTGCCTCAGCCTCCTGAGTAGCTGGGATTACAGGCACATGCCACTAGGCTCGACTAATTTTTGTATTTTTAGTAGAAAGGGGGTTTCAACATGCTGGTCAGGCTGGTCTCGAACTCCTTACATCATGTGATCTGCCCGCCTCAGCCTCCCAAAGTGCTGGGATTACAGCCTTGAGCCCCGCGCCCGGCTGGCTTTAGCATTTAAAGGTTTAAAGTTTCAGGAAATGCACTAATCCGTCACTCCGCCTCTCTCCAACCCATGGATGCCGGATAAGAACAGATAAGACCCGTGTGAGGGTGACTGCCACGGGCTGAACTGTGTCCTCCCAAAAAGATACGTCCAAGTCCCAACCCCCAGAACCTCCGCAGGGGACCTTATTTGGGAATGGAGTCATTGCAGAAGCGATTGGTTTAGATGAGCCCATCTTGGAGTGGGGGGCCCCTCATCCAGTGTGCCCCCACAAACCGTCCTTACAGGAAGGGGAGTTAGAGACGCAGGCACTCAGGGCAGAGACCTGCAGCCACAGAACCCGGGACCCAAGGGTGGGCGGCACCAGGAGGACCGAAGGGGCCTCAGAAGGAGCCTGGCTGTTCCTGATTTTGGGCATCCGGCCTCTAGAATGAGAGGACAAGCGTCTGTTGAGTTAAGCCCTCCAGGCTGTGGGCTTTTATGCTGCAGCCACAGGATGGGGACACGGGCATGACGGGACAGCTGCTTGCCGCCCTCAAGCTAGCCCAGCAACTGGGCTGGCCCCTCATACAGCTGCCCACGATGCCCTCCAGGCGTTTCCCCAAGTCGACTTGCTCCGCTTCCTTGTCCCCTCCAGCCCCTCTGTGTTTCTCGGCCACTGCCAGGCATGGGGGGCGCTTGAGCCTGGAGACGGTAACTCTAGGTGAGGAGGATGCACAGGATGGGGCCCGTTGTGCCATCCCATCGCCCGGCACTCCCCACCCACTACGGAGCCCAGCAGAGCCCTCTCCTCCAGTTCCCGCCTCTTAGCGGCTTCCCAGCCCCTCCTGCCCTTTAGGGTAGGGTTGGGGTTAGGGGTGCATCGCTGAGGACCTGACTTAGCTCCTTCCCCTCCCCTGTCCTCCTCTGAGGACAGGAGGGCTGGTTGTAGCTGAGCAGGGGTGCAGGGGGAGGGGTCCTGGGCAGTGGCCCCCACATCTCACATGGGTCCCCTCCAATAAGACTTGGATGGACTGCGAAGTCTCATACCTGTAACTTCAAATTAAAAAAGCCATGTGCTGCTTATGGGCGCTCCCCGCGCTCGGAGCGGCCCCATAAAGATCATATCAGAGTACAAGGCATTATGCGGCGAGTTTACTATATATACATTCCTAAATGGTTCAGCGAACAGCAGCCTACTTACGGGCAGGGAAGGAGAACTGCTTCATTTGGAGTAACAAATGATCCTTGATTTGATTTTAAATGCAATGACAGCCGAATTTATTTCTTATTTAATCACTTCCCTGTGCAGTTGAGAACAGGGTGATATTAAACTCCACAGTGCAGAGCAGGCTCTGGAATCAGCTGAAAGAGGCACGCGAATAGATTATGTTTATAGGGCGGCGCGGGATTGTAGCGCAAAGCACATAACCAGAATGGGTATTTTTGTCATTTATACAGTAGCTTATATCATTATTTCTTCCTGCTTCCAATTTTTCTGTAATAAAAATATAGGCAATGTGATTCTCTTTGCATTACAGATAAACCATCTTGATTCTTTATTAAATATTTTTATTAATCTGAAGCACTACAAAGCGTCTGAGCAGATAAATCAGGCTGGGCGCAGTCATTTTCCCTCTGCTCGTGCTCCATAAAGCAGCTTCATTTATGAGTGAGCAACACCAGAAAAGAAGGTTTCCATATTCATTACCGAGCTCCCGTATGTCTCTGCTTCATGGCCATGTGGACTCGGCAGAAGTAGTGCTAACGGGATATTTGTTCTTCAAAATCCAGTCGGTTTGGCTAATCGCTAGACAATCCCCTGTTTTGTGCTCTATTTAATTAGGAATTACTACGCGGGCGCCACTCTTGGGCACAAGCTGGGAAACGCAGCCCCCTCGGCTGCTGGGCAAGGAGGGGTCCCCTGGAGGGGTCCCTTGGAGTGCAGGAGAGGGGAGGGCTGGACAGGACCCAGCGTGTGCCTGGGGCCTCAGAGGCCACGGAGCAGCAAGAGGCTACCAGGTGTGACGTTGGGCCAGCCTACAGCAGGGGGCAGGGTCAGCCGGGACGGAGGCAGGAACAAGGTGGCAGAACATGCCTGCTATCCTCACCGAGATGGGGGACAGGTGGGTGAGGGGGCAGGCTGCGGCCATCAGTGGGGTTCTGCTTCTTGCTGGAACATTCTCTTTCCTGCCCCGGCCGTAGACCCACCTTAGCAGGTGGTGGCAGCCAGCTGTGCCCCCAAATATCTTTCCGTTCCCTTCCCTGGCTGCTCCGGCTCTGAGATGACAGCACAATAGTGCAGACCCCCAGGATCCCCAGCTCCTCCCGGCTGATGGCCATCCGTGCTGGTGGCCCTGCCCGGGACCGCTCCTCCTGGCTGATGGCCATCCGCGTTAGTGGCCCTGAGGCATCCCTGGGTGGCTGATCAATTGTCAATAGGAGAAATGACATATAAACTTGGTCTGAGACTGAATGAGGCCCTGGAGAAGATGCCCTGTTATCTGTGGGCCCCGTTACCTCCACTCCCCTGGCCTATCGCTTCCTGGCCAGTCCAGGCCATGCTCCCATCTCTGGCTCTCACCACCTGCCTGCCCTTTCAATGACAAGGCCCCACTGTTTCCTCACTTCAGGGGCTCTCTCCTCCTGCTCCCTGAATCCTCACAGAGGTGGGACAGCTGAACCCATGGTCAGGCACCTGCTGGAGAGGTGGGTCAGATCCTGACTCTGGCGTCCTAGGTTTGGTGACCCTGGACGAGCTCTGCCCCTCGTCCACCACTGTTTTCTCCTCCAAAGAGTGGGGTCTCCATGTCCACCTTGCTGGCCTCTGGGAGGGGGCGTCATCTCTCCTGGCTGGGGGCTATGTGGCCATGACCTTGGCCCTAGAAGCACGCCCTAGGTCCGTCTCGGCCAGGTGATGCTGGAGAAGGACGCCCTAGGCCCGTCTCGGCCAGGTGATGCTGGAGAAGGACGCCCTAGGCCCGTCTCGGCCAGGTGATGCTGGAGAAGGACGCCCTAGGCCCGTCTCGGCCAGGTGATGCTGGAGAAGGACGCCCTAGGCCCGTCTCGGCCAGGTGATGCTGGAGAAGGACGCCCTAGGCCCGTCTCGGCCAGGTGATGCTGGAGAAGGACGCCCTAGGCCCGTCTCGGCCAGGTGATGCTGGAGAAGGACGCCCTAGGCCCGTCTCGGCCAGGTGATGCTGGAGAAGGACGCCCTAGGCCCGTCTCGGCCAGGTGATGCTGGAGAAGGACGCCCTAGGCCCGTCTCGGCCAGGTGATGCTGGAGAAGGACGCCCTAGGCCCGTCTCGGCCAGGTGATGCTGGAGAAGGACGCCCTAGGCCCGTCTCGGCCAGGTGATGCTGGAGAAGGACGCCCTAGGTCCGTCTCGGCCAGATGATGCTGGAGAAGGACGCCCTAGGTCCGTCTCGGCCAGGTGATGCTGGAGGCAAGACATGGGGAGGCTTCGTGGCAGGGCTACGC
Organism: Homo sapiens; assembly: GCF_000001405.40. NCBI lineage: Eukaryota > Metazoa > Chordata > Mammalia > Primates > Hominidae > Homo > Homo sapiens. The sequence goes on along the minus strand of NC_000009.12, from coordinate 135,981,569 downwards.
CGTGGAAGGCCCGTGGTCCTCGGAGGAGCCTCACGAGCCAAGGCTGGGAAGGAGCAGGCTCGGGGGAGTTCTGAAGGCAGCGTCATGCCTGTAGCTCCTCGGGACCTGCGCTGAGAGGAGCACCGCCAGGACCCTTCCCAGCGCACCTGGACACGAACACGTGTCCTGCGACAACCTGCGAGCAGGGTGGGGGAGGGTCATGTCCTGGTTTCCCAGCCTGGGGCGAGTGGTGGCCAGGCCTGGCCCCTGTGGGGTCCTCGTCCCCTCTCCCAGGGCAGCAGGGCTCCCCCATTACCTCCCTCACCTGTGTCACTGTCCCTCAGCCTGGCAGGGGGCACCCACGGGCCCTGGGCTGCAGACAGTGTGTGTCTGGGAGTGGGCAGGGCCTGAGACTCCGCTGCCACTGCTGAAAGTGCCTGAGCGGAGGAGGGTAGGGGCCAGGCTGTCTGGCCAGGCACCAAGAGAACGCTGTGTTCCCGCCGCCTCCTCGTCAGGGACCAGATCTGAATGCAGCTCGTGTGTCCAGGCCTAGCCATGGTGCCCAGGCCGCTGATGCCAGCCTGGCCATGGGGGGAGGGGAGAGGCCAGAGGAGGAATGGGAATGAGGCACTAGGCTCAGGGACCACCCCCAACCTGAGCCCCAAAACTGTGCTGGGGGGCCCTGCACAGCAAAGTCAGCTGACTGAGGGGGCACCTCTCAGACCCTGCTCCTCTGGGAAGTTCTGGTCTTGCTGGAGGGATGGGGATAGGGGTAGAGGTGGGAGGAGGGAGCCGATTAATTTCCAGGAACCACCCAGCGCAGCCAGTCACCAGCCTTCTCTGTGCCTCAGTTTCCCCATCTCTTAGCAGGAGTGGTGACTACCTAGAGCTTGTGCTGCCAGCCAGAGGTGGGGTCCCAGTGGCCGGCACAGCCAGGTGGGCAGGTGCTGCAGCCACTGTGGGAGTGAGGCCACCCACAGCTCTAGGGAACCCCCCCCCAGCACTCTCCCCGAGTCTGCAGCCCACTCCTCTTCCCAGCCTTGCTGGGTTGCCCCATATGCTGTCTAAAGAGGGGTGCGGGACCCAGGTGCGTGTCCTGCCTCCATGACACAGGGACTGTGTGACCGGGACAGTCCTCACCCACAAACGTAGATGGAAACACCCACCCTGGCCTGACACGGGGGCTCACCCCTATAATCCCAGCACTTTGGGAGCCTGGGCAGGCAGATCACTTGAGGCCAGGAGTTGGAGGCCAGCCTGGCCAACAGCGAAACCCCATCTCTACTAAAAATACAAAAAATATTAGCCAGGTGTGGTGGCGGGCGACTGTAATCCCAGCTACTCTGGAGGCTGAGGCAGGAGAATCGCTTGAACCCGGGAGGCAGAGGTTGCAGTGAGGGATCGCGCCACTGCACTCCAGCCTGGGCAACAGAACAAGACTCCGTCTCAAAAAAAACACAAAGGAAATGTCCACCCTCCTGGGCCAGGCCTGGGTGGCCTCAGGACGGGGGACGGCTGTGGACTCAGCACAGGGACCTGCATGGCCTCAGCACGGGGGCTGGCCGTGAACTCAGCACGGGGGCCGGCCGTGGAGATGGAGATGGGGATGACCCCCATCACTAGCTGGGCTTTGGGGCCAGAGGAGGAGGCAGTGAGGGCCGTGGTCCTGCATTGCCTGCTGGGAGGCTCCGGCTGTGCTGGTTCAGCCATGGGTGTTCCCTGGGTGCCGGGCCTCCCTGGGTGTCCCTGGAGGAAGGGCAGGTATGTCTACCCCTGCCTGGGGTGGTCTGCAGACCCAGGACTGCCCTCCACATAGCCCAAGGTTGGGACAGGCCACCACCGCCTGCAGCTGAGTCCCTGCTGGCCCCCAGGGTCTAGGTTCTCCCAGACGCCCTAGCAGGAGGCCCATGCCACAGATGGGGACCGGGCTCAAAACGCTGTGTGCCTGGATCCTGAAGCCAGATTGAAATCCAGTGTCCTCGTGGTTCATATTCCACGCTCCCGTTTCCAACAATTAAATGGTGTCGTTGTGCCAGGCCAGCCTTCTGGTGGGAGAGAGGAGGGGACGGGGTCCAGGGGAAGGGGGTGGGGGAGGCTCTGGCAGGGTCTGGCTGAGGAAGGAAGGCCACCCCCTCTCCTCCTCCCTGCAGCCGCGTCCCCGGGGGCAGTCGGGTGAGGGCCCTGGGAGGGGCCCAGGCTCTCTGCCTGGCTGCTGCCCCAACCCGGTCCTGTTTCCTGGGCTTGGCTGGCAGCCTCCCTGGCCATGCTGCTGTTGCTGGTTTCCGGCAGCTCGGCTCTGCCCCTGTGTCTGGGGACTCATTTTCCTCCCCGATTGTCATGCCTTCAAAGGGCTCTGTGGTGGTTCTGGTGTCTGGGCTTCCTGGCCTCCCTCTGGTAGAGTTCAGTGACATGTGGCAGGTACCCCAGCTGCCACACCCTGCCCCATGCACCTCTGCTGTCAGAGCTGCTGGTCACGCCCCACCCAGAGCCACCCGGAGCCTCTGCCCTCAGGCTCGGAGGTGTCTGTCCTGACAACTGCAAGCCGGTGCCAGTCTGGAGTTGGAAGCCCGCAAAGTGCTAGTCCTGGTTGACAGACAGGAGATGGAGTCCAGGTGGAGACAGCAGTTTGCCCCCAGAGCCCAGCGCATTGGGATGGGGAACTGACTCCCCGGCCCGGGGTTCCGTCTCCGCTGGTTCCTGTCCCCTGTCCCTGCAGAGGGGCTGATGCCTGGAGAAGCACAGAGAGTGAGGTAGACACCGGGGAGGCCCAACACCTGGACTTACCCCCAGGCCCTCCTGGGTCTGAGAGGAGAGCCCCTGGGGAGGTAGAGAAGCTGGGGCCCTAATAGGGTGTCCAGGGCTACTGAGGGGGGGGGATGGGGGCTGTCCCAGGGCTACTGAGCAGGGGATTGGGGGCTGCCTCAGGGCTGCTGAGGAGGGGATAGAGGCTGTCCCAGGGCTGCTGAGGCGGGGATGGAGGGTGTCCCAGGGCTGCTGAGGGGAAGATGGAGGGTGTCCCAGGGCTGCTGAGGAGGGTAGGTGGGGGCTGTCCCAGGGCTGCTGGGGGGGATTGAGGGTGTCCCAGGGCTGCTGAGGGGAAGATGGAGGGTGTCCCAGGGCTGCTGAGGAGGGGATGGGGGGTGTCCAGGGCTGCTGTGGGGGGGATGGGGGCTGTCCCAGGGCTGCTGCAGGGGGGATGGTGGGGGATGGGGAGTGTCCTAGGGCTGCTGAAGGTTCTGGGGGGTGTGCCAGGCAGGGCTGCTGAAGAGGGGATGGAGGGTGTCCAGGGCTGCTGAGATGGGGGATGGGGGTGTCCAGGGCTGCTGAGGAGGGTGGGTGGGGGGTGTCCTAGGGCTGCTGAGAGGGGGATAGGGGGTGTCCCAGGGCTGCTGAGGGGTTCTGGGGGGGGTGTGCCAGGCAGGGTGTCCCAGGGCTGCTGAAGGTGGAGGTCTAGGGGGGTGTCCCAGGGCTGCTGGCTGGGGTGGTCTGGGGGTGTCCCAGAGCTGCTGAGGGTGGAGGTTTAAGGGGGCATCCCAGGGCTGCTGAGGGGGAATGGGGGTGTCCCAGGGCTGCTGGTGGGGGGGTCTAGGGGTGTCCCAGGGCTGCTGGGGGTGGAGGTCTAGGGGAGTGTCCCAGGGCTGCTGGGGGTGGAGGTCTAGGGGAGTGTCCCAGGGCTGCTGGGGGTGGAGGTCTAGGGGGCTGTCCCAGGGCTGCTGGGGGTGGAGGTCTAGGGGGCTGTCCCAGGGCTGCTGGGGGTGGAGGTCTAGGGGGGTGTCCCAGGGCTGCTGGGGGTGGAGGTCTTGGGGGGTGTCCCAGGGCTGCTGGGGGCGGAGGTCTAGGTGGGTGTCCCAGGGCTGCTGGGGGTGGAGGTCTTGGGGGGTGTCCCAGGGCTGCTGGGGGTGGAGGTCTAGGGGGGTGTCCCAGGGCTGCTGGGGGTGGAGGTCTGGGGGGGTCCCTAGGGGGATGGGGGTGTCCCAGGGCTCCTCTCAGGTAGTTAGCAAATGCTTTCTGAGAAGGGCCAGCAGCCGGCACATGTGAGGACTCTGCAGAAAGGCTATGCGTTCCATGAAAGGGTGAATTTTGTGTTCTTCGAGTCCAGCCTGCACTGCACGGATAGTTCTGGTTTTTATGATTTTACAACTTGACTTATGGAATATTCAGAGGCTCCAAGGCACCATGGGGGCTGGACGCCAACCCACTGCAGAGTGAGAGGGGCCCGAGGCTGGGACGGAGGCCCCAGAGCCTGTGACCTGGGCCCTGGCTGGGTGGTTTCCCCACCGCTGTGTCCCACCTTTGCCCACCACCCCACCCTGCACCAGGGAGAAGGTGCAAGATCCCTCTGCGACCCCTCTTCCTCCCGGGGCCCAGGTTCTCCCAGCTCTCAGTGATGTCGTACTGAACTGACGACAGCTGCGTGCAGAGAAATGCTCCAGCCAAGGAGGACCTCGCCCTCCCGGCCCAGCTGGCCGCAGAGGGGAGCGGGGGTTGGGTAGGAAGCCCCTGTGCCTGCATCTGCCTCCCTCTGCCTCCCTCTGCCTCTCTAGCGGTGACTTCCCGGGAACTAGCAGACTCTGGGGTGCTCCATAAAAGGGCTTCAGGGGTGTTTGTACACCACCACACCCTGACACCAAATGTGTGGATTTTCGACACCAACCAATTCTCCAGGCCTCTGTAGACACAAACGGGGTGTTTAACAACTCAGTTCAATGCCGACACCAACTACCCAGAGTTTGCGCAGACCCCAAAGGCAGGCTCAGTCCCACAGGACTGCCCCCACCTCAGCTGCCAGTCCCCCGTTGGGGCCACCGCTGCTTCTGACCGACCGGCTATAAATCGAGGGTTCCCACAACCTCCTCCTCATTTGCTAGAATGACTCACAAAACTCAGGAAACAGTTTACTTACTGCTACCAGTTTATTACAGAGGATCAGCTCCAGAACAGCCAGATGGAAGAGATGTCCAGGGTGAGGTGTGGGGTGGCCAGGGCCTCCGGGTCCTCCCTGGGCACGCGTTCCTAGCACCCGGATGTGCTCATCAGTTCGGAAGCTCCCTGGACCCCATCATTTAGGGGCCTTTATGGGGGTTCTATTAAATAGGCATGACTGACCAAACCATCAACCACTAGGCACTGACTCAACCTCAAGCCCCTTCCCCCTCCCCAGGGTCAGGGGGTAGGGTTGAAGATTCCAACTCTCTAACCAGTGGTTGGTCCTTCAGGATACCACCCCCACCCTGAAGCTGTCTAGGGGCTCCCAGCCACCAGCCATCTCATCGGCATCCCAAAGGCAAGCTTGTCACTCAGGGATTCCAAGGGTTTTAGGAGTCTGTGCCAGGAATCCTGGACAAAGATGGAATAGATATTTCTTATTATCACGCTATTTAAGAATTCGTGGGGGGCATTCAGCTTTAAAAAGGTAGGAAATTCTGGCACACACTCCAGCCTACACAATACTCCGAGGTCCATGGATGAACCTGGAAGACATTACGCTAAGGGAAAGGAGCCTGTCAAGAGGACAAATACTGTATTTGAGGTCCCTAGGGTCATCAAGCCCCTAGCGACAGAAAGTAGAATGCCGGGTGCCAGGGGCCAGGAAGTGGGAACAGGGAGTTAGTGTTTAATGGGGACAGAGTTTTCGTTTTGCAAGATGGGAAGTTCTGGAGATGGACGATGGGGATGCTCGCACAGCAGTGTGAGTGTGCTTAATGCCGCTGAAGTGTGTGCCTGAGAATGGTGAAGATGGGCTGAGTGTGGTGGCTCAAGCCTGTAAACCCAGCGCTTTGGGAGGCCGAGGCGGGCAGATCACCTGAGGTCAGGAGTTCGAGACCAGCTTGGCCAACCTGGTGAAACCCCATCTCTACTAAGAATACAAAAATTAGCTGGGCATGGTGGCAGGCGCCTGTAATCCCAGCTACTCAGGAGGCCGAGGCGGGCAGATCACCTGAGGTCAGGAGTTCGAGACCAGCTTGGCCAACCTGGTGAAACCCCATCTCTACTAAGAATACAAAAATTAGCTGGGCATGGTGGCAGGCGCCTGTAATCCCAGCTACTCAGGAGGCTGAGGCAGGAGAATCGCTTGAACCCGGGAGGTGGAGGTTGCGGTGAGCTGAGATCACACCACTGCACTCCAGCATGAGCAACAGAGTGAGACTGCACCTCAAAAAAAAATGGTAAATTTCATGTTATGTGCTCTTCACCACAATTAAAAATTTTAGAAATGTGTATTTAAAAATTTCTTGGAGGGAAAAACAGATGGGGATATGTCAACGGGACCCGGGAGCCAACCTGAAAGAGCTCCCAGTGGCCAATGCTGGGACAACTTGAGTGACAAAATAGCATAACCCCAGGTCACAACCCACCGTGTAACAAGGACACATGCGTCCGTTCTGCTGTAAATTAAAGATTAAATAAGCAAGTAGTGGGAGATAATGGATGCGTCTCTCATGCAGAATTCCAAATAACGTATGTAGATACCCCCGAAGGAGATGGACCTGAGTCCCCACCCCTGAAGTGTGGCCTGTTCTTAGTGGCATCTTCCAGAGACGACAGTATTGCGGGGCAGGGGGTCACTGATGACAGAGCAAATACCAGCAAACCCTCCTCGGCCAGGTGACCGAGGTCAACACTGGTAGTGAAGGCCGTGCTGGCGGTGTCCCCCGATGCGGTGTGGTGGAAGGGTGTGTCACCTCCATGACACATCCATCACCCAGTCCAAACCCATCACCCAGTCCAACCATGAGGAACACCAAAGACGGAGCCCAACTGATGGACGCCCGACAAACACCCGAGCAGCAATTCTCAAAATCGTCACGGTTGGCCGGGTGCGGTGGCTCACACCTGTAATCCCAGCACTTTGGGAGGCCAAAGTGGGCGGATCACCTGAGGTCAGGAGTTTGAGACCAGCCTGGCCAACATGGTGAAACCGAGTCTCTACTAAAAATACAAACATTAGGCCAGGCTCACGCCTGTAATCCCAGCACTTTGGGAAGCAAAGGACGGGAGGGCAGATCACCTGAGGTCAGGAGTTCGAGACCATCATGGCCAACATGACGAAACCTTGTCTCTACTAAAAATACAAAAATTAGCCAGGCATGGTGACGTGCGCCTATAATCCCAGCTACTTGGGAGGCCGAGGCAGGAGAATTGCTTTAACCTGGGAGGCAGAGTTTGCAGTGAGCTAGATGGCGCCATTGCACTCCAGCCTGGCGACAGAGTGAGACTCCGTCTCAAAAAGCAAACAAACAAGCAAACAAACAAACGCAAACAAACCAACAAGCAAACAAACAAACACAAACAAACCCATCAAGGTCATGATATGTGCAAGTCATGCGCTTCAAAAACTGGGACATCTGGACCAGGGCTTGGGAGGGTCCCTCCAGCCCCAGACCCCAGGCCACTTTGCAGGCCGGCTGGTGTGGCAGGTCCCTGGCCTTGGCCCTCCCTTGTGGCACGGAGCTGTCACAAATGCCTCCATCCCCATGTCGGAGCCGCTACTGCATGCAGGTGCCTGCTGGATGCATGGGTAACACCTGTCCCAGAGGAAGGGAGCCTCGTTGAGGAGGAGGGGGGCCCTCAGGGAGACAAGGCCAGCAGGGGGACTGCAGGGACTGGCGCTGGGGAATGGTGTTTTACAGCGAGAGTGGGTGGAATAACCACACTTTAACCCATCATCATGTGGACAGTTTTGTTATGAAAAACACCAGAAAGCCATTAATGTAAATCATGAAATATTCAGCAAGGAAGTCACTTAAATGTCTCGTGTTCCCAGAAATGGTGCCGAATGCTTCCTGCATCGGGGGTGCCCAAACATCAGCTATTTTGTGCATCTTCAGAGGCCATTATCACAGAACTGGAAGCATTAGGTCATCACCGCAGACGGTGGGCCTCCTGCGGCTTAGCTGACAAGTGGGTGAGAAAAAGAGGAGCCTCTGCAGGCAGCAGCCACTGCCTCCCCTGAGTGAGCCAGGTGGGACAGTCACCTGTGTGCACAGCCCTCCGTGTTAAAGTCCTCCCTTCAACACAAAGTCCTGCCTGCCACGAGGATGATGAAAACAGCTGCCCTGTGTTTCCTTCTGCACTCTGCTCCACACCCCACATGCATTTCCTCCTTCCCTCTGAGGACGGTCTCAGGTCACGTGTGGCTGAGCGGTGAGGCAACGCTTTGGGTCCAGCTCTATTTGGCTCCAAAACTGTGCTCTCCACCACCATCTTGCCTGCCTGTAGCAGCTCCCTCTGCAAAAACCCAAAGCGAAGCAAAGCAAAACACAGTCAGAAAAGAAGGTGATGACGCACCAGTTAAGACGGTGCACGACCCAAACCAGAAAGTAACAACAACAACAACAAAATTCAAGATAGAATTACCGTACGGTCCAGCAGCTCCACTGCTGGGTCTACACCCAAAAGAACTGAAATCAGGGACACGAAGAAATATTTGCACACTTATGTTCATAGCAGCAGCCACAATAGCCAAGAGATGGAAGCAACCCAGGTGTCCATCAATAAATAAATGGATAAACCAGTGTGGTCCACTCATACAATGGAATATTACTCAGCCTTAAAAGGGAAGGACATTGGCTGGGCGCGTGGCTCATGCCTGTAATCCCAGCACTTTGGGAGGCTGAGGCAGGTGGATCACGAGGTCAGGAGTTTGAGACCAGCCTGGCTAACATGGTGAAACCCCGTCTCTACTGAAAATACAAAAATTAGCTAGGCATGGTGGCGCACGCCTGTAATCCCAGCTACTCAGAAGGCCTAGGCAGGAGAATCACTTGAACCCGGGAGGCGGAAGTTACAGTGAGCCGAGATCGTGCCACTGCACTCCAGCCTGGGCGACAAAGTGAGACTCCACCAACAAAAAAAAAAAAAAAAAAAAAAAGAAGGAAATTCTGACACAGGCTACAATGTGGATGATGAACCTTGAGGACATTGTGCTAAGTGACATGAACCAGCTGCAAAAGAACAAACACTATATGCTTCCACTTATATAAGGTCCCTAGAGTAATCAATTGCATACAGACAGAAAGTAGAAAGGTGGGTGCCAGGGGCTGGGAGGAATGGAGAGTCAGTGTTAATGGGGACAGAATTTCGCTTGAACCCAGGAGGCGGAGGTTGCAGTGAGCCGAGATCCCACCACTGCACTCCAGCCTGGGCTACAGAGTGAGACTCCATCTAAAAAAAAAAAAAAAAGTAGGTAAATAAATAAATGAACTACACACTTAAAAACTGGTTAAAATGGTAAATTTTATGTTATGCGTATTTTACTAGAATTTTTAAATAAAAAGATGTGGATGGTGAGGAGTGTTGGTGAAGGGCCCTGGCGTGTCCGGGGAGTGTTGGTGAGACAGGAATTCATAGCGGCCTGTGGCTGAAAGGACTCCAGCCTGGAGCGTGGCCAGGCTAGGGGCGTTTCAGCACCTTGGAGAGGGACACCGCCACACCTGGATTGCCTGGGCGGTGCCTCTAGACCTGGGTGCATAGGGGCGTTTCAGCACCTTGGAGAGGGACACCACCACACCTGGATTGCCTGGGCGGTGCCTCTGGACCTGGGTGCAGGAGCAGGAGGTCCTAGCAGCCTCTGTGGGCTCCCTGCCTGCTCTTTTCCTCTGGCTGAAGCAGGGAAGGTGCTTGGGGAGACTTCCCAGAACCCCGCCCCTCTGGCCTGATGCTCGTAGCACTCCCCTGGCCAGGCGGATGTTCCTCGTGGAGGCTGTGCACTTGAGGGGTGCCCCGGCCCAGAAGAGAGGGAGGGATGCAGTGAAAGGTCCCAGCAGGCAACAGTGCCCCAGAAGGGGCTTCGGAGGCCCAGGTCCCACCCTTCTCTGCACTGCCCACCCCCATGGCCTTGAGAAAGCTCCTGCCCTCTCTGGGCCCCTTAACCCCACCCCACGAGGGCTTTCTGGGGCCCAGGGTTTCCCAGCCTAGCCAGAGCAGGAAGGGCCCAGGCGAAGCCAGCACAGGGAGGACAGAAGCTCCGGTTTCTTTTCTTTTCTTGAGTGCCCCTGGCCTGCAACCCCCTGGTACCAAATTCTCAGCTGGGGTGATGTCATCCCCTCCCCTCCAGGAGAGTCTGTTGTTGTTCTTGTCACAGGGAGGCAAGGAGTTGCCCTATTGGCGTTTAGTGCCCGGGAACTAGGACGCCAAACATCACTCGTGTGAGACAGCCCTGCCCCCCAGCATCCTCCACCCCAGGCCCCTGTGACAAATTACTGCAAGTTCCACGAATGCCATTTCAGCCCAGAGCACGCAGACTTCCGGAAAGTAGGCCCGCTCAGACGCTGTGACATGATTCCCGGGGATGGTAAAGACATCTGGTTACAGTAAAACCCTGGTCCTGAGTCAACAGCGTTCACCCAAGGGTTGCCGATGCTTTACTTTCACACAGTGCTGTCAACTAATTGCATGCTGGAGGTTTACTCCAACCCCGGGACCTGCATGACAATACCCTGGTTGCTGGGAGTCGCCCTGTGGGTCCCTACCATCGAAGTCACATTTCTTACCATTGCTCTGAAAAGTGAGTTGTGATGGAGGCCATGCAAATTAAAATATAATTCACAGAGCCATCTGTGAGTGGCTCACCCTCCATAAACAGTTTATCATTTTCAGGGGAAATTTGCATCGCTGGCCCCTCCGATAGGAGTTCATTCATTCATTCACTCACTCAGAGAAATCCAGCGCAAATGCAGACAGAGCTGTTACCTGCACCCAGGCAAGCGCAGTGTGGGAAATGGTAAGACCTGGACTTGTTCTGTCAAGGGCAAGAAAGGGCAGAGGTAGACAAGGGGATCTGGGGTGCTCAATGCGCTGATCCCAGAGGACCTGCATGTGGGGGACCACGACATGGGGGTCCTAACTCCAGCCTGGTGGGGGCTTCCTGCCAGGTGATGGGGGAAGGGGAGAGGGCCAGGCTGAAGGGGCTGGGCTGTAGATGCCTGGGGAGAAGCTTTGTGGGTGCAAAAAGCATGGAAGCCCAGAGCGGCCCGGAGCCGGTCTTCTTGGGGGCCAGCTGGGGTGGTGCTCCCATCCTGAGAGGCTGACATGGTGGGACCCTTTGGGGTTTCAGGAGGGAAGCTCCCTCTGGCAACAGCCGGGGCACAAGGAGGCCAGCCATGGTGATGGTGCCAAGTCCCAGAGGAGGGACGGCATGAGGAGGGCCCTTCCCACTTGCCACCACCCATCTCTGGAAAGGGGGCATCAAGAGGAGCTCCTACTCACATGAACAATTATGGAAAGGAGTTGTGAAATCGGATTTTCCACTTAAACATGTGTGCAGTGAGCTGCCACGGCTTCCTGGGCACTTGGGAGAGCCTGGAATTGCATTAAGTAATAGAAACCACCCTGGGAAGCTGCTCCCAGGGAAGCTGTAGTGGCTGTTCCTCAGTCCAGCCCTTGGTGCCATCATTTCTGTTCCATCAAAATAGAAGATCTAAACTTCAGGCCAGTGGGGCCTGGTCCTTGGTCTCTCTAGATCTGAGGCAGCAGAGAGGGTGAAGAAACACCAGCCCTGGCACTGGGTGAGTGTGGGGTCCAATCCTGGTTTGCAATGCCATTGTACAGATGAGGACATCAAGGCCCAGAGAAGTTAAGTGATTGCCCAAGATCACACAGCAGGCAAACAGCAGTGTCAGGATTTGAACTTGGCATCTGTCTGACTCCATGGCTGTGCTTCCCAACCTCAGTTACCTATGGCAAAACTGCTGTGGCCCAATGAACAGAGTGGCTGCAAAGACATAGGAACTGGAGGGGGACCAGCTTATAAACCGTTAAGTGCCAAGCGGAGGGCCACCCATTAACTGCTATTTCCATGGGCTGACTGCAGTTGGGAACTGGTGCAGGGCGACCTGGCATCCCCCGTCCCCCACATGGCAGGGACTAGCCCCGTTGTGTCATTGAGTTCCTGGGTCCCGGCTGGCCAGAGTGGTCACCGCCATTTCATTATTTAGGGGCTGGAAAATTACTATTCATGACAGCAAACTTAAAAATGAAATAATAAGTCCGTCCTTTTAAAGAGCAAATTGTGATGCTAGAATATTCATGAGCTGTGACTTCATGGGAAATGGCAGCAGCAGGGAGATTATCATTTGGTTAAGTCAGCAGCCAAGGAATTTAGGGAAATGCACTTGTCAGTCTGAGGAAATGGGTGATTAATACTTTCCTGTTTGCGGGGCCCCTTAACGGGCGCATTTTTAATGTAATAATTAATTAACCTTGGGATCACTCACATTTCACAAGCTCCCAATGCCTTGGCTCCTGGAGGGTGGGGGTGTAGCCACCTTCCTGCCCCCTGGCCCCCGATCCCATTCCCATTCTGCATGCCGGGACACTTGGAACTGACCCCCCTCTGAGGTCACGAGGCCTGAGACCTTGGCTGAGAGGCTGAGGCCAAAGCTCATGGGAGACTTGTGTGGTGAAGATGGGTTTGGCCTGCCCTGGGCAAGGACAGGGTGGGACTGTTGAGGCCGGGCAGGGTGACGAGGACATGCCCTGTCCTAGCGAATGCCTATAACCTCTTCGTGGGTGCAGTGAGTTGAGTAGGGGACCCCAAAACTCATGTCTACCTGTAGCCTCCAAATGTGGCTTTATTTGGAAGCAGACTCTTTGCAAATATCATTAGTTAAGAATCTCAAGATGAGATCATCCTGGATTTAGAGTGGACCCTGAATTCAACGACTGGTATCTGTATAAGAAGAGAAGAGGACACAGAGAAGAGGCCACGTAGGACAGAGGCAGGGATTGGAGTGATGCAACCACAGGCCAGGGAGTGCCATGAAAGCTGGGACAGACCCCCCCTTCGGAGCCTTGAAAGCAGCCAAGCCAGCCAGGGCCTTGGCTTAGGGTTTTTGGCCTCCAGACAGGGGAGGATGCGTTTCTATTGTTTTAAGAACCCTGGTTTGCAGGGCCTTGTTCCAGCAGCCCCAGGACCCTCCTACAGCGGCTGTCCCTTTCCGGGGCTGCTGGAGAGTAACGGAGGGAGGCCTTGTGGGCAGGGTGGGGGACCATGTTCCGAGAACCCTGGAGTCCCCAGGGACTGACTGTGTGGGGCCTGATGCTGCTTTTTCAGTGAGCAGGACCAGTGACTAGATGCTCATCCACTCCTCTCTCTGCACCTGAGCGTCTCCTGCTGCAGGGGGTTGAACCAGAGCTGTGCTTTTCAAGCTGGGTTTCCCAGCACACCCATAGGGGCCTGGGAGTCAGAATGCCTCGGTGCCGCCCTCCAACCTCCTCCCTCCTGCTGCCTAGAGAACTCTTAGTCATCCTTTACGGCCCATTTCCAGTGCCCCTCTCTGGAGGTGCTGGCCTGAGCTATCAGGGTCCTTAGAGCTCCAGGCATCCCCCACCCCTGTAGGCCAGCTCCTGCTCCCAGCCCAGGCTCTCGCATGGCCCCCTGCAGGGTTTGTGGATCAGAAGCAGCAATCTCAGGCCCCGAGGCCCTGAGTCATTCACACACACAGGCACACATGCACCCATATATACATGCACAGCAACATGCACACCCCCCCACATAAACATGCACACATATGCATACATGGCACACACACATGCATGCAGACATATGCATGCACACACACAGCACATATGCACAGTGCACACATGCACACAACACGCCCACACACAGGTGCACACCCCCCCGCACACATGAACATGCACACATATGCATACATGGCACACATGCACACGCACACATATACACACACGGACACATGCACGCATACACATGGCACATATACACAGTGCACACATATGCACACATGCACACAACACGCCCACACACAGGCGCGCGCGCGCGCGCACACACACACACACACACACACACGCCTGCACACTCACCCCCACCACCTCGCCCCTCCAGGCAGGCTGACAGCTCAACTGCACCCTCTAGTGGCTGGCTTGAGGCACCACGGCCAGGCTGCTGCTTGTTGAGTTTCGGGTTGGGTCCAGGCCACCTGGGGGTGCAGTGGATGAGAGCGGCACACCCCACCTCAGTCACACTTGGAGCCCCCTTTGCCAGGAGACCCTGCTTGGCCTGCCCAGCCAGGCGCTGACACCATACGGGGGCTGGGGGCTCTGGCCACATCTGCCCAGGGAGCTAAGTCGAGGCAGGGGTCGGGGAGACCGTGGGCAGGATGGCCTTGTCCTTAGCTGCCACCACCCAGGGCAGCTGGGGCTCCTCCAGGGAACTCTCAGGGCCATGGCAAGAGCCAGGGCAGGCTGGGGTGGCCTCACTCCAGGCCTCGGGCCAGGACTGGCTCTGCCCCTGCAGATGCAGGGAATCTGTCACCTGGGCCTTCGCTGATTCCCTGCAGGGCCTTGGGCAGCTACGCCCAGACCAAACGAGGCAGGGGGAACTGGCAGGCAGCTCCAGGACAACGCACCTGGCCTGCCCCTTCCTGAGAGCTGCAGGGAGTTCCGAGGGCTGACGCCACCGCCGCGGAGCCTGCTCCTGTAGCTGTGGTTGGGGCTGGGGTAGGGTGCCCGGCGTGGCTGTGGTTGGGACTGGGGTAGGGTGCCCGGCGTGGCTGTGGTTGGGACTGGGGTAGGGTGCCCGGCGTGGCTGTGGTTGGGACTGGGGTAGGGTGCCCGGCGTGGCTGTGGTTGGGGCTGGGGTAGGGTGCCCGGTGTGGCTGTGGTTGGGGCTGGGGTAGGGTGCCTGGCGTGGCTGTGGTGGTGGGCTCTCCTGGAGGCCCCTCTGCAGCATGGTCTTGGGGCCCAGCCTGGTCCTCCTGGCCACAGGAGGTTCTGAGAGCGCCCCAGAAACCCCTCCGTGAATTCCTTTTCTGCCTGAACTGGTCAGAGCTGGGGTCTGTTGCTGCAACGAAGAGGCCCCCGAAGCGGCCCCTCCCCCACCCTAGGAGCACGGGGCTCATTCTCCAGCAGACCGGAAGCCTTGTCTATCTTCTTCCTGCTGCACCCCCGGGCCTAAAGCAGCACCCAGTGCACAGTAGGCACTAAACACACAATGGACCAATGCACCAAGGGGGGCCCGCCTGGTGGGTTCCCTGGAAGCAGAAGCTGAGATGGAGTTTGGGGTGCACTGGGGACCACACCTGCTGGATCAGCCCAGGGAGGCAGCGTCGGGCAGAGGGAGAAGCTGAACCTTCATGCAGGCCTTGGCCAGCCGGGGGGCAGGGGGCAGGTGGCGGGGGGCTCAGGGGAGGGCTCCCTGCCGGGAGACCCTCTGAAATGGCTGGGTCTTGCCACCCCACTCAGCTCTGCCATGCAGGGAGGGGTGTGACCTCAAAGGTGGCCTCCGAGGCTGAGGCTGAGGCTGAGGCTGAGGCTGAGGGATGGGGGCAGCAGGTCCTCTTTCAGAGGGGGCTCTGGGTCGTGTCTCCATGTCCACACCAAAGCCTAACCCTCCTAGAAAGATAAACGGAGGGTCAGAAAGAAAAGAACCGGCCAGGCACAGTGGCTCATGCCTGTAATCCCAGCACTTTGGGAGGCCAAGGCGGGCGGATCACCTGAGGTCAGGAGTTCGAGACCAACCTGGCCAACATGGCGAAAACCCGTCTCTGCTAAAAATACAAAAACTAGTAGGGTGTGGGGGCAGCGCCTGTCATCGTAGCTACTCAGGAGGCCTAGACGTGAGAATCACTTGAACCCAGGAGGCAGAGTTTGTAATGAGCTGAGATCGCGCCACTGCACTCCAGCCTTGGTGACAGAGCAAAACTCTGTCAAAAAAAAAAAAAAAAAAAGACAGAAAGAAAAGAACCTGCCCAGGCCTCTTGACTGGGAAGAGACAGTGTGGATGCCAGACTGGGCCATTTGACTCTGGGATCTTCCCTTCATGCTGGCCCCTCACCCCAGGGAGTCCCAGAGAGTGGGGCCTGGGAGGCCTCAGGACAGCCTGGCCACTGGAGAGGGACTCCCCCCAGACCTCTCTGGCATTGCTGTTCCTCTCCTACGTTCAGGGGCTGGGGGGAGGTACTGCCAGCTGACCTCAGCCTGGGGCAGAGCTGCCACCAACAGGGAGGTGGCTTCCAGCAACTTCCAGGCTCCTTGCTGACACACTTGGTGTGCCGAGTAGTGTCCCAGAGGAGGTGCAGCCAGGGCGGGCTTCCTGGAGGAGGAGGCCCTGAGCCTGAGGAATGGGCTAGGTTGGCACAGGCTTCGAGGTAGGGAGAGAAGCAGGAGTGCTGGTATGGCCGGGAGCAACCCAGGGGTGAGGGAGGGAGGGGCTTCACTGAGGCTCAGGATGCAGGGTGAGGGGCCAGGCCAGGCCAGGCCAGCCTGAGTGCTTTGGCTGCACGAGACACAAGAAGCCACTTCTGACACAGACAATGAGGGAGGAGGAGCATAAGCCCTTGTCCAAAAAGGACAGCATCAGAACGGCAGAGGCCGATGACTCCAGCAGGGTGGGAACTACCTGCCACTAAGGAGCCCCTGCTGGGCTCCCGCTGTACCCGGGGGTTGGGCCCGAAGCCTCTCTGGTGGCTGGTTGGTGGCCCTGATAAACACACATCTGTGTCCCAACCCTGGAACTGTAGTGGGAACTCATTTGGGGAGAAGGGTTTTTGCAGATGTAATTAAGTTCAGGATCTCCAGGTAAGATCATCCTAGATTAGGGTGGCCCCAAATCCAATGACAAGTGTCCTCATGGGAGGCACACAAAGGACAGCCATGGGAAGAGGAGAGGCTGCATGAAGATGGAGGCAGAGGCTACAGCCATGTGGCCACAGGCCAAGGAACCCCGGAGTCCCCAGGAGCTGGAGGAGGCAGGAAGGACCCTCCCCTGTGGCTCCAGAGGGAGCGTGGCCCATGAACACCTGGATTTCAGACTTCCGGCCTTCAGAACTGGGCGAAAATACATTTCTATTGTTTTAAGCACCACCCCCCAGCCCCAGTTTGTGGCAATTTGTTATAGGAAACAGCCTCAAACCCATGAGAGGAGGGGAGACAATGAGAACCCATCAATTGACAGCCTCGTGGGTGAAGCGGGGTGGGGGCTGGAGTGGTCTCAGAGTACCACGAACCTCCTATCCTTCCACGGGAGGGCACAGGCGTTCCTCCAGGACTCAGGTCAGCTTTGGCTTGAGTCTTTGCTAGCGTGGCCTCTGTGGACCCTTGCAGGGTCCTTGTGATGGCACTGTCCCCCCGCTGTAAAGCCCGTGGCCAGGAGGAAACAGGGAGACTGGGAAGGTTTGATGCCAGGATGGGGGGTTCAGATGTTTCCTGTCAGAAGCAAGCGGGATGCCCTGAGGCCACAGCTTCAGCCCCCTCCCCAGCCACCCCATCCCTCCTCCTTCCTCCAGCCCCAGCCTCCCCTCTGCCCGCTCTCACGCTCAGCCCAGAAACGCGCCCAGCCTCTCTAATGTAAACATGCTGCTGGGCACCCCGTGGCTGGTGCCCTCCTCTCTCTGTTCCCCCAGCCTTCTTGGAAGGTGGAACAGGTGCATCTGTGGCCTCTTGGTGGCTTTCCCATGGCTCCATCCTTTCCCTGTCACTTTGTCCCCTCCCTCTTTGACTTTGGTCCAGAGGACATCAACAAACATGGCTCAAGCAAAGGCTGAAAAACCTGCTGCGGTGGATCCCAGACACTCCCGTGGGAACTCACTGGGGAACATGAGACCGAGGCTGAGGGCCTAGGGATCCCGACCAGCCCACCTGCCAGCCTGGCTTGGTCAGCAGCACCACCCAGCCAGCCGTGGACTTGTGAGAAGTGATGGAGAGCTGTTGGTTGTTTTACCCGCTGAGTTTTAGGACGGTTTTGTTATGCAGCATCACTGTGGCTGCAGATACCAGATCTGCAGCCAGGCAGGCTTGGGCCCCAGTCCCCTTCCGGTCCCTGGAGACGCTCCCTGAGATGACGTGATATTTCTGGTTCTTCTCTTACAGGCCCCATTTTCTCCTCAATATCTTCTCCGCCTTGTGTTTCATGGAGCCACACTCTTGGAACTTTCCTAGTACCATACTCCTCTGTTTTCTTCATGAGCTCCTCTGCATGGGAAGGGGGGTGGGCATCCTCTTAGTTCCAGCTGCCGCTGGTGTGCTCATGACTGGTTTGACTTTTTTGTTTTGTTTTGTTTTTTTGGGACGGGGTCTTGCTGTGTTGCCCAGGCTGGAGTGCAGTGGTGCCATCACGGCGCACTGCAGCCTGGACCTCCTGGGCTCAGGTGATCCTCCCACCTCAGCCTTCTGAGTAGCTGGGACCACAGGTGTGCACCACCACGCCCAGCTCATTAATTTTTTTTATTTTTTGTAGAGGGTCTTGCTACGTGGCCCAGGCCGGCTGCCCAGTGTTTGTCTCCAGCCCAGGCCTCTCTCCTCAACTTCAGTCCTGTAGGTCCAGCTGCCTCCAGGCCACCTCCGTGTGAATGCCCCCAGCACATCCAGGTCCCCGTGTCCAAAACTACCCAACACCTTCCTGGCCAATGGCTCCTCCTCCTGCCTCCTACTTCAAAAGGTGGCACTGCCCTGCACTCTGCCACCCACACTGGAAGTCTTCAAGTCATCCTTGATTTCACTCTTGGGCCCACACCCTCCAATCCTGCTGGCCTCCCCTCCCACAGGCCACTGGAAGCCCCCTTCTCCTCTTCCTCTCCCTCCGCATTGCTCCCCCGCAAGGATGCCCTGCCCTCTTCCCTGTCCCCTCCACAGTCACCACCATTCATTCTGCCACCTGGTCACACCGTTAGTGGCTCTCACAGCAACGTCTTAATGCTCTGACCCGGCTCCTCCAAGCCCTCTAGCTTCCCCCACTCTCCACTCACCACCTTGGTGTTCCTCCCCTTTCTCCTCCACCAGCTTCCACGATACTACCACCACCTCCACTGCGGTCTCTAACAGTCGGTACTTCTGCTTCCTGCGTTAAAAATGCCCCATTCCAGGACTGTATCCTGGTGTCTGGTCTTAATCACTACCATATTTTCATTGAGTAGCAGAGGCTCCCACCTGTGAGAGGCAATTAGTAAGTGCTGAACTGGACACATGGAATCTGGACGAGGTTGGAATTATCACAGGAGAAAAATGAGGATGTGTGTGCAAAATGGTGTGGACAGAATAAAAGCCTGCAGGCAGGAGGCAGAGACAGCCTCCCCGGTTAGATTGCTAACCTCTGAGAACGGGAACTGTGCCTTATTCATCTCTGCGCAGTAAAGTTTTTTTAAATGAATGGGATGAATGAGTACAGATCAGTCAATGTGTCAGGTCTAACCTGAACTACAAAATTCATATTTAGGAGCATGGTAAGTAAGACGTTATCCAGGACTGTTGAGCTAGGTACAGAGACCACTGCCAAGGGGGCTTGCAGTGGGGAGAGAGGTCAGGCTCAACTCCCAATACAGCAAGGGCAAGTGGGTGGGGTCAGTGAATGGAAAATTAATAGGAGAAAACATCAGGGATGTGGGCGGTTCTGGCTAAACCGACCTGACAGGGTTCTTGCTGAAGAGAGGCTGGAGATATCAGACAGCACCTGGGGGACGAGGAACCTGACCAGACGTCCAGGGTGATCTGATATTGAGGCTGGGAGTTCTTGCTAAACTCACTTATCAAGGCTCTTCGCTAAAACTGGATTTTACAAGGAAGTGTACAGATGATGTAGAAGGTTCAGGAGCCTGCTTAAGTTTGGCCAAGCAAAGACTCTTTGTCACACCCCACAGAAAATGAGTCTGCCTGGCATCACCTGCACCAAGGGCGGCTTCCCTCCCCTCTGGGTGCCCCGCAAACCTAGGCTTCGCAGGAACAGTGACTCTCTGATCTGCGTGTGAATTAGAAAGACCTAGGCTTGTTAAAGCCAAGTTCTTTGGAGAGCCTCCGTTCTACAGCAGTGCAGTGCAAAAGAAATATCACAGCAGCCATGTAGGCAATTTAAAATTCTATCTTAAAAAGGTTAAAAGAAACAGGTGAAATTAATTTTAATGACATATTTTTCTTAACTCAATAGATACAAAATATTATTTCAACATGTAATCAATATGAAAACATTATCGAGATGCCTTACATTCCTTTTTCCCGTTACTTCTTTGGGATCCAGCGTGTATTTTACCTTTAGAACCCATGAGGTCCCACGTGGTGAGTGCCCCGGGTGGGAACCGCCTGCAGCTCGGGGAGGAACGAAGCTACCAGAGAACTACAGCTCCCGGCATGCTCCGGGCGCGCCCCGTGACGCACTTCCTTTGCGGTGGCCACAGCGCGCCCCCGGCGGCGGGAGCGAGGCGCCTGTCCGAGAACCACATCTCCCGGCATGCGCCAGACGCGCCCGTGACGCACTTCCGGTGCGGCCGCGACGGCGCGCCCCCGGCGGCTGCTGCGGCGGCGGGAGCGAGGCGACCGCTGAGGCCGCGGAGAGTGACGGCGGCCCGGCCGACGGGAGCCGGGGCGGGGCGGCGGCCCAGCGAAGGAGCGCGCGGGCGGTCTGGCCCCGCCCCCTCCCCGCCCGCCTTCCCGGTGACCTTCAGGGGCCCGGGTGGCGGGCGCAGGCCCCTGCGGCGGCGGCGGGATGTTCGTGCAGGAGGAGAAGATCTTCGCGGGCAAGGTGCTGCGGCTGCACATCTGCGCGTCCGACGGCGCCGAGTGGCTGGAGGAGGCCACCGAGGACACCTCGGTGGAGAAGCTCAAGGAGCGCTGCCTCAAGCACGTAAGGCCGGGCCCCCTCCCCTGCCCCCAACACCCGCTCCGGACCCCTCCGACTGCGGACCCCGCCTCAGTCCCCGAACCGCCCCGACCTGGGGTCCGCCGCCCAGTCCGCAGCTCCCAGGCCCTCTCCTCCGGGGGTGGAGGCAGCGCCTCCTGCCCGTTTGCCCGACTCTCCCCCTTTCGGATCCCACACCTCTGGACGCTCGTCCCGGGCCTGGCCTTTCGGCCGGCGGACTCCGGTCACTAAGCGCTCGCCCCGTGCCAGCCGCCCGGCCGAGCCCTGTACACGCCAGCCTCTCAGTTAACTCTGCAGCCACGCAGGGAGGTAGGGGCAGATCGGGAAACTGAGGCCTGGAGAGTGAAGTCGCCGACGGAGCAGGGCCTCGGGACTTTCCGGCAGTTGTACCTTTTTGCTGTTGGGGTGAGGTTTTTTTTCAGCAGCATCTTTGAGAGCTGAGAATTAACGTAGGCTCCTTCATGAAGAGGCCCCTTCTCCTTCCTCTTCCCCTTTCCCGCAGAGCCGGCTGCTTGGAGCTCTTTTCCTGGCTGGCCCCAGGCCACTGTGCCTTTTAGCTGGAGTCCCTGAAATAGTGCCGCTGCGGGACAAGGCCCTGCGCCCCTGCTTTTCTGCAGAGGTAAAATTGGTCAAGAGAGAAGTCCCAGGAGTAGGGTCTCCTCGCGGAGACACTTTTTAAAGTTTATTCACCTGAAATACTCCTGTGTATTTAGTTCCTTAGGTTGCTGATTTTTGGAACTAGTTCTCGAGTCTCTAAAGGACTCAGTAAGGTCAGCTAAGAAGCCTGTCTGTGTGTCAGACTGACCTCCTGTCTATACCTGACATGATCTGAGGGCTTGGCAGAATTTAGGTTGAAGGAGGCTGCAATTTTCTAGTGGCGACTCCATGTGATAAGTTACGACGTATCTGTGTTGACAGGTTGAGTGCGTTACACTTGAGCTGAGTGTGGTCTCTAAGGATAAACTTCAGTTCTTACCATAGTAGCTGCTCGCATACAGTACTTTCGAGTTGCTTTTGTGAGCATGGTTCTGTGGAGTTCTGGAACTGTCAGAGGCAAGCTTGGCAAGCCCCCTTCTGGAACGCACTGGCTGTGAATAACTGGGAGGTGCTGGCCTCAGGATTCACACCAAGGAGGGGGCTGAGCCTCCTGCGTTCAAGGGCCGGTATGTTTTGGCTGCTTTCTTGCTTTTCTTCTGCCCCAGTCTGCATGATTTTGCCGTCTGAACAACCATCGGGGCATCACTAAGCTCCAGCGCCGGTAACTCCGTGGGCATCCAGGCTGTTTGAGCCAGGTGGTGTTGCTTGTCTAGTTGTGTGTATTTTAAAAAACTTCTCTGGGCCGGGCACGGTAACTCACACTTGTAATCCCAGCACTTTGGGAGGCCGAGGTGGGCGGATTATGAGGTCAGGAGATTGAGGCCATCTTGGCCAACATGGTGAAACCCCGTCTCAACTAAAATACAAAAAATTAGCGGGGCGTGGTGGTGTGTGCCTGTAATCCCAGCTACTTGGGAGGCTGAGGCAGGGTAATCGCTTGAACCCGGGAGGCGGAGGTTGCAGTGAGATGAGATCGCGCCACTGCACTCCAGCCTGGCGACAGAGCAAGACTCCGTCTCAAAAAAAAAAAAAAAAAAAAACCAGACAAAAAACCCTAGAAACTTCTCTGAGGTGCTGCTGTGTCCTCCCTGAGCCAGTACAGAAGCTCCTCAGGGGTTCGGTTTATATCCACAAGTCCAGGGCCGGGCTTAGAGTGGCACCAAAACAAACTTGTGGGTTAATGGAATAGACAAAAATATCCTGTGGACCCCACACTGCATCGACATGGGATGTCCCCTGCGTTGGCACGGCATTTACTTTAACTCACTCGGTGCGATGTGCATGGCCATCATGATACTCTTTTATGAAAGGAAATAGGAAATGAGAGCTGTTTGATCCACAGATACCTACTCATGAATTTCAGGAGCACGGAGGGTCAGTTAGGCAGCCAGTTCCGATGCAATGCTAATTATTATACTCCTGATATATATTATTCCATTTGGTGTTGAGATGTATCATTTGGGATGTTTTGTCATTATTCTACTTTAAATTGAGATTGTATCCCACTCTGCGGTTTCCACAGGTGTGGAGGATCTGAGTAGCAGGGGATTTTCACACCGCAAGAGCCGACATACATTTCAGGACTCCAGAGCTGAGCGTCAGAAAGGTTCCCCACCACCACATCCCAGCGTGGTTCTGCAGGCAGGGCCAGAATGCGTTAGTCAGAAAAGAGAACCCTCGAGTTGTGTATTTGAATGTCTCTCTGGAAGCCGGTCCCTGGATGTCATCCTGCTGTAGGCAGTGAGGTCTGGTGTCTGTTTTAGCTTTGTTCCTCCTCGCCAGGTCCCCAGTGCGTGCTGACGCCGGCATGATTTTTTCCTTCCTCTTTTCCATCTGCCTGGAGGGGAATGATGTCGGCTTCTCCCTGCTGTGCTCCTGGGTGTGCACTCCTGAATCAAGGAGGGGTTTTATGATCAAAACTCTTGCTTTTGCCTTTCCCTTTTCTGTTTTGTGCAAATTGGGATCACCGTGGTGGCCTCTAGCTTCCATTGCCCTGGAGTGGAGAAGGGGGCAGAGGAACCTGTCTTGTACAACAGGTAGTTAATGAGTTTTAGAAAATTATACCTGGCTGAGCACGGTGGCTCATGCCTGTAATCCCAGTACTTTGGGAGGCCAAGACAGGCAGATCACAAGGTCAGGAGATCGAGACCATTCTGGCTAACACAGTGAAACCCCATCTTTACTAAAAATACAGAAAAATTAGCCGGGCGTGGTGGCGGGCACCTGTAGTCCCAGCTACTCGGGAGGCTGAGACAGGAGAATGGTGTGAACCTGGGAGGTGGGACTTGCAGTGAGCCGAGATCAAGCCACTGCACTCCAGCCTGGGCGACGGAGAGAGACTCCGTCTCAAAAAAAAAAAAAAAGAAAATTATACCTGTGGTGCAGTAGAGTTTTTGGTGTGTCGTAAACATTCATGAAATTCCAGCCTGGCCAACATGGCAATACCCCTTCTGTACTAAAAATGTAAAAAAATAGCCTGGCATGGTCGCGGACTCCTGTAATCCCACCTACTCAGGAGGCTGAGGCACAAGAATCGCTTGAACCTGGGAAGCGGAGGTTGCAATAAGCGGAGATCGCGCCACTGCACTCCAGCCTGGGTGACAGAATGAGACCCTGTCTTTAAAAAAAAAAAAAAAAAAAGAAGGAGTTCATAAAATTGCCAGACTAGAAGAGAGTACCCGCTAGTATAGCTGTTAAATTTTCCATTTCCTAGATCGCATGAAGATGGGTCCTCAGATGGCAGGTTGCATCAGGTACAAGCAGAAACGAAGTCACTACTCTTCTGGGGAGGAGCAGGATGGAGTGGGGTGGGGGTGTGAGGGCCTCCCTACTCCAGCGGCCTTGGTTGGGGCTTTTTTGCTGCCATACCCCAGCTTCTGCCGAGAACAAAGAAGCAGAGTGACACGGTCGTCCTAGTGCTTCCGTGTTGTTCCTGGTGTGCTGGTGACACGTGGACTGTGGGTTTTTTGGGAATCAGTATGAGAATTATTTTGGAAAACTGCATTTCGTAGTCTGTATTCTGAACTTGACAAATGAACTAGCCTGCAAACTTTAGGATCATGAGGAAGCACCCCCAGTATTTCAGGGAGCAGAGCCATTGTCAAATCCAGAGGCACTTGAGGGTTCTCTGCCCTGTTGTAAATGGCAGGAGTGTGTCTTCCTAGTAGCTGCGTCCCCCCAACATCCCCTCAGCCTGGCCAGTTTTGTGTGAAGGAGTGAGCCCCTGAAGCCGTCAATCCCTTTTTCAAAACCGTTTTCAGTCTTGAGAGTAACAGAAATTCCAGTTACTCTGAAAATGCCAGTGTTGAGAGGTGAAGTGTGTGCTTAGATTTTCTTTCCCAGCAAGCAGTTGTGTGTGCTGGGTGTTTCAGAGCCTCTGTGGCAGCAAAGGGTGGTGGAAAGTGAGCTGCCAGCAGGGCGTCTGCCCGGCCACCTGAGACGTCCGAGGACGGCCTGTCCTGGGGTGGTGCCCCGGCCCAGCTCCAGGCTGGGCCATGCTCCTGACCCACAGGCTGAGCCTGCTACCGGGTTTAGAAAGTGCCCAGTGAGGGTTTCATCCTTTTCTGATAGTCAGGTAATTCTACCATCAAACCTCAGGGGATCTGTAAGAGCAAGAAAATAGTCAGCCTTCTCTCCGTCCAAGCTCTGAGTTCTGAAGGGTTTTCAGGCCAGGCTATGGAAACTGTGGGTATTTTGTGAAACACAGAAGTGCAGCCCCTCTCCTCTCACCCCACGATTCCGGCTGGGGAGGCGCCATATTTGGTTAGGTGGGCACTGTTTGGTGTGGTGTGCGGTGCTGTGCTGTGCGGTGGTGTGCTGTGCTGTGCTGTCGTGTGTCGGGCTGTATGGTGCTGAGGTAGATAATAGAGTGGAGTCGTGGAGCTCT
This sequence comes from Homo sapiens, assembly GCF_000001405.40. Taxonomy (NCBI): domain Eukaryota; kingdom Metazoa; phylum Chordata; class Mammalia; order Primates; family Hominidae; genus Homo; species Homo sapiens. Next base: position 135,956,526 of record NC_000009.12, on the reverse strand, counting down.
GGACCGACTTGGGCACGAACATGCAGGCACATGTGCCGACCTCAGTCTTCATCACACGGCACCATCAGTGTTTGCCATTCTTCACAAAATGGTGAGCCGACGCGCCTAGCCCCCGTGTTCAAAGGAAAGCAGGACTCCCGCAAGCCAGTGCCACGTGCATGAATCAGGGACAGCTGTGTGCTGTTTTGCAGAGAGGATGCTGGCCGAATTGAGGAGCAGGATCTACCCCTGCCAGCAGTTGGCTGTGAGATCTTTGTAATGGCAGGGTTGGAAGGGGTCATGGCCGTCTGCTCCAACTTCCTCCTGGAGTTTGCACTCAGTAGCTGTCAAGATGGCTTCCCAGGTCCCCCGTGAGCGCTGCTCGGAGGTGGCTGTGGTGTGTGTGAAGGGGATCCCCTCACTGCTACCCATGTGTTGCCTCCCGTTCCCTGCCCGGGTGTGGCAGGGTTTCCAGGGCCCTGGTGACTGCGTGCCCATTGGTCCACCTTCAAGCCGCCCAGGGGTGCAGCATGGCTGTTGCTTCGTGAGCTGGGCCACGCCGAGAGCAGTCATGCTAAGTGCCCCTCTTATCCCAATCTCGGGATGCAGCATGGCTGTTACTTAGTGAGCTGAGCCAAGCTGAGAGCAGTCATGCCGAGCGCTCCTCTTATCCCCATCTCAGGCTCTCTGTGAGCCAGTCTTCTTTCTGGGCAGCCTTTCTGGCCCCTTTCATGCGTCTGTGGAAAAAAGAAAAACAGCTACCCAAAACTTAGGTAGATCTTTAGGTCATCAGGAAACAATGGATCTGCTGTTTTCATTTAAAATTATTTTCCAGATCTTTCTAGACCAAAGAAGCAATTCTGGTGGCCGCGAATTGTCAGTAGGGTGTGGTATATCAGAGCTGGGAGCTTGCTTCAGGAGTACTCCATGGGCTGGGGATCAGCTCACTGGTGCTATGATGCTTCATTTGGCATCTACCATTAGTGGGAATTCTTTAATTTCATCCATGGTGTAATTTCTTAGCTCATAAGAAAACCCAGTAAATTCCTGGTGTAGCTTGGGATGCCAGGTCCTATATTATTAGAATTACGATTTACTTATTTTCTACCTTGAAATTTCTATTTTTCCCCAGTGTGCTCATGGGAGCTTAGAAGATCCCAAAAGTATAACCCATCATAAATTAATCCACGCTGCCTCAGAGAGGGTGCTGAGTGATGCCAGGACCATCCTGGAAGAGAACATCCAGGACCAAGGTAAGGCTGCTGTGGGCGGGCGGGTTGGCAGCAGGCATCGTGCACTGCTGGGGGCGCTGGAGCCAGGAGGGGGTGGTCCACCCACAGGAGTCAGTGTTCTGAGCTGGACACGAGCACAAAAACGAGATCGACTAAAAGCATTCTGTTTTTCCTTTATTAAAAAGAGTTCTGTTATAGAGTATTTGTGAAAAACAGCAGAAATTGAAATTGAACAAGCAGCAGGCATTTGAGAAGCCAAATGTGAATTTTGCTTTTAGTTCTGTTTCAGAGCAAAGCCAGAGACTCCAGGGGTTCTGCAGGTTTCACCTTCGTTGTGGTGATGTTGGCATCCCAGTGCAGTGTTAGACACACACATCCATGTAATTGCTTATGGTTTTGTGTCTGGAGGCACTTGAAGAGCAGACATCAGTTTTGTCTGTGTCATTCAAATAATGCCTTTAATTGTGGAAGTCCTTGAAGTAAGCTGTTTTGAAAATCCTGGAAGTATTGCTAACAGATATCCGCTGAGATGACCATCAAGCTCCAAGCCAGTGGGGGATGGGCACCGTCGTGGGCCGAGGATGAGCTGCATCTCAGGTTTTGACCTCTGAGGGTTAAGACTAAACTCTCCACCCTCACAGACTTTTTCAGAACTGAGCCGGTTAAAATGCCTGTTGCAGGATTGTCACCAATTCTTTGCACAATTATTGGGGCCGTGCTGTGCCTGCCTCCTGGGCCATGGGTCACCTGGGGGTTCGTGCCAGGCCTGGGAGCTTGTACCTCAGCTAGGGCCATGCAGATATCATGCAAAAGTGAGGGAAGGCTGGTGTAGATGCTTGGTTTGGGGGGACCAAAGGAACCCATGCTCTTTTGAGACAGGGTGTCGCTCAGTCACCCAGGCTGGAGTGCAGAGGCACAGTCAGGCTCACTGTTGCCTTGACCTCCTGGGCTCAAGCAGTCCTCCCACCTCAGTCTCCCAAGTAGCTGGGACTACGGGCATGTGCCACCATGCGCAACTATTTTTTATATTTTCGTAGAGATGGGGTCTCGCCATGTTGTCCAGGCTGGTCTTGAACTCCTGGGCTCAAGTGATCCGCCTGCCTCGTGCTGGGATTACAGGAGTGAGCCACTGCACCCAGCTGAAGCCCTGCTCTTCTTCTTTTTTTTTTTTTTTTTTAAGATGAAGTCTTGCTCTGTTGCCCAGGCTGGAGTGCAGTGGTGCAATCTTGGCTCAGTGCAACCTCCGCCTCCCAGGTTCAAGTGATTCTCCTGCCTCAGCCTCCCCAGTAGCTGGGATTACAGGCATGCGCCACCACGCCTGGCTAATTTTTGTATTTTTAGTAGAGATGGGGTTTCACCGTGTTGGCCAGGCTTGTCTTGAACACCTGACCTCAGGTAATTTGCCCGCCTCAGCCTCCCAAAGTGCTGGGATTACAGATGGGAGCCACTGCGCCCGGCCGAATCCCTGCTGTTCTGTTCTCAGGGCATCCAGCACCCTTTATGCCATTTTGTGGATATGAAGTGATAACCAGTGTGTTGGATATACGTGTTGTTTTTTCTAGATGTCCTATTATTGATAAAAAAGCGTGCTCCATCACCACTTCCCAAGATGGCTGATGTCTCAGCAGAAGAAAAGGTAAATTTCAAAGTTTGCAATTGGGGACCTTGGTTGGTAGAAGTCTACATTTAAGAATTACAGGCTGGGTACAGTGGCTCGCGCCTGTAATCCCAGCACTTTGGGAGGCCGAGGCGGGTGGATCACGAGGTCAAGAGATCAAGACCATCCTGGCAAATATGGTGAAACCCCGGCTCTACTAAAAATACAAAAAAAATTAGCTGGGCATGGTGGCTCATGCCTGTAGTCCCAGCAGCTCAGGAGGCTGAGGCAGGAGAATCTCTTGAACCCGGGAGGCAGAGGTTGCAGTGAGCCGAGATCGTGCCACTGCACTCCAGCCTGGCGACAGAGTAAGACTCCATCTCAAAATTAAATAAATAAATACAAACTTAAAAAAAAAAGAATTATAAAGAAGTTCTCTATACTAGTTGTTCACCAACCCACGCATTCGCCATTTACAGTAGATGTGGTTATAAGGGGTTCTCTCTCCCGGCAGAGCCTGTTTAATCCGTGTCAGTCCTGGTCCCTCCCTGCTCACGGGACCAGCACGGAAAACCTGCCTCTGAGTTTTCTGAGACAGAGAGGAGGGTAGGGACACATCCTGCGTGACGGTTCACTCCCGCGCTGCTGTCCGCCTTCACCTGCGTGTGCTCCTGTTCCCTCCTCTTTTCAAGCAGCCAAGTCAGTCCTGACAGAAAAACGGAGGAAAGTGGGTAACCAACCACCACACAGAATAAGGGCTGCGCATGCAGAGAGTGGCCGGTGAGGGAGCACTCGCGACAAGCCCCACCTCACACCGCACAGCCTCAGCATCCCCATCGGAAAATCCAAACGCAGAAATGCAGCGCAGTCTGAAACTTTTTGAGTGCCAAAATGACACTTAATGGAAGTGCTCGTTGGTGCTTTTTGAGTTGATTATTTGGAATGCAAATATTCCCAAATCTGAAAAAACCCGAAATCCGAAACAGTTCTGGTCCCGGGCATTTCAGATGAGGGATACTCAGCTGCACTGTTAATGCTGAGAGAGGCTGAGTTCTGCCTGTCTTGTCTATTTCTTGCAAAACAGAACTGGATGTCGTTGGTGTTTACATTCACTCACACGTTATTGATTCATGGTCTGCACCGTCCACTTGCACGTGTACCTTAGGAACACCGTGCAGTGTGTTGTTTACTGGCTGCCCTAGAAGCTCATGTTTTGGAAAGCTCACTGAGCAGAGGAAGATGCGTTCTGCAAGTGGCGTGTCCTACCCCACAGCAGGGCCTGAGCCCGTGCCGAGCATGGAGCCTGCCAGCTAGAAGGGCAGCCACTTTCCTCTGCTGTCTTTGCATTACTCATCTCAAGGGTAGAATTTCTTACTCGTGCTTTGAAAGGCTAAGGAGAGTGTTCACCCCAGAGAAAGAGCAGGTCAAACTCTTTTGGGCTAGGCCCATGCCTGGTAGTGCATAAGCTATTTTTGGGTTTCATCTGGGACCATGGGTACCCAGGAAGAGCACCCTGGGCTTGGGTCCCCTCCTTATCTTCAGCCACACCTGGCCACGCATGAGTGACACACAGGCTGCCGCCCCACCCATCTGCAGCGGACAGATCTGGGCCTGCCTCCGCCTGTCCCTGAGTCAGGCCTGTTTCTGGGAACTGCTGCAGGCAGCATTCACAGTTCTCAGATTACAGTTTGACCGTTGGTGTTCAGACTTACAGGCCCGTAACTAATATAAACAGCGGGGTCTGACCATACACCCGTTGCCCCACAGCCTCTTGGATGGGTAGCTTGGAGCTAACCTGAGGAGCTTACCTTTTCTCTTCAAATATTTGCAAACTGAAACATTGTAAGATGTCAGTTCATATTTTTATGAATTAATTATTATTATTTTTATTATTATTTTATTATTTTTGAGACAGAGTTTCGCTTTTGTTACCCAAGCTAGAGTGCAGTGGCGTGATCTCAGCTCACTGCAACCTCCGCCTTCCAGGTTCAAACGATTCTCCTGCCTCAGCCTCCCAAGTAGCTGGGGTTACAAGTGCGTGCCACCACGCCCGGCTAATCTTTTGTATTTTTAGTAGAGATGGGGTTTCACCATGTTGGCCAGGCTGGTCTCGATCTCCTGACCTCGGGTGATCCACCTGCCTCGGCCTCCCAAAGTGCTAGGATTACAGGCATGAGCCATTGCGCCTGGCCTACATTAATTTTTAATTTAGTTTTTGTTTTTGTTTTAGAGACAGGATCTCACTCTGTTGCCCAGGCTGCAGTGCAGTGGTACAATTATAACTCACTGCAACCTTGACCTCCTGGGCTCAAGCAGTCCTCCTGCCTCAGCCTCCCGAGTAGCTGGGACCACAGGTGTGTGCCACCACACCCAGATAATTTTTGTATTTATGAATTAATTTTTAAGTCAAAGTGACGTATGTTTTTAAAAGGTCGAATAATACTACAAATCTTTTAATAAAAATTAGCAGTCTTGGCTGGGTGCGGTGGCCCACGCCTGTAGTCCCAGCACTTTGGGAGGCTGAGGTGGGAGGATCACTTGAGTCCAGGAATTTGAGACCAGCCTGGGCAGCATGATGAAACCCTGTCTCTACAAAAAATATAAAAAGTTAGTTAGGCTTGTTGGCACAAGCCAGGCAGTGCACACCAGGCTGGAGTGTGTGGTACGATCTCACCTCACTGCAGCCTCTGCCTCCTGGGCTTAAGTGATCCTTCTCCCTTAGCCCCAGGAGTAAAGCAGCTGGGACTATAGGTGTGTGCCACCACACCTGACTAATTTTTGTATTTTTTGTAGACATGGGGTCTCACCGTGTTGCCCAGGCTGGTCTTGAACTCCTGGGCTCAGGTGGTCTGTTCACCTTGGTCTCCCAAGTGTTGGGATTACAGGCGTGAACCACCATGCCCGGCCCAACCACTCATAACTCTTGTTATTTTTAACAATTCTCTTCCTGATTTATAAATAATATGTGTATATTATTATTCCTTGAATGACCAACTTTAGTCTCTATTGACTTCTTAATGAAGAGGCTATAGTACCTCCCTCTCTCCTCCCTTGAGGGTTAGATCATAATGTTGAAGATCTCAGGGTTTTCATTACTAGTATAATTGAAGTGTGGTTTTCAGCTGTGAGCAAAATAGATTAAGATTATCTATCCTTCTTACACAGCTGTATTTTTCCTGGAATTAATATTTGCCTCTTCCTTTTGTTTGCTTGTTGAGTTTCTTATAGGCTTATCGCTGATTTTTTCATGCTCTTCCACAGAGCCGATAAAGCTTCTGGAAACGTGGTCACAGATGTTAGGTCACTGGGGTGTTCCCTCCCTCCAGATCCCTCTGGCCTGCGCATCTGTCTGAGTCGCTGCCTTCCAGGCCTGCTGCACAGCCTGGCTTTCCTGCCTCTTTCCCGTGTTAGAGTTTGCTAAGTCTATGCAAGTTTTCCGTTGCCACCTAACAAATCGCCACACATGTAGCTGCTTAAAACAGCACTCCGCTTGTAGCTCGCAGTTCTGTAGGGCAGAAGTCTGGCTGGGTGAGCTCAGCTGGTTTCTGTGCTCAGGGTCTCGAGCTGAAATCAGGGTGCCGGAGGGCTGTGTTCAGGGTGCTGAAGGGCTGCCTTCCTTTCTGAGGCTGGGGAAGATTCTGCTTCTGAGGTCTTCCGGCGGTTGGCAGAGTCCAGTTCCGACCCATTTTCTTGCTGGCGGCCAGCTGGGGGCTGCTCTCAGGGCCTGGGCGCGGCCTGCATTCCTACCCGCACAGCCTCCTCCTCCTTCAGAGCCAGCAACAGGACTTCTGAAGTGTTGAATCTCTCTTTCCAGAAAGAGACCCATCCCTTTTAAGGACCTGCCTGATTAGTTGAGGCCCACCAAGGATCATACTCTTTCCCCACAGTCGGCTGTGCCGCGTGATGTAACCTGACCCCAGAGTGGACTGTGTCCTGCTCATGCTGTGCAGCCACGCACGGGCAACTGCCAGGCCCGGGGAGCGTGCGGCCGTCCTCGAGTTCTGCCTGCCGCAGGACCAGGTGTCTTGTTCTTCTCGATCTGTCCCTTGGTCTGGTGGAGCCTGACTTCCTCGGGTGCCAGGAGGGGAAACTGTCTGGAGGCCTCGTATTCCAGCGCAGCAGCTGTGGAGGGGGTGCCAGCCGTATGCAGTACGTGAGGCAGCTCTGAGCCGCTCCTCCCTGCACCAGCCGCCTCCCCTTCCTCTGCTCCTTGTAGAACCTTCTGCCATCTGGTGTGCTTTAGTGTTCTGGAATATTCCATGGTGTCTCTGCTGCAGGTCTTTTTCTCTTTGCTATGTCCGGCACATTGACTCTGGAGATTCAGATGTTTGAGTTCTGGGAAATTTAGTCCTGGAAAATGTTCTGAATTGGTTTTTTGATCTCCTTGTTTTCTTTTCTCTTTCTGTAACTCTTATGAGTTGGCTGGTAGGCGTGTTTTCTGAGGGATTCCTTGATTTTATCTTCTAAGCATTCTGTAGCCTCTTTGATCTGGCTGTAACATGTTTAAATTCCTAGGCCAGTTCTCCTCCTCAGATGATGTCTTCTAGTGTTCTGGTGTGTTCCTCCGTGGGCCGTCTGTCCTGGCTCATAAACACTATCCTCTTCCCTGCTGACTCCTCACTTTGTGCTGCTTTCTGTTGTTCCTTTTTTTTTTTTTTTGAGATGGTGTCTCACTGTCACTCACCCAGGCTTGAGTGCGGTGGTGTGATCTCAGCTCACCTCCCAGGTTCAAGTGATTCTCCTGCCTCAGCCTCCCGGGTAGCTGGGATTACAGGTGTGCACCAGGACACCGGGCTTATTTTTGTCTTTTTAGTAGAGATGGGGTTTCACCATGTTGGCCATGCTGGTCTCGAACTCCTGACCCCAAGTAATTCACCCACCTTGGCCTCCCAAAGTGCTGGGATTACAGGCATGTGTCACCTTCCAGAGGCCCTGGATCTTGATAGCAGCGCTTTGGGACTGGGTGGCTGGCTGGGGCACTGCGCTTTGGGTGTGGACCCTGCCATTTTGCCCCCTCCCACCTCTTGGCTGTGTCTGCCCCGCTCCCCTGCCACTGGGTCTCCCTGTGGAGGGTGCTGGGGTGCCGCTTTCCCTCTCATGAGCCTAGGGCTCCTGGCCCGGGGTCTCAAGCCCAGCTCTCTGGGAGTTGCCGGCAGGACTGGATGGCAGGGGAGCACAGGGCAGGGTGGCGGGGGATGGAGCGCTAGCTCCTGAGGCTCGCTCCTTGTCCCCTGCCACCGATGCAGTTCTAGGAGGCTGGAATGGTCTTGCGTCCATGCTCTGCTCTTGGCCTGAGCCTTTGTAGCTCCGCTGATCCCTCCATCCTCGTCCTCTGCCGTCTTCTGAGAATGTGCTGTCACTCTTCCGGTTCTGTTCCTCTCCCATCACTTTTGTTCTCGTGAGTTTCTACTGCCATGACTGCCCTTCAGGAGCTTCCAGAAGGAGCAGAGATGAGTTCGTGGTTTTGGCCTCGGGGCTCAGCTGCAGCCTGGGTGGTTCTTCTGGAGTCGCCTCCCTTGCCCCAGCCCTGCCACGGTCCCTGTGTGGTTGTCGTTCTGTGACCCTTGCTCCTGCTCTGCCCCTCACCTACCGCTTCACTCTTATTTACGTCAGAGCAGACGCTGAGGACACGTCTGCTGTCCCTGGGCCTTGCACAGAACTCTCCAGGCTCCCCCAGCTCATCAAGGAGTTTACACCTCTGGCTCCTAAAGGAGACGGAGTCTTTCTTGGGCAGAGCTCCGCTGATTCAGTTGTCATCGTCTTTTTGCTGCTCTTACGTTCACCTCAGACTTTCTGATTACGTTTCTGTGTAGAAAAAACAAGACCAGAAAGCTCCAGATAAAGAGGCCATACTGCGGGCCACCGCCAACCTGCCCTCCTACAACATGGACCGGGCCGCGGTCCAGACCAACATGAGAGACGTGAGTGTCAGCCCAGAGCGGCGGCGGGTGCATGGGGTCCCCGTGTGGGGGATTGCTGTGGGGGGGTTCCTGCGGGGCGGGGCAGCAAGAGGAGATTCTCTGGGAGGATTTGGGGAAGCCGGTGAGCGGGTCTGTAGGACTGCACTATTTTGCATTTTTTCTGTAAATCAAAAATTATTTCCAAGTAAGAGTTGGAAAGCCATCTGAAGGCAGGATTGAAAAGATAGATACCCCTGGGAAAACGTCAATCCGGCCCTGAGTTTGGCAAAACGTTTAGATAGAATTCTGAACCCGAAGCGGGTGGATCACCTGAGGTCAGAAGTTCGAGACCAGCCTGGCCAACATGATGAAACTCCGTCTCTACTAAAAATACCAAAAATTAGCCGGGCGTAGTGGCAGGCACCTGTAATCCCAGCTATTCAGGAGGCTGAGACAGGAGAATCACTTGAACCCGGGAGGCGGAGGTTGCAGTAAGCCGAGATTGCATCATCGTACTCCAGCCTCGGCAGCAAGAGCGAAACTCCGTCTCAAGAAAAAAAAAAACACACAAATCTGAACCCGTGAGTTATTTTGGGTCAGAACATTCTAAGTTAAAAAAGAAAAGTGTTTGCAGTGCTCACGTGGACGCCGCAGCAGGCAGGGCAGGCACGTGCTGTGCCGGGGTGGGAGGACGGCTGGCTTCCAACTTCATCTGATGCCAGTCCAACCTAAGGGCACTGCTATAAGCCCTGTTTCATTTTAGGAATGAACCTCTTGGGGTGTCTTCCAGAGAGTTCTGTGCTGACCAGGGCATGGTGGCTTTTCCCCAGCAGCCAGCATGTGTGTCTCCCATCCTGTGTGTGTCCGGCTCAGAGGTATTTCTCTAGTGTGGTGTCCGCACCAAGGCTCACACTTGTGTGAGAGTAGGGACAGCTGACGCCTGACCTCTAGGCCCTGTAGCCAGGAGCTGTTCTGGAGGGCATCTCCGGTCCATCCCACGGCTCCTCCTGCCTGGGGAGGACAGTGATGGCCGCCGCAGACGCTGTGTGGCAGCCATGCCTCCACTGGGGGCTGGCAGACTCATGGGGGTGGAGCCTCAGATGATTCTGTTTTCTTCAGTGAAGCCAGAGAGGGTCTTCAGCTTGCCCTGCACCTGCGCCAGCTGGGCCGACGGTTTCCTCACAGGGCACAGGCTGAGTATCGGGCCAGCACTGAGTGACCGTCACCAGGCGTTCCTGTCCCTTTCCACTGGCTTCAGTCCCACCTGCAGGGAGGCTCTTGGCCCTGCCAATCCCCTGCCTTGCCCTCAGCTGATCCTGCTGTCTTGCAAGAAAGCAATGTCATCTCAACTCTCAGAATCAAGAGTTCTAGGACAGGGGAGCAAGTCATAGATCCAAGTAGGTTTGGTGGACATTTAGAGAATTGATCTCCTTTTTTTTCACCACAGTTCCAGACAGAACTCCGGAAGATACTGGTGTCTCTCATCGAGGTGGCGCAGAAGCTGTTAGCGCTGAACCCAGATGCAGTGGAATTGTTTAAGAAGGCGAATGGTATGAGTCAACCCCGATGCTGCATTCCAGGGCGGTTCACTGCCGGCCTTGGGGAGCGTCTGCAGCTCCACGCACTGACCACTGACCGGAACCTCAGTGCTTTATGGAAGCGCTGATGAGGGCCTGGGGCCTGCCTCACCGGCAACTCCTGTTGATGTGCCTGAGGGCGGGCAGGTGGAGCTCAGACAGATAATTGCTGCAAATGTTTGTGCTCAGATAAGGCCCCTGAACCTGAGGCTGGAGCCCTCATGGCCCTGTCGTCTCCCTGCAGCAATGCTGGACGAGGACGAGGATGAGCGTGTGGACGAGGCTGCCCTGCGGCAGCTCACGGAGATGGGCTTTCCGGAGAACAGAGCCACCAAGGCCCTTCAGCTGAACCAGTGCGTGGGGGGCCACCTCCTTCCCTTGCCGGAGACACCTGGGGCCTGGTTTTGTGGGGCTCCCACCGTGGGTGACGTCCTCCTACCCTAAACTCTTTGACTGAATCATTTCTAACGTGGGGTTTTGAAGAGGTACCTTAAATATGTGCCTCCAAAGTGTTTTTGGGGTGAATGTGACAGAACAGTCGTTGTGTAAATTCTCTTTGGGCCGTTGTATGAGAACTCAAGGTGAATCCCGTTCGTAGCAGGGACACGGCCTCTAACAGTCTTCTCAGGATTCCCGTGTGAGTTACTTGCCCTGCTTCTGTGTTCAGATCTAAAATGAATAATCCGAGATCCAGGGGCAGCCGGGGGCAGTTCCCCCTGTGGTCCCTATCTAAGCCCTCAGCAGATATCTCTGGGTCCGCTTGCCTCTCCTTAGACATGGGCTTCTGATTCTGCCCAGGGTCTCAAGGTAGTCTGAGGCAAGGACCAGCGCTTCCGTCGCACCTGTGTTCATTCAGGTTCTTGTTATAAGGGTCACCAGCTGATGCTGGAGAAGTCACTACCATAGCAGAGGCTCTTCTTGGGAATGGACAGGAGGCGAAGGCCCTGGTCCGTTAGTCTGGGGATGTTGGAAAGAGTCTCTTGCCTTGCAGCATGTCGGTGCCTCAGGCCATGGAGTGGCTAATTGAACACGCAGAAGACCCGACCATAGACACGCCTCTTCCTGGCCAAGCTCCCCCAGAGGCCGAGGGGGCCACAGCAGCTGCCTCCGAGGCTGCCGCGGGAGCCAGCGCCACCGATGAGGAGGCCAGAGATGAGCTGACGGAAATCTTCAAGAAGATCCGGAGGAAAAGGGAGTTTCGGGCTGATGCTCGGGTATGTGTTACTAGACCTGTCGCCAGGCAGAGTCGCTGTGTCTTCCCTTGAGGTGGCGCCATGGAAAGGAAGCTGGGGCTGCATGGCTGACCTTGGGCTGAGCTGGCTCCTGTCCCAGGAGAGAGAGAAGCTGGGGAAGGGGTTTACAGGTGGGCCTGGGAAATGGCGAGCCTGGGGGCGGTGGGCCTGGGGACCGTGGCCCGAGTTTCTGAGCACACCTGTAAGTTATCCTGGCTTGAATCCAGGCGCCCCAGTTTCCTCTGTGTTGCCACATTCGTCACCTTTTGAAAAACTTGATATTTTACAGTTCCTTCTGACCACTCATCCACAAGCCCCCCCTGTTCGGCAGCCTCTCTGCGGGGTGGGGGCCCTGCCCAGAGACCGGGAGGGTCATTTGCCGTCGGGGGTGTCCATGAGCGAGGGGCCGCTCAGGCTGCCAGCCGCCTCCATGGCACAGTCTGCAGGGCTGAAGGGTCCCTGCGCCTGTGTGTGTGGACCTTCCTCGCCCGCGCCTCATCTCCCCATTCTTCCTTCTCTCTCCTGTTCTTTGATTCGGGTTTTACTTCCTCCTTGGAGGTTTCTGTCTGTCTCCGACATGCTCAGATGGCAGATCTGCTCCATCTGCATGCTGTCGTCTCGTGTGGCACTGATCGTTTCCTTGGGGTGTGTGACATTGTGCTGTGGCCTCACCTGCGGAGCTCGTGTTTTCCATGGAGTTCCATGTGGCCAGGCTGTAGACATCCACCTGGGGTGATTCTGAGTTTGCTTCTGCTGGTGATGAGTGGGGCCCCTGCCCCACCATGTCCCGCAGTGTAACCCCCGGCTTCGCAGCTCAGGTCTTCCCTGCACAGGGTTCCGTGGAGACAAATGCTTTTCTTTGTTTCTTTTAAAATTTAATTTAATGTTAAGTTCTGGGATACATATGCAGGATGTGCAGGTTTGTTACATAGGTAAACATGTGCCATGGTGGTTTGCTGCACGTGTCAGCCCATCACCTAGGTATGAAGCCCAGCATGCACTAGCTATTTTTCATGATGCTCTCCCTCCCCCAGACCCCCTGATGGGCCCCGGTGTGTGATGTTCCCCTCACTGTGTCCATGTGTTCTCATTTTTCAGCTCCCACTTATAAGTGAGAACATGAGGGGCTTGGTTTTTTGTTCCTGTGTTAGTTTGCTGAGGACAGTGGCTTCCAGCTTCATCCATGACCCTGCAAAGGACGTGATCTCGTTCCTTTTTATGGCTGCATAGTATTCCATGGTGTATATATCCCACATTTTCTTTATTCAGTCTATCCGGTTTCTTTTCTTATCCGTGGGCATTTGAGTTGATTCTATGTCTTTGCTATTGTGAGTAGTGCTGCAGTGAACATACGTGTGCACATATCTTTATAACAGAATGATTTCTATTCCTTTGGGTATATACCCAGTAATGGAATTGCAGGGACAAATGGTATTTCTGTTTCTAGGTCTTTGAGGAATCACCACATGTCTTCCACAGTGGTTGAACTAATTTACATTCCCACCAGCAATGTAAAAGCGTTCCTATTTCTCCACAGCCTCACCAGCAGCTGTTGTTTCTTGACTTTTTAATAATCATCATTCTGATTGGCATGAGATGGTATCTCATTGTGGTTTTGATTTGCATTTCTCTAATGATCAGTGATGTTGAGCCTTGCTCTGTCGCCCAGGCTGGATTCTTCCTGCCTCAGCCTCCTGAGTAGCTGGGACTACAGGCACACACCCACCACGCCCAGCTAATTTTTGTACTTTTAGTGGAGACAGGGTTTCACCATGTTGGCCAGGCTCGTCTCAAACTCCTGACCTCAAGCGATCTGCCCGCCTCGGCCTCCCAAAGTGCTGGGATTACAGGTGTGAGACACTGCGCCCGGCCAACTGTCTTCTTTTGAGAAGAGTCTGATCATGTCCTTTGCCCACTTTTTAATGGGGTTGTTTTTTTCTTGTAAATTTGTTTATTCCATGTAGATTCTGGATATTAGACCTTTGTCAGGTGAATAGATTGCAAAAACGTTCCCTTCTGTAGGTTGTCTGTTCACTCTGAGGGTAGTTTCTTTTGCTGTGCAGAAGCTCTTTAGTTAGATCCCATTGAGACAAATGCTTTTCTAGTCTATTTTCTCATCTTTTCAGGGTCCTGTTTTAAGTAAGGGTCTCAGTTCCCACTCCCTACCTCCCATGGGCCCAAGGCGCACGTTCTGTCTGTGTGTAGACATCAGACCCCGCCCTCCCAGGGCAGCCCCTGCGCACACCCTCTCCCAGGGCTAGCTTTCTGTCTCTTCCTTCTTGGGTTTCTCACTTGTGGATATCCCTTTCTTGTGAGGTTAGCTCTGCATGTAAAAGTTTCTCTTTTTTTTTTTTTTTTTGAGACAGTTTCACTCTGTCACCCAGGCTGGAGTGGCGGTGGCACAATCATGGCTCACTGCAGCCTTGACCTCCTGGGCTCAAATGATGCTACTTCAGCCTCCTGAGTAGCTCTTACAGGCACGCACCACCACACAGGGCTAATTTTTTATTTTTTAAAATTTTGTACAGATAGGGATCTCCCTGTGTTGCCCAGGCTGGTGTTGAACTCCTGGCCTCAAGTGATCCTCCTGCCTTGGCCTCCCAAAGCGCTGGAATTACAGGCATGAGCCATTGTGCCTAACCTAAAAGCATTTTTGTTTTATTTTCATCTAGCATTTCTAGGTTTAGCAGGAAGTTTGTCTCGTTGTGCTTGTCTCCTAGGGAGCCAAGTTTACATCTGATCCTGGAAGCCTGTCCAAGTGGAGCAGTCACTCTCCAGCTGGGTCCCTTGTGCTCTGAGGTTGGACTTCGCACTCTCGTGTGTTGTGGTCCTGCACGGTCTCTTGGAGGTTGTTAGTCATATACTTTCTTGCCATCTTAAGCCTTTTTGTTAAATATGGATGCTCATTCTTAACAATCTTAACGTGCTCGTTTTCCTAAGATCTTCCCCATTGCCATTCCCTCCCGTCATCTCTCTGTGTCAGAACAACATTCCGTAGAATGTCTTCTTTGATGAAAATCATCACAAGGTGGTCAAGGCTTGAGGGGCCAGCCCATCAGTCCTCCTAGCCTTTGGTTTCTGTACAAGTCATGAGATCAGGCAGTCGTCCAGTAGGGATCGAGATACTAGCTTTGTTACTGAGAAAGGATTGGAGAGCTCTGACTTGAGGCCAAAACAGATTTCCTGCTGCCCCTCCCTTCCCAGTGGTAGACAGGATGCCTGCTGTCCGGGGGCAGAGCTGGCAGGGCCCGACGTCCTGCAGCCCGTGAGCGCAAGGCCCCTCTCCCATTGCCCACAAGCAAGTCTTTGCCCCCATGGGCTGGGAGGGAGGGCAGGGACTGCCAGGTGTTGCCTTGGGAGTACTGGGGCATCATTTCCTGGGCTGAGGTAGAAATGAGCGACAGTACTTCCTATTGAAGCTAGTGAGGAGGGCATCCTGTCCTTGAATTCAGTAGATTCCAGGCTATTCTGTATGACTTTGATATCAAAATATTGTGCGGTGGGTTCTTCCAGAGTTCATTGTTGGAGCTCCTGGATTAGGGTGTGGCTCAGGAAGGCAATTGTGATGGACCATAAATAGAAAATACAGAGTTTTTTCTTTTTTGAGATGGAGTCTCACTGTGTCGCCCAGGCTGGAGTACAGTGGTGCGATCTTGGCTCACTGCAACCTCCACTTCCCAGGTTCAAGCGATTCTCCTGCCTCAGGCTCCCGAGTAGCTGGGATTACAGGTGCCCGCCACCACGCCCAGCTACTTTTTGTATTTTTAGTAGAGATGGGGTTTTCCCATGTTGGCCAGGCTGGTCTCAAACTCCTGACCTCAAGTGATCCTCCCACCCCGGCCTCCCAAAGTGCTGGGATTACAGGCGTGAGCCACTGCTCCCGGCTGGGACTTTTGACCTGATCATGCACACAGTTTAGCTCTAGCCAGCATCCTTCCTGAGCTCCACCCCAGCTGAAGTCTTTTTCTGCCAGGTTCTCTTGGAAGCATCTGATGGTGCAGTCCAGACTGGCTGTGGACGTGCACCGTCCGCGGGGTGCAGTGCTGCATGAAGTCAGCCTGGGTGGTGCTGGGAGCTGTGTGGGGCTGGCACCCCTAGACCACCTTATGGTGGCCGGAAAACTGCCAAAGATGGAGAGGACTCTGGGGGCTTCAAGAGAGTGGGATCTGACCTTTCAGGGATTAGGAGAGGCCCTTGAAATTTTGATGAAGCCTTCATCTTACTTATTTATATTTTTTCAAAATGGACCCCTTTAAACATTGTGGTATAAATCTCCAGAGTAGAGGATGTATTATCTTGTTACATGAATTGTGTCCAGAAAATGTATGTCCTTCCCCAAAAACGAATTAGCATATGTTCAGTTGTAGCTTAAGTTTTGTTCAATATTAAAAGTTAAAAAATTAGTTTTAGGATTTTTTTTTTTTTTTTTTGAGATGGAGTCTCGCTCTGTCGCCCAGGCTGCAGTGCAGTGGCGCGATCTTGGCTCACTGCAAGCTCCGCCTTCCAGGTTCATGCCATTCTCCTGCCTCAGCCTCCCGAGTAGCTGGGACTACAGGCGCCTGCCACCACGCCCAGCTAATTTTTTTGTATTTTTAGTAGAGACGGGGTTTCACCGTGTTAGCCAAGATGGTCTTGATCTCCTGACCTGGTGATCCGCCTGCCTCGGCCTCCCAAAGTGCTGGGATTACAGGTGTGAGCCACCGCGCCCGGCCCTAGGATTTTTTTTTTTCTAAGATAAAATCTGAATAAAACCTTTTTTCACAGGTTACAATGGCATTTTTGTTTCCGTTGAGATTGCACTTACTGACGTGGCCTTTCCCTAATGCCACTTCTCTTTGGGTAACAAGGCCCTCTGGGGTAAACCTGCGGTGGCTGCCGAGACAGTCTTATCCACACAGTCATCGGGACAAACCTGAAAGGGTCTGAAGTTGGCCTGACTGCCTCGTGTCCACATAAGCGATGCGTTTCTACCTGTCACAACCTGTGGCTCCCTGAAGACAAGCCTGGGAGCTGCACTGCCCCCCGGCTCTGCTAACTACAGTCATCCCTGCACTTCCTCGGCTTTAGGATGCTGAAAACCAAGATCTGTTTTAGCAGAGCTGTGAGGAAAGAACGTGGACGGACAGCGTCCTCAGTGCTGTTGGGAGCACCCTCCGCTAGGGTGCGGGGAGCGGGCCCCTCTGCACGCAGGTCACTGGTTCCTCGGCCTCCTGCCGCCCCCAGCGAGCTAACGGCTGTGCTGTCCTCTAGGCCGTCATTTCCCTGATGGAGATGGGGTTCGACGAGAAAGAGGTGATAGATGCCCTCAGAGTGAACAACAACCAGCAGAATGCCGCGGTGAGTGTTGGGCTGTGGTGAGTGAGTGTGGGCTGTGGTGAGTGAGTGTGGGCTGTGGTAAGTGTGGGCTGTGGTGAGTGAGTGTGGGCTGTGGTGAGTGAGTGTGGGCTGTGGTGAGTGTGGGCTGTGGTGAGTGAGTGGGGGCTGTGATGAGTGAGTGTGGGCTGAGTGAGTGTGGGCTGTGGTGAGTGAGTGTGGGCTGTGAGTGTGGGCTGTGGTGAGTGAGTGTGTCAGGCTGGGCGAGTGCTGGGAGCCTCACTCGTGAGCGCCCCGGGCGTGGTGGAGGCCGTGTGTTTGCCTACTTTCACATGCAGCCGGCTATGTGGCTTTTAAAGTGAGACAATTGGATAGATGGCTCAAACAGTATAAAAATTTAAAAATACGGAATTCTAGGTTTTTAAAAGGGTGCCTTATATGTACATATTTTATGGATGGGTAATTTGTTCATTTTTTTTTTTTTTTAATTTTTTTGGAGTCAGGGTCTCACTCTGTCCCCCAGGCTGGAGTGCAGCGGTGTGATCACACTCACTGCAGCCTCGACCTCCTGGGCCCAAGCGATCCTCCTGCCTCAGCCTCCTGAGTAGCTGGGACCACAGGCATGCACCACTATGCCCGGCTAATTAGTTTTTTAGAGACAAGATCTCCCTTTGTTGCCCAGGCTGATCTTGAACTCCTGGCTTCAATCGATCCTCCTGCTTTGGCTTCCAAAGTGCTGGGATTACATGCATGAGCCACCACTCCCAGCCCATTTTTCTGATTAAACTGACTCAAGAATGATTCCCGTCCTGTGCCCGTGTGCCAGCTGGGCTGATGGAGCTGTGCCTGGGGAGGTCCCTGTGGTGGCCCACATCCCCCCCCCACCATCCCCCGTGCCAGTGGAGTTCGTGGCTCACACCTCCAAGACAGAGATGAGGAGCCTGTGTCCTCATGGCTCCAGCACTGCTGACTGCCCATAACAGGACCACAGGCAAGCTGGGCACTTGGTACATTTGTTAATCACCTTCCCAACACTCCTGGGTGGGCCACACTGGCCCAGGTAAGTGGGGAAGCGGCAGCAGTCAGTGATCCCTGCGACACCAGGGTCTGCAGAGAAAAGCGGACTAGCTCTTCCTTCTCTGGCCTGGTCTGACACGCACGGCAGTGAATCCAGACTGCGTTTGTCTTCACGGTAGAGTCCCTTCCAGGGAGATCAGCCCTGGGGGCTCAACAGGAACTCACAGAAAGGTGCAGGAGCTGTCATGCCTGCTGCTGGTGGCGTCTTGCGGAGGCACTGAAGGCGCTAACAGTGGTATTGGTGCTCTTGGCTTTGCAGTGCGAGTGGCTGCTGGGGGACCGGAAGCCCTCTCCGGAGGAGCTGGACAAGGGCATCGACCCCGACAGTCCTCTCTTTCAGGCCATCCTGGATAACCCGGTGGTGCAGCTGGGCCTGACCAACCCGAAAACATTGCTAGGTATGTGCGCCTTCTTTATGCTAAGTCTCGGGTCGGGGAGGCTGGCTGGTTCCCTTGCAGGACAAATAGGTGCTGCGGAGGCGATACGGAGGATCCAGCGCTGAGGATCGCCGTGCGCTGGCAGCACGTCCTGCCATGCAGGTTGGCATCCTGCGGGTGTAGTCCCGCTACGTCACTGTGGGGCCCGCAGGTCAGGTTCTGATCGTGGTGTGACTGTCTCCTGCGCGATGACCCTGACATAGGCCTCAGAAAACCAGTGCCAGTGGCTTTCCGAGGGCCAGCGGGGTGGAGACTGCGCCAGCAGCTTAGGAACTCACGGGAGGACAAGGTGTGGTTTGGGCTTTTGCTCTTACTACTCGTCAGGGTCTTCGATGGCAATGGTTTATTTTTATTGTGAGATACGTACATACAAAAGTGTATATGATGATGTAACTTTAAAGAAGAATAAAACTAATAGCCATGTATCTACTATTCAGCTTTGGGCCTGGGGTGCCCCTCCCCTATGCACCTCATCCCTCCCTCCGGTGTGGCCGTCGCCGTGGCCGCGGCTTACCTCTCTGCTTCCCGGTAGAGTTTTGCCGTATTTGTGTCTCCTTAAACAATCTCTCATTTGCTGCTGCCTTTGTGTAAGTAGAATCATGTTTTAAGCAGGCCTCTGTGACTGACTGCGTTCTTTGTGGGGGTTGTGGAGTATTTTCTTGATGGAAGGCACTGGGAACCCAGGGCTCGTTGGGTTGTCTACATGTGGTGCCACTCCTGATTTTTTTTTTTTTTTTTTTTTGAGACAGAGTCTCGCCTTGTCACCCAGGCTGGAGTGCAATGGCATGATCTCGGCCCACTGCAACCTCCGCCTCCCAGGTTCAAGCAATTCTCCTGCCTCAGCCTCCTGAGTACCTGGGATTACAGGCGTGCACTACCACGCCTGGCTAATTTTTCGTATTTTAGTAGAGACGGCTTTCACCATGTTTGCCAGGCTGGTCTCGAACTCCTGACCTCGTGATCCACCTGCCTCAGCCTCCCTAAGTGCTGGGATTACAGACCTGTTGGTCCCCAGGAGCTGAGTTCCTGGATGTTGGGAGGGCCTTTGCCACCCGAGCAGGCTGGAAGTGTCTCTGGAGCTGCGATGGCCGTGCCCTGATCTTGAAGGCTGGCCTTCTTTCAGAAGCGTATTGGCCGCCTGTAGAACCTTGGCTGTGAGAGACCTTCCGCTCAGCGTTTGGCCTGCTTTTCTCTTGGATTGTTTTCTTATTCATTCAGAAAGGTCCTCACCTCCTGGATGCTGACCCTTTTCCCATTATTTGTGTTGCAGATGCCGTTGTTCAGTTTCTGGTTTATTTCCTCACACTGATGGGCAGAATCCCGTGTTTTGATGTCCTTCAGTGTGTCTGTATTTTTTTTAAGATGTGAACCTTTAAAGAAAACCCTCCATGGCTGGGCGTGGTGGCTCACGCCTGTAATCCCAGCACTTTGGGAGGCTGAGGCAGGTGGATCACGAGGTCAGGAGTTCAAGACCAGCCTGGCCAAGATGGTGAAACGCTGTCTTTACTAAAAATACAAAAAATTAGTTGGGCATGGTGGTATGCACCTGTAATCCCAGCTACTCTGGAGCTGAGGCAGAGAATTGCTTAAACCTGGGGGGCGGAGGTTGCAGTGAGCCGAGATCGTGCCACTGCACTCTAGCCTGGGCGTCAGAGCAAGACTCCACCTCAAAAAAAAAAAAAAGAAAAAGGAAAACCCTCCTATCCGAAAGTCAGAAACACGTTTTCCTTTTATTTTTTTTTCCAAAAATGTTAAAAGTTTCTCTTAATTTAAGTCCATAATCTACCTAGAAGTATGTGTGTGGTGTGAGGTAGGGATCTTCTTTGTACCCAAATTCTAAAACTTGAGAATGGTCTTTTGTGAGTTTATTTTTATTCTTAGTGATTCCTTTCACACTGAAAGCATATTCCTCCTAGCTCTCCAGCTGTTTGTATACCTTAGGATGTTAGTGTGTGCTGCCTTGGGGTCTGTCCAATAACTTTTTCTTTTTTTTTTCCTAATAGAAATAGGCTCTTTCTCTGTCACCCAGGCTAGAGTGCAGTGATGGCGCCACTGTCCATGCAAGATCTGCCCCCAGCACACACACTTGCCCACCTCCATATTATAGACAAGACCTTCATTGTTTTAACTTGTATTCCTCTTTTTTTTTTTTTTTTTGAGATGGAATCTCGCTCTGTCACCCAGGCTGGAGTGCAGTGGCACGATCTCAGCTCACTGCAAGCTCCGCCTACCGGGTTCACGCCATTCTCCTGCCTCAGCCTCCTGAGTAGCTGGGACTACAGGTGCCCGCCACCGTGCCCGGCTAATTTTTTGTATTTTTAGTAGAGACAGGGTTTCACCGTGTTAGCCAGGATGGTCTTGATCTCCTGACCTCGTGATCCGCCCGTCTCGGCCTCCCAAAGTGCTGGGATTACAGGCTTGAGCTACTGCGCCTGGCCACTTGCATTCCTTTTGGTTATTAGCAATGTTGAATACTTTTCTGTTGGCCATTGCATTTCTTCTTTTACATACTGTCTATGCGTGTCATCTATTTGTTTTCCTTCTTTTTATGGAGACAGGGTCTTGATCTGTCACCCAGGCTGGAGTGCAGTGGTACAATCACAGCTTACTGCAGCCTTGACCTCCTGGGCTCAAGTCATCCTCATGGGTAGTTATGACTACAGGCATGCACGACCATGCCCAGCTATTTTTTTTGTTGTTGTTGAGATGGGGTCTCGTTTTTTTGCTCAGGCTAGTCTTGAACTCCTGGCTTCAAGCGCTCCCCCCACCTCTGCCTTCTAGAGTGCTGGGATTGTAGGCGAGAGCCATTGTGCCTGGCACATGTGTTTTTCAATTGCAATATTAATCCTAGAGCTTCCTTAATAGCTTCTTGGATATTAGGCACATCTTCCTTTGTTGAATGTTGTAAACTGTTTTTGCTCTCTAATTTTGTGTGGCATTTTCTGACATACAGAAGTTAGGATATACAGAAGACAGTCCTTCCTCAGGTTGGGCATGGTGGCTCATGCCTGTAATTGTAGCACTTTGGGAGGTTGAGGCAAGAGGATCACTTGAGCTCAGGAGTTCGAGACCAGCCTGGGTAACATAGCAGGACCTCCTCTCTACTAAAAAAGCAAACAAACAAAAAAACAAAATCAGCCAGGAGTGGTGGCACACGTACCTGTAGTCCCTGCTACTCAGGGGACTGAGGTGGGAGGATCATTGAGTCTGGGAGTTCAAGGCTGCAGTGAGCCATGATCACTCCACTGCACTCCAGCCTGGGCAACAAAGCAAGTCGCTGTCTCAAAAAAAAATTAAATTCAAAAAGGAAAGTCCTTCCTCAGATAAATAATCATCTGTGTGGTTTTTCATATTTAACTCTTTATCTTTTTGTTCAACTCTTTCATCCTTCCAGAATTTATTTTGCTGTTTATTGAGAGGAAATGGGAAATTAAGTTCCCCGCCCTGTGTGTGAAACAGCTGTTTCGCACCTTATAGTTTGTTCTTTCTGAGTCTTTTTCTGGGATTTTTATTTTTATTTTTTGAGACGGAGTCTCACTCTGCTGCCCAGGCTGGAGTGCAGTGGCGCAATCTCGGCTCACTGCCAGCTCCGCCTCCCTGGTTCATGCTATTCTCCTGCCTCAGCCTTCCGAGTAGCTGGGATTATAGGCGCCTGCCACCACGCCCAGCTAATTTTTTATATTTTTAGTAGAGACAGGGTTTTACCGTATTAGCCAGGATGGTCTCGATCTCCTGACCTCATGATCCGCCTGCTTCGGCCTCCCAAAGTGTTGGAATTACAGGCATGAGCCACCGTGCCTGGCTTTTTCTGAGATTTTAAAGTGGTTTTTGGAGACTTTTAATCAGAACACCAGAGGATTGTTTTAAGGCCTGGGGATTGTCCAATCATGAACAGAGCCAAGTTGGGTTCACTCTGAGCTCTGTGCTCAGCCATGGGCTACTGGGCCGTGAATGGCTGTGAATTCTGTAGTGAGCACTGTCCCTGGAGCCTGTAGACCTGGGGCCACTTATGCTGAAGTGCGTCCATGTGTGTCAGGTCAGCATGGAGCCATCGATCCTGGCAGAGGGGCTGGCAGAACGCGTGCTCCTTCACAGTGGGTGGAACAGAGAGCTTTTTGCTAAAAGCCACCTGTTTTGGGGAAACAGTTTTGTAAAGCTGTTAAAACCCAAGTTTTCATTTTGAAGAAGTGCTGTGTTGCATTTTTAATGTGCTGGTTTTTTGAAGAAGGAATTTTCTGAAGGCTGAGCATTACGTTTTTCCAGTTTGTTGTTAACTTTGCAACAGTGTCTGTGTGTGTCCTTTCTGCATCTGCTGACCTTCTCGGGGTGGGATTGGAAGTGGAGTTGTTGGGGAAGATGATTTTTGAGCCCTGGCGGCTGCCAGACAGCTGCCGAGAGTGGGGGTGCCATGAGCACGCACAGGCACACTGCCCACCTGCCAGAATTGAGTGCATGACTCTCTGTGATCAGATCTGATTTGATGGGTGCATCCGATGGAGTTGGGTGGGTTTCAGCCTGAGAGTGCACACTTAGCAGTGAGCTCTGTGTGGCCTTTGTATTGGAGACGCACCCTCTTCATTAGGAAGCTGCCGAAGAGGAAAGTCACGCCTGTGCCTGTGGGCTGAGTGGGGGCGTGGGCACTCAGGCTGGCTCTGTTTTCCCTGCAGCATTTGAAGACATGCTGGAGAACCCACTGAACAGCACCCAGTGGATGAATGATCCAGAAACGGGGCCTGTCATGCTGCAGATCTCTAGAATCTTCCAGACACTAAATCGCACGTAGGTGGCGTTGTTCCACTCGGCTATCAGGCCACAGCAGCCCCCTGGTGCGGCCCGAGACCGGGCAGAGTGGACCTCACCTGGAAACTCACCTTCAGCGCCTCAGCCCTGGACTGTTAGAGGTGCTGCAGCTGCTCCTGCTCTCTGATCTTATTGCTTATAAACTTTGGTGACGGTAGTGTGTAAGGCCGTATTTTTAGCATCTGACAGGTGTTTACAAAAAAGTGGTTGTCGCACTGGGAAGTGGAGTGATGGCCTCGTCTCCAGTGCTCCTCTGGGCTCTTGAGTTGCTGCTTGAATTGCCGTGTAGACATTTGCTTGGAGAGTCCACTTGTTATTTGACGGAGGTAGGTTTCAACCCAGAGTTAATGTCAAGCATGCTAATTTAACTAGTCACTCACAGATGACTTTTCTTTAATAAAGTCCCTTTTCCTATTTCCTGTCTTCGTCTTTTCTTGGTGCCGCACAAGAAACCCGTGCGTCCCCGAGAGGCCACATCCCCGCGGCTCCGTGCCGGCTGCTCTGACCCGGGGCGGGCACCGGGGCCACCGCAGCATGTGGGAGGCCTTGTGGCCATGTTTGGTTGGCAAAGCCTCGTGTTGTATTGGGTTTAAGGGACTGGAGCTGAGCCCGTATTCCTGGGACACAGGTCCTGAGCCCAAGCACGGCTGCCTCCGCCTACCTCTGGCCTCTTCCTCCTTTTTTTTCATTTTAAAAAACATGACCGGTGTCTTAAAATGAGAAAATGAATTTATTTTGTTTTTTGTGAACTCTGCTCATTATTGTTGCTGGAAGCAGTCAGTTCCGAGCTGTTTGTTTTGAACTTCTCTTCTGAACCAGCCCCCTCCCCTTCTGAACTCTGCTTGCATTGTAGCTGAGTAAGAATGTTTTCGGAAAATGTTTCTCTCCACACATCTAGGTCTTTTCATTGTTTTTGAGATTTAGATTTAAAACTAAAGTTAATTTAAACTCTTTGGGCAGAAATATTAAAAATGCTTTTCAAAAGTAATGAATCTCGGCCGGGCGCGGTGGCTCACACCTGTAATCCCAGCACTTTGGGGGACCGAGGCAGGCGGATCACGAGGTCAGGAGATCAAGATCATCCTGGCTAACACGGTGAAACCCCGTCTCTACTAAAAATACAAAAAATTAGCCGGGTGTGGTGGCGGGTGCCTGTAGTCCCAGCTACTTGGGAGACTGAGGCAGGAGAACGGTGTGAATTCGGGAGGCGGAGCTTGCAGTGAGCCAAGATCGCGCCACTGCACTCCAGCCTGGGCGACAGAGCAAGACTCCGTCTCAAAAAAAAAAAAAAAAGTAGCGAATCTCACTTCTTTTTGAGACGGAGTCTCAAAAAAAAAAAAGATGCCTGTCTACTACCCTGCTGCCAGGCCACAGGCCCTCGGCCCGCCCCACGTCAGCAGGGTCTAGCCAGCCACAGTGCCCTCCTTGCCCGCCATCCTCTTTTGGCAAACTTGTGAGTCGGAAGAGAATGTTCTCCTCAGCGAGTTTAAGAGTCAAAGTTGGGAAATTCCTTCCGAGGAACCTCTGGACAGGTGTGTCCTCAGCCCGCCTCCTGCGGGCTGTGGAGCCGTGCTTTCCACGGGTTCGCTGGCTGCCTGGCTCATCTTGCTGTGGCCTGAGCGTCCACAAGGTGGGCGAGGGGCCACACCAACACCTGCCTGATGTGGCCATGAGGAGGGAAGTGTGTGCCAGTGCCTTTCCTCGGAGATGCTGCGTTCGCTCCCGTTGGCTGGTCCTGCACATGCAGCTTCTCCAGGTGCGCCTCCTCCGCTAGCCCCGTGTTCTGCCGCGCCCGCCTTTCAGTCCCCAGAGGCCCTGAGGTCGGGAATGCGCGTTCTCACCCAGCCCTGTCCTCTGGTGAGCGTGGATCCACGTTTTAACCTGGTCGCGGTTTGCATGCAGTTGTGGAGTTCTGGGTGAGTAAACACCACGTGCCGCCGAGGCCTTCCCAGGGGCTGCGGGCCGTCCGTAGATGGGTTCTGGAGCACGTCGCAGCTGCCCTGGTGAATGTGGTTTCTGCTCCTGCAGCGGCTGCTGGGGAGGTGGGGAGTGCTCTGGGCCTGGTTGCAGTCCTGCCGCTTCTCTGGGCCAGGCCATCAGCGCACACATGGGCGAGGCACCATCCCTGTGAACACAGCCTGTGTCTGGCACGCGTATTTTAGGGCTGAGGTTGTATCTTACAAGGTGAAATGAAATGGCCGGCAAACTCTAGAAATTCTTCGTTTACGTGGACTTCAGTTCCATGACCAGTAACGCTGCTGTCCATGTGTGCCTTCGCCACAGTGGCCCATGAACTAGGGGCAGGCAGCTGGCCGAGCCTGGCCCTGAGCGCAGTTGTGTTCCAGCTGCTGAGGGCCAAGTGGCTTCTCAGCCCATGGGGCCAGGCTGCCTGGCTCTGGGGGGCGTGGGTGCTGGGTCGGGGACGCTGGGTCGTACACAGATGTTCCGGTGCACATTGCTCTGTTGAGATAAGGGCCACCTGTGTCATTTTGAGCTTCTGCTAAGCCGTTTTTCTTCTTCCGGGGTCCTGTGGAGCAGGACCCCTGGGCAGTGCCCTGTGGCCATACTCAGGGCTCTAGACCAGGGTGTGATGCCGAGGCAGGTCACCTGTGTGCCAGGGAAGGTGGAGGGAGTTAGATGGCTCACTTGGCCAGCATTCCCTCCTGCTCCGGTGGCCGAGCTTGGCGATGACACATGCGTTTCCTCGTGGAGTGGGATCATGCTGAGATTCCAGGACAGCGTGGCTCAGCTGCTGGAGGGGTGACTTCCCCTGAGATCGTGGGGTCAGGACATTGCTGTGCCGACTGTAGGCGCCGTCCACACAAGCAGGGGATTCCTCCCCCCAGGTGCAGAGAGAGGTGGCCCAGCCACTTGGGCCACTACAGCGAGCTGGCATGGCGGTGGGACCCCGGGTGAGGAGTCTGAAGGCAGGGGTGGGGCTCACTGTCAGCTGGTGGGGACTGGGGGGCTCCGGGAGGTACTGGATGTGGGAGAGGCTGGGGGTCCACCAGCCTGCATCCTTCTCGAGGTCAGGGCCCTGCTCCGTCCCGTTTCAGGGCTGGCTGGTTGTGGAGGCACTTGGAAAACACTCGCTGGAACAGGCGGGTGGGAGGTGGGGCTGGGACAGGGAGCATGGGAGCCAGAGACCGCAGGAGCCTGAATCCCAGAGGACATTCCTGCTGGGGGTGTGGGGACAGCACCATCGGGGGCCTCAGTGCATCCGGGGAGCAGGTGGGGCCTGCCTGGGTCAGCCTCAGCCCAGCTGTGGGGTTCGCCCCCGTGCCCTTCGCTGCCCTTGGAGGCATGCTTGGTCCCACGGGAAGGCAGGAGGATGAGCTGCCATTTGCAGGGTGTGGGGTGGGCAGAGCATTCATGCGCTGGGCACAGCCTCAGCCAGAGGAAGGGCATTGTTGGCGTTCTGGGCCCAGCACAGGCTGGAGAGAAGGAACCCTCATGTGCAGATGTGGCCGAGCCTCCTAACCATGAGAGCACCGCCCAGAGACAGCATGTGCCCAGGGGTGCCCCCGCCCACCCAGGGGCTCTCTCTCGGGTTAGGGCCGGGAGTCGGGTGTGGCACCTGCAAGCAGCTTTCTGTGCCCAGTGGAGGCTTGGAAGGCACAGCTGCCTCCAGGTGAGGATGCCTGGTGCCTGGCTGGGGACTGACTCCCAGGCAGAGAACACAGCCATGTGGCTCTGGGGGACAAGGGTTTGGATGCTGCAGACTGGGCAGGGCTGGGGGCGGGGGTCTGAGGCAGTTAGTGGCTCTTCGACGTTCTCTCAGAGCTCGCTCTGGTTTCCCGCCTGACGGTCTCCCCTTGAACAGCTGCACTTAAGTGAGGTCCACCCTTGCCCCACTCCCAGGCGGGCTCACTGGCTTGGCACACGAGGGAGTCTGAGGGAGCCCCCTGTGGGGTGGTGCCTGCATTCTGGGCTCCCAAGAGCTGGCTTCCTGCAGGGGAACCTGCCAGTGCACCCCCGGCACTTTCCTGGGATCGAGTCTCCGCCAGGGATGTCTCCTGGCTTGGTCCTCAAGGGTCTGCCAGCCTCATACCCCGCAGGGCACGGTGGGCTCTCCAAGGCCAGGCAGGGCCTTTTTGACGGGTTCAGCCTAAGCCCAGGGCTGGCAGGGCCAGGGCCTGCGGTTGGGCTGCTCATCACCCAGCAGTCGCCGGGGAGCATGGCTGAGTGCCCTGTCCCCAACTGTCACTGCCCACATAACTGGGGGTGGGCCCAGGGCTTTCTTTGGCCAGCAGGTGCCCCACTCTCTTCTCCACATTCCCAAGAGGGGCTCCCTTCACCCACAAGCTGTCCTTAGGGGCTCAGAATGAGTCCCAGCCTGTGTAGGGCCCCAAGTGTGGTCCTCCCGCGCCTCCCAGGCAGCCCCTGGGCTGTGGGCAGGCTCTGGCGCCAGCAGGGCATGAGCCTGGCTCTCGCCCAGCAGTGGGGTCTCTGTCCACCCTGCATCGTGCTCAGCCTCCCCCAGGCAACTGCGCTCTTCCTCTCAGCAGCCATGCGCCCCCTGGGCCGTGTGGCCACACTCCTGCCCTGTGCTTGGCCTCTCTGGGGTGGGCGGGGATGCCCACCCTCCCAGTGCCACCTCCCGGGCTCCTGAGAACTGTGAGCCCCATCCTGGGCTGGCCTCTGCTTCACCCAGAGGCTGTGGACCTCACAGCCCAGGCACGTCCCCTTCCCCTCTGGGGACCTGGCTGACCCCTCCTGGGCTCCTGAATGACAAGGGCCTGGATCCCAGACTTGTGAGGGCCCTTCCAGGTCCCTGTCAGAGTGGACCCCACCCACACCCAAGAGCACGTTCCTGCCCTGGTGTGAGCCTCGGGCACCAGGGCCACAGCCAGGGATCAGGGCCACTGCCGAGGGCCGTGGTGGAGCAGGCCTGGGACCATGAGCCCTGTGGCCGCAGCGGCTCTGCAAGCTGGCAGAGTCCTGACAAAAGCTCTGGGACCTGCACCCCTGTCCTTGAGTGGAGATGGATGGAGACAGGAGACCTGGTGTCCAGGCTCCGCCGCAGCAGGCACTGCCCTGGCAGGTCGGGGAGAGCCTGACTTCCAGGGCCCAGCCGCAGAGTCTAGAGAAATGATTTTACTCGGGCTGGGGGGTGGCGGGGACACAGGTGCCACAGAGCAGGAGGTGTGGTCAGGTGGGGCCTTCCCGCCCACAGCACTGGCTCTGTCGCCAGAAAGATCCTCCTCGAAGTGAGCTCGGAAGCGGACTCTCCCAGAGGGCAGGGGTGGCAGCTGCGGGGCTGTGGTACACTCTGCCTGCGGCGTCGCCCGTGTGTGGTTTTTGAAGTGTGTGTGTGGTGGTGTGGTGTGCGTGTGTGCTCTGTGTGCATGCACAGGCGTGCATGTGTGTGTGTGTGCTCTCTGCATGCAGAGGCGTGCGTGTGTGTGCGTGTGTGCTCTGCGTGCACAGGTGTGCGTGTGTGCTGTGTGCATGCAGAGGCATGTATGTGTGTGTGTGCATGCACAGGTGTGTGCATGTGTGCTGTGTGCATGCACAGGCGTGCATGTGTGTGCATGTGTGCTCTGCATGCATAGGCGTGCATGCGTGTATGCTGTGTGCATGCACAGGTTTGTGTGTGTGTGCGTGTGCTCTGCATGCACAGGTGTGCGTGTGTGTGCATGTGTGCTCTGTGTGCATGCACAGGCGTGCATGTGTGCGTGCGTGTGTCGTCCAGGGGAGCATCACGGGGAGGCCAGGCGTGTGCCCAGCTCCCCAAGCAAGGCCTCCTGGCTTCCCTTCCGGCTGTCCCGTGGCTCCTGTGTGGCCGGGGCCTCTGGTGTGGGCCGGCAGCTCTTGGCCCCCAATGGGGATGGAGCAGCTCCAGGGTGCCTGGGACCAGGCTGGCACTGCTGGCAGAGTCAGTAGGATGGGTGCAGCCCCTGGGGACAAGGACAGGAAGCAAGGGCAAAGGCACCTCCAGGACAGGCCAGGACAACTTCTTGGCTTCCACGCAGCCTTCCAGAGCAGGGCCACAATGCTGTCCCTGTTCCAGGCTTTGGAATGTCCTAGAGATGCTTCTCAGGTGGCCAGCCCTGAGTCCTGCACTGGAACCCAGAGAGGCAGGGCACATCCCCAAGGCCACATTGCCGTGGTCACAGAGCAGGTTAGGGCGCTGGGGGATCCCCGCCTGGCCTGCCCAGGAGAGAAAGGGCTCTCTGTGCGGCCCCGGTGCTCGAGTCCTGGAGGAGCCTGTGGCTGCAGGCTCTCAGATCTCCTCCCTTCGGGCGGGGTCTCTGGCACCTCTGCCTCTGACTCACTGGCCACCAATGGTGTCAGCAGAGGGAGCGGGAGTCCCCGGCTGCCTCAGCAAGGCCCTGTGGTGCCCGCCTGACTCTCAGGGCCTCTCGCTTTTGTTGTCCTGAGTCACCACCATCAGGAAGTCACACTGCCCTGAGGCGGCTGCGTTGCCAGGAAGCCTAGGCCACGTGGAGAGGCCACTCCAAGAGGCCACATGGATGTGCTCAGGGTGACAGCCAGAAGCGACCGCCACAGGTGGAAGTGAGGAACACACTGAAGGCCTCGCTGTGGTTGGGTCACCTGGCCGTTCTCTCCACGGCGAAGTGGAGACCACCATGGCACTGGGCCCTGCCTGGGTTCCCTTCCCGGGGCCCTTGAGTGCGGCACGATAAAGGCTGTGCGCAGCTGCCACACCTGGTGTCACTGGTCACTTGGAGTCACTGCAGCACCAGCTGAAGGAGAGAGGGTCCGGCTCAGCTGAGAGGCCGCTTCCCATCCAGTGACTGGAGGCAACTTTGTTGGAGAGTTTTCCAGCCTGAGACGGATGCAGGGGAATTTGGAGACTGGTCCCAGCCAGGGTGCATCCCAGGGTGTGGTGGGGGCTGCCCCAGTCGGCACGTCCCGCAGATCCTCACACCCTCTGGCCACTGAAGACCTCTGAGGCCAGCCTAAGGAGGGGCCTGCAGGGCTCTCCTTGTTTTTTTTCTTTGAGGCGGAGTCTCTGTCGCCCGGGCTGGAGTGCAGTGGCAAGATCTCGGCTCATTGCAACCTCCGCCTCCTGGGTTCATGCCATTCTCCTGCCTCAGCCTCCTGAGGAGCTGGGACTACAGGCGCCCAGCACCACACGCAGCTAATTTTTTTATTTCTAGTAAGACGGGGTTTCACCATGTTGGCCAGGCTGGTCTCGAACTCCTCATCTTGTGATCTGCCCACCTCAGCCTCCCAAAGTGCTAGAATTATAGGTGTGAGCCACCACAACCGGCCGTTGTTTTTAGGTTTTATGTATTTACTTTAGAGACGAGGTCTCGTTCTGTCACCCAGGCTGGAGTGCAGTGCAGCCATCACGGCTCATTGTAGCCCACAACTCCTGGGCTCAAGCATCCTCCCGCCTCAGCCTCCAGGGTAGCTGGGACTGCAGGTATGCACCACTGCGCACAGCTAGTTTTTAAATGTTCTCTAGAGACGGGGTCTTGCTGTGTTGCCCAGGCTGGTCTTGAACTTCTGGCCTCAAGCAATCCTGCCTCAGCCTCCCAAAGCACTGGGATTACAGGCATGAGCCACAGGGCCCGGCCTCTCAGTGCTTTCTGAGAATGAGCTGCTTTTCTCTTCCGCCCCCAGACCTGAACCTCAGTGTTCCTGGAAACTCCCACGCTTGCATTCTGATGCTGAATTAATCACCGTGTCCCCAGGTGGCTGCTCTTGCCAGCCAAGCACTGAGGCCTCCAAACTCAGTCCCAGGATGGCGGCGGTCGGACCCCACGCTTCCTTGGGGCTCGCTGAGGGAGGGGGTCTGACCCCACAGGCCCTACCCAGGAGTGAGTCCGGGGCCAGGGTGGCCCTCGCAGACAGCGGACACTCTCGCTGCTTCCCTCCTATCCAGGCTGGGCCCACCACTTCCATGATGTGGCTGCCCTCACCATTAATTGCTTAAACCTGGGAGACGGAGGTTGCAGTGAGCCGAGATCACGCCATTGCACTCCAGCCTGGGCAGCAAGAGTGAAACTCCATCCCCCACCCCCCCAAAAAAGAACAGCTCTACTAGGCTCTACCTGACATGCACCAAGCTGTGTGTGCGAGGTTCACAGGTTGGAGGCTCCTGAAACAAGTGGGCACCTGGGAAAGCATCAAAGTCAAGACCCCCAGCACGGGGGACCTGCAGCCGCCAGGCCACTGGTTGCACAATTCCTGAGCCGGCGGGTTTCTTTCGCCTTCTGTAGGTTCGACCTTGAAACTACAAGAGTGAATCTGAAAGTTAGTTCAAAAAGTCAAACGGGTTCACAGCAGCCAAGAGGTGGCGACAACACGAAGCCCATTGGTGGAGGAGTAGGGGGGCAACATGTGGTCACCCAGACAATGGGGTGTTCGGCACACGAGGAGGTGAGCCCTGACGCAGCGACACGCGTGAACCTTGAAGGCATCATGCTGAGCAGGACAAGCCAGGCATGAAGGTCCACATGTTGTCTTGATTCCATTTCTATGAAATGTCCACAACAGGCGAATCCACAGAGACACAAAGATGGGTGGTTGCCACGGGCTGGGGGAGGGAGGAATGGGGAGTGAGGGCTGATGGGGAGGGCGTTTCCTTCCCAGGGCATGACAGTGTTCTGGAACTAGATGGATGTGGCTGCGACGCATCGGGAATGAATGCAACGGCACTGAATTGTCCACCTTAGCACGGCTGAGTTTGTTATGTGAATTTCCCCTCAATACAAAAATAAAAAAAATTGCCTCTAATTTTCTTTCCAGCTGTAACTTCCGTGTTTTTAAGGCGTCGAACCCAATCCCTCCGTTTTACATCCTCTATGAACTAATCGATGCCCCCAAACTACTAAATTTCATTTCCCAGAAAGTTCATGAAAAACCAAAACTCCAAGGAAGAAAAACTTGAGACCCAAGCTAGTCTCGTGTTTTTTATCATCTGTGATTTTTCAAAATTTCCATGCTGGGCCTGAAGTACTGTTAGTCAGAACGGTTTATTTAAGCAAACCAATATGCATGCTTTGTCATAAAATAATTTCCATATGGTAATACACTTGTTTTTTCTGTTTGTTTGTTTTTTGAGACAGAGTCTTGCTCTGTCATCCAGGTTAGAGTGCAATGGCGCGATCTCGGCTCACCGCAACCTCTGCCACCTGGGTTCAAGTGATTCTCCTGCCTCAGCCGCCTGAGTAGGTGAGATTACGGGCATGCGTGCCACCATGCCCAGCTAATTTTTTTTTTTTTTGAGACGGAGGTCTCACTCTGTCGCCCAGGCTGGAGTGCAGTGTTGCGATCTCGGCTCACTGCAAGCTCCGCCTCCCGGGTTCACACCATTCTCCTGCCTCGGCCTCCCGAGTAGCTGGGAGTACAGGCGCCTGCCACCACACCTGGCTAATTTTTTGTATTTTCAGCGGAGATGGGGTTTCACTGTGTTAGCCAGGATGGTCTCGATCTCCTGACCTCGTGATCCACCCACCTCGGCCACCCAAAGTGCTGGGATTACAGGCGTGAGCCACCGTGCCAGACAGTAATACATCTGCAACAGTGGTATTTTAAACACAATGGGCAGGCACATTTTGGTTTGGGTTCTGCACATTTTTAGCCTTGCAAGTCAGTGGAGACAGAGATGCGTGCTGCACCGCGGGAGGTAACTAGCCTGACCCAGAAGGGCTGGGGCGCAGAGATCCCCCACCTGGGGCTCCCCGCTGACTCCTGGAGCCCAGCCTGGGGGTCGCAGGGGAGTGGGCGGAGGCCACCCTGATCCCCACGCCAGACCTCCGTCCCCAGGACTGGAGGGAGAGGAGGGAACGAGGGAAGTCCTAAAGCTAAGCCAGCTGTTTAGCCCGTTTTCCCGACTGGGGCTCTGGACAGGCCCTGCCTGCTAAATGGTAAATGCTTTAATCTCCAGCGACCTAATTTAGTTCTTTTAAAAGCACAACTCAAAGCAAAAATGAAGCTGCCTAATATTTGTTAAAACACTATTATTAGGAGAAGTGGTAATATGTTGAAATTACCTTTACAAAAATTAAAGAAAGAAAGTTGGCCGGGTGCAGTGGCTCACGCCTGTAATCCCAGCACTTTGGGAGGCCGAGGCGGGCAGATCACAAGGTCAAGAGATGGAGACCATCCTGGCCAACATGGTGAAACCCCGCATCTACTAAAAATACAAAAAAAATGAATTAGCCAGGCGTGGTGGTGCGCTCCTGTAATCCCAGCTACTCGGGAGGCTGAGATAGGAGAATCGCTTGAACCTGGGAGGCAGAGGCTGCAGTGAGCCAAGATCACGCCACTGCACTGCAGCCTGGAAACAGAGCCAGACTCCGTCTCAAAAAAAAAAAAAAAAAAGGCTGGGATTGGTGGCTTACGCCTGTAATCCCAGCACTTTGGGAGGCCGAGGCAGGCAGATCACGAGGTCAGGAGT
This sequence comes from Homo sapiens, assembly GCF_000001405.40. NCBI lineage: Eukaryota > Metazoa > Chordata > Mammalia > Primates > Hominidae > Homo > Homo sapiens. The sequence continues at coordinate 135,923,004 of NC_000009.12, read as the reverse complement.
TTGGCGGGCCCCTGTAATCCCAGCTACTCCGGAGGCTGAGGCAGGAGAATCACTTGAACCCAGGAAATGGAGGTTGCAGTGAGCCAAGATCGCACCACTGCACTTCAACCTGGGCAACAAGAGGGAAAATCCATTTCAAAAAAGAAAGTCTGTGCAGGGTGGCTCATGCCTGTAATCCCAGCACTTTGGGAGACTGAAGCAGGCGGATCACCTGAGGTCAGGAGTTTAAGACCAGCCTGGCCAACATGGTAAAACACTGTCTCTACTAAAAATATAAACATCAGCTGGGCGTGGTGGCAGGCACCTATAATCCCAGCTACTTGGGAGGCTGAGACAGCAAAATCGCTTGAACCTGGGAGGTGGAGGTTGCAGTGAGCCGAGATTGAGCCACTGCATTCCTGCCTGGCAACAGAGTGAGACTCAAAAAAAACCCCAAAAAACAAAAACCTACAAAACAAAACAAACAAACCACTGTCATTAGGGGAGATGGTAATATGTTGAAATTACCACTTTACAAAAATTAAAAAAAATAGAAAGGCTGGGCACGGTGCCTCACACCTGTAATCCCAGTGCTTTGGGAGACCGAGGTGGCAGGATCGCTTGAGCCCAGGAGTTCGAGACCAGGCTGGGCAACATAAGACCCTGTCTCCATTATTTTTTTTAAATAATAAAAAATGACCTCCTTACAATGAGGTGAGCAAGCGTCAGCCTGCAGGCCGGATGCCCAGGAGCATGGGCTCACCCTGCCCTGACTTCCAACTAGGCTGGGGGCCAGGTGGGGAAAAGTCCTGTGCCCCTCCTGAGGGGGTGCAGGGCCCGATTTGGAAGGCCTGGGTCCAGGGTGGAACACTGCCACCTTTACCAAGGCTTGTGTGACCTTGTTGCCAGGGGAGGGTCTGATGGGCCGGCCCGCTGGGGATATCTGGGCTACCAGCTGGGCCATCCTGGGGCCACTGAGAAGGCGAAGGGCTCAGAGCTCAGCCAGGTCAGGGTTTCCTCTCTCATCGCTCCCCACTCCTCCGTCCATGCCTAGGGGCATCTGCAGGGCTGGTCTGGGGCCGCCCAGAGGCTGTGAGGGCCAGAGGCCTCACCCGGGTCACCACCCAGAGCAGGAGGTGAGCTGGGGGCACGGGAGCAAAGGCGAGGCAGGCAGGCTCGGGGAAGAGCTCCAGGAGGCAGGTGTGCAGTTAGCGTTAGGGTTATGAAGGAGGGGAGGGGATGTGTGGGTAATGGTGCATTTTGCCTTCTCCAGCAGCTGGGTCTGAAATGCTTGGGGATCAGGTCACCCAGGAGGGTGGGGTGACCAGAGGCCAGGGTTCCAGAAAGGGCTGGCACCTGACCATGTTGGACTAGGGTGACAGGGACTGGGTCCATGTGCCACAATCCACACGAGGGTGTCCCATTTGTCCCTCTACCTCCCCCCACGGAGGTGGGAACCTGGGGCTGGTGAGGGTGATGGCACCTCTCTGCAGGGCCCCCAGATTCCTGATGCATAAGGAAACAGCGCCCACTCGTCCCACTTCTCAGGTCGTTGAACACCAGCAGTCACGGAACACCGAGGCATGATCCACGCAGCATGACAGGCAAGCAGGGCAGGGGAGCAGGGCCAGAGCCGGGGAGCCCAAGGTGGCCTCAGAGAGCACCTGTGTGGAGGCAGGCCCGGGGGGTGTCCTGGGCTCGCCCGTCCCAGGAGCCGGATGGCTGGCCGAGCAGTGTGAGAGAGGACAGAGCCCAGTGCAGGACGGGCAAACCCAGGAGGTGTCTGGGAGCACCAAGAGCAGACAGCTTCTCCCGTGGGAGAACAGAGCGCAGCTGCTCTTGGGGAAGGAATGTGCGTGAGGCTGAAACTCGGGCGTTCGCCAGGTCTCGGGTGGCACAGACCTCTTACCTGTCCCATGCTGTGGCCGTTCAAAGCTCACCCCTACCTGGCAAAACCGCATTCCTTATTATTTATCTCACAAGGGAGAAATGGAATTTAATTCACTTAATTAAATTAGCATTTAATTCACTTAATTAAAAATTCGCATTTCCTCCTTGGGGAGTGATAATATGGTAAGGCCAGGGAAACCCTGCTTTAAGTGTGACTGGCTGGGTGCCACCTGTGCCAGCCTGGAGCGACCTGGCCGGAGTGTTAGGGGCTGTGGTGTCCGGCGGGTGTCCAGGTCTGATGGGAGATGGTCCGACTCCCTTGCATACTTGTAGAGAGTGACATTTTTCAGTGCAAGTGTCCACAGGTTTCCTCCCCAGCGGTGGGTTAGCCATGGGATGGGAGGTCTGAGCACCCCTGCTGGGTCCTCCCAGGGCTGGGCCCGCACCCAGCAGACAGTGCCAGGCCTGGTTCAGGCCTCAGGAGAAGCAGCCCTGAGATTCACAGAGGCCAATGTCCCTAAGTCTCTGAGACTCAAGTTTCCACATTTGCAAACTAGGGGACATCCTGGGGCCCAGGTGCAGCTCCTAGTCCTGGGTCGGCACACAGCAAGTGCCCAGGAGTGGCTGGCAATGTCAGTGTGCCAGGATCTGAGCCTGCCCCGAGGGATTGGGGATGGTGCCCCCAGCCTCCGAGGCTCCCAGCAAAGTGGGGACCCTTCCTTAGGGTTCATAGACATGGTGTGCATCCAGAGAGAAACTCGGCAGCCACAGGGTCACCTCCCAGGTCCCTGGGATAGCTCAGCTTTCAGCGCTCGTGGAGCCCACCCCAACCCCAGCCCCCCATTGTCCCTGCTCGCAGTGCTCATTGCCGTGGTTCATAGGCTCTAAACTACCCCCTCCTGGCAGAACATTCCAGTGGGCCAAAGCAATCCTCCCGCCTCGGCCTCCTGGGTAGCTGGGACCAAGGGCACACGCCACCACACCCGGCTAATTTTTTTGTAGAGGTGGAGTCTTGCTATGTTGCCCAAGCTGGTCTTGAGCTCCTGGGTTCAAGCGATCCTCCCACCTTGGCCTCCCAAAGGGCTGGGATTACAGGAGTGCACCACGGCCTCAGTCCGTTTTTATTTAACAGGTGGAATTTTTGCGGTGGCTCTGATGGAGGCCAGAGGGGTCAGAAACCTGCCTCTGAACTACCCTTCCCATGTCACTCCTGGACTGGGGGCTTCCGGGGTGCCTCCTTGCAAGTCAGCATGAGAGTCCTCCCTCCCATGAAGAGTCCACAGAGGCTCTGCTGACATCCTTCCTGCCCTCTCATTTTCTGCTGAGGGTGTTTTTTGGTAGGTTCAAGATGCCCAGCGAGCTGGGATTTCCTGGGTTCCAGCAGCCCCTGCAATTTCCCCAGGAGCTGGGACTGCAAGTGGGCCCACCACACCCGCTCTTGCAGAACCTGGGGGAGAAGGGGCCAGACAGCATGGGTGGAGTGAGGAGGGGGCCAATGGGGAACAGAGTGGGGGAGGTGTGTATGGTGTGGTGGGGGCAGGTGCAGCCCTGGCCTGAGCTGAGGCTCCAACCCTCAGCGGATCCCATCCTGGTGAGACACCGCTGCGCTGTGCACCCCAAGATGACGGGGGCCTGGCACCATGGGGGCACCCGCTGGAGGGCAGAGATTGACCATTGCAGGTGCGCAGGTCACTGGCATTAAGCAGTCACAGCAATGCGGGACCATCACCTCCCTCCCTCCACAGAACTCTCCATCTGCCCACTCTGTCCCCATGAAACACTCACTTCCGTCCCCTCCCCAGCCCGGCAGCCACCTTTCTACTTCTTGTCTCTATGAATCTGATGACTCTGGGGACTGCCAATGAGTGGGACTACAGGATGTGTCCTTTCATGACTGGCTCATTTCACTCTGCATAATGTTCTCAAGGCTCATCCGTATTGTAGTGTGGGTCAGAGTTTTCTTCCTTTTTAGGGCTGAGTAGTATTTTCTTGTGTGGTGAGGCCGCATTTTCCTTATCCATCTGTCCACAGACACTTCAGCTGTTTCCACCCAAGTGGAATAAGCTGCCGTGAACTGGGGTGTCCAAACACCCCTTGGAGACCCTGCTTTCAATTACAGGGTCCCATGGTAATTCTGTTTAATTGTCTGAGGAACTTCCATGCTGTTTTTCACAGTGGCTGCACCATTTTACATTCCCAGCAACAGTGCACAGGGCTTCTCGTTTCTCTACATCCTCCCTGGTACTTGCTATTTTCTAGTTTTTTGGTAGCAGCCATTCCAGTGGCTGGGAGGGGGTCTCTCGTGGTTTTTGGTTTGCATTTCCCTACTGACTAGTGATGTTGAGCATCTTTTCATGTGCTTCTTGGCCATCTGTGTATCTTTTTTGGAGAAGCGTCTATGCAAGTCTGTTGCTCATTTTTTAACCACGTTGTTTGGTTTTCTATTTTTGAGTTTTAGGAGTCTTGGATATTAATCCCTTTTCAGATACAATATTTGCAAATATTTTCTCCCATTTTGTAGGTTGTCTTTCTACTCTTTTGTTTTGTTTTTTTTTTGAGACAGTCTCACTCTGTCACCCAGGCTGGAGTGCAGTAGCACAATCTCGGCTCACTGCAACCTCTGCCTCCTGGGCTCAAGCGATCCTCTTGCCTCAGCTCTGCAAGCAGCTGGGACTATAGGAATGAGCCACCATGCCTGGCTAATTTTTGTGTTTTTTTGTAGAGATGGGGTTTCACCATGTTGCCCAGGCTGGTCTCCAACTCCTGAGGTCAAGTGATCCACCAGCCTCGGCCTCCCAAAGTGCTAGGATTACAGGCATGAGCCACCATGCCCAGCTTCTGCTGACAGTGTCTTTTAATGAAAGCAATGTTTTGATTTTCATGATGTCCAATTTATCTTTTCTTTTGTTGCCTGGGCCTTTGGTGTCATATCCAAGAAATCATCGCCAAATTCAGTGTTACGAAGCTTTTGCCCTATATTTTTCTTTTTCTTTTTTTTTGCTACAGGGTCTTGCTCTGTCATCCAGGATGGAGTGCAGTGGTGTAATCACGGCTCACTGCAGCCTCAAACTCCGGGACTCAAGTGATCCTCCCACCTCAGCCTCCTGAGTAACTGGGACTACAGGTGTGCACCACACCTGGCTCATTTTAAAATTTATTGTAGAGACAGGGTCTCTCTCTCTGTTGCCCAGGTTGGTTTCAAACTCCTGGGCTCAAGAGGTCCTCCTATTTTTTGAGACAGAGTCTCGCTGTTGCCAGGCTGCAGTGCGGTGGTGCAATCTCAGCTCACTGCAACCTCTATCTACCTCCTGGGTTTAAGCGATTCTCCTGCCTCAGCCTCCTGAGTAGCTGGGACTACCAGCACATGCCACCACACCCAGCCAATTTTTGTATTTTTAGTAGAGATGGGGTTTCACCACTTTGGCCAGGATGGTCTTGATCTCTTGACCTCGTGATCCACCTGCCTCGGCCTCCCAAAGTGCTGGGATTATAGGCGTGAGCCACCACACCCGGCCTCGGGGGATGAGTCCTCCTTTCTCAGCCTCCCAAAGTGCTGGCATTACAGGCACGAGCCACTGTGCCTGGCTTTGCCCTTTATTTTCTTCTTAGAATTTTATAGTTTTGGATCTTACATTTAGGTCTTGGATCCATTTTGAATCTATCTGTGGTAAGGTAAGGGCCAAACTTTATTTTTCTGTGTGTGGATATCTAGTATTCCCAGCATCATTTGCTGAAAAAGACTGTCCTTTCCCCACTGAATGGTCTTGGCACCCTTATTAAAAAATCATCTGGCCATGTATGCAAGGGTTTGTTTCTGGGCTCGCTATTCTATCCCATTGGTTTCTATGTCTGTCTTTATGCCAGTGCCACATTGCTTACTATAGCTGTGTAGAAAGTTTTGAGATCAGGAAGTGAAAGTCCTTAAACTTTGTTCTTTTTCAGACTGTTTTGGCTAGTCAGGGTCCCTTGAGATTCCAAATGAATTTTAAGATGTTTTTCTGTTCCTGCAAAAAATGTCATTGGGATTTTATAGGGACTGCATTAAATCTGTAGATTGCTTTGGGTAGTACTGACATCTTAACCATATTAAGTCTTCCAGCCCATGAACACAAAATGTCTCTCCATTTATCTGTGTCTTAATTTCTTTCAGTAATGTTTTGTAGCTTTCACTGCCTTAATCTTGTTTTATTCTTTTTATGCTATTGTACATAGAATTGTTTTCATAATTTCCTTTTCAGATTGTTCTTTGCATCCTACTGCTTTGCTGAATTCATTCACTAGTTCTAACAGATCTTCTGTGGAATCTTTAGGATTTTCTTCATATAGGATCATATAATCTGTAAACAGAGATAATTTTACTTCTCCCTTTTCCATTTGGATGTCTTTTATTTTTCTTGCCTAATTGCTCTGGCTAGATCTTAATAGAAGGGACAAAAGTGGATATTTTTGCCTTATTCCTGATTTTAATTTTTTTTCAGATGGAGTATTGCTCTTGTTGCCCAGGCTGGAGTGCAATGGTGCGATCTTGGCTCACCACAACCTCTGCCTCCTGGGTTCAAGCGATTCTCCTGTCGCAGCCTCCGGAGTAGCTGGGATTACAGGTGTACACCACCACGCCTGGCTAGTTTTCTATTTTTAGTAGAGACATGGTTTCTCCACGTTGCTTAGGCCGGTCTTGAACTCCCAACTTCAGCTGATCCACTCGCCTTGGCCTCCCGAAGTGCTGAGATTACAGGCGTGAGCCACCGCACCCGGCCTCTTATTCCTGATTTTACAGGAAAAGTTTTCAGCCTTTCATCACTGAGCAGTGTTAGATGTGGGCTTTGCATAAATGGCTTCTATTATGTTGAGGTAGTTGCCTTCCAGTCCTAATCTGTTGAGTGGTTTTATCATGAAAGGGTGTTGTTTTGTCAAATGCTTTTTCTGCATCAATTGAGATGATCATGTAGTTTTTTCCTTCATGCTGTTAGTATAGTGTAGTACACTGATTTTTTTTTTTTTGTATACTAAGCCATCCTTGAATTCCAGGAATAAATCTCCTTGGTCATAGTGTATAATCCTTTCAATATGCCGCTGAAGTTTGCCAGTACTTTGTTGAGGTTTTTTGCATCAGTGTTCATAAGGAATATTGGTCTGTAGTTTTCTTTTCTTGTCATGTGTATGTCTGGCTTTGGTACCAGGGTAATGCTGGCCTCATAGAATGCGTTAAGAAGTGTTCCCTTCTCTTCAGTTTTTTGGAAATGTTTATGAAGGGCTCGTATTAGTTCTTCTTTACACGTTTGGTAGAATTCACCAGGAAACCATCAGGTCTTGGACTTTTCTTTGAGATTCAGATAATGCTTTTAATGCCTACAAAATTAAAAATGAAATTAAAGTACTTTCATCACAAATTTTAAACGGTGGTACAGTACTGCATGTGCCTCTTTATGAATGCATTAAATAATGTAATCAAGCAGCTGGTCCAGGAGTTATGGTAATTTTGGAGCAATGATGAGCAGAATGGTATTCTGTGGCATCTGCAGCAATGGTGATGTGATGTGAGACATCCACGACTTCTGTAGGAGGTGGAGTCCCGGACACTGCTGATGCTGCTGCAGCAGTTGGTTGCCTAGATTCATAATTCAGGAAAATGTTAAATTTTGGTTAAAGGCCAGTGATGATAAAGATGGTATTTTTTCCTGTCCCAGTTCTCAATATCAACCTTCTCGGTGTGCTGGATATGATAACTATCCCAAACACCCCCATGGGCCCATGTCACACATGAACATATTCTGTCATATCTGTCTTTCCAGAAAAAAAGTGCTGAGAATGACCACAGTAAGGGATGCTTTACTTTGAAACATTCCCTGGTGTACCCAGCCCTGACCAAGGGCTGTGTGGAGGCTGGAGTGTGCAGGTGCAAGGGGTGGTGCCCTGTGCAGGAGGGTGGCCTTGGCTCCTGGGGTGCACAGGCATGGCCTCTCTGCAGGACCTGTGCTTCCACTAGGAGGCTGTGGTGGTTACATGCTCCTGAGTGTGTCTGGGGAAGGAACTCAGTAACTAGTCACCATGTGTATATGTTTCCTGCAGCTGCTATGGCAAATTACCAAAAATTCAGTGGTCGAAACACAAGCATTTATTCTCTTACAGTTCTGAGGTCAGAAGTCTAAATTATCTCACTGAGGTAAAGTCAAGGTGTTGGCAGGGCTGGCTCCTTCTGGAGGCTCTAGGGTAGGGGAGAATCTGTCCCTGCCTTTTCCAGCTTCTAGGGGTCTCCACATTCCTTGGCTTGTGGCCCCTTCCTCTGCCTTCAAAGCCAGCATCTTCCCTCCTCTGACCCCTGCTTCTGTGGTCACATCTTCTGTCCAACTGTGAAGCTCCTACCTCCCTCTCATGATCGTGATTATATGGGACCTACCTGGATAGCGCAGGATAACCCCCCATCTGAAGGCCCTTCACTTAATCCCATCTCCAAAGTCCCTTTTACCAGGTACGATGATTTAAAAGATGGCATCCCCTCCAAAATTCATGTTGAAACTGAAAGTTGTCAGAATCAAAACAGAGTGACTAATGTTAAGAAAACCCTAACAAATAGAGCTAGGGAAGGCCATGAAGAGAGGGTCCATATGCCCGATAACAAAAACTATCACAAAAGACCACAAAACCCACAACCTTGCACAAAGGCCATTGAATTTTTTTTTTTTTTTTTTGAGCCCAAGTCTTGCTCTGTCGCCCAGGCTGGAGTGCAGTGGTGCAATCTTGGCTTACTGCAACCTCTGCCTCCCGGGTTCAAGTGATTCTCCTGCCTCAGCCTCCTGAGTAGCTGGGATTAGAGGTATGCATCACCATGCCCGGCTAATTTTTGTATTTTTAGTGAAGACAGAGTTTCACTATGTTAGCCAGGCTGGTCTTGAACTCCTGACTTCAAGTGATTAACCCACCTCAGCCTCCCAAACTACTAGGATTATAGGCGTGAGCCACCACACCTGGCCAAGGCCGCTGAAATCTTACACAAGAAAATACTTCTGCAAGGATACCTGCCCAGCAGCTACCTTCCAAACTTGGACCGGTGTCTCCCTTGCTATTAATCTTTGCAGTCAAGAGTATCATTTCAAAATGATTATGTAATCTTCCTTTCTTCCTTTAAAACTTTTGTCTTCCTTGAACATGCAGTTACCGTAATATACGTGTTCCCGTTGCAAGGCCCTATTCCTGAATAAATATCTCTTTAGAGAGCTCCTCTGTCATTTAGGTTAACTAACAACAAACTTGGTCCCCATTGTGGTGAAAGAAGAGGTGGGGCCATTTCGGACTAGGTCACGAGGGCTCCTCTTATAAAAGAGGCTTCCTGTGGAGTTTGGCCTTTTCTTGCCCCTCTGTCCATCCCACCTTGTGAGGACACAGCATTCTTCCCTCCAGAGGAAACAGTAACGAAGTGCTCTCACCAGACACAGGACATGCCAGTGCCTTGATCTTGGACTTCCCAGCCTTCAGAACCATGAGAAACAAATTTATATTGTTTATAAATTACCCAGTCTGTGGTATTTTGTTACAGTGGCACAAATGAACTAAGACACCAGGTAAGGTCACACATTCACAGGTTCCAGGAATTAAGATGTGGACATCTTTGTGTGTGTGTGTGTGGGGGGGGGTGTTGCTGTCACTGCACTATTTTGCTAGTGAGGAGTCCAGGGGCCTCATCCTGTTGCTTGTAGAATAAGCCAATGTCCACTTGGTGGGAACCTCAGGATGTCTAGGAACAAGATGGGAAAAGCAGGGCAAACAGGATGAGTTCTCCTCTTGTGCTCTCTGTGGGCAGGTGGGAGCCCCTCAAGGAATATGCCCATCCAACTCCTCCCCAGAAGGCTGGGCCCTGGAGTCACTGGAGCTGTGCCTGAGCAGCTGCTATGCTTGTAGGAGAGTTCTGAGCACCTTCCCTCTACCTTCATTGTATCTAATAATGCTGTAACCTAGTCTCAACATTAAAAACGAAAAAAAGGGCTGGGCGCAGTGGCTCATGCCTGTAATCCTAGCACTTTGGGAGGCCAAGACGGGTGGATCACGAGGTCAGGAGATCGAGACCATCCTGCTAACACGGTGAAACCCCGTCTCTACTAAAAATACAAAAAATTAGCCGGGCGTGGTGGTGGGCGCCTGTAGTCCCAGCTACTTGGGAGGCTGAGGCAGGAGAATGGCGTGAACTCGGGAGGCAGAGCTTGCAGTGAGCCGAAATCGTGCCACTGCACTCCAGCCTGGGCGACAGAGCGAGACTCCATCTCAAAAAAACAAAAACAAACCAAAAAAAACCCGAAAAAAAGGTCAGCCTGTTTTGCTCTAACAAAAATATTTTTCTCTTTTTCTTTTTTTTGAGTCAGAGGGTCTTGTTTTGTCACCCAGGCTGAAGTACAGTGGCACAATCCCGGCTCACTGTAGCCTCGACCTTCTGGGCTCAAGTGATCCTCCTACCTCAGCCTCCTGAGTAGCTGGGACCCCAGGTGCACACTATTGCTTCCTTCTATTTTTTTTATTTTTTGTAGAGGTGGGGTCTTATTTTGTTGCCCAGAATGGTCTTGAACTCCTGCGCTCAAGCGATCCTTCTGCCTTGGCCTCCCAAAGTGCTGAGATTACAGGTGTGAACTACCACGCTGGGCCAGAATTAGTTTTTTTTTTTGTTTTGTTTCGTTTTTGAGATGGAGTCTCCCTCTGTCTCCCAGGCTGGAGTACAGTGGCACGATCTTGGCTCACTGCAACCTCTGCCTCCCAGGTTTAAGCAATTCTCCTGCCTCAGCCTCCTGAGTAGCTGAGATTACAGGCACATGCCACCACGCCCAGCTAATTTTTGTATTTTTAGTAGACAGAGTTTCACCATGTTGGCTAGGCTGGTCTTGCAGAATTGGGTTTTATAATAAGCAATGAGAAGCATTATAGCAGCCCTGATAATGAAACTTTAATGACATAGAGACTTCTTCCTCTTCTCCTTGTGGTTTGTCCTTTAAGCCTAGGGGGACCTCTGGTCCCTGGACTCTCCCCTCTCCCCACTGAGGTCTGGCGTCAGCATGGGCCCTCTCACATGCCCTCAACTGTTCTGCCCTGGTCAAAACAGCCACTGTCTAGGCCCCACCTTCATCCTGTGTTCTTGGTGAGTGGACATACACCTGAACCACCCAGTCTTCCTGTCCACTTAAGGGATGTCCCCAGAGAGGCGAGAATACCGCCCCACATCCAGCCCAGATAACTATCTTGGGCCTTCTGTGCCTCCAACCTGCCGTGCCTCTGCCCTGCCCTTAACCAGTCATAGGGCCACCAGGGGAAAACCAGCCAGGCTCCCATCCCAGCCCAGCCCAGCCCTCCTTCAGTCCTGCACCCTGCTGCCTTCTCTTCTGCTGCTACAGGAGGAAAAAGGGTCTCTCTGCTGGGCTCCTGCTCAAGGGCACACGACACCTGCTCCCCATCATCAGATCCTGTCTACTGCATCACTCCAACGGGCACCTGTCATCACTCCATCTTAAACACGCCATTCCGCACCCCATGCCTCTGTCTCGCTGCTCTCCTTTACAGCAAACTCAGGGACAGAATGCAAATACTCATCCTCGGAACTCCTGCCTGTCTTTTGTCCCCACCCATATCTCATCTTGAATTTGCACATGCTGTGGGAGGGACCCGGTGGGAGGTAATTGAATCATGGGGCAGGTCTTTCCCATGCTGTTCTCGTGATAGTGAGTAAGTCTCACGAGATCTGACAGTATCATATTAGGGGGAGTTTCCCTGCCCAATCTCGCTCTTTGCCTGCCGCCATCCACGTAAGATGTGACTTGCTCCTCCTTGCCTTCCACCATGATTGTGAGGCCTCCCCAGCCATGTGGAACTGTAAGTCACTAAACCTCTGTCTTTTGTAAATTGCCCAGTGTCGGGTGTGTCTTTATTAGCACCGTGAAAACGGACTAATACACCACCATTCCACAAAACCTGCACTCGCCAAATCTGAGTTAGCTCCCAGGCCATAAGCTGGGGACCCCTCTCCTGGCTTCTCACCTTTCAGGCTGACTACTCCCAAGTGCTGCCCCTAGGCCCAAGCACCATGCCTCGACTTCCCCTCCACCTGAGCAATGGCTCCTTGGCGCCTCCTCCTGTCTCACAGCTCTAAAGGCTCTCTCTGTGGTGACAATTCCCAGTCTCCAACCTGGGCCACGCCGGTGACTTGCTCATCCAATCGCCCACCAGCGTTTCCATGAGGAGGCCCAACAGGCATCTGAGACTCAACACAGCCAAAGCCACAGCCCAAACTCCGCCGGTATTATATTAGGGGGAGTTTGTGGGAGATACCTGGTGGGAGGTAAAATCCCTGTACCACCCTGCCTCGACCTTTCCCATCTTGGTTAAGGATAACTTTCTCCTTAAAATTGCTTACGCCCAAAACACTGTAACTTAAATAAAACGGACAAATTCCTCTAAAGACACAAACAGATGATCTGAATAGACCTACAACAAATAGAGATTGAATTAATAATCAAAATAAGTAATCAAAAAAGCCCAGACCCAAATGGCTTCAATAATGAATTCTATGAAACACTTAAACAATTAAAGCTGGGTCCAGTGGCTTGTGCCTGTGATCCCAGCTACTCAGGAGGCTTGAGGTGGGAGGATCAGTTGAAGCCAGGAATTGGTGACCAGCCTGGATGATACAGTGAACAGCCATCTTAAAAAAAAAAAAAAAAAAAAAAAGAGGAACACTTCCAACTCATTTTATGAGGCCCAGTAGGACACTGATACCGATACCAAAACCAGACACAGACACCACAAGAAAACTTCAGACCAGTATCTATGATGAATATGGATAAAAAAAATCACTCAACAAAATTGTATTAAACTGAATCCAGGAAGACAGATACTCCATGACCAACTGGAATTTATCTGAACGCAGGGGATAAGTGTCTTTTCAATATCTGAAAGTCAATTAATGTAACACACCACATTACTAGAACAAGGAAAAAAACCCATGATCATCATCTCAATGGATGTGGAAAAATCATTTAACCAAATCTGACACGTTTTCATGATAAACACACTCAACAAACTAGAAATAGAAGATACTTCCTCGGCTGGGCGTGGTAGCTCACGCCTATAATCCCAGCATTTTGGGAGGCCCAGGGGGGTGGATTACTGGAGGTCAGGAGTTCAAGACCAGCCTGGCCAACATGGTAAAACCCCATCTCTACTAAAAATACAAAACTAGCTGGGCGTGGCGGCCTGTGCCTGCAATCCCAGCTACTCAGGAGGCTGAGGCAGGAAAATCGCTTGAACCTGGGAGGCAGAGGTTGCAGTGAGCCAAGATCCAGCCACTGTACTCCAGCCTGGGTGACAGAGTGAGACACTATCTCAAACAAACAAAAAATAGGTTTTATCAGGTTGAGGAAGTACCCTTTTTTTTAATGATTTTTAGACAGTTTCCCTTTTTTAGCTGGGATTACAGGCACCGGCCACCAACCTCAGCTAACTTTTTGTATTTTTAGTAGAGATGGGATTTCTCCATGTTGGCCAGGCTGGTCTCAAACTCTGGACCCCACGTGATCCGCCCGCCTCGACCTCCCAAAGGGTTGGGATTACAGGCGTGAGCCACTGTGCCCAGCCTGATAAAACCTATTTTTTAAGCACCCACAGCTATCATCATACCCAAAGGTGAAAGACTGGATGCCTCCTCCCTGAAATCAGGAGCAAGACAAGGATGTCCACTCTTGCTGCTTCTAGTCAATATTGTACTGGAGCTTCTAGATAGGGCAGCTAGGCAAGGAGAAGAAATAAAAGGCATCCAGATTAGAAAGGAAGAGATAAACTGATCTCTATTCACAAATGACACGCTTTTGTATAAAATCCCAAGGAATCCACTAAAACACTAGAACAACTAATAAATGCCACTAAAAGACAAGAAGAACTAATAAATGGGTTTAGCAAGGTTGCAGGATAAAAGATCAGTACACAAAAAGCCCTTAGAGTCACACTTGACCTTTCCGGGTCACACTCCACATCCCATATAACAGTAGATGGCCTCCTGCCTCCTCCTCAGCCCTTCCTAGTCTGTTCTTCACCCAGGAGTCAGAATGACCCTTTTAAAGGGTTAGTCATATCCTTCCGTGTGCTCAGTCTTCCGAAGGCTGCCCATTTCCTGCAGAGAAGGGGCCACAGTTCTGACTGTGCAGGACCTGTCTGCATCCCTCCATGTCCCCACCTCCCATTTCCTACCAGTCCTTCCAGCTCCTGCGTTCTCGACTTAGTGGCCTCTACTGTGTTTCTTACACTCCAGGCTCTCGTGTCTCAGAGGCTCTGTCTGCCGTGCTCCTTGCTCAAGACAGTACTTCTGCAGATATCCTTACCCTCGACGCCCACGTCCCGCCGGTCTTTGCTCAAATAAGTGCCCTCCTCCTATGGCTTTCCTTGACCGCTCTGCCCTGTCCACCTCGTGTTCTTTTCAGACGGCTGACTCAAGAAAAAATAGACAATCTCAACAGACCTATAACAAGTGAAGAGACTCAATTAGTAACCAAAAAACTATGAATCAAATAAGTCATCAAAAAAGCCCAGGCCCAAATGGCTTCAAGGTTGAATTGAAGCCTGCACGTGGGTTGGTATGTGAATGACGGACTGCCTGGGTCCTCTGGGCACCTGGCATTTCATACATGTTCCGCCTCTGGCACGGGGTGTCTCGACCAGGTACAGACAGGCTGGGAGCCCCGCGCCGGGCGCCCGCTCCCTGGAAGCTCGACCTCTCCCTGCCGTCAAGGCGCCGGTGGGCGGCACGTGGGCCGGCTCTCCCGGGGGCAGTTCTCTATTTCGCTGGTGAGGTTCTCAGACCAAATCCTCGGAATGCAAACTCTCACGGCGTTCCCGTAATTCTCAGCCCAGCGCGGGCCCCGACGCAGGCTCCAGGGGAACGAAGTCAGCGTCCCTTCCGGGGGATGCGCCGGCGGGGCCGCACCTGTTTCTGCCTCAGGGGTCCAAACGCCCACCTTCCCTGCACCGGGACGGGGGTCTGGAGACTGGCACGTCCACCTGGTGCCCGTCTGCTGGGCTGTCGCCTGCCGAGGTCGCCGCCGGCCACACCCACGAGGTCCCCAGGGCGCCGGCGGCGAGACCTCGGCCGGCCAGGGGGCCGGGCTGTGGCTGAGGTGGGACGAGCCAGGGCCGGGGAGGAGACACGGCGCTAAAAGAGGGCAGCTGCGGGCTCGGCAGGATCCCCGCCGCCGACCCACTCCACCCACCCCGCGCCGCCCACTCCCCGCTGCCTACGCCGCGCTCCACACCGCGGGCCTTAGAGCCTGAGGAAAGCAACGGGGCAGGCGCGGACCAGGGCGGGTCCTACTGCGCCTGCGGAAGCGGGCGGGGAGGGGCGGGTCGACGCTCACTGCGCCTGCGGAAAGGGGCGGGGCAGGCACAGGCCTGCGGGTGCCACCTACTGCGCCTGCGGAAAGGGGCGGGGCGGGCGCGGGCTGGCGGGCGGTGCCTACTGCGCCTGCGGAAAGGGGCGGGGCAGGCGCGAGAAGGGAGCGGAGCTGGGGGCGGGGTCGAGGGCGGGGTGGCGGGCGGTGCCTACTGCGCCTGTGCGAGGCCCCGGCGGTGAGCGCGCTCCCGCTCCTTGGCCACCGCCTCAGCCGCTGTCGCCGCCGCCGCCGCTCACCCGGGACCGCGCACGCGCTGCCACCGCCCCCGGCCCGCTCCCGCCCCCGCGCCCGCCCCCGCCCCCGGCCCGCGCCCTCCTGCCGCCGCCTCTTTGGGCCGCGGGCTCGGCACCTCCTCCGCTCGGGCTCAGCGCCCGCAGCATGCAGCAGCCGCGGGGGCGGCGACGGCGGCGGCTGTGAGGTGAGGCGGGGGCCGCGCTCGGGCGCCCCTCCCGGCTGGCCGGCTGCGGGGCCGAGTGGTGGCTCGGGGCGCACCGGGCCCGGCGCGGCGAGGGGCGGCGGCGCCTTTGTTGCGGCCGGGCCGCCGCCTCAGCCCTTTGTCTGCAGATGGTGGACGCGAGCGGCCGCGCCGCCGCCGAGGGCTGGAGGAAGATGGAGGCCCCGCCGGACGGCGCCGCCGACCTCGTGCCCCTGGACCGCTACGACGCGGCGCGCGCCAAGATCGCCGCCAACCTGCAGTGGATCTGCGCCAAGGCCTACGGCCGAGGTGGGCCGGGTGAGGGGCGCGGGGCGGGGGCCAGGGGCGCGGGCCGGGGCCGGGGGACGCGGCCGGGGTCCGGCCGGGTCGGGGTCCGCGCGCCGCGCCTTTGTGCCGCGTCCGCACAGGGTCGGGGCTGGGCCGGCCGCCTCCGAGGTCCTGGCGGCGCCCGGGCAACGCGGAGCGTGGGGACGCGGTCACCTGGCGAGTGGGCGTCCCTGCGGCGGAGGGCGGCGTGGGTCGGGGCTTCCGCTCCTATTTCGGGAGTGCCCCCAGCCTCCCGTTGGCGGCGGCGGCGGCGGGAAGGAGCTGCCCGGTTCTGGGCGCAGGGAGGGACCATGGGGACGCGGGGCCGCCGTCTGAGGCGCCGCTTCCCGGCGCGCCGGGCATCGTCCAGTGCTGGACCTGTGATTCCGAGCCTTGCACTTGTTATGAATTTTGATGCTTACAAGCTGTCAGCTGTTGAATTCCCCAACTAGAAATTGCGTATTCCGCGCATTGTGCTTAATCATAATGATCCCCTTTGGTTAATTCCTGTTTGGAAGAACTAGGTAACCTTGTTACTCAGTCCAGTTTGTTAGGCCCTAATGTGCTTAGTGGATTAAGACGCTTCTGTTTCGTGCCCTGGGAACAGGACAGACCTAGTGATTCTCGTCAGTGGCTGACTTCTTTATTAATTTCAGGTGCTTTGTTTCAGGTACAATTAAAGGTTAATATTTCTGCAATCCTCTTTTCATTTGAAGCATTCTTAAAATATTTGCCTTTATTCTGGTGAAAAATTACCCTTTTTAGAGTAAGACTAAAGGAGACAGCCCTTCCAGAGAAGAGTTCAGTTGACCAGTTTGGAAAACGCTGAGTAGGCGTTGCCCTGTTTGACAGTGGCCTGTGCCCCAGCTAGACTCGAGTTAGTCATAAGGACAAACGCGTTTTGTAAGTTTTAGGGATTAAATAACTCGCCTTATTTCAAACTGGTTTTTGTACTGTGTAAGTAGTAATTGGGAAAGAGTTTTTCCTTTGACAGTTTTCAGTTTTACAGTTCTTGTTTACTGGCTCAGTGGAACCTTAGTTTCTGTGTTGTAATGAGGAAGAAACACTGCTACATCCAAGACTTCACATGAGTTTTTGAGAACGGAATTGGTAAGATGTAGGTATGAAACTTGAGTCAGGTGCAAAGAACAGCCCGAGAGCGGACGCCTGGGTATCTTGCAGTCACTGCCGGCTGCGTGGGCTCACCTGCCTCACACCTTGTGTTAGTCACTGTTTTGCTTTTCTTTGTATTTTGCCGCATGTGCTTACACCACGAACTAGTTTTTACACCTTTGCCAATGATGTCTCTTTCTGAGACTGGCTTTTGTTATTCCCTTATCCCACGTTACGTTCTTAGGTTCTTCTTGACTTCATCTTCACTTTTCCACATTTCCGCTGCTGTGGAGTGTCTCACTGAGGACTGTTCACCGCAGCTGCTCGTGGGCGCTGGCTGGGCTCCCGTAGGTGCTGTGGAGCCCAGTGCATTCTTGGGCATGGCTCCTGGGATCCGAGCACAAAGTTTTACTCCTGCATGTTTTTTAAGATTTTATATGTGGAGAGGGCTGAGGGCTCAGGCAGCGGATGTTAGACAAATTGCTATAAAAAGAACTTTCACGATCTGCTTTCCAATTTCTTTAGCAAGGTGCATGCATTTTTTATTTCATTGCATTTAGCTTTGGCATTCAGCATGGGATTTGTCAGCCATCCAGAAATAAGTACGCGTGTCTCTGTGTTAGTATTGGGTTCGTCTAGTTTCACTTCCGGTACCAGGTCACTCTTTAATCCTTGTTGACTCATCGGATGATGAATTCACAATCTGATACTAACATGGGCTTTTGAGTTCTGGAATTATTAAAAGGTGGGCATTTAAAGAAAAGAAACATGAACAGGAGCTGGAGAAGACTGGACACCATCTTAGGAGCTGAGACTGGAGTGCCCCTTACTGGTGGGTGACAGTGCCTTCGCACATCAGACTCCGATTTTAGGAGGTCTGGTTTCCACTTTTTTTTTTTTTTTTGAGACGGAGTCTCGCTCTATCGTCCAGCCTGGAGTGCAGTGACGCGACCTCAGCTCACCGCAACCGCCACCTCCTGGGTTCAAGCGATTCTTCTGCCTCAGCCTCCCAAGTAGCTGGGATTACAGGCGTGCGCCCCCACTCCCGGCCAGTTTTTGTATTTTTCGTAGAGACGGGTTACTCCATATTGCCAGGCTGGTCTCGAACTCCTGACCTCACGATCCGCCTGCCTTGGCCTCCCAAAGTGCTGGGATTACAGGTGTGAGCCACCACGCCTGGCTGGTTTCCACTTCTTTTTGCCGAGAGAGGGCTTTTACATTCTATAGTTTGCTTCACAGGGGGAGCATATGTAATTACAAAAAAAAAAGTTTTTAAGCCAGGTGTGGTAATTTATACTTACAATTCTAGTGACTCGGAGGCAGAGGTAGGATGATCACTTGAGGCCAGGTGTTTGAGATGGAGTCTGCCTGTGTTTCCCAGGCTGGTCTCCAACTCCTGGGCTCCAGTGATCCTCCTGCTTCAGCCTCGTGTGTAATTTTCTTTTTTCCTTTTTTTTTTTTTTTTTGTGGAGGACAGGGTCTCGCTCTGTCGGCCAGGCTGGAGTGCAGTGGTGTGACCTCGGTTCACTGCAACCTCCGCCTGCCGGGCTCAAGTGATCTTCCCTCCTCAGCCTCCCGAGTAGTTGGGACTACAGGTGCACCACCACGCCTGGCTAACTTTTGTATTTTTTGTAGAGATGGGGGTTTTCTTTAAACAGTTTTTATTTTTGTAAAAATGGGGTCTGTTTGCCCAGGCTAGTTTCGAACTCCTGGGCTCAGGTGATCTGCCCGCCTCGGCCTCCCAAAGTGCTAGGATTACAGGCATGAGGCACCGCACTTAGACCTCCTGTGTAAAACTGTGTAAAAATTGAGACTCTCTTTAAATTTACAGGTTGGAGAGATCGTAATTCAGATGACCGAAATACTTGCCTCAGCTCAGCTGAAGTGATTTACGTTGTTGGGGTCACAGCCTAGGTGTGAGATTCGCTGCTACCCAGTGTGGCTGTATCTTGTAAGAGACTGAGTGGGGAGGGGGTTTTGGTAGGACAGTGTGGGTCCCCCCAACACTTCTTCTAATCCAGCAGCATTTGCTTTGTTTCTTCTTTTGAATGTCTCCATGTACCTCTCCAGCTTAGTTTTCAGTTAATCAGACATGGTTCTTTCAATATGGATGTTTTAATTGGAAATCGCTTTTGGGGGTATGATGGTGAAAGTGGCTTCAATATTTAACTTGTTAAAGGCTTGTTCATTAGGTTGCTAACTAAAGCCCATCCTCCATTTGTGTAAAGATTGAAAGCATTGAAAGCCTGCTGAAACTCCAGGGCTGGCTGCTGTCTTGTTTTGCATTAGCCTTTTGAGATTTTTGGTGTCCTGGGGCCACCAGTCTGCCATTGTAGTAAGTGGGTGGGCTCAGGAGAGCTTGCCCTTGGCGAGGCCTTGTGGCATATGGCTGTGCAGAAACACTTCCTTCAGTTTCATTCGTTCCTGGGGCCACAGCCAAGAATTGTGGCCGCCTTGGGCTTTTATTTTTAGGTCCCCCTCCCTTTCTTTTGGTAACTCTCTTGTTTCATTGACAGTGTTTGCATTTTTTAAAGAAATAATGTATTGGACATGTTGAAAATTGTCCGCTTAAAAATGTCTATAAGAAGGTGCAGAACCTGACTAGTCATCACATTTTGTGGTGATGTTTGAGTGAAAGTTGTAATAAATTGGTGGAAAGTTGAGGCGGTGGCTGAAGTTCCCTTTATTTTACCGCATAGCACGCTGGACTAGAGCAGTGC
Source organism: Homo sapiens (assembly GCF_000001405.40). Lineage (NCBI taxonomy): Eukaryota > Metazoa > Chordata > Mammalia > Primates > Hominidae > Homo > Homo sapiens. Next base: position 135,903,148 of record NC_000009.12, on the reverse strand, counting down.
AGTCCTGGCGTTGATCTCGGCCACTGTGCGTTTTGTACATGCCCTTAGGAAACTCAGAGGTATCTAGGCCTTGGTTTCAGGGGACAATGTGGAGAGCAAGCTTTTATTATCTCTCAAGGACAATGTTAAAAAACAACCCAGGGCAAGTACTAGCATGCACTCAATTCTTTGCAAGGATGTCGGCGGTGTAGCTCAGTGGAAACCAGGTTTTCCTTTTGCTTGCAGAGCCAAGCTGCCCTGAACCCTAGGGCACTGGATGGGAGCTTAGGGTTCGCCAGTTCATCCCCTCTCCTTACTGACAGCACGTGGCCCTGTGCAGAAGCCACATGGCCTGCCCAGAGGCACACTGTTGGGAGGAATTGTCTGATCCCCTCCTTTTTTTCTCTTGCTAGAGTAATTCGAACTACTGATTTGGAAACCATGTTATGGAATAAGAAATCAGTGTGAGGATGCTGTGGCCTGTGAAGCCTGGGTTTTAGTCCCCATCTCAGGGACCAGCAGTTTCATGATATAGGCAACAAGAAGAGTTTACACTCCGGTTTGCTAACTTGACATGATGAGCAAAATCCCTTTATAATCAACTCCAGAGGGTCGCCATATTGTTTCCTTGTAGTGACTTTTCGTTAAAATGAAATCTGTGCTCAGAGCCCCTTTCCACCTCCAGAACTTGCCCTCCTGTGTAAAACTGTGTAAAAATTGAGACTCTTTATTTAAATTTACAGGTGAAACCACTGCGTGTCTTCCTCCCTGTGTTGGCAGGAGGGCAACAGTGGTTGGAGTCTTGGTGTGAAGAGGCTGCTCTTGATGGCAGCACACTTGTAAGCACATTGCCACATTTCTGAAGGTGATGACTTGTTCAGATTATTGGTTTATGAGTTTAGATTGTATATTTAAATCGTCTTTGGTTGTTCTTGACAAGGGATTTGGGTGTTTCTGACATGGGGGTTACAGAGCATCTTCAAATGCTTCCTGAGCACCTGTTAGGTGGTACTAAATACTGTGGGAGTTGCTAGTTGGTCCAGCTAGCATGACCTTTCCTCTGCAGAGGTGTCCTGAGAACCACCTGCTGCCTAGTTATGTGTGCATCTCTGTGAGGCCAGGGATTATGGTTGTCCCACTTACTGCTGTGTCCACAGTACAGAGTGCTCAAATACTTGTTGAATGGTTAGCCCCTAAGAGCAGAGGGGAGGGCAGCTGGCTACAGCCCTGTGCAGAGGAGAGGTGTCTTCGGGTGTACTGAGTAGATTAACCTTGTTGAGGCGGAGGATTTGTGGACTGAAATAGTAAGTGATTAGTTTGGAAAATAGTCTGGGGCCAGATTGTTTATGGTGCTCAGGTTGGCTGGGGATTTCTTTGATGATGTTCGCCTGGGAGGGTTTTTAAGTAGGGGGATGTCGTGCCGAGAGAGCGAGCCTGGGAAGATGTTTTTAGCAGGTTTGAGTGGGTAGAGGCCATAGACAGGTGTTCTACCTGAGAGTTGATGTCGTTAGGCTGGAAATGCCAAAGACTTGCCTGTTCTTGTTTTTATTTTTTTGAGACAGGGTCTTGCTCTGTTGCCCAGGCTGGAGTACAGTGGCATGATCACAGCTTACTGCAGCCTTGACCTCCTTGAGCTCAAGTGATCCTCCCACCTCAGCCTCCCGAGTTGCTAGGATCACAGCTAGGACCACAGGCCTGCACCTCCTGGTCCGGTTAATTATTATTTTTTGTAGAGGTGGAGTTTTCCTGTGTTGCCCAGGCTTCTCAAACTCCTGGGCTCAAGCAGTGCTCCTACCCACCTTGGCCTCCCAAAGTGCTGGGATCACAGGTATGAGTGAGTGAGTTAGTCCACTGTGCCCAGATGGACTTGCCTGTCTGTCGGCAGAGGGAATAGGAAGGGTAGATAGAGCCAACAGATATACAAGCTGAATCTATGGAGCTGGACTGATTGACAGTGGCTGTGGGAGGTGGCTAAGGGTGAGTTACAGTCAGCTGAACTGCCATGGGGAGCCCAGACACAGGAACGATGGTGCCCTTGACAGGAATATTTAGTCATTATTTCATAGCATTTTTCTACTTTCATAACTTTTGTTGTCACTACAGAAAAGATCTTTGAGGCTAGGCGTGGTGGCTCATGCCTGTAATCCCAGCACTTTGGGACGTTGAGGTGGGCAGATCACCTGAGGTCGGGAGTTTGAGACCAGCCCGGCCAACATGGTGAAACCCCGTCTCTACTAAAAATACAAAATTAGCTGGGTGTGGTGGCATGCGCCTGTAATCCCAGCTACTCAGGAGGCTGAGGCAGACGAATCGCTTAAACCCAGGAGGCGGAGGCTGCGGTGAGCCGAGACTACGCCACTGCACTCCAGCCTGGGCAACAGAGTGAAACCCTGTCTCAAAGAAAAGAAAGATCTTTGAGTTTTTTTTATTTCTGGCTTTCCTGAGCTCCCACCTAGTCCTCTCTTTCTTTTTTTTGAGACGGAATCTCGCTCTGTCGCCCAGGCTGGAGTGCAGTGGCATGATCTTGGCTCACTGCAAGCTCTGTCTCCTGGGTTCACACCATTCTCCTGCCTCGGCCTCCTGAGTAGCTGGGACTACAGGCGCTTGCCACAACGCCCGGCTAATTTTTTGTATTGTTTTAATAGAGACGGGGTTTCACCATGTTAGCCGGGATGGTCTCGATCTCCTGACCTCGTGATCTGCCCACCTCAGCCTCCCAAAGTGCTGGGATTACAGGCGTGAGCCACCGTGCCCGGCCCTCTTTTTCTTAGAGTGGTTTATTATTCCCCAGTCACTCTCGTCCCATCACTTCAAACTCAACTAGTCAAAATTAAACTTATATCTGGGGGTGGAGTGTGGTGGCTGACACCTGAAATCTCAGCACTTTGGGAGGCTGAGGTCGAGGATTGCTTGAGCCCAGGAGATTGAGACCAGCCTGGGCAACAGAGTGAGACTGTCTCTACAAAGAACATAAAAATTAGTTGGGCATGGTGGTGCACGCCTGTTGTCCCAGTTGCTTGGGAGGCTGAGGTGGGAAGATCAGTTGAGCCCAGGAGATTGAGCCTGCAGAGAGCCATAATTGTGACACTGCACTTCGGCTTGGGTAACAGAGCAAGATCCTGTCTCAAAAAAGGTTAAACTTACATGAGTTCAGTTGGGCATTACATTGTGAACTGTGGGGCCCTTCGTATCCTTTTCAGGCCTCCTGTAGCAATGGAAGTGTCTGCATATACAGAGACCCATAATGACGGGCTTGAGGAGGCTGGCTCTCTAAAGGGCAGATGCTACTGGCAGAACAGGGGAGTAGAGGGAGGGAGACTCCCCTGAGGGAATCTGGAATGTTCCATTAGAGTGAAAACTGAGTTTGTAGTCTAGGTGTGTGAGAATCAGATGGAGGTAAGGGAACGAATTAAGAGAAGCAAAGACAATAGGGGGAAGTGGAGGGGAGTGCGTGATGTGCACACCGTGTGGGAAAGGCTGGTGGCCTCATGGGGGTAGTGGCTGCAGAGTTGGAAGGCGAAATTAGACTGGAAAAAGTGCTGAGGCCAGAGCGCAGAATGCTTTGAGTGGCTGATTCGTAGATTGGGGATTTGCTCTGTGGGAATTGGGGAACCACTGAAGGTTTCTGAGGAGGGGAGAGATGTATGAAATCTGAGCTTTTCAGAGAAGTCCCTGCTAGGATACAATGGTTAATGCCCATTGTAAGGTATAAAGTGAAGACTTTTGTTTTGGACTTTTTTTTTTTTTTTTTTAATAGAGACAAGTTCTGTCAGGGATGGTCTCGAACTCCTGGGCTCAAGAGATCCTCCTGTCTCGGCCTCCCAAAGTTCTGGGATTACAGGTGTGAGCCACCGCGCCCGGCCATTTTGGACCTTTGAGAGAACCACTTTTATCGAGGTGTGATTTACATCTGGTAAAGCACACATGTTTTAAGAGTGTAGTTTGAGGAATTTAAACCACTGTGACCACAACCACAATCAAGACAGCATTCTCATTACTTCCCGAGTTTCCTTTGTGCCCCTGCCCGGCAGGACCCACCCAGGGCTTCACTGCTCTGCTCTGTTATTGTAGATGAGTTTCCTCTGTGCATCTAATCTGACTTCTTTCACTTAGCGTAGTATTTTTGAAATTCATGTTGTGTAGATCTTTTTTGCTTAGTAATAATATTCCATGGTATGGCTAGCTCACGTTTTAGAACTCCATTCATCTGTTGGTGATTATCTGGGGGCATTTCCAGCTTTTGGCTATTATGAATAGAGCTTCTGTGAACATTCATCTATGTGGACAGATGTTTTCATTTATCTTAAACAGCTGTGCTTGGGATTACTGGGTGATAATAAGATACATATGTGTAACTTTGTAAGAAAGTGCCCAGTTGTTTTCCAAAGTGACATATTTATTTGGCCAGCAGCTTATGTGAATTCCAGTTGCTTTGCATCCTTGCCAACACTTGATGATGTCAGTCTTTTTGATTTTAGTTATGTAAGTAGGTGGGTTGTATCTCACCGTGGTTTTTGTATGCATTTCCCTGATGACTTATGATGAGCATTTTTATATGCTTATTGGCCATTCGAGTACCTTTTTCTATGAAGTATCTTAAAATCCTTGGCTAATGTAAAAAAATTAAATTTTAGTTTTGAGTTAATTGTGTATATATATATATTTTTCTTTAAACAATTTTTATTTTTGTAGAAATGGGCTCTCACTGTGTTGCCCAGACTAGTTTGGAACTTCTGGACTCAAGTGATTCTTCCATCTCAGCCTCCCAAAGTGCTAGGATTACAGGCGGGAGCCACCACGCCTGGCCAGTTGGAGACAGTTGTATATTAACATGCATTTTAAAGAAATACTATACAGAGATCCTTGGTACCCTTTACTCAGTTTCCCTAATGATGACTTCTTCTAAAATTGTAGCATAATATTACACCAGGATATTGACCTTTATCTAATCCAGGTACAGATCATTCCATCCCAGGAGGACCTCTACTGTTGCCCTTTTCTAGCCACACCTGTCTCCTTCCCTTCTGCTTCCTTCGGGTTTATTTTGGTCTTCTTTTTCTAGTTTCTTGAGCTAGGAACTTGTATTAATGATTTGAGACCTTTCCTCTTTTCTGATGTAAGACTCTAGTGCTGTAAATTTCCCACTTAGTACTGCCACAGCTGCATCTCACATATATGTTGTTTTTTCATTTTCATTCAGTTCTAGGTATTTTTTAAAAATTTCCTTTGATAACTACTTCTTTGACTCATTGTCTTAGTTCATTTGGGCTGCTATAACGAAATATAGTAGTCCCCTGTTATCAGTAACCTTTGGTCAACTGTGGCCTGAATATATTACATGGAAAATTTAGAAATAATTCATAAGTTTTAAATCGCATGCTGTTCTGAGTAGCATGATGAAGTCTTACGCCATCTTGCCTGGTACGTGACTTATCCCTTTGTCCAGCATGTCCACACTGTATATGCTGTTCTCGTAAGTCATTGATATCATCTGCTCCTGACATCCCACCATGGACGTCATCATGGCTTGATGACCCAGGATCTCTCCAAGCAGATAGTTCTCTGTCTGACCTATTGTCAGAAGGTTGGGAGTAGCCTAAAGCTAGGTCACTACTATGCCTAATGTCATTCAACTCACTTCATCTCATCATGTAGGCATTTTCTCATCTCACATCCTCATGAGAAGTGTGAGTATAGTACAGTAAGTTGTTTTGAGGGCCAGGCGTGGTGGTTCACACCCGTAATCCAAGCACTTTGGGAAGCTGAGGTAGGAGGATAGCTTGAGTCTAGGAGTTTGAGACCAGCCTGGGCAACATAGCAAGACCTAGGATCCACATTAAAAAAAAGAATTAGCTGGGTGTGGTGGCTGTGTGCCTGTAGTCCCAGCTACTCAGGAGGCTGAGGTGGGAGGATCGTTTGAGTTGGGATTTGAGATTACAATGAGCTGTAATTGTACCACTGCACTCCAGCCTGGGCAACAGAGTGAGACCGTGTCTCAAAAAAACTTTCGTGTGTAGGAAAGTATAGTACTGAGCCCTATATGTATATATTTTGTTTCTGGAATCCTCTGAGGGTCTTGGAGCTTATCCCTTGGGGATAAGAGGGGACTGCTGTACTTTTGAGTAATTTATAAATGACAGAAATTGATTGTTCATGGTTCTGGAGGCTAAGAAGTCCAAGATTAAGGTGCCAACAGATTTGGTGTCTGGTGAGGGCCTGTTCCTCATAGATGGCACCTTCTGAGTGTCCTTATATGGCAGAAGAGGACAGGCTCCCTCAAGCCTCCTTAGTCTCATTCATGAGGGTAGGGCCCTTGTGACCTATTCACCCCCGAAAGGCCCCACCTCTCACCACTGCCACATTGGGGATTAGGTTGCCGTGTGAATTTTGCAGGGGCAGAAAACACTCAGACCACAGCACTCCTCAATGATTTCAAACTTTTAATTTTCAAGTGTTCAGAGATTTTCCTGTTTTGTCTTATGTATTTCCCATATGATTTCATTAAGATAACCTAGTTTGATTTCTTTTATACTTGTTAAGGTTTGTCTTGTGGCCTAGGATATGTTCTCTTTTAGTGAATGTTTCATGGGCATTTGGAAAAAAATGAGTATTCTGCTGTAACTTGGTGGAGTGTTCTATCAGTTGTATTCTGCTAGTTGGTTGTGTTCTGATTTATATCTTTGTTGATTTTATGTCTAGTAATTCTGTCTAGGGGGTGTTGAAGTCCCTAGCTATACTTGTAGATTTGTCTGTTCCTCTTTTTAGCTGTGTCAACTTTTTTCATGTACTTTGAGGCTTTATAGTTTGGTGCGTGGACTTTCAGGATTTTTAGGTCTTTCTGGTAGATTGATCCTTTTATCATTATGTAATGTCCCTTTTTGCCTCTCGTAATTTTTCTACTTTATTAATGTAGTTCTGCTTTTTTTAAAAAAGTGTTTGAATGGCGTATCTTTTTTCCCTCCTTTTAGTTTTTAACCTACTTAAGTTGTTGAATTTGAAGTGTATTTCTTGTAAAGAGCATGTAATGATGTTATGTTTTTTAATCTACCCTCTACCAGTCTGTCTTTTGATTGGTGTATTTAGAGTGTTTACATTTACTAATAACATTATATTGTTAACAATTACTATTTATAACGTTAGGACTTGAGTCTGACATTTTATAGTTTGTTTTCTGTTTGTTTCCTCTGTTTCTTGTTCCTGTTTCTCTTCTCTTGACTTCTTATTGGTTAATTGACCATTTTTTAGGATTTTCTCTAGATTTATTTATATTGTTTTTGGGTGTATCTCTGTATAATTTCTTAGTGACTGCTCTGGGTATTACGGTATACTTATGTGACTTACAACAGTTTACTGATATCCTTATTTTACTGTTTTCAGTGAAATGTGGAAACCTTTTTTCCATTTAGCCGCCCTTGCTCTCTCCACTTTTAAATACCACTGTCTTGACCATCTGACAGTGTTAAAATTTTTGTCATCGTATGTAATTTAAAAAACTCATAAGGAGGGTAGTCTGTTGTATTTACTCATTACTCATGTCTCTGCATTTTTCTTCCTGGTCCTCCAAGATTCCTTATTTTCTTGCTCTTTGGACAGCTTCCTTTAGCCATTCTTTAAGGTTTGACAGATTATTTTATTTTTCTTCACCAGAAAACATCTTTATTTCCTCTTCATTTTTTTAAGGATAGTCTTGCTGGATATGGAATTTGTGGTTGATTGACAGTTCTTTTCCTTCAGCACTTGAAAACTGTGCCACTTCCCTCTGGCCTCCATAGCTTCAGATGAGAAGTCTTTGGAGCTGGTGTTCCCTTGTATGTATCGTACCATTCCCCTTTGGCTGCTTGAAAATATTTTGTTTTTAGTTTTAGAAGTTTAGTCATGATGTGTCCTGGTGTGGATTTCGTTAGGTTTATCTTTTTTGGAGTTCACTCAGTTTCTTAAAACATTTCATTCATTCCTGTCATTCAACATGTTTGGGAAGATTTTCTCTCTTTCTGTTGCTGTTTCTCCTCTTTGATCTGGGCTCCGGTGATAGAACCCTTGGATCTTTTGTTATTCTCCCGCAGGTCTTGGAGGCTCTGTTCTTCTTTTCTCCATTGCAGTTTCTGCCTGTTGTTCAGATTGGGTAGATTCTCTTGATCTGACCTCAAGGTCAATGATTCTGTCTTCTGTCATCTCAACTATTGCTGAGCCCATCCAGTGAGTTTTAAAATGTCTGTTACTGTATTTTCCAGTTCTTCATTTGGCTCTCATTACCAGAATTTTCTAATTTTGTTTCAGGAGAATTTGTGATTACTTGGGAGTGATTTCATGCCAGTTGCTTTAAAATCCTTGTCAGATAGTTCCAACATTTGATTTATCATGGTGTTTGTGCCAGTTCATCATCCTCTGATTAAAGTCATTTCTGATGGCTTCCTGATCATTTTGTCTATTTTGTTAGGAAACTCTGGGTACTGGTTTTATTTTAGCAGTAGTCACCTTGTTCAGGTTTAGCATGCAGGCCTGTCCTACTTTTGTGACTGTGGTTCTGGTGATAGTCTGACCTTCCTAGCCTTTGTGGTGCTGTTTTGGTCGCTTGACTTAGCCTCTCCCCTGGGGCTTCCATGGGTCCCCACTGATGTTGCTCGAGGGCAGCAGGAGCTCCTTAGGCTGGGCAGCGTGCTGCCTCTGGATGGACATGGGAGTCTCTGCGCACAGGACCAAGAGCTTCCCAGGCTGGGTGTTTGTTTTACACCCCTGCCTCTGAGGGGTGGAACATTTCAGCATCACCGTCAGGTGCGTGGAGTGTGGCTCCTGTGCCGGTGTCCGCCCCTCCCCTCGGATGGCTTCCCTCAGTGGGGAGAGGAGTCCCGTGACCAGTGGGGAAGGAGAGTGCCTCCTAGGCCAGGTGCTGGTGATGGTGGTCCCACTTGCTGGATTCCCTTGGTGCAGGGTGTGTCTAGTTTGTGGGAGGGGTGTCTCAGGTCCGCCTGATGGGGAAGGAGAGTGCTTCTGGGCTGAGGGATCTCTTGCTGATGTCCCTACCTGCTGATTGTTAGTAGGGCTTGGGCTCGCCTGGTGTGGTAGGTGGAACTCCTACTCAATCCAGGGCAGAATAAGTGTACCTGGGTTGCCTCTGTTGCTAGGCAGGGAGTCAGGAAGCATCAGGCCTGTGTCACCTCCCGTTGGGTGGGGGGTCGTAAGAACACCCTGTTGCTGTGTTGGTCCTCCAGTCCTGAGGCCCTAAGCCAGTTTGCTTTCCTCTTCCACCTTTCAGAGTCCTCCTTTGTCTCTAGGGTTCTCTCCAGGGTTTATGGTTGTGCTTAGAGGAGAGGAACAGGGAGAGACAAGTGTGTGCCATTTTGTCCTGGCCAGAAATTCCTTCTGGCTGCTTGAAAAATCTTCTCTTTGTCTTTGGATTTCGTCAGTATTACTGTGAGTTCTTTGGTCTGTAGATGTCTTTTTTTGAATCCTGCTGGCATTTTGTAGTGCTTCTTGAGACTATGGTTTCATGAGCTTCACAAGTATTGGAAGATTCTCATCCATTATATGTTTACTGTTTCTGCCCCATTTTTTCTTCTCCTTCCTGGGCCTCCAATTACATGTCAGTGGCACAGTGTATGTTATTTCTGTCTCATTGTTCTTCACTCAGGATGCTTTAATTCTCTTATCTGTATCTAATCTATTCATCAGCCCATTGTATAAAGTTAAATTTAGTTACTATGTTTTTCTGTTCTACAACCTTTCTTTTGTTTTGTTTTCCTTTTCTTCTTTCTTTTCCTCTTTTTTTCCTTTCTCCTTTCCTTTCCTTCTCTTTTCTTTCTTCCTGCCTTTCCTGCCTTTTCTTTTTCTTTTTTGTTTTTTCCTTTCTCCTTTTCTTTTCTTTCTTCCTGCCTTTCCTGCCTTTTTTCTTTTTTTCTTTTCTTTCTTTCATCTCTCTCCTTCTCGTCTCTCTTCTCTTCTCCTTTTCTTCTTTCACTGTCCTCCTCTCTCCTTCTCTTCTCTCTTCTCTTCTTTTCTTCTTTCAACAGGATCTCATTCTGTCTCCCAGGCTGGAGTGCAGTGGTGCATTCATGGCTCACTGTAGCCTTGAACTCCTGGGCTCAAGTGATCCTCCAGCTGCAGCTTCTTGAGGAGCAGGGACTACAGGCAGGTTCTACTTTGCCCGCCTAATTTTTAAAACTTTTTGTAGAGATAGGGTCTCATCATGTTGCCTAGGCTGGTCTCAAACTGCTGAACTCAAATGATCCTCCTACCTTGGCCTCTCAAAGTGTTGAGATTATAGATGTGAGCCACTGTGCCCAGCCTATAATTTCTGATTAGTTCTTTTTTTTTTTTTTTTTTTGAGACAGTCTTGCTCTGTTGCCCAGGCTGGAGTGCAATGTTGTGATCTTGGATTACTGCAACCTCTGCTTCCTGGGTTCAAGAGATTCTCCTGCCTCAGCCTCCCGAATAGCTGGGATTACAGGCGCATGCCACCATGCCTGGCTAATTTTTGTGTTTTTAGTAGAGACGGGGTTTCACCACGTTGGCCAGGATGGTCTCCAACTCCTGACCTCGTGATCCACCCGCCTTGGCCTCCCAAAGTGCTGGGATTACAGGAATGAGCCACTGCACCTGGCCATGATTTGTTGTTTTCTGAAAAAATTTGTTTATAGAGATGGGATCTTGCTATGTTGCCCAGGCTGGTCTCCTGGGCTCAAGTGATGCACTGCACCTGACTTAGCTTTCCAAAGTGCTGGGATTCCAGGTGTGAGCCACCACACCCAGCCTATTTTGTTCTTTTTCTAATCTGTCAAGTTCTTTTTTCTTCTTCTTTTGATTTTTTGTAATTTCCACTTTTCTGTCCAAAATTTTAATCGTGTCTTTTTTGTTGCTATTGTTTGAAGCATGGTAACTGAAAGTCTGTGGCTGGTACCTCAAGTTGTGGGGTCCTGCGGGCCTGTTTCGTCACCTTTGGTCTTCAGCAGTTTATTATGAACCATGTCTGCACACGGTTTTCTTTGAGTTTATTCTGTTTGGGGTTTTCTAGGCTTCCTGAGCCTGTAAATTGGTGTCTTTCACCAGATTTGGGGAGATTTGGGCCATATTTATTCATATACTTTTTTGCATCAACCTTTTCTCTACCGACAGTGTTGGAACTTTTGACATCGTCTCATACTTCAAGACTTGCCATTTTATCCCATCAGTTTCTTCTCTCTGTTCTTCAGATTGGATTCTTTCTATTGATCTATTTTCATATTCACTGACTCCTCTGTCGTTGCCATTCTGTTGAGCGCATCCAGTGAATTTTATGTTGCCATTGTACTTTTTAGTCCTGAAATTTTCGTTCTAGTTTTTAATTTCTCTGCTGAGATCTCTATTTTTTCATATATTTTAAGAGAGTGTAGCTTTACCTCATGGAACTTATAATAGCTGTTTTAGAGTCTTTGATAACTAACATCTGGGTCATTTTGGGGTTGGCCTCTGTTGGTTGTCTCTTCCTTTGAAAATTGGTCACATTTTCCTGGTTCTTTGTTGAATAATTATGGATTGGGCTCTGTGAACATTGGGCTCTGTGAACATCATGCTGTGAGACTGGTTTCTGGGTCCTGTTAAAGTCCTTTGGATAACGTTGATTTTGTTTTGCAGCTGGGTTGCAATAAACCCCATTGGGTTCAGCCCAGGAGTCCGTTTTGCTGTCATGGGTGGTGGCTGCAGTGTTGGTTCAGCTTCCACAGCTTTTGCCTGTGGCCCCGGGCCTGCCCAAGGCACACACAGCTCAGGAGTAAGCCCAGATCTTGCAGGCTCATACACGTCTCTGGGGATCCCTCTCCAGCTCTCCTTTTGTGAATTCCTTACACACTTTCTGGCTCCGAGGAACCTTCTTCCTCAGCCTCTGCCTAGAAAGATGGGCTTTCCTCCTTCCTTACCCCGTGCCTAGGCTTCCCTGTTTCTGCTGCTCATGCTGCCACTGCACAGCTCTGTGACTGCAGCCAGCTGGGTCAGGCTGGGAGAGAAAAGTGGGAGCCCTCAGGATTCCCCCTCCAGCTTGTAGGGGCCCCTTTTCCTCGTCCTCTAGCCAGAGAAAGACAGGGTTTCTCTCTGAGCCTGGCTGTCTGGGGCTGCCCTCAGGTCCAGCCAGGGCAGAAAAGAGAAAACGAACCTGAGGAGTCCCCTGTTTTGGGTTCCTTCTTCAGGATGGACCCTCCTCCCCAGTGTGCCTGCTGCAGCTTACTTTCCAGAGTCCTTAGGTAGGTGTTTGTCTTTTGTCCAGAGTTTTTAGCTGTTGTCAGCGGGAGAGAGGGGCTGTCTTGGACTGTCTTCATCTTGGCAGGCTTCAGGAGTCTGGGAGCTTGCTTCTGTTACTGTTTCTGCTGGCTTTTGCTCATGATGTCTTGTCATTTTGCTTAACTGACCATTGTATGTGAAAGATTTTGGAAACAGTCTGAGGCCTAAGATATAATCTTTTCCCAGGGGGAGTTTCCGTTGGCTTCCAGCGGTCCCTTGGAGACAGGAACAGATCTGGTCACCCCACGCGAGGCCCTGGTGGAGGTGCCTCAGAGCCGTGCTCTAGTCCCCTGAGGCTGGGCTGCTTCACGTTTGCTCCTGCTCCTGGGTGCAGCCCTTCAGGTTACCCACCCAGAGTATGTGGTAGGCGTCATTGGGCAGGCCCTAGAGTCCAGATTTTGTCCTTAGAAAGGTGCGGTGCCAGAAACACAGCCTGCCGTCTTTACCACCTCTCCTGGCACGGACAGCTCCTCCCAGGCGCCCTCAGGGGGAAACCGCGGTCCAGGAAGAGGGACGGGTTCTCTGGATTGCGTCTTCTGCCTGAACTTGGCCTGGTGATTCCTCACCACCCAGTTGGCCGGCCAGAGCCTCCCGCAGGTGTGAATTGTGTGTGTGGAGCCTCTGTGGCTGTGAGTTGTGTGTGTATAGCCTCCTGCAGGTGTGGATTGTGTGTGCAGAGGCTCTGTGGGTGTGAGCTGTATGTGTGTGGAGCATTCCACAGGTGTGAGTTGTACATGCGGAGCCTCCATGGGTGTGGGTTGGGCATGCGGAGCCTCTGCGGGTGTGAGCTGTGTGCACTGTCCTACTGTGTCTGCCACGGGGGCTTACTGGCCTAGCACAGGGTCCACCGTGCCTGGAAGGAGGCTCCCTCCCATCCCACCCCGAGGGGCCTCCCATGCTCCTTTGCCCACCTTTGCTCCATGCCTCCTTTCCAGGCTCAGGCTGTGCAGTTTGTGTTTCGGTTGCAGTGGTTGTGGCCCTTGGGGGCCTCGAGATTTCTTCGTGAGCTCAGGGGAGCGAGCTACGGGTGGGAGCTTACGGGGAGAGGACCTGGTGCCAGCACCTTTCCTGCTGGGTTTCTGAGGTGTGAATGAGGGTGGCCGGCCGGGCCTCAGGTGCAGAGCCTCTGGCCTTAGAGTTTGTGCTCCACTCTAACCATCCCATGCGCTCCCACGGCCTCTCAGAAGAGCTCAGGGGAAGGAGGAGGAGGGGCTATGAGGGTTGCCCCTTAGTGTCTGCCTCCTGGCCCAGTGAGGTCTCTGTCACTGCGCTCATGAGATGGCCCAGGGCAGCTGCTAGCAGGCAGGCTCTGCAGCCCCTCCAGCCTCTCCTCACCAGCACGTGGCCTCTGCTCCGGGCTTGGTCTTTTCTCCACACTGGGGCTTCTCTTTGCTGGGAGTTCTCTGAGTTTCTGTGAGAGTTTTTGTTTCGTTCGGGCTTCTGCCTGTGCTTCTTGGAGCATTGTTCCATGGTCACTTTGAATTCCTTGTCAGACAGTCCCAACCTTGGGACATTGCCTTTTCTCCTGGAAGTTGCAGGTTTTCCTGTGGGTCTTTCTTTTTTGTTAAGGAGCTTTGGGTTGTGTGTTGGGCATTTGCAATATTGTATTTGGAGGCCGTGGGTCCTGTTGGAGGCCTGAGGTGTTGGTTTTGGTTTGTTCTAGCAGGTAGTCCACCCAGTTACGTCGAGACTGCAGGCCCTGACCTGCTCCTGGGGGCTACATACAGTTGAGCGTAGGTTTCATTTTCGGTCTTCGTCCTGCCGCTCTGGCTGGGCTGTGGGCTGTGGCCCTCAGAGTGGCTGCTGTGCCACTGTAGTTGCTTCAGGAGTGGCCAGGATGTGACACAGATTTAGAGGGTCTCCCTATCCAGCCCCCTCTTCTCTGGGATCCTCTCCCCTCTCTGAGGGTTCCCGAGGGTCTCCCTTGCTGGCCTTCTGGCTGGAAGCCAAGTCTGCACCTGAGCCTGGTGTGGCATGCCCGGGCCAGCGCCCTGTGGGGTGTGTGCTTGTCTGTGCACCTGGCGCTCCGCTGTCAAGGTGCAGTTTGTTACTGGTTGTCCCTGGGTGGGGGTCAGGTGGTCTTGGCCCTGTGGGGACCATTACATCAGCTTTTCTTACCCTTGTGTCTGGCCTCTCCAGGATGGAGCTGGGGCGTGGACTACTGGTCGCTTTTACCTTGAGTTGGAATTATTTCCGTTGACTCCTTATATCCAAACAGGAAGAGTATCCACGTTTTCCAGGTGGAGACACTCACCTTTGGGGCCTCTGCAGAGGTGACTTTCTCAGTGTCAAATGCAGATAGCCAGGCCGCCCACGGGGACATTCTGGGAGAGCTGGTCTCAGCTCCCAGGTGGCTCAGACAAGCAACAGAGCAGAGACTCACTGTCCTGCACGTCTCTGGGCTGTGCCTGGCACTGCAGTGGCCTGGTCTTTTTTCCTGGGGCTGAGTTGGAGGCTACGGGAGTAGCTGGCTTTAGGTTGGGCAGTGGCCACAGTTGTAGCACCTGCCAGAGGGGTCTTTGCCGTGTGCTGCCGTGGAAGAGCTGGCGGTTGGTGTGGACACCTCCTCCCGAGCCCCGTGCAGGTGCCGCGGGAGGGCTGCAGTCGACAGATGGCCACTTCCTGACCTGCCTTTTCATCCTCATTGCAGTAATAGCGACGGAAGGAATAACAGCTGAGACTCCCGTGTGCATCCACAGAGCTTATGCTCAGCTGGCGCAGGGCAGGAGATAGACCCTTTCGTTGTTCGGAACGGACAGGTAGGGGGCCAGGGTTCAGAGGGATCCAGTAAGAGGCCAAGCTGGGACTCTGGGCCAGGTGGCTGTGCTGGGCCCTGCCCTTGGGAGACCCCAGCGCTCCAACTCCTGCTCTCCGTCAGTTGCCACCCCTCTGAGTTCCTCCTGCACTTAGTGTTGACCTCACTTCCACTGCAGACTGGTTAGAGTCTTCTGACCCCTTCCCAGGGCCTTTCTGTGTGGCTCCCGCCGAGGCCTGCCCCACAGCAGTCCAGCAGCCACTGCGAATGCGTTGCTCATGGGTACTGACGTAGCAGTCCGAGGAGTGACAGTGCTGCCACCCTGACAGTGCCGTTGCCGACTCTTGTCTCCAGTCTCCATGGGCCCCTGCCCTGCCCGTGTCCTTGTTTGACTTTCACTCTGCCCCCTGTAGCCGCACTTCTCCCCACTTCCTCCAGGCTGGGCCCTCCCACTCAGCAGATGCCCTGCCTCCTGCTTAACATAGTAAGACAAACTGCAGGTGCTGATGGGCCGCCCACCCCTTCCCTGCGTCTGTACCCTGACCCAGTGAAAGACACTGCCCTACCTGGGCCCTGCATCCCTCCCCTCCGCCTCCCGAGGGGCCTCCTTTCTCAGGAGCAGCCTCCTCCTCTTCAGCCTCTCCCATTGATTGGGTTTTCTTTCGTCACCGTTTCTCCAATCCTTAAAGCAGACACATCTTTTTTGGCCACACTTTCCCCTCAGAGCAGAGGCACAGTTCCCGCTGTTCTCACTTCCTTCCTTCTGTGCCTGCGGCTGTCTCTTCACCAGTTCTCAGAATGCTCTTCCCGAGGCTGCCAGCTGAGTCCGGCGGGCTCTGTGGTCTTCATGCATGCATCCTTCTCAGCCTTCCTTGGTGCACACTGCCCCTTCAAAACCTCCTCTGGCCTTGGCAGCACCATGTTCTGGCCCCGCCCCGTTCTCTGTTCACTTGTCCGTTTCTTTGGCTTCTCTCCCGACATCTGTCCCGTGGGCTTGGTGTCCTCAGGTTGCCTTGACCAGCTTCTCCCACTGCGCCCGGCTCTCACTGGATGACTCGTCCCCCTGGGCATCGATGGCTGTGTATATGTAATGGGTTCCAAAGCACGTCTCCAGCTGGTCCCTTTACTCTTGCGCTTCCAGTCTCTACACCTCTCCATTGCAAAGCTCCCCTTGGGTCCCACAGGCTCATCTCTCCTGTCCCCGACTGCCCTCCTCCTCCACACTACTGGTTTCCTGTCTTAGGAAAAGGGACCGTCCTGCTCCAGGCTGGCAGGAATTATAAGTTTGGTGTTTTTGTCGTACTGCATCAGGCACAGGCCTGCTGCTCACGCCTCCTGGGCAGTGGTTCCCCTTCCCGGGGCTGCCTGCCTGTGTCAGCCTCCATTGTCTCTCCTGGCGGTGACCACAGCAGCCTCCTGGGTCCACGCTCATTCTCCACTCTTGTTTACGGGGAGCTCCAGCAGATGGGATCTCCTCGTCCTCTGGCTTGTCTGACCCCCTTACTTGATGTGGTCTCATTGCATTCCTTGTGTGCCCGCCTAAGCCTGTCTCGCTCTGCTGACAGATCCCGCAGGGCCCAGGTCCTCCCAGCGCAGGCACGCACAAGAGCCTGGTGAGCTAATGAATGAAACATCCAGTTTGCCTCTTCCGCGCAATTCTGAACTGCTGTCACTTGCTGAAATTCTCTTAACAGGGTCATTTTCATGTTTTCCTCTCGCTCCTACCCACCCCCCTACTGGCTGCTTCCTTCCCTAAGAAACTTCTCCACCTGCACATCCCACTGCCCCACTGCCCCACTCCTCAGTGCGGGACTGGTGTCTCCTGCACCCCAGTCCCCCAGCACTCATCCTGTGTGACACCCTCCACATTGCGTGGAAATTACCTGTTGACTTTTCAGTTGTCTTACGAGGCTCAGCCTGAGAACAGTGACTTTATCTCTTCCTGTTTGACTCCCTGGCATTTTTGTACATTTTCTGGCTCACATGGGTACTTAATAATTGTCGAATGAATGTGTATTAATTCTAACAGTCTTACTGGTTTGTAGAAAAAACAACAAGAAACTATTAGAAATACATTGAAGGCATCACAAAGTTTTTTTTTTTTTTTAAGTAGGTATTGATTTTGATAGAACGTTAAACGTTCTAGAACTGTGCACATCCAGCTCTCGCAGTAGTTGCTTTCACTGAAGCCAGTTACTCATGGACAAGTGCAGTGTCTGAGGGCAGAACTGCCACAGCAGGGCCATGGAGGAGTGTGGCCACTGTCACCCAGTTGGGGGTCTGGCCAGGGTCTTCCTTAGGCCGGATGGAAAGGAGTAACATACAGTTAGGAGGGCTTCACCACAGTCTGAAGCTTGTATCTTTAGTAAGTGCGTCATTTTCCTTTAACTCTCATTTTCCTGCATCTGAAATTTATGTGAATTAGTTGTGTTATGCATATTCATATATGATTCAAAAAGGTGATTATATGAATCACTTTATATTGATTAATTTTAAAAGTGGGTCACCCTATGGCAAACGTTTCTACTTGGTAGATTGTAAAAGAGAAACTTAAATCAGAGCCATGGTTGCTTTTTCCTGTCTGGCCAGGTTTCTGCATCTGTGAGGTAGGCTCTGCCATTCTCCCTGGGGCTCACCCTGCTTCCATCTAATGCCAGCCCTCCACTTACGTGCCTGTCCCGTCTCCCACTCTGCACAGAGCCATCACTCTGAGGGGTCCCCTGGGGCCTTTCTCCTCAGCTGTGCCAGTTTCTGCTCTCCTAGGGGGACTGCATCACAGTTGTCTAAGTGGGAGGAGAGGGTGGCTTGGACCAGGCCGGTTAGGCTCGAGGTGCCCCCAGACATCTACATGGAGATGTCAGATAGGCAGTTCAGGGAAGTGATCAGGGCCAGAAATGTACATTTGGGGATGACTGTGTGTCTGTGGTATTTCTAGCCATGAGACTGAATTAGGTCATTAGGGAGGAGTGAGATAGGAAGTGCCCCTTCCAATATTTGGAGAAGTGAGGGGCAGCTGGCCTAGGAGATGGGGATGGAGCAGGCAGCGAGATGGGAGGAAGAGGCCAGGTACCCCGAAAGGAGAAAGGCAGCTCCCTCCAAGAGCCCTGACTAGGTGGGCTGCTGGTGTGGTCAGTTGAATAAGAGGAAGGCTGAGAGTGACTGTCGCATCTTTCCCCGCAGCCGGTGTGAACTGCTGCAAACGTTTTCAGGTTATGGGATCCCTTGCTCAGTGCCCTCCCCTGACTTCCCTCCACGGCCCATGGGTGGAGGGAACTTGGACAAACATGGGCCCACAGGCCGCCTGTTTGTCCCTGGCCACCTTGCTCTTGTTTCCTGGGACGTCTCACTCCGGCGTGTGCGGGGTGGCTCTGTGCTCACCTCTGCAGGTCAGCTTTCCTTGAGCAGTTTGTAAGGACAGCAGAAGTCTTCCCGTTGTGCTTGGCATTGGGGCCTGTTCCTTGTGTTACTGCTGTGCTCTGTTGTATTTCAAAAGTTCCAATGATTTCAGATTAGGGGGCTACTCGATGTGGTCAGCAAGTATAGGATTTGAGTCTGTTAACATCCACTAAGCCAGCCTTCCATAGCTGGAGCCCTGGCTGCCCTTGGGTTGCCGTGATGACCTAATCATTGTGTACAACCATGCTTAAAACAAAAATGCTGTGTAAACGGTGACTGCTGCCGTTTAGAAGTAAACCAGCTATGAGGTGCTCAGATTGTGGGGAAATGACCAGACTCCATGGGACCATAATGAAGTGACTCAGGGCTCAGGAAAATAGTGAAGGAAGCCAGAAGAGATGGCAGCAGAGAGAGAGGGGTGCTGTGGGGAACCATCGCCACAGCTGGTTCTTCCCCTGGGGAAGAGCTTAGGAGAGCTTGGCTCGGAACACAAGACAGGTTTGTTAGTGTCCCCATGAATGTCTCTAGTGTTACTGGTTGTCTGAACGCTAGGAGTCAGTGGGGTTTCTTCATGAGCTGTTCTGTGGAGGTGGTAGTCCTTTCTAAACTCTGTGGAGGTGGGAGTATCTGCACCTCCTAGCAGAGTGTTGGGCGCGGGGCACATTAAAGACCTGGGGGTCACGTGTTTCCGAAATGTGTCTGACTGCAGACATCCCTCGTCCTCCGTCTTTAGTGGGACAGCCGTTGATGTCTTGTGAGACAGTGTGAGGGGCATAGTGGCAAGGCTAGAAAAGTGGGTGAGGCCAGCTGTGACACATTCGGTGTCCCGTGTGTATGCTGCTCCTGCGCTGTTTGTGTGGGAGGCGGCGTATGTTGCAGCCGGAAGTATACAGTAGGCTCTCTGGATCAGATTGTGTGGGTTCAGGCTGGTCTCTGCCTCCTGTGGCCTTGAGCACTTACTTTCTCTGTGCCTCAATTTCTCATTTGTAATGTGCAGATGGTAGTCCTCATTTGAGGGAACTGCAGTGGCAAGATTAAGTAGCGTGGTTCATGTCAAGAGTTTGATGCTGCCTGGTCCAAAAATGGATAAAGGCTGATTGCTGCTGCTGCTGCTGTGTCGTCATGGTTACAGTGGCACCACGCCTGCCTGGCTCCCTCTTCTGTAAAGACCATGGGTGTTCACCCTCTGTTATCACTTCTGATTTTCATGTCAGAAAGAGGATGCTGGGCTCCCTCCCCGGGCTGATGCCAGCCCTGCCCACATGCTGTCTCCGCTGGTGTCCCCAGGCACTACATGGTCCTAGCCTGTGCTGGTTTCCCCTCAGCCCCATTAACACACTCAGGGCTCCCATGTCTACCTTCTTACTGCTGTTAAGTTAGGACAGTCATCCTTTGAGGTCACGGTGGAGGTCACGAAATGATTTCAGTTGTCTGTGTTCACAGAGTAGTCTGAGATGCTACAGTTAGTTGCCTTTGTAAGTACAGAAGACAGTAGAATTATTGAAAAGCCTAGAGCCTTTTCACGTTGTTAGTTGCTCATTTAATCAATCAATCAATTATTTTTTTTGACACTTGGTCTCCCTGTGTTGCCCAGGCTGGAGTACAGTGGCACAGTCATAGTTCACTGCAGCCTTGAACTCCTTCCTTTGGGTCTTGTGTGTGGCACTCACCTGGTCATCCCCTCCCTGTCTTAGATAACATCCCTGAGGACCTCAGAGACCCTTTCTACGTTGACCAGTATGAGCAGGAGCACATTAAGCCGCCTGTTATCAAGCTTCTCCTGTCCAGCGAGCTGTACTGCCGTGTCTGCAGCCTCATCCTGAAAGGGGACCAGGTGGCCGCCTTACAGGGACACCAGTCTGTCATCCAGGCCCTGTCCCGGAAAGGGATCTATGTGATGGAGAGTGATGACACCCCCGTGACAGAGTCCGACCTCAGTCGCGCACCCATAAAAATGGTGAGTGGTCTGCGGTGGCCGCCCCCAGGGGCCATCCTCTGGAGCCGTGGGCTCTCGTGTGGCGCACCTGGTGCATGGATGGTGTGAACACGGTGTGCGGCGAGGTGGTGGAGACCCGTGCTTTTGCACACTGGCGTTCCTTAGGAAACTGCATATCTTTTAAAGCACATGACTGTTGTGGAGAATGGGGAAAAGAGAGCTTTCATTGAGCTCTTTTTCTCATTGGGAATGCTCTGTGAATGCTGAGATTGGAGTGAGGCCTGTTAATAAAAATACTTGAAGCAGACTTTTTACAGATGAGAAATGTAATTGTTGCACCCATTCTGTTAGGTTGTTTCATGCATACTTTGTGCTAAAATAACTCAGTCTGCCTTTTTCTCCCCCAAGTATCCCACCCCCATCTTTCTCTGAAGCCTTGCTACTGGTGTGCCTTTTCCAGAGCGTTCTGGGTCAGGGCCATTCTCGGTGCCTCCTGCACTGCCTTTGTTTGGTTGCTCCCATGGCGTTCCCGGTGAGACTGCGGGTGCCGTGCGGTGGTTGAAGAGAGTGTCATTCCTGTCGAATGAGGAAGCTGCACTAAGGCGTGGTGCAGCTGTAGCAGGTAGAGCTCTGGACTAGGAGCCAGAGGCCTCTGGTGGGCAGTTGGCCTGGGGCAGGTCTCCTGTCTGCCTTCCCACAACCACGACCTGGGAGCTGCACCGCCTTTCCTGGGAGTCCCACAGGGCTGTTGAGGAGATAAGAAAGGACAGTGTGAGACAGTGCACTGTGGGCCACAGGGCTGGCCTGCCTGCCTGAGAACGGACTCCTGGTTCCAGACGGTCTTGAGGCTTGACCAGAAATGCCAGGCTTGGAACAGTGATGGTGCGGGGGAGGCAGGTCTCAAATCTGAGTATCTCTTCAGACGGAAAGGGCGAGGGATGAAG
This sequence comes from Homo sapiens, assembly GCF_000001405.40. NCBI lineage: Eukaryota > Metazoa > Chordata > Mammalia > Primates > Hominidae > Homo > Homo sapiens. Next base: position 135,881,892 of record NC_000009.12, on the reverse strand, counting down.
AAATTAGGCCAGAATGCTGAGTATGAGCAGGTTCCCTGCATCAGAACCTGGTAAGAGGGGTGGGTTTGAGGGATTATAGCTGCTGCCTCTGCCCCTAGAGTGCCCACATGGCAATGGTGGATGCCCTGATGATGGCCTACACTGTGGAGATGATCAGCATCGAGAAGGTGGTGGCCAGTGTCAAGCGCTTCTCAACGTTCAGTGCCTCGAAAGAACTTCCGTACGACCTCGAGGATGCCATGGTGTTCTGGATCAACAAGGTGAGTGCCCTGCCTAGATGTGGTGTGTGACTCTGCTTCTGTGGCCGGTCTCCTTTTCACTTGAGAGCAGCACACCTTGTCTGTCACGCTGAGACCCAGCCCTTCATTTGGGACCAGTCATATTTTGTGTCCAGAAATGTGTCTGCTGTAGTTAAAAAGAAGCAAAGCAAGCAGGTGTTTCTCCCGCAGGCCGAGAGTAGAGGGTGATGAATTTATATCTGAAAATGCAGCACATGTCGGTACTTTGAGTGCCTTTAAATTTTTTTTTTTTTTTTGAGACAGGGTCTCACTTTGTCCCCCAGGCTGGAGTACAGTGGCACGATCATGGCTTACTGCAGCCTTGACCTCCCAGGCTCCAAGTGATCCTCCTGCCTCAGCCTCCTGAGTAGCTGGGATCACAGGCACGTGCTACTATGCTTGGCTAATTAATTTTTTTATTTTTTTTAATTTTTAGTAGAGAGGGAGTCTCACTGTGTTGCCCAGGCTGGTCTCGAACTCCTGGGCCCAAACAGTCCTCCCTCCTTGACCTCCTGAAGTGCTGGGATTACAGGAATGAGCCACCACACCTGGCCAGTGAATAATTTCTTTTTATTTTCATAGTATGCACCTATATGCAATAAAGGAGTTTATCAAAATGCCTTCAGAAGCATTTTGATTATTAAGGAAAAAAAATGGCATTTTCCCAAATGCTGTTTTCTCCTTTTACATTTAGAAGCTCATAGTGTAATTTTAAATACAATATATGTAAAGAATGTTTACTTTTAGTAGTGTCTAATGATTTATAAGGTTACCTTACCGGAGCCTTTGGTTAGTAAGCATCCTGATATGCAAAAAGGTGTTTAAGTTTGCGCATTAACACAGCAAAGGAACTAGAAGGTTGTGTGGCCCCATGTGAGGCTGTATTAGCGCGCCTGAATAAGAGGCTCACGCAGGATGGTTCTGGAGTTACTGATAGTTAGCTTGCACATGCAGAGCCAGGCCGGTGCTCCATCTGCTGGCTCCCTGGAAGACCCCTCCGTCGCTGTGAAAGGCGGGTCTTTGTCAGGAGTTGGCAGACGTTTGTGTTTCGACTTTTTCTAAGACAGTTGCCCTGCTCTTGAGCTGTTTTCCTACCCAAGCTTGGGGTTGGTGAACCAGGTGGATGGGCAGACTCCTTACATTTCCTTATCCTGCGGTGAGGTAGGGACAGAAAGCCACAGGGTTTTCTAGGACTCAGTGGAGCCTCCGGGCCCTAGTTCAGATTTGGGTGTCAGCCAGTAGCATCTCTGCCCCACTCTGCCTCTACCCATGAGGACGCCTCTTGGTGGTGAGCGCCATGTCTCACTCATCCCTGGCTCTCACCTGGCGGCGTGCATGTGGGAAGTGCTTGCAAGAATTCTGTGGAAAATGGTGTTCAGGCCTAGTTCACATTTCCAGAGGAGCCTGAGCTTCGGGGACGCTCCTGTAATGCTAGTGGAAGCTTCCTGTGATCAAAAGTCAAATTTTAGCTTTTCTTTAATATCTTTTATTGATTTTTCCTCGTATTAGAAATGACATAGTTATAGAAAATGTAGAAACTATGGATGAACAAAAAGAATAAAATGTAAATTACCCGTAATCTTATCACCTATGAAAATGGTTAACATTTTGGTAAAAATTCTGATAGTTTTTCTTGATTTGTATGTGTTATATAGGCCTACAACACAGTGGGGAGCCTACTGTGCTTTCTGTCGTAAGCCACGTTTCTGCTTGGTACGGTACTGTGCAGTGAGTTTCTGCTCATTGGCCAGATATCTGATTTCAGCCGTTCCAGTGACTCCCCTGTGGCCCTTCTGTGATCTCAGTGTTGCTGGAGGTCAAGTTGTCTCCTCTCCATCTGTGCAGTAGTCTCCGTCCAGCCACGATGATTTCCCTCAGGCCACGTTCCTGCGAGGGGAATGGTTGTTCATATTTAAGGACTTTGTTTTTTGTTTGCTTGTTTTTTTTTGGCCAAATCTGAACCTAAAGATTGTAACATTTTCCTTTCTATTAGTTTGTGTAGGTGTCTTTTCCCATGTCTTCCCATATCTTGGGCATTATTAAAAATTACTTGCCCATTTGAAAGGTGAAAAATAGTGTCTTTTTCTATGGTAAAGACATAGAAAAACTTAATTCTGGGTAAAATTGCAGATTCTGGGTAAGAGCATCTGTCCCTTACTCTCCTTCTCTGGTGAATCACTTGTTTGTTATCTTTGCCCGTATTTTTTTGGGCAAGAGGGTATGTTTCTTTTTCCCCTGCTTGGTCACGTTTCTCATTTGCTGTGCATTTGTAAGTGACTTTTCAGGCTGTTGCTGGCCTCTGTGTTTCTGTGGACTTGGCAGATAAATAGAAGGTGGTCTCCTTGTAACCAGAGACATCATTTTCCTTCCATGCTATTCTCGTTTCTACCTCTGTATTTTAAAGAAATACATTGTATTTCCGGCTCCTGACTCCTCATTTGTGGACATGATCTACTGAGGTAGGATTGTGACAAATGGCAATTACAGTGATTACAGTTTCCATGGCCCTCCACTCCCCTCCTCCTCATTCCCCTGCGGTTGCATTGACAGCTTTGGACACGTTCACAGTCAGACTTGATGTTCCTGTGGTCAGGCGCCCATTTTCACAACTCATGTTCCTTTCCTTGTATTATGCTTTGTTTTTCCTGGAGTTAATACTTGGTTTAGTTTTCATGACCTTTTCTTTTTTCTCATGCATTATTTACATTTGTATTCAGTGTTTTCCATATTTTACTGTTTTCTTGCCATTTCCATATGAATTTAAGTTCCTTACGTTAGTGGTTTCTCCTTATGTGACTTTCTCCCGGGTGCGAGTCCTCACTGCAGGATGCGATACCGGCTGAATGCTTCCAAAGCACCTTTTGCAGTGTGAATGCCCGGGTGTGTAGGAAGTGCGAGTTCCCCGAGCAAACTCTCTCACCCGCGCTGTGTTCCTAGGCCCTCTCCGGTGTGGGTTCTCAGATGCTTCACTGGCTTCGAGCTGTGCCCCAAAGCTTTCACTCTACAGGTGGGGTTTCTCCCCATTGGAAATTGCTGCATGTTTAATAAGCTTGGGGCTGTTGGTACGATTTCCATAAGGGTGAGTTTTTTCTCCAGCATCAATTCTTTGATGCATAAGGTCTGAATTCCCTTTGGGCATAGATACCATGTTTCCAAGATGCCTGCTGTGCGCAGGTGCATTTGAGTGCAGATTTCAGCTTCTCACACCCACACCTGGGTAATCCCTCCTTGGGTTTGGCTCTGTGTCGTCCTCTGCAGCATCTGTGGGGGAATGGCCATGTTCTGAGTCTCTCCTCCTCTGTGGCATCCCTCTGGGACTCTGTCCTGCCCCTGCCTGCATGGTTGCTGCCCCAGCCACCTGCATGTCTGCCATCCTGGACTTTCCCTCCCTTCACCTCTGCTCCAGGCCGCTCACCCGTCTCCTCCTGGCCGGGGTCCCTACCTGGGTGCAGGAGCCTCCCTGCCGTCTGAGGAAAGGCTAATGCTGTGCATTTCCGGGACCATTTCTGAGACAGCTTCTGAAGGGGCCTTCCTCCACCTTTCCCTGGTGATTGTGTAACTAGATGGAAGCGCTTTCCCCAGCTTGAGGGGGTTGCCCAGCTGTCTTCTCTCTTCCAGGCTGAGGAATCTGCTGCCATGCGGGTTTCCCATCCTGTATGTGACCCAGATGACCTCACTCAGGTTTTCCTCCTTCCCGGGTGCTCTGAAGTTTCACCATGAATCACCTTGCAGGGGCTCTTTTTATTTTTTATTGATGCCCAGCCAGTTGTTGTTGTTGTCTCTTTCTCTCTTTTTGTTTTTTTGGAGACAGAGTCTCGTTTTGTGGCCCAGGCTGGAGTGCAGTTGTGTCATTGCGGCTCACTGCAGCCTGACCTCCCAGGCTCAAGCAATTATCCCTCCCCAGCCTCCTGAGTAGCTGGGACTACAGGCATGCACCACCGTGCCTGGCTGATTAAAAAAAATTTTTTTTAATTAGAGATGGGGTCTTACTATACTGCCCAGGCTAGTTTTGAATTACTGGGCTCAAGCAATTCTCCTGCCTTGGCCTCCCAAAATGGTAGGATTACAGATGTGAGCCACCACTCCTGGCCTGTTTTTTTCTTTTTTTTTTTTTTTTTAAGACAGCTCTACTGAGATGTATTTTATATGAAGTCAGTGGATCTTTTTCCTTGAGTTTTGATAAGCAGTCATTTGTTTAGCATTCACCACAATCAAGGTAATGTTTCCATCACCCTAAACAAGCTCTTTCATGGTGCTTTGCAGTTAATCCTCTACCCCAATGCAGGTAACTACTCATCTGCCATCTTCACGGTGGATTAGTTTTGCTTTTTTTTTTAGGTTTTGATAAAAGTGAAGTTGTGCGGTGTGTGCTCTTCTTGTGTTTGGCTTCTTTCAGTGAACAAAGTGTTTCTGAGATTGACCTGTGGCATTGCATCTGTCAGAAGTTCTGTCGGTGCTTGGTAGAGTTCCATCGTGTGCATATACCATGGTTCGTTTATCTGTCCACCTGTTGATGGACACTTGGGTTGTTTCCAGTTTTTGCCTGTTTTGAATAAAGCTACTAGGGACATTTGTGTGCAGATATATTTTTATTTCTTTCTTTTTTTAGATGTAGTCTCACTCTGCCACCCAGGCTAGAGGGTAGTGGCAAGGTCTCGGCTCACTGCAACCTTAGCCTCCTGGGTTCAAGCGATTCTCTTGCCTCAGCCTCCCAAGTAGCTGAGATTACAGGCGCCTGCCACCACACCTGGCTAATTTTTGTATTTTTAGTAGGGACGGGGTTTCATCATGTTGGCCAGGCTAGTCTTGAACTCCTGACCTCAGATGATCCACCCATCTCAGCCTCCCAAAGTGCTGGGATTACAGGTGTCAGCTACTGTGCCCAGCAATATTTTTATTTCTTTAAGTAAAAATTTAGGAGTAGAATCTCTGGGTCATGTGATAAGTATATATAACTTAATACAAGTATGTGTAAGTTCAGTCATTAGAATAAACTGCCAAAATGTTTTCCAGTGATTGTACCATTTAGAACTCCCGCTAGCAAGATAGGATTCCGGTTGCTCTACACTTGTTACAGTCCGTCTTTTCTCTTTAGCCATTTGAGTGGATGTGTAACTGTCGCTCATTGTCGTTTTAATGTTTTCCTAATGGGTAAAGATGCTTGTCTACATTCTTTTATGAGGTGCTGCTTCAAATATTTTGCCGAATTTTTAACTGGGTTGTCTTACCAAGTTGCAAGAGTTTTTAGAAATGTATGTATTTGGGAATCAAGGGCCTTGTCAGATGTATGTATCATGAAGATCTTCTCCCAGGCCGGCCACCTTTTTGTTTTCTTAACAGTGTCTGTCAAAAAGCAAAGGTTGGCTGGGTGTGGTGGCTCACACCTGTAATCACAGCACTTTGGGAGGCCGAGGTGGGCAGATTGCCTGAGGTCAGGAGTTCAAGACCAGCTTGGCCAAAAGTGGTGAAACCGTGTCTCTACTGAAAATACAAAAATTAGGCGTGATGGCGGGCGCCTGTAATCCCAGCTACTCAGGAGGCTGAGGCAGGAGAATCACTTGAACCAGGGAGGTGGAGGTTGCAGTGAGCTGAGATCATGCCACTGCACTCTAGTCTGGGTGACAGAGCAAGACTGTTTCAAAAAACAAGCAAAGGCTTTTAAAGTTTTCTTTGTAGCCCAATTTATCAGTATTTCCTTTTATGGTTTGTCCTTTTGTGTCTTATAGAAGACATCTTTACTTACTCCAAGGTTGTGAGGAGTTTCTCCTATGTTTTCTTCTAGACGTTTTTTTGTTTTAGCTCTTACATTTGCCTCTGTGACCCACTTTGAGTTCATTTTTATGAATGATATGAGGGAAGGGTTGAGGTTCATTTTTTTCTTCATATAGATAGCAGTTCTGAAACCATTTATGGAAGAGATTTTCCTTTCCTTATTGAATTACTTTGACATCTTTGTTGACAATCAGTAAACCACATATATGTGAGTCTGTTTCTGGATTCTATTCGGTTCCACCGATCTTTGTGTCTGGTTTATAGGAATACTTGAAATTGGACAATGTTAAGTCTTCCAGCCATATCCTTTGTGTTAAAAAATAATTGTTTTTGGCTGGGCGTGGTGGCTCATGCCTGTAATCTCAGCACTTTGGGAGGCTGAGGCGGGTGGGTCACTTGAGGTCAGGAGTTCGAGACCAGCCTGCCTAACATGGTGAAACCTCATCTCTACTTAAAATACAAAAAACTAGCCAGGCATGGTGGCACATGCCTGTAATCCCAGCTGCTTGGGAGGCTGAGACAGGAGAATTGCTTGAACCTGGGAAGCAGAGGTTGCAGTGAGCTGAGATCATGCCACTGCACTCCAGCCTGGGCGACAAGAGTAAAACTCCGTGTCAAAAAAAAAAAAAAATTGTTTTCACTATTCTAGGTCCTTTGCATGCCTACCCTTAATTTTAGAGTCAGCTTGTCAGCTTCTATAAGAATACTTGCTGGGATTTTGATTGGGAATGCATTGAAGCTAGATGAATTTCGGGAGAATTGATGTGTTATTAGTATTGCATATTCCAGCCCACAGACATGCTTATCTCTCTCCGTTCTGTGTAGACCTAACAGCTTCACAGCTTCTCTCAGCCATGTTTTATGGTTTTTCAGGGTAACATTTTGTATATAGTTTAACTTTATTCTGTATCTTTTGTGTTTTGGATTCTATTATAAATGGTGTTCTCCTAATTTCATTTTCCAGTTGTTTGTTACTAGTCCGTAGAAACGTAATTAATAATTTGTATATTAACTTTATATTTTGTGACCTTGCTAAACTTATTTATTCTAGTGGCATTGAGAAAATTCCTTAAGATTTTCTACATACAAGATCATGTTGTCTGTGTATAAAGTCATTTGTATTACTATTTAATATGTATGCTCTTTTTTAATTATAAAGGTTTTTTTTTTGCCTTACTGTACTGTTTAGTACCTCAGATAGAATATTGAATAGAATTGGTGAAAGAAGACATTTTTGCTTGTATTTCATCTTAGGGAATAAACATTTACTGTATTAACCATTGAAATGATGAATGTTGGTTGTAATTTTTTTTTCATAGATGCCCTTTATTAGGAGTTCCCGGCCCCTGTGGCCCCCCCCCCCCTTTTTTGAGACAGGGTCTCACCCTGTGTCCCAGGCTGGAGTACAGGTGGTACGATCATAGCTCATTGTAGCCTCATTCTCCTGGGCTCAAGCAATCCTTCTGCCTCAGCCTGCTGAATAGCTGGGACTACAGCACACAGCACCACGCCTGGCTAATTAAAAAAAAATTTTTGTAGAGGGGATTTTGCCACGTTGCCCAGGCTGATCTTGAACTCCTGAGCTCAAAGGATCCGCCTGCCTTGGCCTCCGACGCCTGGCCAGGAGTTCCCTTCTATTTTAAGTTTGCTTAGGGTATTTTTTTCATGAATACATATTGAATTTTGTCAGATGCCTTTTCTGTATTTATTGAGATGATTATATGACTTTTCATTTTTAGTCTGTTGATACAATGAATTACAGTAATTGATTTTCAGATGTTGAACCAGCCCTTTCATCCCCAGGACAAACACAAATTGGTTGTGTTTATTATTTATTTTATATATTGACGGATTCGATTTGCTAATATATTGTTGATGATTTTTGTGTCAATGCTCTCGGCAGATACTGGTCTCTAGTTTTTTTTCTCATGATGTATTTCTCTTGTTTTGGTGTTGGGGTAATGTTGGGCTAAAAAAGTGAGTTGGGAAGTATTAAGGTAAAAGGAAATTAAATATTAAATTCACTGGTAAAGCAATCTGGGAGTGGAGTTTTCTTAGACGATTTTAATTATGAATTTAATTTCTTTAATATACATATGATAATAGATTTTCTATTTAGCATTGTGCTAGCTTTGGTAATTTGTGACTTTCAAGGGATTTGTCAGTTTTATTTAAGTAGTTGAATTTATTGGCATAAGGTTTATATTTCTTTATTTTCCTTTTAATATACCTGCGATCTGTAGTGACAGTGTCCTGTTTGTTTCCTGAGGTTGGCAATTTCTTTCATTTTTCTTTACCTTGATTAGTCCGATTTATCAACTTCATTAATCTTCTAAAAAATCTTTTAGTTTTTATTTTCTCTATTTAATACTTAATTTCCTTTTACCTTTATTATTATTTTGTATTTTGGGTTTAATTTGTTCTCCTTGTCTAGTTTTTTAAGGGGGGAGTTAGTTATTGAAGTCTTTTTTCATTTTGAAGGCAGGTATTTAAAGCTGTCGATTCCTCTCTAAGCGGCACTTCAGCCGTGCATTATATATTTTTATAGGCCATGTCTTTCATCATTCTCTTTAAAATATTTTGTTTCCCCTGTGGATTCTTGTTTTCTCACTGGGTTATCTAGAAGTCAGATGTTTAATTTTCAGATACTTAAAGAGAGGTTCTAGATAGCTTTTTGTGTTGTGGTTTCTGGTTTAATTCTGTTGTCAGGGAACATACTCTGTGATTTTCATCCTTTTAAGTTTATTGGGACTTAGGGTCCGTGACATGCCTTACCTTGCAGAATGTTTAATATGCATTTGAAAAGAATATTCTGCTGTTTGAAGGTAGAGTGTCTTCAGTGTCAGTTCAGATTGGTTGTTGGTGGTGTTTGTGTCTCCTTTACCGTTTTCCTGTCTTTAGTCCTATTACTAGGTTAATCTGAGAGGAGGGTGGAAGGTCCTGAGCTGTGCACTTGTAACCCGCCATTTGGTTCTGTCAGTTTTTACTTTGTGTATTTTCAAAGTCTGTTACGTTTACACATATTCAAGTTTTCGATATTAGTTGATGAATTAACCCTTTTGTCATTATGAGATGTTGCTTTTCATCACTGGTGGTAATCCTTGTCCCAGAAGTCTACTTCATTTAATGTGGATGTGGATTCAAGAGTGCTTGTGAATAGTGGCTGCACGGTGTATGTTTCATTCCTTTAACTTTTAACCTCTTGTTGTCTTTCTCTTTAAAGTGAATTTTTTGCAGATGCTGTGTAGTTGCTCTTGCTTTTTTATTCATCTGACAATCTCTTAGAGTGTTTAAACCAATTGCATTTAATGTGATTATCCATAAGGCTTGGTTTTACCATCTGGTCTGTTTCTGTTTATCTCTTTTCTTTTTCTTCCCTCTTTTAAGGGTTATTTTGGATTTTTTTTTAAGTACTCCCTTTTATCCTCCTGTATTTTGTCGGGGTTGCTTTAGGGTTCCTGTGTGCATCTTTAGACCGTCACAGGCTGCCTGCAAGTCAAAGTGATGCCATTGCACAAATAGCAGAAGATGCATCTTTTCCTCGCTGACCTTTGTGTTGTCATTCATTCTACCCCAGCTGTGCTGTTTTGGCTTTCTTTTATCTTTTAAAGTATTTAAAAATTGAGAACAAAAGTCATTAATATTTATCCACATAATTTCCATTTTTGTTGTTCTTAATTCCTTTGCATACATCAAGAGTTTCACACAGTTTGGTCTCAGGATCTCTTCCGTTTTTTTTTTGAGATGGGAGTTTCGCTCTTGTTACCCAGGTTGGAGTGCAATGGCGTGATCTCGGTTCACTGCAGCCTCCCTCTCCTGGGTTCAGGTGATTCTCCTGCCAGCCTCCCGAGTATCTGGGATTACAGGCGCCTGCCACTATGCCCGGCTAATTTTATATTTTTAGTAGAGATGGGGTTTCTCCATGTTGCTTAGGCTGGTCTCGAATTCCCGACCTCAGGTGATCTGCCCACCTCGGCCTCCTAAAGTGCTGGGATTACAGGCGTGAGCCACCACGCCTGGCCAGGACCTCTTTATAAATTGCTGTGGACCTCAGATAACTTACCTTTTTTTTTTTTGATAGAGCTGGGGCCTTGCTGTGTTGCCCAGGCTGTTCTCAAACACCTGACCTCAAGCGAGCTTCCTGCCTTGGTCTCCCAATGTGCTGGGATTACAGGTGTGAGCCAGTGTGTCCTGCTGAACTTGTAAAGAAAATTTTAATCTATCAATGTTTGCCATACTAGAAGTTAAAAATCAGAAAGTTTAAAAATATTTATTTAAAAATAACAGTAAGTTGATTTCATGTTAATACTAACAATGTTTTAGTGAAAAATGACTATTTTTCAAAACAAATTAGAAGGGGCTGTGTGTGGCTCACATCTGGAATCTCAGCACTTTGGTAGGCTGAGGTGGGAGGATTTCTTGAGCCAGGGAGTTCAAGACCATCCCCGACAACATAGTGAGACCCCATCTACAAAAATTATTAAAAATTAGCCAAGCATGGTGGTGTGTACTTGTAGTCCCAGCTACTTGGGAGACCGAAGCAGGAGGATTGCTTGAGCCTGGGAGATTGAGGCTGCAATGAGCCGTGATTATGCCACTGCACTTCAGCCTGGGTGACAGGGTGAGACCCCATCTCAAAATAAAGAAATAAATAAGGAAGATGGCAGTTATTTTACAATTTTGCAAGTGTCTTACTATCTGGCTTGCTAGAGGATAGCTGATTCTCCTATCTACTTTTGCATTTAATCTGTCACAATATGTTGTTGTTATTGAAGTTCATGAACAAAATCTGGCTTCATGTAGATATATAATTGGAAGAGGGGATAGTATTTTCACAGTCTTTTCTGAGAAGTATGCAAATCTGTTTTTGCTATTACACCAAAATTTGACAAACAATAGTTTCTCAAAGATTAATTATGTGGAATTTGAAACTATCATCAATTAATGTTTTTAAGAAATTGAGATATAATTTACATGCCATAAACTTCACTATTGTTAAAATGTACTAGTCAGTGGATTTTTAAATTTTTTTATTTTTATTTTTTGGAGAGAGAGACTCTGGCTCTGTCACCTAGGCTGGAGTGCCATGGTGTGATCTTGGCTCACTGCCACCTCTGCCTCCTGGGTTTAAGGGATTCTTCTGCCTTAGCCTCCCAAGTAACTGGGATTACAGGTGTGTGGTACTGTGCCTGGGTAATTTTTTTATTTTTTGTAGAGATAAGGTTTTGCCATGTTGGCCAGGCTTGCCTTGATATCCTCGCCTTCAAGTGATCCATCTGCCTCGGGCTCCCAAAGTGCTGGGATTACAGGTGTGAGCCACTGTGCCTGGCCTAGTCAGTAGTTTTTAATATATTCATAAGGGTGTTGTATTAATCTGTTTTCACACTGCCTAAAGAACTGTCCAAGACTGGGTAATTTATAAAGAAAAGAGGTTTAATTGACTCAGTTCCACATGGCTGGGGTGGCCTTGGGAAACTTACAATCATGGCGGAAGGGGAAGAGGCACGTCTTACATGGAGGCAGGCGTGAGAGAGCAAGCAAGAGTGGGGAAAACTGCCTTATAAAACCATCACATCTTGTGAGAGCCCACTCACTATCACAAGAACAGCATGGAGAAAACCTTCCCATGATCCAGTCACCTCCCACCTCGTCCCTCCCTCAACATGTGGGAATTATGGGGATTAGAGTTTGAGATAAGATTTGGGTGGGGACACAGAGCCAAACCATATCAGCTTTATAGTCATCATCACTGGCTAATTCCAGAACATTTTTATCATTCCAAAAAAACTCTGAACCTATTAGCAGCCAGACGTCATTCTCTCCTCAGCCCCTGGCAACTAGCAGTCTACTCTGTATCCATGGGTTTGCTCAGTCTGGACAGTTTTTATGAATGGTATCATACAGTATGTGATCTTCCGTGCCTGGCATCTTTCACAGAGCATGTTTCCAGGGTTCTTCTGTGTTGTAGCGGGTGTCAGCGTTTCATTCCTTTTTATGCCTGAATAATATTCCACTGTGTGCTTACGCCTCGTTTTGTTTATTCATTTATCAGTTGATGGGCATTTGTGGTGTTTCTGCATCTTGACTATTGTGAATAATGCTGATTTCATGCACAAGTTTCCTGTGTGAATACATGTTTTCATTTTTCTTGGGTATGTACCTGGGGTGGAATTGCTGGGTCATGTATTCATTCTGTGTTTAGCTTTTTGAGGAACTTCCAGACTGTCTTCCACAGCAGCTGTGCCATTTTGCATTCCCACTGGCTGCATCTGAGGGTTCTAGTTTTCCCCATCCTTGCTAACATTTGTTATTTTCTGGCTGTTTTTTTTTTTTTTTGTTTGAGACTGAGTCTCGCCCTTTTGCCCAAGCGGGAGTGCAGTGGTGCGGTCGTGGCTCACTGCAACCTCTGCCTCCTGGGTTCAAGTGATTCTCCTGCCTCAGCCTCTCAAGTAGCTAGGATTACAGGTGTGAGCCACCACACCTGACTAATTTTTGTATTTTTTGTAGAGACAGGGTTTCGTCATGTTGCCCAGGCTGGTCTTGAACTCCTGAGCTCAAGAGCTCCATCTGCTTCAGCCTCCCAAAGTGCTGGGATTACAGGTGTGAGCCACCGTGCCTGACTGTATATCTTCTTTGGAGGAATTCATACCCTTTGCCTATTTAAAAATTGGATTGTCTTTTTATGGTTGTATTGTTCTTTTATAGATTCTGGGTACTAGATCAGTGAGTTTTTATACTCTGTTATTACTATATAGTAACCATTTCTAGTTCTTGCATTCTTCCTGGACCTTTTACCCACCCAGGGTTTTGCAGCTTCATGCTTTGGTCATTCGGAAAATTGTTTCACTGAGTTATGTAGATCTTCCAAATGTTGTCACATTTCATGACACAGTATCAAAACTTACATTCATTGATATTGCCAATCTTGGCTGGGCGTGGTGGCTCACACCTGTAATCCCAGCACTTTGGGAGGCTGAGGCAGGTGGATCACGAGGTCAGGATATCGAGATCATCCTGGCTAACACGGTGAAATCCTGTCTCTGCTAAAAACACAAAAAATTAGCCAGGCGTGGTGGTGGGCGCCTGTAGTCCCAACTATTCAGGAGGCTGACGCAGGAGAATGGCGAGACATGGGAGGCGGAGCTTGCAGTGAGCCGAGATCATGCCACCGCACTTCAGCCTGGGCGACAGAGCAAGACACCATCTCAAAAAAAAAAAAAAAAAAAAAAAAAATTGCCAATCTCATCAGAAAAGCCTTTACATGTTAGGAAGTTATCTAGCTTTTGGTGGCAGAAACAAGTTTTCCAAAATTTAAATTTTTTCTGAAATTCAAATTTTATTACTGGAAAAAAGTAGTTTTCTTTTAGTGACAGACATTCATTTAAAAAAAAACAAAAAACACTTCTTTGGTTTTGAGATGATGTCTTAACATGTTTGCAAATGTGAATAACTGGTTTGTTAATGGCTCAGCTTGTAACTCAGTCAGGTGCACAGGTGCATGTCCCGAGGTCACTGATGTCATTTGGACCACAGGAGAGGTGCTTTGTGCCTGCTGACCATGTGGTCATGGAATACAAAAGAAGTTGTACTATAAGGTAGAGATTTAATAAAATATTTTCCATCTGTATCGTTTCCTTCAGCCTAAAAAACTTCTTTTAGCATTTTTTTTTTTTACAAGCAGTTCTACTGAATTCTCTCAGCTTTTTTGTTTTTTTTTCTGAAAAAGACATTTTGCTTTCATTTTCCAAATATACGGCTGGATATAAAATTTTAGGTTGACTGAATTTTCTTTCAGGTGAAAATATGGCTCCATTCTGTTATGCTGCTGGGGTTACTTTGTGGGATGAGGTGGGACTGGGTTCTTGCTCCAACTTTTTAAGACACTGACTTTCAACCGTTGTCTTGTCTGCAGCCTTGTCTCTGGTCTGAGGATGGGAGGCGTCTTGGGGTTGTTTGCAGGGCCCCTGCCTGGCATCTCTTCTCCAGCACTGGGGCTGCACTGGCTCTGCTCTGTGTAGGTTTCCCTTGCTTACAGGGTTCCCCTCTTGCCTTGTTTGTCCTGTGGATTTTCAGCTTTTAAATTATCTTTTCTGTATTATTTTCACAGGGATCAGAGTTACAAGCAAATGTTTGATTTACTCTGTTTAGTCTTCTTGATTTTTTGGTAATTTATATTTTCCTTTAAAATGTTAGTTTCATTAAAAATTTCAAATTAATTTACATTTTAAGAAGGATGTGTTTTTACGTGGTGCTTTTTTAGTGGCTTCGACTTTCCTCCAAAAATATGACTGTTTCATGTTATGTATTGGTATTTTCATTCATTTTCTTGATTAGCTTTACAGACTTTTTTTTTAAAAAAAAAAAAGAGGGGGGTCTTGCTGTGTTGCCTAGGCTGGCGTGCGGTTTTTGGACTCAAGTGATCTTCGTGCCTCAGCCTTCCAAGTGGCTGGGATGATACGTGTGAGCTGCCACACTCGTCCTTTGCAAAGGACTCTTTTAATCATGCATACAAAACTTGGTTGTGGATTTAAATATCCTTTCTTCTACTTTCTCATTGATTGAATTTTACATTATCTATATTTTTTTTGTCTTTATTTTTAAAAACAGTTTTTCGTACTCCTGATTTGATGTGCATGGTGGACTCCTTTGTCTGTGTTGTTTGATGACGAAGCATTCAGCTCTGTGTCTTTTTGTCTGATCATGGCTTTTACCTAGCCCCTTTAAGCACTGCTGAGTGTTTTTCTCCATACTTTATGATTGCAATTTTGATATTGAGTTAGTAATTACAGGAGAGAATACTTAAATTTCTAAGAAGTTGAATTAATTTTTAAGGGGTGTATAGTTAAACTTTTATAATTAGATTTGGTTTGGTATGATTTTTGCATGGTCTGGGATGTGTGACCCATCCTGTCACAAGTTAGGCTCTTTAGTGAGGTGTCTCCACCAGATTGTTTTGTAAGTGGCATTTGCTGTTGGTGTTGGAGAAGCTTAGCTGTTTGACAGTACTTGTGTGGTGAGTGACCACTGCCAAGATGTAGTGACTCTGCCCCGCAGTGACGGGGGAGCACTGCGCTGGCATTGGGGTGGGGGTCGGGGGCAGGTGGTTTCCTGGTGGTAGCAGGCGGACCTTGTTGTGGATCATGTGGAATCCGTGTACTTCTGTATCTGTGTAATTGGCCTAAACAATACCTATGTCTAGGAGTCAGAGGTGAATCAGGTGAAGTGGGGGTCTCTGGGGGATAATTGTGGAGATACAATTGTGCGGGACAGCAATTACCTCTTTAATGCATTTCTCTTCTACTTTAGGTAAATCTTAAAATGAGAGAGATAACAGAGAAAGAAGTTAAATTAAAACAACAGTTATTGGAAAGTCCAGCTCATCAAAAGGTAAAGGGTAAATTTAATTTTTCTGGAATGCACTAAGTTAATGTTGGTCCCAATTTTAAAGAATTCTGTTAGTTCCCACTATTTGCTTATTCTCTATTTTTACTCACCAAAGAAGCAGCTAGTCTCTTGGATTCACCTGGTGGGCTGATTCTCCACACCTCAGTGAGATGTGACCACGGCAGCCTGCCCCGCCTCTCCTGGGAAGGGGTGTTTTGTATTGCACTTTATGGTGCGTGAGGGTATTTGGGGGAATTGGGAAGCTTGAGTGAGGGACGTAGGGCCCACCTGGGTGCTAGCTTCCACAAGTCAACAAACAAGGGGGAAATTGCCTGTTGCTAAAGATGCCCTCGAAAAGTCCTTAAGTGGCTCATGAGGTACAGCGTAGCTGGTGGTGTACCTGTGTGCCTGTGCCATGATTCTGCTGGATGAACCCTACGTGCCTACTGAAGTAGCACGATGGCTGGGCTGCACCTTCCAGCCATTAGCCTTTTTCTTCCTCTGACGTTATTTTCTCTTTTGCAAGCACATGTGTGACTGAATTCACTCAGTTCAGTGCACACAAGATGCAGCCCGACCATCTATAAGGTCTCGCCTTTGAAGGGCAGTGTGCTGCCTTCCCCTGTTCCTTCTTCCCCCTCCAGTGGCACCAGCCCCTGGCCATGCATTTGTTAGCTGGGTGGGTGGGTGAGTCAGGCCGCCTGGTATGCCTCCCTCATCTGGATCTTAAGCATTGAGCTTCCTCCCTGTTCCTCAGATGGTCATGTTTAACACATGGGTACAGACTAAGCACTAGACCCTTCCCGCGTCAGAGCTGACTTCTTGCCTTTTGGTACCCAGCCCATACCAAGTTTCCGAAGTTTTCTTTGCTACTGCAAAGAATAGTGTTGTGGAGGTGACTCGTGATCTTCCACTTTAATCATCTGCTAATACAACATGACTATGGCCACGTACACTTAGAAGACTTTGCTTACCAGAGGCTCTCCCGCCTCTGCCGTGTAAACGCCGTGGGGAAGTGTGTGTTACCTCGTCCACACGTGGACCTGCTCTGCTGATGCTCCTCTCCTGCCTTCCTTCTCTCGCTTCCTGAGCAGTCTCCCTCCAAGTGGTATTGGAAGTTAGTGCCTGTAAGTGAACCCCAAGCCGCCAGCTGCCATCTACAGAGCCATCCTGTCGCGATCACTTGCTTCCATTAAAAACTGCTCGCACCCAAAACTGTTTTTTTGTTGTTGTTGTTTAAATGTCCCACCTTGGAGTTATTTATATAGTACAAGAATTGGCCTGATTCTGAGCCGAATAGGCCTTGTAATATGGCACTTTGGAACTCTTAAGTTACATTTCGCCCAGTTTCCTAGTTACTTCTTTAAGTGATCAACGTGCACGTAATGAGAGGGCATTTTTGTGATAGATACAGAGGGAATGAGAAGTGGTCTAGTTGCCCAAGTTACTCTGTATATTTTGTTCTTTCTGATGTTACCTTGCCTGACTGTGGTATGTAATGTGACATCTGTTAGGAGCCATCAGCTGGGTGGTCCAGGTATGCGGGTGATGCACCTGGTGGACTAGGGCTGGAGGGCTGCAGAGAGGGGCTCTCACCAGCATGTCAGATTCCTCTGTTCTCCTCCTCGGGTGTTGCAGCCATTCCTGCTGCCTCGGCCTGCATGGAGTGGGGAAGGGGCGTTTCCTTATTCCCAGGCAAGGGTCTGAGTTAGGTCAGCCTGGCCACAGGCTTTCTGGAGTTAAGTGTGAATTTTCACATAAAAAGAAAGGTGAAAACAGCATTTGGTTTTCCAACCCTAGTTGTGCTCCACCTGGTGGCCCATTCTGGAAGCGGAGCCAGTTTGTTACCAGGCCCCTGGGGAGAGAGTACTTGGTGCCAGTGGTGCCTTTCTCGGGAACTTTTGGATGGAGATCTTGCAGAGGGCTTTATGCATACTCCATTAACTGCCTGTGTCCTTCAGTGTCATTATTGGGCCCCTATTTTCCTTTGAAGTCCATCCTCGAGGCGATAGCAGCGGGAGTAAGCTGGGATACAGGGCTCCTTTGAGCAGCGGTAGATTCTGCTGCAGAGCTCACAGATCATTTTGCCTCTCTTGAAATATATTAATAAGAAGAAAGAGGAAAGCATTCTAAATCAATATAGATCTTTTAACTTTTTGAATCCTGAAGACTGAAGAGCTAAATATCAAAGCACTTACGTGATTTAGTCAAGGGCTCACAGACTTCGTCTGTCCTGCAGGAAGTGAGGTCACATGAGAGTTTTATAAAAACAGAAACATGTTACCAAGGGTGGTGGGTCCCTTAATGCTTTTTTATTAGATAGTTCATAACCCTAACTTTCCGACCCCAGTGTTCAGTAAATAGGTCAGTGAGGAGAAGTGTGGAAAGGCCTGGGAAAGACGGACAGATTTAGAGGTCTAACCTCAACACTGTACAGCCTAGAGGTTCACAGCACCTGATTTGCAAGGCAGCTATACAAGTTCCTGGACTCTTGTAGTTCCGGAGTGTTTCACCTGACCTTAAGCCCACCCCATCCATCTTTAATCAAGAAACCATGTGCTTTCCCGCATGCCTGTGTTCCCCCCTCACGTGTCTGCTGTCTGTGTGGAAGCCTGGCCTGGCGCATGCTGTGGTGCACTGCATGCTGGAACCCGTGGAGTTTGCACGCGTGGTACAGTATGAGGCGGGTCACGTTTTGTAGTGTGTGCCGTGGGCTCCCGAGAAACAAGTTAAAGTGTGTGCTGAAATAGATTTTATTGACATAAAATAAGCCTTATTGCTAAATTTAAGAGAATGTGTTACAAATGTTTTTTGCTAAACATCAGTATTGATTATTCTACATGATGTACTTATTGACATAACAACCTGAAATTCTTGATTTTAGACAATTTCTCCTCAAGTTGATTCAGCTGCATGACTCTCAGAAATCAGTCATTTTTTATTGTAGATTGCTGGTTTTCTTCCTCTAGTTTGTATCGTGTATTTTCCTCCTGTGGAGAAAATGTGGTTGGCAAGAAATGCCATATTTTAAAGCTGTATCGTGGCTGTTAATGCAGAAAACACCAGTGTACTGCAGGCTGTTTGGCAGTGGGGCTGGGGCTGAGTGTCCTGCCCTCAGTGGCCTGTGTCTGTGCTCTTGTTCGCTGACATGCAGATACAGGGGCAGATCTGAGGGTTTGATGGAGTGCAGAAGGCCACACGTGTGGCTTTCTGTAAATGCAGAAACATGGAATCCTTGAGCAGACACTTGTCTTCTGGAGCACCTTGCATGGATTTCGCCTCCTGATGCTTCATTGCCGTTAATAGAGTGGTGGTGGTTGTGTTATGAGAAATTTTGTCTAACCTGGCTTCTGAAATTTCTCAAACTAAATATTCATGCTGTTTTGTGTTTTTCTTAATGACTGAGGCTAGTGATATTACTCAGAAAAGTAACAGTAACTTGGGTCTTCTGAGCGTCAGGATGTTCACCATTTAACTTGTTTCTCGTTAGTGTCTAGTACGTCGGCTTTCGGTAGTGTAGGTGTGTGTTCTGTGTCCTTTCCCGTGTGTGCCTGCACTAGTGGCAGCCTCTGCTTCCAGGTCAGTTTAGAGTAGACTGGCTCTGGTATTGCTAGCAAGTAGTTGCTGTTACCCAGTGTAGCCATGAAGCCCAGCTCCTTGGATCTTGACATATATGTTCCAGGCAAAGTACGTAATCCAGACGTTTCTAACTCTTTCTAGATTATTGCAATTGTTCTCCATGTTGTCTGTTAGGCGTTATGTTAATTCTCGATCTAACAGTGTGCCTGTAACATATATGGTAGTGAAGAGACATCACATGCAGAGACCGTTTTCCTTTTATCAACTACAGGTCCGCTATCGACGAGAGCACCTTTCTGCTAGGCAGTCACCCTACTTCCCGTTGTTGGAGGATTTGATGAGAGACGGCAGTGATGGTGCTGCTCTCTTAGCTGTGATTCACTATTATTGCCCAGAGCAGATGAAACTGGATGGTGAGTGGAGAATGCTTCCCTGAAACAGATCCGAAAAGGCTTAAAGGAAAATTATAGTGTACATTGATCCACATATATATTAAAAAAAAAAAAGAGAAAGAAAATGGAATCCTTAATATAAATTGGGATGTTAGCCTATAGATGAAAAAATTGGGGGATGATGTGCTCATACTTAACCTGCATTTTATCTGATGACAAAACTGCACTTTGAAATTAGCTGGGTGTGGTGGCACACGCCTGTGGTCCCAGCCACTCGGGAGGCTAAGGTGAGAGGATCACCTTAGCCCGGGGTGGGGTGGGCGGGGGGTGGTGGAGAGGGAGAGAGAAATGGTACTTCAAAGTATCTGAGTAATGTGTGAAAGTATTTGTGACTTTATCTATGTCTCAGAATGGGTAGCTTTTGTAAATCCTTCCTCAATTGATTTAAATCACCTAGAACTTAGTTTGAGGATGGGAAAATTAATGCAAAATTGAATCTGTTTATGAACCATTTATGAACAACTGCCACACGCTTCGTGTTGGGGACGTTCCGATGACAGTGTATCTCCCTCCAGGTGTTTACACCCTAACAACGAGGAGAGAGAGAGAGTGACTGTCACCAGCACGACAGTGGGTGTCTGGACAGGGGCTGGGGGAGCATGAATTCTGATTTAGGTTTTGCTAAGCCCCATTCATTCTGAAGTAGGCAGATACAAGGCCAAGAGGTGCCCCCCAAACTAATATGGAAACATTTGTGTCAGACTTCAGGTGCTGGGTGGATTGAGCTGGCATTGATCTTGTTCCTACTGGGCGTAAAAATGCTAGAAAATATAGTTTCTTAGATAAAATAGTTTCACAAATATATAGCTGCACTTAAAGGAACAGGCTGGATATGGTGGCTCATGCCTGTAATCCCAGCACTTTGGAAGGCCGAGGCGGTAGATCACCTGAGGTTAGGAGTTAGAGACCAGCCTGACCAACATGGCGAAACCCTGTCTCTACTAAAAATTAGCCAGGTGTGGTGGCGCGTGCCTGTAGTCCCAGCTACTTGGGAGGCTGAAACAGGAGAATTGTCTGAACCTGGGAGGCAGACATTGTGGTGAGCCGAGATTGCACCAGAGAATTCCAGCCTGGGCAACAGAGCGAGACTCTGTCTCGGGGGGAAAAAAAAAAAAAAAGGAAGAAGGAGAGAGCCTCAGGTACCAGGAGACGGTCTCTGTCATTGAGTGAAAACTCATGAGTGGAGGACAGGTAGGTGCCCTGGGGCCCCTTGGGCCTGAGTTTCCATGTTCGTTTGGCCCTGGGCCTATGTGCTGTCAGGAGCTGTGACTGGGACCTTTTGGGAAGAGGACTAGAAAACTCCACCTACTGCCCAGGAGTGAACTGAGGAGGCCTGACAGATGCCCTTGGCTCTGGGGATGTGGAGGAGAAGCTCTTTAAGGAGGAAATGCAGCTCTTGGGTACACGGTGGATCAGAGGGAGGTTGAGATGTGTATCACCCATGTGGCGTGGGAATACTGGTTGAATGTTAGTGCAACAAGTAGTCTAGAACTAGTGAAACTCATGGTCCCTGGCAGGGATAAAGCACAGCTTGGCTGTGCAGGGACATTTCCATGAGCCAGGGCATGCTGGCTGCCCACTGAGGAGAACCCCTGCTGGAAGACAAACTCTTTGAAAAATCAGAAACCACGCAGGGAAAGCAGGCACTGCAGCTGATTTGGCACCAAGACATGGGTGAAAGATAACAGGATATTTAAAATGATGGACATTAAAAAGAGAACTAGACACCTTAAAGAAGACGGCGGAGGGGTTGGGGTCTTCAGATGTGCTGTGATTTTCTTCATCCTCCAGGTCTTGTCTTGGCACTTTTTTTTTTTTTTTTTTTTTTTTGAGGCAGAGTCTTGCTCTGTCACCCAGGCTGGAATGCAACTGCGTGATCTTGGCTCACTGCAACCTCCACTTCCCAGGTTCAAGCGATTCTCCCACCTCAGCCTCCCGAGTAGCTGGGATTACAGGTGTCCACCACCACACCCAGCTAATTTTTGTACTTTTAGTAGAGATGGGGTTTCACCATGTTGGCCAGGCCGGTCTGGAACTCCTGACCTCAGGTGATCCACCTGCCTTGGCCTCCCAAAGTGCTGGGATTACAGGTGTGAGCCACCGCGCCTGGCCATGGGACCTTCTTTTATGTGTTCATCTCTTACATTCTCCCTGCTGAGTTCTGGATGCTTTTTATTTTATTTATTTATTTTTTATGGAGACAAGGTCTCACTCTGTCACCCAGGCTGGAGTGCAGTGGTGTGATCATGGTTCACTGCAGCCTTGACTTCTCTGGACTTCTCAGGCTCAGGTGATTATCCCATCTCAACCTCCTGAGTAGCTGGGACTACAGGCACGTACGACCATGCCTGGCTAACTTTTGTATTTTTTTATTTTTTTTTTTTTTGTGGAGATAGGGTTTTGCCATGTTGCCTGGGCTGGTCTCGAACTCCTGGGTTCAAGCGATCTGCTTGCCTTGGCCTCCCAAAGTGCTGGGATTCCATACGTGAGCCACCGCACCTGGCCCTGGATGCTTTCTGAAGTCCACCTTCTAGTTCGTAAATTTGACTTTTCCTTCATTGTGTGCAGCCTGCCCTGTATGTCTGTTGGGGATCTTAAGACAGAGTGAATTGCTAAGGATACAGGGTCATTGCCAATTATGATCATGTGAACAGTTTACAGGAAGGTGTGACTGTATTGAAGCTCATTATCTAAGAGCAGAACATCAAAATGGATTTTAAAAAATGGCAGAGTTACGGCCAGGCGCGGTGGCTCACCCCTGTAATCCCAGCACTTTGGGAGGCCGAGGTGGGTAGATCACGAGGTTGGGAGATCAAGACCATCCTGGCTAACATGGTGAAACCCCGTCTCTACTAAAAACACAAGAAATTAGCTGGATGTGGTGGCGGGCACCTGTAGTCTCAGCTACTCGGGAGGCTGAGGCAGGAGAATGGCGTGAACCCAGGAGGTGGAGCTTGCAGTGAGCCGAGATCGTGCCACTGCACTCCAGCCTGGGTGACAGAGCGAGACTGTCTCAAACAAACAAACAAACAAAATGGCAGAGTTACAAGGAGAAATGGACAGAGCCACATTGCTGACTTATGTAACAGAAACTGATTGATAAAGCAGATCATTTAGTAAGGCCATAGAGGACTTCAGGCTTCATCCAGTGCACCAGCCACTGTGGAATCTGCTCACTTACAGACAGTAAAGACAAACATGGGAGCCTTTATAAAACGTGCAGTCGATTAAGGCCACAGGTGAGACTGCAGCAGATCCCAAAGAATCAGTACATTCTCCACAGTGCAGTAAAGTGAGAACTCACCAACTAGAAGATGCAGCTTCTTTTCCTGCCTGTGAATTAATGATGGTTCATTTCAGGTGTGAATTTGACTGGATTGAGAGAAGCCTAGGTGACTGGTGAAGCATTGTTTCTGGGTGTGTCTCTGAGGGTGTTTCCAGGGGAGATGGGTGTGAGTCAGTGGCTTGAGAAGGGAAGACCTGCCTTCAATGTGGGCAGAAGAGGGGGACTCTCCCTCTCTGCTCTCTGCTCTCTCTCCCTTACTGAGTGGGGCACCTTCTCTCTTCCTGTCCTTGGACATCAGACTCCAGGTTTTTTGGGTTTTAGACTCTGGGACTTGCACCATGGCTTCCTGGGGGATTTTAGGCCTTTGGCCTTGGCCTGGGGGCTGCACCATCAGCTTTGCTGGCTCTGAGGCTTCCAGACTTGGACCCAGGCATGCTGCCACCTCTGATTCACTAGCTTGCAGATGGCCTGTTGTGGGATTTCTCTGTCTTTGTGATCATGTGAGCAGATTTCTCTGATTAAATCCCTTCTCGTATGTCCTACTGGTTCTGTCTGTCTGGAGAACCCTGACAAATGCACAGTTATTCTAAAATCTTAAAGATTGAGTGCCTGGAAGCCAGAGAAGGCATTTAAATATTTCATGGATCATAGGGGAAAGAGTAGTGGGACTTGCTAGTGTGAGCTCAACAGGGGCAGGGTTTTACCTGTTTTGCTCACTGATGTATCCCAGTCATCTGAAATAGTGTCTGGGGCCAGTTGGTGTTGAGTAGGTATTTGTTACTAGAAAAAGAACGTAGAAGTAAACCCAAAAAAAGTTGAAGGAAGGAGAAATGAAGGGCAGTTTTCTATCCATTTCTGTTAGTCAGAAGTCACTCCCAAACAAGGAGAATAAGGAACTGAATTACAGATTCCATTTTGGATGAAACTAAGATATATCTGGACTCTGAACAAGTCCTCTAATGGAGAAGTAATTAAAAAAAAAAAAAAGGCAAAGTGGAGGAGGGGTGGGTGTCAAGCTGGGGACGCAAAGAGGCTCATCCTATAGGACCCTGGACAGCAGAACGGAGCACCAAGGATGCTGGTGGACAGCAGTGCCTGAGGGTGGATTCCTTGAAAGTTGGTCTCCAGCAATGAGAGCTCAGGTTCACTTTGCTTCTGATGCCTTTCTCCTCACATGCCCTCAGTAGATGCGGGACACTCTTGAGGAGAACTGAGCCAGATAGGCTCTAGCCTCAGACCCCAGGTGCAGGTAGGGATGAGGTGACACTGAAATCAGGGCTTTTGTGTAAAATTCTTCATACCCGAAGGTGAGACTGGTTCTCCTCCTGGTGCACCCTGCCCCAGAAGCCACCGTCTCTCTCACTTGACTCCATAATGCAGACCTGCCCCACATGCAACACAGGGAAGGATTCTTCTCTGCAGAAATCGGCCTCAGGAAAAAGACTCACAGTGACTCACTCTTTACTAGGAGCAGCAGCCAAAGATTCCTGACATTTGAGGAAAGCCACTGACCTGAATGAGAACCCAAATCAACAGAGATGGTGCAGGTGAGCAGGAGAAAATGTTAGAGATGAGAGGGTTTGGACCTCAGAACCAACAACAGGACTCTGGGAAACAATGTCTGCAAGATAGTGGCACATAACTGTGTACAGAATCATCAGACTCAGAACAGCTGTTGGAGTGCTACAGCTTGTTTAGAATTCTCTGGCAAATTCTAAAGAGCCGCCAAAAACCAGTTCTTGGGAAGGAAATATTTGGTTGCTAAGATGGGAGAGCCACTGAACTGCTAGAGGACAGTTGAAGAAATCTCCCAGAAAGTAGAACCAGAAAAGCAAAGAGATGGGAAATAAGGGAAAAAAGATGGAAAAATCAGGATCAGTCTACGAAGAAAGAGAAGAGAAAATAGGAGAAAAGAACTTAGTCAACACAAAATGTAGAAAAATGTCCCAAGGACATGCGTGGTAAGTAGGAAGGACCCAGTGGGTGGCCAGCAGGATTCCTGAAGAAGGGCCATGGCAAAGCCTACCATGATGAGCTCCGGAACCCCTGGGAAAGAGGAGATCCCAAATAACTGTGGAGAGACCAAGCAGGTTACACACAAGCAGGCAGCCCCAATGACACCAGATTCCTCAGCCACAGTCCTGGAAGGAAGATGACTGGGAGGTGCCTTCCCAGTGCTGGGGAGTGTGTGCACGCACACCATCCTGAAGAGGAGGTGGAGGGAGGCTCAGGCTGAAATCCACAGTGCCAGCCTTCCCATGGATGGGCCAGGAGCGTGGGACAAAGGCACAGACCAGGAGGAGGCAGTTGGCCTGTCCGGCTCAGAGGCAATAACAGGTGAATAACTGAGCCAAGTATTAAATCCAGGAGAAATGAAGAGTTGTGCAAGGAGTGTAAGTAGAGACACTGTGTAACCCAGCTGTGGAAGATGGTTACATAGTTATGGTGTATAGAGACTCAGTCTGGGTTTAATCACACATCCTGCTGTGTGGCCACTGGGGAGAGAGGCTGGGGAGGCACACAGAGGACCACCTGCACTGTGCTTGTCTGTTGTGACAGTGGGCTGTAGCCTCTTAGTCATAGGGTAGGGGATGGGGCTGCGTGTTCTCTTACCGAGGCCACAGGCAGAAGGAGTGGAATGGGCAGTGATAAGGTTTGGCTCTGTGTCCCTACCTAAATCTCTTCTTGAATTGTACTCCCATAATTCCCATGTGCTGTGGGAGGGACCTGGTGGGAGATAATTGAATCACAGGGGCAGTTTCCCCCATACTGTTCTCGTGGTAGTGAATAAATCTCATGAGATCTGATGGTTTAATAAGGGGAAACCCATTTAGCTTGGCTCTCATTCTCTCTCTTGCCGCCGTCATGTGACACGTGCTTTTCATCTTCCGCCATGATGGTGAGGCCTCCCCAGCCATGTGGAACTGTAAGTCCAATAAACTGCTTTCTTTTGTAAATTGCCCAGTCTCAGGTATGTCTTTATCAGCAGTGTGAAGATGGACTAATATAGGCAGAGACCTAGTTCTCTTAAGCTTTTCAAAACAAATAGTTTGGCTTTTTTGTTTTTGTTTTATTTTTTTGTGTTTTTTGAGACTGGAGTCTCACTCTCTTGCCTATGCTGGAGTGCAGTGGTACGATCTCGGCTCACTGCAAGCTCCACCTCCCAGGTTCACGCCATTCTCCTGCCTCAGCCTACCGAGTAGCTGGGACCACAGGCGCCCGCCACCGCGCCCGGCTAATTTTTTGTATTTTTAGTAGAGACAGGGTTTCACCGTGTTAGCCAGGATGGTCTTGATCTCCTGACCTTGTGATCCGCCCGCCTCGGCCTCCCAAAGTGCTGGGATTACAGGCGTGAGCCACCGCACCCGGCCTTTTTTTTTTTTTTTTTTTTTTAAATTGAGATGAAGTCTCCCTTAGTCACCCAGGCTGGAGTGCAGTGGCCCGATCTCTGCTCACTGCAGCCTCTGCCACCACCTGGATTCAAGCAATTCTTGTGTCTCAGCCTCCCAAGTAGCTGGGACTACAGTCACGCACCATCACACCTGGCCAATTTTTTAATATTTTTAGTAGAGATGGGGTTTCGCCATGTTGGCCAGGCTGGTCTCGAACTCCTGACCTCAGGTAATCTGCCCGCCTTGGCCTCTGAAAGTGCTGGGATTACAGGCATGAGCCCAGCCAGCTTCTTAAAGTAAAATACAAATTTTAAAATTTTGGCATGCAGCAATAGAAAAGGATGAGATCATGTCTTTTGCAGGAATGTGGATGGAGCTGGAAGCCATTATCCTTAGCAAACTAACAGAGGAACAGAAAACCAAATACTGCGTGTTCTCACTTAACAAGTGGGAGCTAAGACCGGGCGCAGTGGCTCACGCCTGTAATCCCAGCCCTTTGGGAGGCCAAGGTGGGTGGATCACCAGAGGTCAGGAGTTCAAGACTAGCCTGGCCAACAAGGTGAAACCCTGTCTCTACTAAAAATACAAAAATTGGCCGGGGGTGGTGGTGCACACCTGTAGTCTCAGCTACTCGGGAGGCTCAGGCAGGAAAATTGCTTCAACCCAGGAGGTGGAGGTTGCAGTGAGCTGAGATCACGCCACTGCACTCCAGCCTGGGTGACAGAGTGAAGCTCCATCTCAAAAAAAAAAAGTGGGAGCTAAATGATAAGAACTTAAGAACACAAAGAAGGAAACACAGACACTGGGGTCTCCTTGAGGGTGGAGGGTGGGAGGAGGGAGAGGAGCAGAAAAGATAACTGTTGGGTACTGGACTTAATTCCTGGGTGATGAAATAATTTGTACAACAAACCCCCGTGGCATGAGGTTACCTATGTAACAAGGCTTCACGTGTACCCTCCCAAACCTAAAATAAAAGTTAACAAAAATTGGCAAATTTGCTGGGTGTGGTAGCTCATGCCTGTAATTCTAGCACTTTGGGAGGCTGAGGCGGGGGGATCATTTGAGCCCAGGAGTTCAAGACCAGCCTGGGCAACCTAATGAGACCCCAAAAATTAAAAAGTTAGCTTGGCCTGGTGATGTGCACCTGTAGTCCCAGATACTCAGGAAGCTGAGACAGGAGGATCACTTGAGCTCAGGAGGCTGAGGCCACAATGAGCTGTGATTGTGCCACTGCACTCCAGATGACAGAGTGAGACCTGCTCTCAAAAAAAAAAAAGTTTTGGCAAATTTAACAGCAAAAAGTGAATAAAGTAGAAAAAATTCCAAAGTTCTAGAGAATATGTAAAACTAAAAGCTTATTGTTTTAAAGAATTAATAAAATAGATAATCTGGAAAGACTGATCAAGAATTCAGGTATAGCAGCTACTGAAATAAAAATACTGAGAATATTTGTGTGCCATATGTGTTTGAAATGTTAGACAAAATGAGCAATCTTCTTTGAAGCCAAAAGTGGTGGGCAGTCTAAATAGACCCATAACTACAAAGGAAACGGACTCAGGAGTCAACACATACATCCACAGGGACCAACTTCTTCCTGGGGCATTTCACCAGACTCTCAAGGAATTGTCAGCTCCTGTGTTATGTCAAGTGTCCCAGATAATAGGAAAAGATGGAGTGGCCCAAAAGGGGATTATTCCCTGACACTGAGTAGGCTATGAGAGGAAATTCTAGGCTGGCTTTCCATGTTAGTATGGATTGAAAATCCTATGTAAAATATTAGCGCAAATTGAACAGATTCTCTACAGTCATCTCAGTAAGGGCAGGGAATCACTTGTGGGCAGTCACTGCCCCCTTCTGATCGTGGCTCTGGGCCTCATAGGGACTTGATTGGACCTCATAGGCTGTTGACCCCACCTGTGGCAGGTGCAGTTCCATTGAAGGCCCAGGAGAAGCGGTGCCTTTGTGTCCTGACGGAGCGGGTTCTCTGAGCCTGGCAAGAGGAAGGTAGTGGGAGCCGTAGCCAGGGCTGCCCTGTGCCCCTGCCCTGCACTGCAGTGCCCACTCCCTATGAGCATTCTCTTGTCATGTGAGAACTGGGAGGCATTTGGGAGTAAGTGCAGCAGAAGAGAGGCGAAGAAAATCCATCGGCTTTTCTATTTCTCTTGGGAGAAGACTGAAACAAGTGTACTTAGATCCCCAGTCAGTATTAAAACTTGTGATTTCTCCAGATTGTTCTGAAAACTTGTCGCCAGTCCAGTAAATACTTTTGTCTTCACAGATATTAACAAGGCAATGCAGAAATTCTCTTGGATTGTGTTATTTCTGTGTCTCTCTCAACCATTTGAGAGTAACACAGCAAAAGTTGGGAAAGCTAACGTTGGCACACAGATCCCCAGCCTGGTCCTGACTCGCTCAACTACCCAGGAGCACCTGCTTGGCCCAGCGTCCCCTCATAGTTTCCCTTCATCTGGAGTCGTTTCCAGCCTTTACCTCTCTTGACTCTTGATGTTTTCGAAGAGTAAGGTTGTGAGTAGTGGCCCTTGGTGTGTTTGTCTGGAGTTTCCTTGCGGTGTGTCCTCCCAGCGTGTCACCTCAGGGGCAAGGTACTGGGACATCTCCGTATTGGTGACTCCAGCTTCACCCCTTGGTGCAGGTGGCATGTGCTGGCCTTCCCCACTTCTAAGCTTGCTGTTTTTGCTTTAGAATGCATTAGTAATTTGTGGGGAGAGGCTTTGGACTGTGAATACGTTTCTCATCAGACTCTCACCTGCTGGTCTCTCCACGTGTGGATGGCTTCCAGCCTCAGTGCATCTTTCCATTTTGTCAGCGTTTGCCCCACTTGCTTGCTTCTTTATTCATGTGTTTGTTTATATCCGGATGGCCTCATGGATCTTACTTTATTCAATAGGTCATAATTCATTACTTTCATTATTTATTTTGTTGCTTAAATTGTCCCAGATTTTAGCTGAGTAGTTTTGAAGAATAAGAATGTGCAGGGTATGTGCCCTACAAATACCAAATTTTGCTTAACTTTGCATTACCAAAAACAGTGTGGTTTTGGTTCCGGGGCAGTCACATGGACCAGATGAATAAACCACATGTAGAACTGAGAAAAGAGATGCTTTGCAGGGAATCTGGTGCCTTTGGGGTGGCCTCACCGAGGGAGCCGCGCTGGCTGGTCAAGAACATGGCGGCATAGACATCTCTATGGGAAAGTGCCGTAAAACCTCACCCCACCTGAGCCAGAAATACCCCTTCCTCGGAGTAAAGATGCAAACCTGAAAAGTAAAATTTAAGAATTTTGAGAAGATAAAGGCAAATACTTTTATGATGTTCGTGTAGAGATGGATTGCCAAAATTATAAAAAGCACAAATAGAAAAGATTGTTAAATGTAACCATATCAAAATGTAAAACTTTCCTGTGACAAAAGAACATCATAAACAAAATGAAATGATAAACTGTACCCATTGAAAATATTTGCAGCACACGTGACCTGATGAAGGACTGTCATCCAGTCCTTTCGTAACCACAATCCAGAAAGAATTCTAGAATCGGTAAGAAAAAGATGCACAGCCCAAGGCAGATATGGACAGGGTCCACAGGAGAGGACCCTTCATGACCAGTAACCATGAAAAAGTAAAGCCACAGCAGTCATCAGAGGCATGCTGTTTGAGAAGGAGGTGTTCACGCCCCTCCGCCTGGCAGACATGGACAGGTCGGTCATGCTGCGGTGCAGGTGGGAAGGAGCAAGCTGTGGAGTGCTGTGGGTGGGACTGGAGCGAGGCACAACCAGGCAGAAGGGCGTTGCCAGGTGACACAGGAGGGCGTGCCTAGCTCGTGGCCCAGCGAGTCCCCTCTCAGAGTATGCCTGGGCAACACCCGTCTGTACACGCATAGACAGCACACGCAAGCTTTGTGATGGCAGCATTTGTCATAATTGTGAGAAATCGTGGAGGACCATATAGCGGTCAAGATGAGTGACGGAAATCTCTCCGTATCAACATAGATCTGTTTGAAAACATCATACTGAGTTTTGGGGCAAAAACTGGCTGCTAAAATGAGGCATAGCTTGATACCATGAATGTAAGTTTCTCAAGGCTGAGACAACACTGTTTGTGTTACTTGTGGATGCAGACAGTGTGTAGAATACTCAGGAGGAGTGGAAAGGGTTTGTGGCAGTGTTGGGAGAATGGTTCCCTTTGGAGATGGAGATGACTTCGGCTGTTTTATTTCTAAAAAAGAAAAGATCTGAAGCCTATAAGACGTTAACATTTGATGGTCAGAACTGTACAAAAGGAAACATCCTTAGCAGTGTGAGTGTGCACAGTTCCTCAGCTTTAAAGTTTTCTTTTGAGAATGAATGCTGCTTAGGTGACTGTGGAGGGCAGTTCATGAACGACTCTGGATGCTGTGGCTCCAGTTTGTACGTACTTCTAAACCCTTGAAAATGGTTTTTTCCTTAGAAATAAAATTTATGTAAAAAGTTATTTCTGAAATTCTATTTTTTCTCTATGTATATATTTACAGGCAAAATAAAGTCAAGTCACTTCTCACGGAGTCCTGAGCTGCACCGTGCTCTCCGCAGGGCTCTTTGTCTGAGGGCCACCCCCCACTCCACACCAGGGTGCCTAGACTAGGGGGAGGCCTGCTCTTTGGTCCTGTGACTTGTTGCCCATACTGGTGCTTCCTCCATGGAGGGTCTGCAAAGTCACGTGCAATGGAAAGTTGCCCTGCAGATGCTATAGCCACCAGTCTCCACCTCTTCATGGAAAGAGACTTGGGCTATGCATTGTCACTTGATCTTTGTGATTAGTCACATTCCTGTGTTATCACTGAGTGGGCGTGGATGAGCCTGATGCTTTACGTTTTATTCATTTCCCTTCCCCCTGCCCTTTACAAACACGGAAACCTTGTGCAGAGGGTTTCTGATGGGCGGAAGAAACTCGGCTCAACATTTACTCGCTACGTGCAGCATGGCTCTGCTGTAAAGTGAAAGGTGATTGTTGCTGTTTGTTTTGGAAGCCCACTCTTGAGATCTGAGCGATTTCTATTATGCTTTCTGGATGTTCACCATCAAATTCAGACTTGAGAGGTTCCTGGAGTTGTCTTGAGTGTTTTCTTTTTATACTTAGTGTTACTTGTTGTACATCCTATACTCCCTACATCTCTCAATGTCATTATCTTCATTACTACCTTTATGTAAAATGGTTTTCATTTTAGAATGCTTCTCTCTCTCTCGAAGCAGAATACCTTTACAATAAATTGTGATTTTCTTTTTGTCTATTAGATATATGCTTAAAGGAGGTAACGTCGATGGCCGACAGTCTGTATAATATTCGGCTTCTGAGAGAATTCTCCAATGAATATCTTAATAAATGTTTTTATCTCACCTTGGAAGATATGCTGTATGCGCCATTAGTGTTGAAGGTAATAACGAATTATTTGGCATGCAGTTTTAAAACCATGTGTGAATAAACTGCTTATCATACTTTGGTTTTTTGTTTTTGTCTTTTAGCCGAATGTTATGGTTTTTATTGCGGAGCTTTTTTGGTGGTTCGAGAATGTCAAGCCAGATTTTGTTCAGCCCAGGGATGTTCAGGAGCTGAAAGACGGTGAGTGACAGATATTCCCCAGGTTGGCAATGGTTTCCTTGAGAGCCTAGAGTATCAGAAAGCACTCTCCAGTGGTTCCATGTTTCTCGCACAGCAGAGTTCTTGGAAGAGCCTGTGGAGTCAGAATCCCAGGGACGGGCGTGAGAGTTTGGGGAAAGGCTTTCTAAGTGATTTTGATGAACTATTCGGTTACGAATCACAGCTCTAAAAATTGCACAACTCTAAAAGTTCCAGGATGGCTGTTCTCACCTCCAGAATGAACAAACTGAAAAAAAAAAAATGTTTACTACAGATTAAAATAATCTGTCAGGCTTGACAATCTAGAAAGTTTTAAGGAGATAATATAGAGGAATATCTTCATAACCTTGGATTAAGAAATTATTTCTTACAAAGAATATGAAAATATTAGCCACAAAGGAAAAGATTGCAAATTCAGCAACATTAAAGTTTGGACCTTCTTTTCCTTGAAAGATGATAAAGATAATTTTAAAAAACCCCAACTATTAATAACTATAGAGGGGGAAAAGGTACTTGCAATGTATGTGGTAGATAAATAACTAGTATCCAGAATATATAAAGAGCTCATTCATAGCCATAAGAAAAAAGAAGAGCCAACAGGAAAAAAAGGCAAAAGAACAGATTCTTGATGAGAGTGGGACCCCATGTGCCTAACTGATTTGTGAAAAGCTGCTTGGCCTCAGTCATCAAGGATATGCAAATTAAAGATGACACCCAGACGGCCTGCAGCTTGCAATGCTTAAGATTTTTCAGCTTCACCGTGGTGCAAAAGCGATGCACGTTCAGTGGAAACCGTGTTTCCTGTGCCCTACAACCATTTTGTTTTTCACTGTCAGTACAGCATTCAGTAAATTACACGAGATACTCAGCACTTTATTCTAAAACAGGCTGTGTGTTAGATTTCGCCCGGCTGTAGGCTAGTGTAAGTGTTCTGAGCACACTGAAGGCGCCTAGGCTAAGCTGTGATGTTTGCTAGGTTAAGTGTATTCAGTGTGTTTTCTACTTACTGATATTTTCAGTTTACGATGGGTTTATTGGGGCATGACCCCATTGTAAGCTGAGGAGCATCTGTGCGGGTATATATCCTCCAGATATATTTGTGGCAAAACGTTGGAACGGGCCCAGGTGTGGGGCAGTGTCTGAGAGTGCACCTTTCACCACTGCTGGCGAGAGTGTTACTTGGAGTCACTGTTTTACTTGGAGCAGCCTCTGAAGCTCTTCAGTGTTACCCAGTCCTGTGGGTTGCCTGCCCTTTGGCTCAGCAAGCCCATTCCTGTGGTGTATCCTCAGGGAAACTTGGTACTTGTGCATCAGGACACAGGGAAAGGATGCTCAGAGCAGCTCTGCTCATAACAGCTAAAAAGAAGCTCCCAGATGTGCCTCTGCAGTCAGAGTGGTGCAGTGTTCTATGTCCATGCCACAAGATGCTGTGCAGCCCTGGGTGTGTGTGAGCCACAGCCACGAGCAGCTACAAGGAAGATTCTCCTGATAATGAAGGCACAGAATCACATGGACAGGCTGGAGAGCAGGCAGAGCTCCACTGTGTTTTCCAGGGGGTGTGTATGTGTGTGCATGCGTGTGTGTGCATGTGTGAGCGTGTGTGTGTGTGTGTGTCTGGGGCTAAAAGGCAGTGGTTCATTGGGCACGTTGGGTGCTCCTGGCAGACCCGTGACTTTCTCTTCTGGACCCGAGTGGTGGTTACCTCGATTTTGCTTTATAATTATTTGTCAAGCTCTATGTACGTTTTATGCAGTTTCTCTCTCTGTGTGTGCGTGCACTATTTTACAATAAGAAAGAATAACGACAAAAAGCTTAGAACTGGGTTACCTTGCTGTTAGAATGTTCTTAAGTCACCTCGCTTCCTCACGGGTGACCTTGAACTAATTTTTCATCCCTGGACTTAACTTTCCTTCCCAACTCTTCTTCTGTGGTAACTATTCCATCTTACAGCCAGAAACACTGTAGTGCTGTGAAACTTGCTTCCTTCATCTTAACTGAGGTTAGCCCTAAGTCAAGGCTATTGCTGACTCCTGTTTTCAGATTCGTTTCTATTCTTCTTGCATTTAAGGTAGAATAGGCTTTCCTTGTTTGATGCCTTCATGACTGCAGCACCCTCTCCACTGCCCTGTCCTTTCTGGCTTCCCTTCCCTTCACTCCTCCCCCTCCCCCCCCACTCCCATCTCCCCACTCCCCTCCCCCACTCCCCTCCCCTTCCCCCACTCCCCTCCCCCCACTCCCCTCCCCTTCCCTGCCCCCTCCCCCCACTCCCCTCCCCTTCCCTGTTCTGGGATACTTGTGCACAACCTGCAGGTTTGTTACATAGGTATACACGTGCCATGGTGGTTTGCTGCACCCATCAACCCATCCTCTACATTAGGCGTTTTCCCTAATGCTCTCCCTCTCCTAGCCCTCCCACCCCCCGACAGGTGTGTGATGTTCCCCTCCCTGTGTCCGTGTGTTCTCATTGTTCAACTCCCACTTATGAGTAAGAACATGCGGTGTTTGGTTTTCTGTTCCTGTGTTAGTTTGCTGAGAATGATGGCTTCCAGCTTCATCCATGTCCTTGCAAAGGATATGAACTCATCCTTTTTTTTAATGGCTGCATAGTATTCCATGGTGTATATGTGCCACATTTTCTTTATCCAGATGGGCATTTAGGTTGGTTCCAAGTCTTTGCCATTGTGAATAGTGCTGCAGTAAACATACGTGTGCATGTGTCTTTATAGTAGGATGATTTACTTTTTTTTATTTTATTATTTTTTTCGAGACAGAGTCTCACTCTGCTGCCCAGGCTGGAGTGCAGTGGCACAGTCTCAGCTCACTGCAAGCTCCACCTCCCGGGTTCACACCATTCTCCTGCCTCAGCCTCCCAAGTAGCTGGGACTACAGGTGCCCACCACCATGCCCAGCTAATTTTTTTGTATTTTTTTTTTTTAGTAGAGACGGGGTTTCACCGTGTTAGCCAGGATGGTCTCGATCTCTTGACCTCATGATCCACCCGCCTCAGCCTCCCAAAGTGCTGGGATTACAGTTGTGAGCCACCGTGCCCGGCCTATAGTAGGATGATTTATAATCCTTTGGGTATATACCCAGTAATGGGATTGCTGGGTCAAATGGTATTTCAGTTTATAGATCCTTGAGGAATCGCCACACTGTCTTCCACAATGGTTGAACTAATTAACACTCCCACCAGCTGTGTAAAAGTGTTCCATTTCTCCATATCCTCTCTAGCATCTGTTGTTGCCTGACTTTAATGATCGCCATTCTAACTGTCATGAGATGGTATCTCATTGTGGTTTTGATTTTCATTTCTCTAATGACCAGTGATGATGAGCTTTTTTTCTTATGTTTGTCGGCCGCATATATGTCTTCTTTTGAGAAGTGCGTCCATTCAAATCCTTTGCCCACTTTTTGATTTTTTTTTTTTTTTTTTTTTGGTAAATTTGTTTTAAGTTCCTTGTAGATTCTGGATATTAGCCCTTTGTCAGTTGGATAGATTGCAAAAATTTTCTTCCCTTCTGTAGGTTGCCTGTTCACTCTGATGATAGTTTCTTTTGCTGTGCAGAAGCTCTTTATTTTAATTAGATCCATTTGTCAGTTTTGGCTTTTGTTGCCATTGCTTTTGCTCTTTTAGTCTTGAAGTCTTTGCCCATGCCTGTGTCCTGAATGGTACTGCCTAGGTTTTCTTCTAGGTTTTTATGGTTTTAGGTCTTACATTTAATTAAGTCTTTAATCTGTCTTGAGTTAATTTTTGTATAAGGTGTAAGGAAGGGATCCAAATTCAGTTTTCCGCATATGGCTAGACAGTTTTCCCAACACTGTTAAATAGGGAATCCTTTCCCCATTGCTTGTTTTTGTCAGATTTGTCAAAGATCAGATGGTTGTAGGTGTGTGGCATTATTTCTGAGGCCTCTGTTCTGTTCCATTGGTCTATATATCTGTTTTGGTACCAGTACCATGCTGTTTTGGTTACTATAGCCTTGTAGTATAGTTTGAAGTCAGGTAGCATGATGCCTCCAGCTTCGTTTTTTTTTTTTTTTTTTTTTGCTTAGGGTTGTCTTGGCTATGAGGGCTCTTTTTTGGTTCCATATGAAATTTAAAGTAGTTTTTTTAAAATTCTGTGAAGAAAGTCAATGGTAGTTTGATGGGGATAGCATTGAATCTATAAATTACTTTGGGAAGTATGGCCATTTTCACAATATTGATTCTTCCTATCCATGAGCATGGAATGTTTTTCCATTTGTTTGTTTCCTCTCTTATTTCTTTGAGCAGTGGTTTGTAGTTCTCCTTGAAGAGGTCCTTCACAGCCCTTGTAAGTTGTATTCCTAGGTATTTTATTTTCTTTGTAGCAGTTGTGAATGAGAGTTCACTCATGATTTGGCTCTCTCTTAATCTGTTATTGGTGTATAGGAATGCTTGTGATTTTTGCACATTGATTTTGTATCCTGAGACTTGCTGAAGTTGCTTATCAGCTTAAGGAGATTTTGGGTTGAGACGATGGGGTTTTCTGAATATACAATCATGTCATCTGCAAACAGAGACAATTTGACTTCCTTTCTTCCTATTTGAATACTCTTTATTTCTTTCTCTTGCCTGATTGCCCTGGCCAGAACTTCCAATACTGTGTTGAATAGGAGTGGTGAGAGAGGGCATCCTTGTCTTGTACCGGTTTTCAAAGGGAATACTTCCAGCTTTTGCCCATTCAGTATGATGTTGGCTGTCGGTTTGTCTAAATAGCTGTTATTATTTTGAGATACGTCCCATCAATACCTAGTTTATTGAGAGTTTTTAGTATGAAGGGGTGTTGAATTTTATCGAAGGCCTTTTCTGAATCTATTGAGATAATCATGTGGTTTTTTGTCATTGGCTCTGTTTATGTGATGGATTACGTTTATTGATTTGCATATGTTGAACCAGCCTTGCATCCCTGGTATGAAGCCAACTTGATCGTGGTGGATAAACTTTTTGATGTGCTGCTGGATTCAGTTTGCCAGTATTTTATTGAGGATTTTTGCATCGATGTTCATCAGGGATATTGGCCTGAAATTTTTTTTTGTTGTGTCTCTGCCGGGTTTTGGTATCACGATGATGCTGGCCTCATAAAATGAGTTAGGGAAGAGTCCCTCTTTTTCTGTTGTTTGGAATAGTTTCAGAAGGAATGGTACCAGCTCCTCTTTGTACCTCTGGTAGAATTCAACTGTGAATCCGTCTGTTCCTGGGCTTTTTTCGGTTGGGAGGCTGTTAATTACTGCCTTAATTTCAGAACTTGTTATTGGTCTATTCAGGGATTTGACTTTTTCCTGGTTTAGTCTTGGGAGGGTATATGTGTCCAGGAATTTATCTGTTTCTTCTAGATTTTCTAGTTTTATTTGCACTGAGTTGTTTATAGTATTCTCTGATGGTAGTTTGTATTTCTGCGGGATCAATGATGATATCCCCTTTATCATTTTTTATTGTGTCTATTTGATTCTTCTCTCTTTTCTTCTTTATTAGTGTGGCTAGCAGTCTAGTTTGTTAATCGTTTCAAAAAACCAGCTCCTGGATTCATTTTGAATTTCGTTGCTCTTGCTTCTCTGGTTCTTTCAATTGTGATGTTTGAGCATCAATTTCAGATCTTTCCAGCTTTCTGTTATGGGCATTTAGTGCTATAAATTTCCCTCTAAACACTGCTTTAGCTGTGTCCCAGAGATTCTGGTACATTACCTCTTTGTTCCCATTTGTTTCAAAGAACTTCTTTATTTCTGCCTTAATTTCGTAATTTACCCAGTAGTCATTCAGGAGCAGGTTGTTGAGTTTCCATGTAGTTGTGCGGTTTTGAGTGAGTTTCTTCATCCTGAGTTCTAATTTGATTGCACTTTGGTCTGAGAGATTGTTTGTTATGATTTCCGTTCTTTGGCATTTGCTGAGGAGTGTTTTACTTCCAATTATGTGGTCAATTTTAGAGTAAGTGCTACGTGGTGCTGAGAAGAATGTGTATTCTGTTGATTTGGGGTGGAGAGTTCTCTTGATGTCTATTAGGTCTGCCTGGTCCAGAGCTGAATTCAAGTCCTGAGTATTGTTAATTTTCTGTCCCGATCTGTCTAATATTGACAGTGGGGTGTTAAAGTCTCCCACTATTATTGTGTGGCAGTGTAAGTCTCTTTCTAGGTCTCTAAGAACTTGCTTTATGAATCTGGGTGCTCCTCTATTGGGGGCATACAGATTTAGGATAGTTAGCGCTTCTTTTTTTTTTTTTTTTTTTTTTTGAGACGGAGTCTTGCTCTGTCGCCCAGGTTGGAGAGCAGTGGCGCGATCTTGGCTGACTGCAAGCTCCGCCTCCCAGGTTCACGCCATTGTCCTGCCTCAGCCTCCCAAGTAGCTGGGACTACAGGTGCCCGCCACCACGCCCAGCCAATTTTTTTTGTATTTTTTAGTAGAGACGGGGTTTCAGCGTGTTAGCCAGGATGGTCTCGATCTCCTGACCTCGTGATCCACCTGTCTCGGCCTCCCAGAGTGCTGGGATTACAGGCATGAACCACTGCGCCCTGCCAGCTCTTCTTATTGCATTGATCCCTTTACCATTATGTAATGCCCTTCTTTGTCTTTTTTGATCTTTGTTGGTTTAAAGTCTGTTTTATCAGAGACTAGGATTGCACCCCCTGCTTCTTTTTTGCTTTCCATTTGCTTGGTAAATGTTCCTCCATCCCTTTATTTTGAGTCTTTGTACATGAGATGGGTTTGCTGAATACAGCACACTGATGGGTCTTGACTCTTTATCCAATTTGCAGTCTGTCTTTTTATTTATTTATTTTGAGATGGAGTTTCGCTCTTGTTGTCCAGGCTGGAGTGCAATGGTGTGGTCTTGGCTCACTGCAGCCTCTGCCTCCCGGGTTCAAGCGATTCTCCTGCCTCAGCCTCCCGAGTAGCTGGGATTACAGGCCTGTGCCACCACACCTGGCTAATTTTGTATTTTTAGTAGAGACGGGGTTTCTCCATGTTGGTCAGGCTGGTCTCGAACTCCCGACCTCAGGTAATTCACCTGCCACGGCCTTCCAAGGTGCTGGGATTACAGGTGCGAGCCACCACACCCGGCCCAGTCTGTGTCTTTTAACTGGGGGCATTTAGCCCATTTACATTTAAGGTTAATATTGTTATGTGTGAATTTGATCCTGTCATTATGATGCTAGCTGCTTATTTTGCCCGTTAGTTGATGCAGTTTCTTCATAGATAGTGTTGATGGTCTTTACAATTTGGCATCTTTTTGCAGTGGCTGGTACCAGTTTTTCCTTTCCATGTTTAGTGCTTCCTTCAGGAGCTCTTGTAAGGCCTGGTGGTGACAAAATCTCTCAGCATTTGCTTGTCTGTAAAGGATTTTGTTTCTCCTTCGCTTATGAAGCTTAGTTTGGCTGGATATGAAATTCTGGGTTGAAAATTCTTTTCTTTAAGAATGTTGAATATTGGCCCTCACTCTCTTCTGGCTTTTAGGGTATCTGCAGAGAGATCTGCTGTTAGTTTGATGGGCTTCCCTTTGTGGGTAACCTGACCTTTCTCTCTGGCTGCACTTAACATTTTTTCCTTCATTTCAACCTTGGTGAATCTGATGATTGCGTCTTGGGGTTGCTCTTCTCGTGGAGTGTGCTGTTCTCCGTATTTCCTGAATTTGAATGTTGGCCTGTCTTGCTAGGTTGGGGAAGTTCTCCTGGATAATATCCTGAAGTTTGTTTTCCAACTTGGTTCCATTCTCCCCGTCACTTTAGGTACATCAGTCAAACGTAGGTTTGGGCTTTTCACATAGTCCCATATTTCTTGGAGGCTTTGTTTGTTCCTTTTCATTCTTTTTTCTCTAATCTTGTCTTCATGCTTTATTTCATTAAGTTGATCTTCAATCTCTGATATCCTTTCTTCCACTTGATCGATTCAGCTACTGATACTTGTGTATATTTCATGAAGTTCTCGTGCTGTGTTTTTCAGCTCCGTCAAGTCATTTGTGTTCTTCTCTAAGCTGGTTATTCTAGTTAGCAATTCCTCTAACCTTTTTTCAAGGTTCTTAGCTTCCTTGCATTAAGTTAGAACATGCTCCTTTAGCTCAGAGGAATTTGTTATTCCCCACCTTCTGAAGCCTACTTCTGTCAGTTTGTCAAACACATTCTTCGTCCAGCTTTGTTCCCTTGCTGGCAAGGAGTTGTGATCCTTTGGAGGAGAGGAGGCATTCTGGTTTTTGGAATTTTCAGCCTTTTTGCACTGGTTATTCCTCATCTTTGTGGATTTATCTACCTTTGGTTTTTGATGTTGGTGACCTTTGGATGGGGTTTTTGTGTGGATGTCCTTTTTGTTGATGTTGATGCTATTCCTTTCTGTTACTTTTCCTTCTAAAAGCCAGGTCCCTCTGCTGCAGGTCTGCTGGAGTTTGCTGGAGGTCCACTCCAAACCCTGTTTGCCTGGATATCACCAGCAGAGGTTGCAGAACAGCAAAGATTGCTGCCTGTTCCTTCCTCTGGAAGCTTTGTCCCAGAAGGGCACCCTCCGGATGTCAACCGGAGCTCTCCTGTATGAGGTGTCTGTTGACCCCTGCTGGGAGGTAAACACCCAGTCAGGAGGCACGGGAGTCAGGGACCTACTTGAAGGCAGTCTGTCCCTTAGCAGAGCTTGAGCGCTGTGCTGGGAGAGCCACTGATCTCTTCAGAGCCAGCAGGCGGTGATGTTTAAGTCTGCTGAGGCTATGCCCATAGCCACCCCTTCCCCTAGGTGCTCTGTCCCAGGGAGATGGGAGTTTTATGTATAAGCCCCTGACTAGGGCTAATACTTTTCTTTCAGAGATGCCCTGCTCAGAGAGGAGGAATCTAGAGAGGCAGTCTGGCTACAGCGGCTTTGCCCAGCTCTGGAGGGCTCCACCCAGTTTAAACTTCCTGGCGGCTTTGTTTACACTGTGAGGGAAAAACCCACCTACTCAAGCCTCAGTAATGGTGGACGTCCCTCCTCCCACCAAGCTCGAGCACCCCAGGTCGACTTCAGACTACTGTGCTGGCAGCGAGAATTTCAAGCCAGTGGATCTTAGCTTCCTGGGCTCTGTGGGGGTTGGATCCACTGAGCTAGACCACTTGCCTCCCTGACTTCAGCACCCTTTCCAGGGGAATGAACAGTTCTGCCTCGCTGGCGTTCCAGGCACCACTAGGGTATGAAAAAAAACTCCTGCAACTAGCTCGGTGTCTGCCCAAATGGTCGCCCAGTTTTGTGCTGGAAACCCAGGGCCCTGGTGGTGTAAGCACTGAAGGGAATCTCCTGGTCTGTGGGTTGCGAAGACTGTGGGAAAAGCATAGTATTTGGACCAGAATGCACCATTCCTCACGGCTTCCCTTGGCTGGAAGAGGGAGTTCCCCGACCCATTGTGCTTCCTGGGTGAGGTGATTCCCCACCGTGCTTGCCCTCTGTGGGCTGCACCCACTGTCTAATCAGCCCCAATGAAATGAGCTGGGTACCTCAGTAGGAAATGTAGAAATCACCCGCCTTCTGTGTTGATCTTGCTGGGAGCTGCAGATTGGAGCTGTTTGATCTTGCCAGCCACCTTCCTCCTGCCTTTCTTCACCCTTTTCATGATACTGTCCAGCTCAAGAAGGAAGTCTTGTTTTTCCTGCTGCTTGTGAGGTGGTTTCACCTGTTCTGCCTGGTGGGAAAGGCCTCTTCCCATCGGACCCCGTCGTGAGTCATGGCTGGAGCCCCCTTCTTCTTGCGGGGCTCCTCTTCTTGCCTGCTGGTCCTTAGGAATGAGGAGTCAGGAATGCTAGGAAGCAGCTAAGCTTCAGTTCACT
Organism: Homo sapiens; assembly: GCF_000001405.40. Lineage (NCBI taxonomy): Eukaryota > Metazoa > Chordata > Mammalia > Primates > Hominidae > Homo > Homo sapiens. The sequence continues at coordinate 135,840,333 of NC_000009.12, read as the reverse complement.
CTGGGATGAGACATAGCGGGGGAGGGGGACCTCAGAGTCATGGGCCCGCTCTGCACCTCCGAGGCTGGGGAGTGTCTCTGGTCTGATACAGTATTATGTGGGGCCCTGTGCAGTGGGTCCTACTGCCAACCGTTGGGTAGTGATGCCTGCTGAAACCCTATGGCCAGGAGAGGCCAACACTCAGGTGCAGAATGCACGGCTGCTCTTGGAAAAGTGAACTGCTGGCCCTTCCAGGCTGCAAGGGGTCCATTGTAGTTACCTTGCTGCCTAGTGATTGGTTGGTCTTCTCCAGGACGGTGCCATATTAGGAGTCAGCACTGGTCTTGGCAGGTGGTAGTCTGTGCTCTTAGTCTCCATACCTGCCTACCTCTGGCTGCTTCATGTGTGTGTCTGTTGTCCTGGCCTGAGAGTGGCTGATGGCAGAGTTTGTCTGCATTCCCAGTTGACCCACTGTTAACTGTGCCCAGGCTTTCCCCTTTTCCATCTGTGGTCGTCAGGGGCCCTTGTGTGGCTGTAGAGAGGGGCTCGGTGGGCTGCTGGTGCCCTGGCAGTAGCTCGTGAGGGTCTGGGCTGTGTATGCCTGCAGCTCGTGCCCCTGCTCCTGTGCAGGCTCGGTCCCAAGGCACAACTCCGTCTTATGGGTGCACTCGGCCTTAGCCCTGGAGTGAGTGGGTGGCAGAACCCAGCTTGTGATGGGCAGTTCTGAACACACTGTCAGCAGGCGTACAGTACCCTGTGCACATCAGGGGCTGTTGTTAATGTCGCGTGATTCTCTGTGGCTCTACAGTCCCGGGATCTTGCATTGTGCTCTCCCAGCTGACTTGCCAGAGACTCCTGTGGCATGTTCTCCCTCCACTGATACCTGTAGGCCATGGGATGTGATGACCCCTCCCTTTCCCAGTGCATACTCATCTGGGAACGTAGCTGGTGGTCCCTTTGGGAATGACTGGGGAACCATTGCCATGCATGCTCACCTTAGTGTTGCTGGTCCCAGAGACTGGGCATTGTTGGGAGGAAATACGGACACAAACAGACTCATAGCTATTCATATGCATGTGGCAGGCACAGAAACAGTGGCTTGCTGAGTAGCTAGAAATAGGGACTCATACACTCTGCATCAGCAGGGAGGCAGGGAGAGAAGAAGCTTGTATGGGAAGGATGAATCAGTTTCCTCAGGAAAGACAGATAGGCTCATACAGGAGCAGAACCGAAGGGCGCCGAACCAAGTAGAAAGTGTGTAGCGAAGTGTGTCTGCAGAACGGGTAGAAAGTGTGTGATGATGTGTGTCTTGAGAATGGAGTAGAAAGTGCGTAACAATGTGTGTCTATAGAACAGGGTAGAAAGTGCGTGGTGACGTGTGTCTGCAGAACGGATATAAAGTGTGTGGTGATATGTCTCTGAAGAATGGGTAGAAAGTGCGTGGTGACGTGTGTCTGTAGAACAGGGTAGAAGGTACGTGGCGAACGTGTGGCTACAGAATGGGTAGAAACTGCTTGATGACGTGTGTCTGTAGAACGGGGTAGAAAGTGCGTGATGACATGTCTGTAGAATGGGTGGAAAGTGCGTGATGACGTGTGTCTGTAGAACAGGTGGAAAGTGCATGATGATGTGTGTCTGTAGAACGGGTGGAAAGTGCGTGATGACGTGTGTCTGTAGAACGGGTGGAAAGTGCGTGATGATGTGTGTCTGTAGAACGGGTGGAAAGTGCGTGATGATGTGTGTCTGTAGAACGGGTAGAAAGTGCGTGATGATGTGTGTCTGTAGAAGGGGTGGAAAGTGCATGATGATGTGTGTCTGTAGAATGGGTGGAAAGTGCGTGATGACGTGTGTCTGTAGAAGGGGTAGAAAGTGCATGATGTGTGTCTGTAGAACAGGTGGAAAGTGCGTGATGATGTGTGTCTGTAGAACGGGTGGAAAGTGCGTGATGATGTGTGTCTGTAGAACGGGTGGAAAGTGCGTGATGACATGTGTCTGTAGAACGGGTGGAAAGTGCGTGATGACGTGTGTCTGTAGAAGGGGTAGAAAGTGCGTGATGATGTGTGTCTGTACAGTGGGTAGAAAGTGCGTGATGACATGTCTGTAGAATGGGTGGAAAGTGCGTGATGACGTGTGTCTGTAGAACGGGTGGAAAGTGTGTGATGACGTGTGTCTGTAGAACGGGTGGAAAGTGCGTGATGACGTGTGTCTGTAGAACGGGTAGAAAGTGTGTGATGACGTGTCTGTAGAATGGGTGGGAAGTGCGTGATGACGTGTGTCTGTAGAATGGGTGGAAAGTGCGTGATGACGTGTGTCTGTACAGGGGGTAGAAAGTGCGTGATGACGTGTGTCTGTAGAAGGGGTAGAAAGCGTGTGATGATGTGTGTCTGTAGAAGGGGTAGAAAGCGTGTGATGATGTGTGTCTGTAGAACAGGTGGAAAGTGCGTGATAACGTGTGTCTGTAGAACGGGTAGAAAGTGCGTGATGACGTGTGTCTGTAGAAGGGGTAGAAAGTGCGTGATGACGTGTGTCTGTACAACGGGCAGAAAGTGCGTGATGACGTGTCTGTAGAACCGGTAGAAAGTGCGTGATGATGTGTATCTGTAGAAGGGGTAGAAAGTGCATGATGATGTGTGTCTGTAGAACGTGCGTGGTGACGTGTGTCTCTAGAATGGGTAGAAAGTGCGTGATGACGTGTGTCTGTAGAAGGGGTAGAAAGTGCGTGATGACGTGTGTCTGTACAACAGGCAGAAAGTGCGGATGACATGTGTCTGTAGAACCGGTAGAAAGTGCGTGATGATGTGTGTCTGTAGAACTGGTAGAAAGTGCGTGATGATGTGTGTCTGTAGAACCGGTAGAAAGTGCATGATGATGTGTGTCTGTAGAAGGGGTAGAAAGCGCGTGATGACGTGTGTCTGTAGAAGGGGTAGAAAGCGCGTGATGACGTGTGTCTGTACAACGGGCAGAAAGTGCGTGATGACGTGTCTGTAGAACCGGTAGAAAGTGCGTGATGATGTGTGTCTGTAGAACTGGTAGAAAGTGCGTGATGATGTGTGTCTGTAGAAGGGGTAGAAAGTGCGTGATGATGTGTATCTGTAGAAGGGGTAGAAAGTGCATGATGTGTGTCTGTAGAATGTCCGTGGTGACGTGTGTCTCTGGAATGGGTAGAAAGTGCGTGATGATGTGTATCTGTAGAAGGGGTAGAAAGTGCATGATGATGTGTGTCTGTAGAACGTCCGTGGTGACGTGTGTCTCTGGAATGGGTAGAAAGTGCGTGATGATGTGTGTCTGTAGAACGGGCATGATGATGTGTGTCTCTAGAACATGTGTGGTGACGTGTGTCTCTAGAACAGGTAGAAAGTGCGTGATGATGTGTGTCTGTAGAATGGGTAGAAAGTGTGTGGTGACGTGTGTCTGTAGAACGGGTAGAAAGTGTGTGGTGACGTGTGTCTGTAGAATGGGTAGCAAGTGTGGTGACGTGTTTGTAGAATGGGTAGAAAGTGCATGATGTGTGTCGGTAGAAGTGTGTGGTGACATGTCTGTAGAACGGGGTAGAAAGTGCATGATGATGTGTGTCTGTAGAACAGGGTAGAAGGTACGTGACAATGTGTGGCTGTGGAATGGGTAGAAAGTGCGTGGTGATGTGTGTCTGTAGAACAGGGTAGAAGTGCGTGGTGACGTGTGTCTGTAGAACGGGGTAGAAAGTGCGTGATGATGTGTGTCTGTAGAACAGGGTAGAAGGTACGTGGCGATGTGTGGCTGCAGAATGGGTAGAAAGTGTGTGGTGATGTGTGTCTGTAGAACGGGGTAGAAGGTACATGACTGTGTGGCTGCGGAATGGGTGGAAAGTGCGTGGTGATGTGTGTCTGTAGAACAGGGTAGAAAGTGTGTGGTGACGTGTCTGTAGAACAGGGTAGAAAGTGTGTGGTGACGTGTCTGTAGAACGGAGTAGAAAAAGCGTGGTAACGTGTGTCTGTAGAACAGGGTAGAAGGTATGTGGTGATGTGTGGCTGCGGAATGGGTAGAAGGCGCGTGGTGACGTGTGTCTGTAGAACAGGGTAGAAGGTACGTGGTGATGTGTGGCTGCGGAATGGGTAAAGGTAGGTGGTGACGTGTTTCTGTAGAACAGGGTAGAAGGTACTTGGCGATGTGTGGCTGCGGAACGGGTAAAGGTATGTGGTGATGTGCGTCTGTAGATGCACATGGGCTTCTCTGGGTGCTTTTGGGCAGGAAGTCTGCCCCAGAGGGGATTTTGGCAGCTCTCTTTCCGAAGTTTCTGCCCCTGGTCGGATAAGAGAAGCTCTGAAAAAGCTGTTTTTTGAGTCTGTTGGATAGCAAATGTCAGAATAATTTTTTTGTTGTTTTTGTTTTTTGTTTTGAGACAGGGTCTTGCTCTGTCACCCAGGCTGGAGAGCAGTGGCACAATCTCACCTCACTGCAGCCTCCACCTCCTGGGTTCAAGTGATTCTCCTGCCTCAATCTCCCAAGTAGCTGGGATTACAGGTGCGCACCACCATGCCTGGCTAATTTTTGCATTTTTTAGTAGAGACGGGGTTTTGCCATGTTGGCCAGGCTGGTCTAGAACTCCTGACTTCAGGTGATCTGCCTTTTCCGGCTTCCCAAAGTGCTGGGCTTACAGGCGTGAGCCACCGTGCCCAGCCATCAAAATAATTTTTATGCCACTAGGGTGTAATTTGGATCCGTCCAGCATGGCATACTGAATTCCAGTGGGGGCACAGCTGCTCTTAGCAACCAGTCATCCTTTCTTGGTTTCTTCTCATGGGATAAGCTCACCAGTGCCCTTGTTGGCTCTGCGTTTTGTGCCTAGTGAAGCAGGGCCCTGTTCTCAATTCTGTGACTCTGCTGACCAGGCCCCATGGCCGCCCCTCCAGCCTTGCCATTCACCATAATCACTAAGGCCACCTGGTTTCTGATACCTCCGTGAAGCCTCTCACTTTGGAACTCTGTCTTCCCCTTGCCATGGTGATTGCTTCCCCGCCAATCGTTGCTTCAGACAGCCCTGGTGTACTGAAGGGGGCGACCACGGGGCTGCCTGGTGCTGCTGTGGGTACCCGTCTGACCGGCACACTCCCCATGCTTCTGCTGTGTGTGTGGGGGCGGGAGGGGTCCTAGCCCCTCCTTTGCTGTCCCTTGGCAGTTATGGTACTTCTCCCTTACTTGGTAAGGGCCTCCTGTTAGTACACGTGCATCATCACCCAATTCCTGCCAAATCCTGTGCTTGGGGGTCCTCCCAAATGGACACATTTTGCCTCAGCCAGCTCCCTTGACAAGGGCCCTCAGAGTCCAGCACTTCACAGCCTCCCCTGGCTGCTGAAACTGGCTGGCTACACCCCGCAGCTCCACGGGGTGTGTGGGTATGTGGCCCTTTTCTCCCAGGCAAGGGCTTTGTTGGATGTCACCCTGGTTATAGGCCTGGTGACCGCGAGGGAAGATGGGGGCAGGTCCTATTGAAGATTAAAAGTGTATATAAACAGCATGATGTTTTGATACACGTATACATAGTGAACTGGTTACCAGGGTCAAGCTAGTTAACATCCATCTCTTCACATCGCTACCTTTGTATGTGGTGAGAACACTTAAAATCTTTCAGCAGATCTCAAACGGACAACATAGTATTGCTAACTATAGTCCCATGCTGCCTTACTTACCTTAAAATGGAAACTTGGTGCCCTTTGACCATCATCTCCCTGTTCCCCTCACCCTCCAGCCCCTGGCAAACACTTCTCTGCTTAAGTTCTACTTTTTAGATTCCACATACAAGTGTGATCAAGCAGTATTTTTCTTTCTGTGTCTGGCTTATTCACTGTACATAATATCTTCCAGGTCCATCTGTGTTGTCACAAATGACAAGACTTCCTTCTTTTTTGAGGTTGAGTAATATTCCATTGTATGTCTCTGTATATCACAATTTCTTTATTCATCTGTTGACAAGCAGATTGATTCTATATCTGGGCAATTATGAAATGTGCCGCAGTAAACATGGGAGTGCACATAACTCTTAGCGACGCAGATTTCATTTCCTTTGGATATATACCCAGAAGAGGGATTGCTGGATCATATGGTAATTCTGTTTTCAGTTTTTTGAGTAACCTCCATACTGTTTTTCAGAATGGCTATACCAATTTGTGTTCCCACCAACAGTATGCAAAGGTTCACCTTTTCTCCACATTCTCCTCAATACTCATCTCTTGTCTTTTTGATAATAGCCATCCTGACAGGTGTGTGATGCCTTATTGTGGTTTTGATTTGCACTCCCTGATGACTGGCCATGTTGAGCAACTCTTCACATACCTGTTGGCCACCTGTATGTCTTCTTTGGAAAAAAATGCCTATTTAAGACCTTAGCCTGCTTTTTATTTGGGTTATTTGTATTTTTGCGATTGAGTTGCGTTACTTATGTATTTTGGATGTTAACCTCTTATCAGCCATATAGTTTGTAAATAGTTTCTCAGTCTGTAGGCTGCCATCTCGTTTTGTTTGTTTCCTTTGCTTTGCAGAACCTTTTTCATTTGGTGTAGTTCCTGTGGTTTATTTTTGTTTTTGTTAGTTGTGCTTTTGGTGTGATAACCAAATCATCACCAAGGCTAATGTCAAGGAGCTTATTTCCCTAGAGTTTTACAGTTTCAGGCCTTAATTAAATTAATTAGTCTTAGTTTAAGTCTTCAGTCCATTTTGAGTTGATTTTTGTATATGGTGTGAAATAAGGGTCCAGTTTCATTCTTCTACATCTGGTTATCCAGTTTTCCCAACAACATTTATTGAAGGTACTATCCTTTCCCCATGGTGTATTTTTGGCACCTTTGTCAAAGATTAGTTAACCGTATACCTCAATTCTGTTTCATTGGCTTGTGTCTGTTTTTATGCCAGTATGATAGTGTTTTACTATAGCTTTGTAGTATAATTTGAAATCAGGGAGTGTGATGTTTTTGCCTTTGTTGTTCTTTTTCAAGATTACTGGCCGGGCGCGGTGGCTCACGCCTGTAATCCCAGCACTTTGGGAGGCCGAGGCGGGCGGATCACGAGGTCAGGAGATCGAGACCATCCCGGCTAAAACGGTGAAACCCCGTCTCTACTAAAAATACAAAAAATTAGCCGGGCGTAGTGGCGGGCGCCTGTAGTCCCAGCTACTTGGGAGGCTGAGGCAAGAGAATGGCGTGAATCCGGGAGGCGGAGCTTGCAGTGAGCCGAGATCGCGCCACTGCACTCCAGCCTGGGCGACAGAGCGAGACTCCGTCTCAAAAAAAAAAAAAAAAAAAAAGATTACTGTGGCTATTTTGGGTCTTTTGTGGTTCCATACAGATTTTAGGTTTGTTTTTCTGTTTTGGTGGAAAATGCCATTGGGATTTTGATAGGCATTGCAGTGAATTTGTAGGTCATTTTTGGTAGTATGGACATTTTGACAATATTATGTCAATCCGTGAATATGGGATATCTTTACACTAATTTTGTTGTCTTCAATTTCTTTCATCAGTGTTCTATTGTTTTCAGTGTACAGATCTTTTACTCATTGGTTATATTTATTCCTAAGTATTTGTTCTTTTTGATGCTATTATAAATTGGATTGTTTTCTTGATTTCTTTTTTAGATAATTAATTGTTAGTGTATAGAAATGCTACAGTTTTTTCATGTTGATTTTGTATCCTGCAACTTGACTGAATTCGTTGATTAGTTCTAGCACTTATTTTATGGAGCCTTTAGGATTTTCTATGTGTAGGACCTTGGATCTGCAGTGAGACAGTTTTATTTATTTATTTATTTTGACTAATTTATCTGACTAGAATTTCCAGTACTGTGTTGAATAAAAGAGGTGAGAGTGGGCATCCTTGTCTTGTTCCAGATCTTAGAGGAAAAGCTTTCAGTTTTCCCCCACTAATTATGGTACTGGCTGTGGGCTTTTCATAAATGGTTTTTATTGTGAGGAGGTAAGCTCCTTCTATACCTGTTCTGTGTAGAGTTGTTTTTTTTAAATCATGAATGGATGTTGAACTTAGATGCTTTTCTGCATATTGTTGAGATGATCATGTGGTATTTATCTGTGATTCTGTTAATGTGTTCTGCATTGATTTGTCTTTGTTGAACCAACCTGGCATTTCAGGGAGGAATTCCACTTAATCATGGTGTATAATCTTTTTGATGTAATGTTGAATTTGGTTTATTAGTATTTTATTGAGGATTTTTACATCTGTGTTAATCAGAGATATTGGCCTGTAGTTTTCTTTCCTTCTGGTGTCTATGTCTGCCTTTGGTATCAGGGTGATGCTGTCTTCATAAAATGAGTTTAGAAGTGTTTCTTCTTCTGTTTTTTGGAAGGATTTAAGAAGAATTGGTAGAATTCAGTAGTGAAGCCATCTGGTCCTGGACTTTTTCTTTGTTGGGAGGTTTGTGATTACTGCTTCAATCTCTTTATTTATTACTGTCTGTTTAGGCTTTAGATATCTTCTTTGTTCAGTCTTCATAGATTGTATATTTCTAGAGATTTATCCATTTCTTCTGCATTATTCAGTTTGTTGGCATATAAGTGTTTGTAATAGGCCCTTGTGATCATTTTTATTTCTGAGGCATCTATTATAATATCTCCTCTTTTATTTCTGATTTTATTTGAGTCTTTTTCTTCATTAGTTTGTCGATTTTATCTTCACAAAACCAACTTAGTTTTGTTGATTTTTTCTATTGTTTTTCTCTATTTGATCTATTTCTGCTCTGATCTTTATTATAATTTCCTTTCTTCTGCTAACTTTGAGCTTAGTTTGTTCTTCCTTTCCTAGTCTTTGAGGTGTGAAGTTAGGTTGTTATTTAAAGTCCTGCTTCTTCGTTAATGGAAGTGTTGATTGCTACAGAATTCCTTTTTTTTTTTTTAATTAAAAAAAGAGAGATGGGGTCTCGCTATGTTGGCCAGATTTGTCTTGAACTCCTGGCCTCAAGCAGTCCTCCCACTTCAGTCTCCTAAAGTGCTGGGATTACAGGTCTGCGCCACCACATCTGGCCCCAGACTTCCTTGTTAACACTGCATCATGCAAGTTTTGGTATGTTGTATTCCGCTTCATTCAGCTTAAGATACTTTTAAAATTCCCTTTTGATTTCCTTTTTTACTCAATGGTAGCTTAAGAATGTGTTGTTTAGTTTCCACGTATTTGTCAATCATCCTGTTTTCTTGCCGTTACTTTTTTATTTTTTTGAGACGGAGTCTCACTCTGTCACACAGGCTGGAGCGATCTCGGCTCACTGCAGCCTCCGCCTCCCAGGTTCAAGCGATTCTCCTGCCTCAGCCTCCCAAGTAGCTGGGATTACAGGCGCCCGCCACCACGCTCAGCTAATTTTTCGTATTTTTAGTAGAGACGGTGTTTCAGTGTGTTGGCCAGGCTGGTCTTGAACTCCTGACCTCAGGTGATCTGCCCCCCTCAGCCTCCCAAAGTGCTGGGATTACAGGCGTGAGCCACTGCGCCTGGCCTTCTTGCTGTAATTAATTTTAGGTTCATTCCATTGTGGTTTGAAAAGATACATGACATGATTTTGATCTTAAATATTTTAAGACTTGTTTTATGACTTAACATATGATCTGTTCTGGAGAATGGGTCCCATGTGCTTGAGAAAAATACGTATTCTGCTGCTGTTGGGTGAAAAGTGTGTATATGTCTCTGTGAGGTCATTTAGTCTGGAATGTTGTGTAAGCCTGCTGTTCTTTGTTTTTATTACTGTTAAATATCCTGTCTGGATATTCTATCCAGTATTTAAAGTGGGGTATTGAAGCCTTCTGCTATTACTGTATTTCTGTTTCTCCTTTGAGATCTGTCAATATTGCTTTATATATTTAGGTCTGATGTGGGTACATAGATGTTTACAGTTGTTACAGCTTTCTGTTGAATTGACCCTTGTCTCTAGAGACAGTTTTCGATGTAAAGTCTCTTTTGTCTGAGGTAAGTATAGCCATGCCTGCTTTCTTTGGGTTACCATTTGCATGCGTGGAATATCTTTTCATCCCTTCACTTTCAGCCTGTGTGTTCTTCACTCAAAAGTGGGTTTCCTGTAGGCAGTATACTGTTGAATCTTGGTGTTTAGTTCATTTAGCTACTCTCTATCTTTTGATTAGTGAGTTGAATCCATTTTTGTTTGAAGTAATTATTGATAGGAAAGGATTTCCTTTTTCCATTTTGTTAACTGTTTTGTCTAACAGTTCTTTTGCATGTCTTTGTCTCTTGCTATCTTCATTTGTGTTTTGTTGTTGCTTTTTGTGTTAATGGTTTTTGCTTTCCCTTCTTTTTTTCTTTTGTGTAACTTCAGTAGTCATTACCTAGGGCTTACATAAGATACAGTTGTCTGTTTTAAGATGATGACAACTCACCTTCACTTATATGCAAGACCTCTCAGCTTTTACCTCCCTCCTCTACATGATGTGCAGTTAATGCCACCATACATAACTATTTATGTAATTGTTAACATAACTTATTGTTATTTATTTATTTATTTATTTATTTATTTATTTATTTATGACAGAGTCTCGCTCTGTCGCCCAGGCTGGAGTGCAGTGGCACAATCTCAGCTCGCTGCAACCTCCGCCTCACGGGTTCAAGTGATTCTCCTGCCTCAGCCTCCTGAGTAGCTGGGACTACAGGTATCCGCCACCACGCCTGGCTAATTTTTGTTTTTTCGGTAGACATGGAGTTTCACCATGTGGCCAGGCTGGTCTTGAACTCCCAACCTCGGGTGATCCACCAGCTTCGGCCTCGAAAAGTACTGGGATTACAGGTGTGAGCCACTGTGCCTGGCCAATTTATTGTTATTTTAACTATTTTTGTCTTTTACCTTTTTTTCTTCTTTGAGACAAGGTCTTGCTCTGTTGTCCAGGCTGGACTGAAGTGCAGTGGCTTGATCATTGCTCACTGCAGCCTCAGACTCCTGGGCTCAAGCAATCCTCCTACCTCAGCCTCCCAAGTAGCTGGGACTACAGGCTACAGGCATGTGCCACCATGCCTAGCTACTTTAATTTTTTTTTTTTTTTCAGTAGAGATGAGGTCTTGCTGTGTTGCCCAGGCTAGTCTAGAACTCCTGAGCTGAAGTGGTCTTCCCACCTCAGCCTTCCAAAATGTTGGGATTACAGGCATGGGCCACCGTGCCTGGCCTCTTTTAACTTTTATAATGGAATTAAAAGCGATGTATCTACCACTGTTATGGTAATACAGTATTATGTTTGTGTCTGTATATTTCCCTTTACCAATACGTTTCATACTTTTTATGTTTTTGTGTTGCTATTTAGTGTTCTGTTGATTCAATATGAAGAATTCCTTTTAGCCATTCTTGGAAGGCAGGTGCAGTGGTGATGAACTCCCTCAACTTTTGTTTGTCCGGGAATGTTTTTATTTCCTCTGTGTTTCTGAAGTATTGCTTCGCCAGATAAAATGTTCTTGGTTGGGGTTTTTTCCCGTCCTTTCAGCGTTTTGAATATATCATCCCATTTCTCTCTGGCCTGCAGGTTTCAGCTGAGAAACCTACTGATAGTCTAATGGGGGTTCCCATGTATGTGATGAATCACTTTTCTCTTGCTGCTTTCAAAATTCTTTTTGTCTTTGACAATTTGATTATAATGTGCCTGGGGGAGCACATGTCATCTTGAGAGAGAGATCTGTATCATCTAAGCGTGGGGCCAGCAGGGATACTGGCCTTTAACAGGGAGGGAAGCCCTCCTCTGTAGGCTCAAAGAATTTCAGGTAATCTGAGAATTTGAGGTTCTCCAGGCCTAGAAGTTTGTATGCCATGAGTCATAGTCTCTTTCCTTCCCATCTAGGGCCTCACCTTGGCCTTGCAGCCTTCTTGGGTTGGGGGTTTAGCTTCTCCGGCAGCCATTCATTTCTGGTCCTGGCCCCTGGCTGTAGGAGAGCACAGCTTGGTGCCCTTGGCTTTTGGTCACATGTTGCTGCCTCTTAGCCCTCTTTATCTTTTCCCTAGACCGTCTGCAGAGCTCAGTGCAGCCGCCACCCGCTCGTCCTTACTTCCCTCCTCCATGTTCACAACACATCACCTAGTGGGTGCCCTCCCACTGGTCCCCACCATATGGCCCCACCTCTTGCCTTCTTGAGCTGCTCCTGGCACCACCTCCCATAGGTTAGTTCTCTGGGAAGCAGCCTTAGATACAGAGTCACTGTTTGGGGCTGACCCTTTGGGAGAGAGGCGGGTGAGCAGGCGTGGGCCAAGAAAGGGAATGGCGCCCCAGCCAGGCTCAGCACCTCACCTGACCCCCAGGGGCTGGAGCTGAAGGGACCCACCAGAGCAGCTGCCCACATGCTGGGTCTAGAGAAGCGCCCTTCTGACCCTGCCTCGGTCCCTCACTGGCTGGGCTGAGCGAGGTGGCTCTCTGGAGCTGAGCCCCAAGCCTTCTCCCAGGAGCCTGGGTGGTGGGCATCTTGTCTAGGACCAGGCTTGGTGAAGGTGGCACGTGGTTTTGGAAGCAGCCCACCAGTGGAGGGCTTTTGTGCGGGTGCTAGACGGTGACCAAGACAGAGCCCATCAGCTGGGCTTACATTTCCTCTCAGTTCTTCTTCTCATCTGTGTTGTGTCTTTTAATGTTAGTATTTACTTCGGTATAATATTTGTAGTACTTGTTATTACAGAATACATTTGTTAAACTTGAAACCAGTTTTTTTTGGCAGAAGTTTGGTTTCAATAAAAGGTTGAGTTAGTGCTTATAAAAGCTGCAGGTTAGGTTTTCTGTGCTTCCAGTTAGTGTTGTAAGTAACGATGCAAAAACGCTATTTCTGCAGCGAAAACAGTGTTACACCAGAAGAGCAGCCGGCCTCCTGTACCGATCTCCAACGCGACCAAACGCAGTTTCCTAGGCAGCCCTGCTGCAGGGACCCTGGCTGAGCTGCAGCCCCCCGTGCAGCTGCCGGCGGAAGGCTGTCACAGGCACTACCTGCACCCGGAAGAACCTGAATACCTGTAAGTCTGTCTTTCTGCTTTCAGAATCAGTTCACCATCTTGTGTCCCTTTTTGTGTTAGTTTAAAATATTAATTGAAGTTACCTTTTTTAAAATAAGCAATTTGTATTCGCTTATGAAAGATTTTCCTTCTGTCCCTGCCCTTCTGGCCATTCGGTCCCCTTTCCAGAGGCCGGGAATGATACTAGCAGGAAGTTCCTTCAGGGATGTGTACCTAATTCTGACATTGTTTATGGAACAGGTGTTTTTCTGTTCTCTTTTCCACCATGTGTTACACTGTTTAAGAAACGATCTAAAGATTAGAAAGTTGAATTGACAGTTTAGGTGTGCTCTTTATGGTCTGATAGACATAAAGAGTGAAATCCTCTTGCATTTCAAGTATTGTGAAGTCTTCAAAGAAGAGAATTTGTTTGCTCTTTGGGGAAGAATTAATTTGATTCGAGTGAAAAAGTGTATAGAGCTGCTTAAAGGCTAAACTACTCTAGAAAAAGAGTTGTTTAAAAAACGTTTTTTCTAAAATGAATTTTCATCATGAAGACCTAATTTGGATAACCATATCTGGGGTAGAATTGACTGTGCCAGAATTGGGGGAGGGGGTGAAGGAAGCTTCCCTTGGAGTAAGAGTGAGCTTTGTGCTGTGTGTGGTAGGAGGACCCACAGCTGATGCCAGCCTGGAGCCAGTTAGCACACCGAAAGTGGAGAAACATTTTTAACATGTGGCGATTTAAGTTGGGATTTAAGATGAAGACGCTATTTAAAAGTGGTTTTAAATAATTCACATAAGTGAATGGTTCAGTGAGACAGCATGGCATAGAACGAACTCAGTTGTTTCAGGTTGTTTGAGAGGAGCTAAAACCGGTGACCATGTTGAGGGATGGGATGCGGGGGCTGCCGGAGTCAGGAGGAAGGAGTTGAGAGGCCCTTGTGATACAGGCAGTGGTGGGGGGGTACACACCCAGGGGTGGGGCATAGCTGAGGGAGGGGTTTGGATGTGTTCTGTGTTGGGCGGCTTTGAGACTGGGGTGTCTGTCCCCAGAGCTCAGAGCAGAGGTGGGGCGGTAACTCCATGCCCGCGGGCACAGGCGGGGTCACTGAGTGAGGAGAATGGCTCGAGGCTGAGCCGTCCCTCACATGGGGCCAGCGTGGACACTTGGCGTCCTCCCTTCGGTCTTTGCGTGTCTGTTGTTGAGCCGTGTGTGTGTGTGTGTGTGTGCTGGTGCCCGTGTACACGCTGCTCTGTGACCTGCTGTCTGCACCCTGTTGTCTGCACCCAGCAGCCTGTGGTGAGAATTTTCCCACTCGGTGCATCCTCGTCTGCCACAGTTTCAACAGCTACCCAGTCTGTCACGTCATGGGCGTGCCGTGATGGGTCCACTGTCCCCACGGTGTCCAGGCTGCAGGGTTTGCATTGTGGCCCTGACACAGGTCCCTGTGCCATTCCTGCTCTGCCCAGCTTCCCCCCGGGCTCCCTGCCTTGAGCCCCTCTCTCCGCAACCCTTTCGCTTGTGTGCTCCTGCACACCTGCTCTCACTGTGTCTCTTTGGTGTCTGTGTCCTGACTCTGGTGTCCTCTGCCCGTCTTTGCCTCTTCAGGCCTAGGTGTGCTGACTCTGGCCTAGGGTGCCGAGCTGTCCCCTGTGATCTCCCCAGCCTGTCTGCACCTGGCGAATTATCCCTTTACCAAATTCTCCCCAAAGTGAAACAAGCAAGATAGCTGCCCTGCAGTGTGAGCGCGCTTGTTTCTCGGGGAGCTGGTGCCTGTGGAGTGGCAGAGGCTGCTGGGTGCCGGTCTCATGGGTGTTGCTCTGTCAGAACTGTGCGATCCGCACACGTGTGACTTCCGCCTTTCCTGCATGTGCCGTTCTTCCCGGGAGTGAGGCCTTCACACCCATGCTTCTGTGTGCACCTCTCATCGTTCTTTCTCTTAAGCTATAATCCAAGGAGTGGTAAAGGTGTGAGTGATTTTAGAGGTTTTTATGGATATTGCCATATTGTCCTCTAAAAATGTACATTTTTACCCTCCCACCAGCAGTGTGGGAATGTTCATGCTGCCGTCTGTGATGGGTTTAATTACTCATCAATATCTTCACAGTGGTGGCTTAGTACATTGGGCATCATCCTTGTGGTCTCTTTTATCTCTGAAGTTCTCTCTCTTTTTTTTAATTGAAGCAGTAATGTGCATTTTTGAAAACTGTTGCTTGTCAGAGGATCACTTTTTCTTTTTACTTTTGCTTATCTCAGAAAATCACTCTAATTGCACGCTTGGGTTTTGCTTTTCCCGTGGGAAGCTGGTTGTGTTGTAGACACATCGGGGAGTCAGTGTGCCCGTTTGCAGTGTGTGGATGTTCATCCCAGGTTGGAAGTTCCTGATACTCTTGGCTCATTTTTATTGTCATTTTTTTCCCAAACAGTCCGAGTTTCTCAAAACTTGGTGTGAATTCAGGATGGTCCTGTACACTTGTGCATTTGCTGTTGACCTTGAAGTTTGATAAAGGAATGATTTTCCCTGTAATTCTTTTTCCATTTAGCGGGAAAGGAACTGCTGCCTTCAGCCCATCCCATCCTTTATTGCCACTGAGACAGAAACAGCAGAAATCCATACAGGGAGAGGACATCCCTGGTAAGAATGTTGTTTCCTCCTTTTTTCCTTAATTTCTCCTTACTATAGATTAGTAAAATCATATTTCTCAAAATTAAATCATTTTATCTGATGTAGTGATTTTTTTGTTTGTTTGTTTGTTTTTTGAGATGGAGTCTTGCTCTGTCACCAGGCTGAAGTGCTGTGGCGCGATCTCGGCTCACTGCAGCCTCTGACTCCCTGGTTCAAGCAATTCTCCTGCCTCAGCCTCCCACATAGCTGGGATTATAGGCGCATGCCACCATGCTCAGTTAATTTTTGTATTTTTAGTAGAGACAGGGTTTCATCATGTCGGCCAGGATGGTCTCGATCTCCTAGCCTCATGATCTGCCCACCTCGGCCTCCCAGAGTGCTGGAATTACAGGTGTGAGCCACTGTGCCCGGCTGATGTAGTGATTTTAGTTAAGACTGTAGCCAAATAAATTTTAACTTGTGTTGTCAAAATGTATAGTCTTGCAGTGAAAATATCGTTGAGAGCAATTACCTTCTGTGTAGTAGACACAGAGTAACTGCGACATAAGCAGGGCTCACACATGCTGAAGCTCTCTCACAGTTCTGAACTGTGTGTTACCATCAAAATGTGGGACAACTGTATGGTTTTGCCTCTCTGCTTTCCATGCGGCCCTTCTGGTGTACTGACTTGAGAGGCATTTTTCTGGACAAATGGTCATATTGAAAGAATTTCAAGTGATAGAAAATTGGTTACTTAACACTATCTAATTCCTCTGTACTGCAGATCAGCGACATCGATCGAATTCTTTGACCCGAGTTGATGGTCAGCCTCGAGGAGCAGCAATAGCCTGGCCAGAAAAAAAAACCAGGTGAGTCTGTGTTTCAGCAGTGTTTCTGTTTGGAATGTTTTTTATACTAAACAGCAGTTCTTAAGATGTCACCCCAACCCCCTGAGGATCACCGAGACCCTTTTATAGGGAGTGCCTGAAATCAGAATTATTTTTATAACAACACTAGGAAGTTACTGCCTCTCTGCAGCCTCACTCTTGCGAGTGTGCCGTGGGATTTTTCAGAGGCTGCATACCATGTGGTGTGGCAGCAGGTGGAGTCAGGTATGAGGGTCCAGCCAGATCCCAGAACTATACAGGTGTCAAATAGTGCCTGCCCTTAACACTAGGAACTTCTTCCGTTCTGGCGAATATAGTCATTTGTCATGGAGTGGGCTAATTACTGTAATTTTAATCAGTGTTTAGAAAATGTCTGAGCTTTAATTTGTAGGATGATAAATAGAGATTAATACTGATAAATAGAAACAAAAGCTCTTTGAGGTCCTCAGTAATTTTGAAGGGTATCAAGAGGTCCTGGGACTAGAGTGTTTGAGAATCACAAAGCTGAAATTATCTCTGATTTTCTTCTGCTCTGTGGAAGAGTGAGTTTAAATCTCCTGCATATGAGAGGCGTATTCTCTTTGTGTGGCCGGCATTCTCACCCCCTGGTCCATGTTGGGGGTCTTTGGTGTATACCGCAGCGCACCCAGTGGGCCTTCCCTGTGTTTCAGGCCTGCGTCCCAGCCAACACCTTTTGCTCTACATCACGCTGCGAGTTGTGAAGTGGATCCCAGCTCTGGCGACAGCATCAGCTTGGCCCGCTCCATCAGCAAAGACAGTTTGGCATCCAACATTGTTAATCTGACCCCACAGAACCAGCCACACCCCACGGCCACGAAGAGCCACGGGAAGAGCCTCCTGAGCAATGTCAGTATTGAGGATGAGGAAGAGGAGCTTGTGGCTATTGTTAGAGCAGACGTGGTTCCCCAGCAGGCTGACCCGGAGTTCCCCAGGGCCTCACCCCGGGCCTTAGGCCTTACAGCAAATGCCCGGTCTCCCCAAGGACAGCTGGACACCTCGGAAAGTAAGCCTGACAGTTTTTTCTTGGAGCCTTTGATGCCAGCAGTTCTTAAGCCAGCGAAAGAGAAGCAGGTGATCACCAAGGAGGATGAACGGGGGGAAGGGAGACCGAGGAGCATCGTGTCTAGGAGGCCCAGCGAGGGCCCCCAGCCTTTGGTACGAAGGAAAATGACTGGCAGTCGCGACTTGAATAGGACTTTTACCCCGATTCCATGCTCAGAATTCCCCATGGGCATCGACCCCACCGAGACAGGACCACTGTCAGTGGAAACCGCAGGAGAGGTCTGTGGTGGGCCTCTGGCCCTTGGCGGATTCGATCCGTTCCCCCAGGGACCATCCACGGATGGCTTCTTCCTTCATGTAGGCAGGGCCGATGAAGACACCGAGGGAAGGTTATATGTTAGTTGTTCAAAAAGCCCCAACTCCCACGATTCAGAGCCGTGGACTCTCCTCAGGCAGGATTCTGACTCGGATGTGGTGGACATAGAGGAAGCCGAGCACGATTTCATGGGTGAGGCCCATCCTGTGGTTTTCAGCAGATACATTGGGGAGGAAGAGTCGGCCAAACTGCAGGAGGACATGAAGGTGAAGGAACATGAAGACAAAGATGACGCCAGCGGCCGCTCGAGCCCCTGCCTGAGCACAGCCTCTCAGATGAGCAGTGTCTCCATGGCGAGTGGGAGCGTGAAGATGACCAGCTTTGCGGAGAGGAAGCTCCAGAGACTCAACAGCTGTGAGACCAAGTCCAGCACCAGCAGCTCCCAGAAGACCACGCCAGATGCGTCTGAGAGCTGCCCAGCCCCTCTGACGACGTGGAGGCAGAAGAGGGAGCAGAGTCCGAGCCAGCATGGCAAGGATCCCGCCAGCCTCCTGGCATCTGAGCTGGTACAGCTGCACATGCAGCTGGAGGAGAAGCGCAGGGCCATCGAGGCCCAGAAGAAGAAGATGGAGGCGCTGTCGGCAAGGCAGCGCCTGAAGCTCGGCAAGGCTGCATTCCTGCATGTGGTGAAGAAGGGCAAGGCCGAGGCTGCCCCACCCCTCAGGCCGGAGCACTTTGCAAAGGAGTACTCTCAGCACAACGGGGAGGACTGTGGGGACGCTGTTTCCAAAACCGAAGACTTTCTCGTGAAGGAGGAGCAGAGAGAGGAGCTCCTTCACGAGCCACAGGATGTGGACAAAGAGAGCCTGGCCTTTGCTCAGCAACATAAAGCAAAAGACCCTGTGGCTCTGCACGAGCTGGAGAGAAATAAGGTGATCTCCGCTGCCCTCCTGGAGGACACTGTTGGGGAGGTTGTCGACGTGAATGAATGTGACCTTTCCATCGAGAAGCTTAACGAAACCATCAGTACGCTGCAGCAGGCCATCCTGAAAATCTCTCAGCAGCAAGAGCAGCTTCTGATGAAGTCCCCCACAGTCCCAGTGCCAGGCTCTAAGAATAACTCGCAGGACCACAAAGTGAAGGCACCAGTCCACTTCGTGGAGCCACTCTCTCCCACGGGCGTGGCTGGCCACCGCAAAGCCCCCCGGCTGGGTCAAGGCCGGAATTCCCGTTCCGGAAGGCCGGCGGAGCTGAAGGTCCCAAAAGACAGGCCACAGGGCTCCTCCCGAAGTAAAACCCCAACGCCCAGTGTAGAGACGCTCCCGCACTTGAGACCCTTCCCTGCCAGCAGCCACCCTCGGACGCCCACGGACCCTGGCCTGGACAGTGCCCTGGAGCCCAGTGGTGACCCACATGGGAAGTGTCTCTTCGACAGTTACAGGCTCCATGATGAAAGCAATCAGCGGACACTTACTCTGTCCTCTTCCAAAGATGCCAACATTCTTTCGGAGCAGATGAGCCTCAAAGAAGTTCTGGATGCGAGTGTGAAGGAGGTGGGGTCCAGCTCCTCAGATGTCTCGGGAAAAGAGAGCGTCCCCGTGGAGGAGCCTCTGAGGAGCAGGGCCAGCCTCATTGAAGTGGACCTCTCCGACCTGAAGGCCCCCGACGAGGATGGGGAGCTGGTAAGCCTCGATGGCTCGGCGGACCTTGTCAGCGAAGGCGACCAGAAGCCGGGGGTCGGCTTCTTCTTCAAGGTAAGGGATTGGTAGCATCTGTTTCAGGCACTCGTGATGTGTTGCCACCCCACGTGATAGTGAGTTAGAGAACACAGATCTGCACCAGGCTGGCCAGCCGCTCCTGTAAGAGGCCAGGGGATGTGTGTGTTTAGCTTTGTGGGCCACAGAGTCTCTGTCCCGAGGACTCCACTTGGCCAGAAGCAGTCCCGGGCAATACGCATGCAAGTGAGCGTGGTGTGGCTGAGACGACTTTGTTATGAGCCCTGAAACTGGAATTTCATGTGATTTTCAACATAGTTTTTTTTTTTTTGCTGGTTTTCCAGTCAAAACCCTGTCATCTCCCTGTCCTGCCCCAAAGCGTAAAAAGCGTTCGTCGTTAGAATGCTCTGGAGGTGGCCAGGCCTGGCCTGTGGGCTGAAGTTTGCCAACCTCTGATATAGCAACTTCAAAAAACATTTTTTGTATGTTTTTCTTGTAATTTTTTCCTTAGATATGAAGGGAAGCGTAAACTGAACTGTTTTAATAGTCAGTGCGTCACATGATGTTTGCTGTGACGTTCGTTGTCTCCTAAGATGATAAGACCATATATCGTCGTCTCCTAAGATGATAAGACCATGTTTTCGTGGTAGTTTTTCAATGTTTAGATAGATTTTGATACACAGTTACTTACAGTATTGGGTACAGTAATGTGCTGTGCAGGTCTGTAGTCTAGGAGCAGTGGCTGATGTAGCCGAGGCCTGTGGGGGGCGCTGCCATCCAGGTGTGCGCACACTCCGTCATGCTCACACAGCAGCAGAGTCACCTGAGGACCTATTTCTCAGAACGTTTTCTCTCGGCAAGCGACACGCAACTGTTTCTGCTTTGCCTCCAGGCAGTTATGAATTTGAGAGGATACCAAATCATCAGGTGGATCTTAGCAAAAGAGGCAAGCTTTATTTGGTGGTTGCACTTTTGAAATGTAAACAAATTCGTGACCAACTTCAGTATTCACTTTTTCGCTTTTTTTTTTTTGGACAGAGTCTGGCTCTGTCGCCCAGGCTGGAGTAAAAGGGCATGATCTTGGCTCACTGCAACCTCTGCCTCCCGAGTTCAAGCGATTCTTCTGCCTCAGGCTCCTGAGTAGCTGGGATTACAGGCGTGTGCCACCATGCCCGGCTAATTTTTTTTTTTTTTTTTTTTTTTTTAAGTGGAGACAGGGTTTCGCCATGTCGGCCAGGCTGGTCTTGAACTCCTGACCTCAGGTGATCCACTCTCCTTGGCCTCCCAAAGTGCTAGGATTACAGGCGTGAGCCACCACATCTAGCCAATTTTTGTATTTTTAATAGAGACAGGGTTTCGCCATGTTGGGCAGGCTGGTCTTGAACTCCTGACCTCAAGTGATTCACCCACCTCAGCCTCCCAAAGTGCTGGGATTACAGGAATGAGCCATTCTGCCCAGCCTCGCTCTTATTTTGGAAATATACGTGTACTTTTTAAGGCAAACTGGATCTCGTGAGATGTTTGGGAAATTGGGTGATGCCGAGCGCCTTTGAAATGCCCTGGTTTGTCTTCATTCGTATTTCAGAGTCTGTAACGGTTAGAGAAAAGCATAGAAGTCTTTATGCGTTAAACTTTTAAAAGCGTAGTGGAAGTCGGCTGCTGGGTCGAGTGCGGCCGTGTCCGGCGTCTGAGGGGGTTCCTGTCATGCTCTGTGTGGCCTCTGTCTTGCAGGATGAACAGAAAGCGGAAGATGAGCTCGCCAAGAAGCGGGCGGCCTTCCTCCTGAAGCAGCAGCGCAAGGCCGAGGAGGCCCGCGTGCGCAAGCAGCAGCTGGAAGCGGAGGTGGAGCTCAAGCGTGACGAAGCCCGGTAAGCGTCCCGCCGGGGGGGAAAGCAGACTGAGCAGGAGCCTGGTGGGTCCCTGGCGGCCCCGGTCCCGTTGCTGGCACTGAGCATGGACCATGGCAATGAGTGCCTGTGACGGTCTTACTCCTCCCATGGACCACCTCCCCGAACTTTCACGGCCCCTGCTGATCTTCAGTGAGGACGTGCGTTGCCGGTGGCCAGGGAGGCTGTGTGGCCTCGGTGGGTCATCTGCAGGACTGCCTTTGCAGCCTCTGTGTCCCGCTTGTGGAGGCTGGCCACTCTTGGTCCCAGCGGCCGGGGAGAACCCGAGAAACGCGCCTGGACAGAGCGCCGCGGCGCAGGCGTCGTGGAAGAAGCCCCGTGACCGAGCAGTGTCTGGGCGTGTGTTTCTCTCAGGCGCAAAGCTGAGGAAGACCGGGTGCGGAAGGAGGAGGAGAAGGCGCGGCGCGAGCTCATCAAGCAGGAGTACCTGCGGAGGAAGCAGCAGCAGATCCTAGAGGAGCAGGGGCTCGGCAAGCCCAAGTCAAAGCCGAAGAAGCCGCGGCCGAAGTCGGTGCACCGGGAAGAGTCGTGCAGCGACTCCGGCACCAAGTGCTCCTCCACCCGTAAGCAGCCCCGGCCCTCACGCGGGCAGCGCTTCCTTCCGCGGGCGGCGGCCTCACGTTCTTCAGCTCATTTCAATTTTGTCATCAAGAGTGGTGTGAGGCGGGAAGGGTGGAGATGATTATCCCCGTTTCATGGATGACAATGTTGAGACCAGATGCTCTGAGATGTGCGGCACATCCAGGCGCAGCCCGGCTCCCCGGGATGGGGTGGGGACGCGGCCTGTGTGGCCGAGCTCTGCAGGGCGAGGTGAGGGGAACAGGTACAGGGGACAGGTACTTGTCTGTCGGAATCCGTTCATGAACCGTCGTCTGTTTCTGTCTCTGGCAGCTGATAACTTGAGCCGGACTCAGTCAGGCTCCAGCCTGTCCTTGGCCTCTGCGGCGACGACAGAACCCGAGAGCGTTCATTCCGGGGGCACACCCTCTCAGCGGTAAGGGGCCTGAGACGGCCGCCGGCACGGGGCTGGAGGACGTTCGGAGGGGCAGGGTGGGACTTCCTGATTAAACACGGTGAGAGAGGCTTTTGTAACTTTAATTTTGATATAATTTCACATTTACAGAATAGTTGCAATCATGTCATCAGGAATACCAGTGCCCTTCACACGGGCTCCCCAGCTGGTTAAACGTGGCAGCCTTCACCTTATCACCCTCCCCTGTCCCCCACCCCACACGTGCACACCTGCTTCTTCATCGTTTTGAGTCCGTTGGAGTCCAAGCGTGGTGGCTCACACCCATGATTCCAGGACTTTGGGAGGCTGAGGCAGGAGGATCACTTGGGCCTTGGAGTTCCAGACCAGCCTGGGCAACAGAGTGAGACCCCCCCATCTCTACAAAAAATACAAAAAAAAGTTAGCTGGGTGTGGGGGCATGCACCTATAGTCCCAGCTACTTGGGAGGCTGAGGTGGTAGTATCGCTTGAGCCCAGGAAGTTGAGGCTGCAGTGAGCTGTGCTCAGGCTACTGCACTCCAGCCTGGGCAACAGAGTGAGACGCTGCCAGAAAACCCCCAAAAGCAAAAATAAACAGAAAAAAACCACTCCGTTGGAGATGTCTGGCCTTTTATGCTTAAATACTTAAGTGTGTATTTCCTAGAACGAGAATGTTTTCTCGTGTTACCAGTTACCAAGGCAGCACTTTCATCCGATTTGCGGTCCCCATTCAGCTGTCCTCAGTTATCCCAAGAGTGTCCCTGACAACTGTGTTGTTTCCGAGTCCAGGATCTGGTTTGGGGCGATGAATGGCCTTGAAATGCCATGTCCCTGTAGTCTCCTTCGATCCAGAGCAGTTCCTTAGCCTTTCTGTGTTTTTCTGGACCTTGACTTTTGGTAACCACAGGTCAGTTATCCTTCTGGCTGCCTCTCAGTATCGGCTTCCTGTGATGAGACTGAGGCCTCGCGCTGCTGATTGAGCAGCCCAGAAGTGAGTGTGCGTCTTTCTCAACGCAGCCTCTCAGGTGGGCCCCGGGACCGCTCCTGTGATGAGAAAGTAACTTCAGGAGAGAGGCTGGGGACTGGTCTGGACCTCACGGAACTGTCCCGCAGGGGCTTTAGTGACCACCATGGAGCTCCTGCTCACCGCTTCCTCCACGCGTGTTGTCAGCTCTCGTGGGAGCAAGGGCTTCCCTTGCCCATGTGTCCCTTTATTTTTATATGCACAGCGTGTGGCTCCTGCTCTGTGTGCACCTGTGGGCCGTGTTTTCTTGTCTCTTCACCCGTCTCATGGCTCCTTGTTGTCTCTGGGCTTTGTGGCAGATCCCTCCGAGGGACTGCAGATTCTGTTTGGGTTTTTGTTCTGGTGGTCAGTTACCCTGGCTGGATTCAGACTCCAGCTCTGTCTGCCTCCCTTGTGAGAGCAGCAGCCGACATCTCTGAGCAGCTGTGTCCAGCCTTTCGGCATCTGTTGTGCTCAGTGGAGACTTCCCTGCAGGGTGGAGCTCAGGCCTTCCAGGGATCAGCGTCACTGGGACCCAAGTTTTCAGACTCGGCCTGCTGTGGCCCCTCCTTCCCTAGGTCTCATCCCTGGCTGGGCAGCAGCACAGGTGGCCCAAACTTCATCCTCTGGCTTCCTGAGCCAGCAGCACTGTGCCCTGTGCTGTGCCTGTGCCCTGCTCACGGGGGCAGTGCCTGGAGCAAGGGCTTCGTGGAGGTGAACCCCTTCGGTGAAGGGCTGACTCCCCTCTGTCTGTCTTCATCACTCCCTAGTGCCTGAAGTGTTTGCTTTTGTATTTTGCTCGGAGTGTCTGTACTGTGTGGGAGTTGTGGCAACTCGAGCCCCCACCGTCACCGAAAGCCTCCTCCCCTGCTGATGTGCTTCCTGTCCTGGTTGCGGGCCAGCCCCTTGCCAGCAGTGGTGAGAGGAAGCCAGCGCTTCACCTGCCTGTCTCTTGTCTGTTTCTGCCTGCAGAGTGGAATCGATGGAAGCCCTGCCCATACTGAGCCGTAACCCAAGCAGGAGCACAGACCGAGACTGGGAGACCGCGTCGGCGGCATCTTCCCTGGCCTCAGTGGCCGAGTACACAGGTGACGGCGTTCGCCCTCCTTAGAGGTCATCGTGGGCATGGCCATACGCCTTTGCGTGGCTCTTTCAATATCTGTTCTCTATTTTGGTCTAAAAAGTATTTTTCTAACAAAGATGTTTGATGTAGTGAAAGAGAGCTAATTTGAGCTCTTTGGTGCTGAAATGGGCATGTGGTTTAGTAGAAGCTCTTAGGCCTGCCTTGCCCTCCTGGTCATCTGCCCTGCTGTCTGCTGTGCAGGGGGCAGCGGACCTGGGGGCAGCAGAGCCCGGGAGTGGTGGAAGTGCTTGGCTCTCACCAGCTGCCCTTGGAGCAGGCGTGGGCTCAGGGCACAGTGAACTGGAGGTGCTGCTGTGGCTGAGGTGTATGTCCCGGGGCCTTTGAACTTTAGACTTTTTACAAGTTATTTACCTGGTTTTGTCTTTTTTTTATAGTTAAGACACTGAATTTAGAAAGGGGATAAATTATTGATTACTTTGTCTTTAGTTGTCTAAAAATTTATAACTTAAAATTCTTTTGAATAAATTTAAGTGGTTTTTACTTCCCATTTTTAAATAATCATAAATATCTGTAATTCAGCCTACCCATTGCTTGCTTCTAAGACATTGCTGGTTTTCTTTTTTGTGTGTGTTCGTGCCTTAAAATAATAATTTTACCAACCCTGGCCTCGTTTCTTAGGTCCCAAGCTCTTTAAGGAGCCCAGTAGTAAATCAAACAAGCCGATTATTCACAATGCCATATCCCATTGCTGCCTGGCTGGAAAAGTGAACGAACCCCACAAGAATTCCATATTGGAGGCAAGTATCATGTTTCAACCTCAGTTTTTATGTGGAATAAAAAGTGTTTATAAATTAAGGGTTCTTTTTAAAAGAAAACACCCCTAATCTTTGATGCATGAGAGTTACTAGGGAGAATGCAGATTTCAAGGAAGAGGCCGTTCCAGGCAGGTGGGAGTGAGGAGTGCCAAGGTCCAGGGGCTGCAGTGAGCCTGTGCTGGAGGAACACCCAGGAGGACGGGGCAGGGTTCAGAGGCTACATCCTCATGTGGTGCCTCTGGGCTGAGGAAAGACATAGTTCTACTCAGTGAGATAGTGGATGCAGGTGTGGGCAGAGGAGAGCCAGGAACCCACCTGCCCTTCCCAGTAGATCAGAGCAGTCAGCAGGGAAGCCAGGGAGGCAGCCTGGAGGTGAATGAGGAACAGGGGCCAGGGCTGGAGCGGTGGGTTGGGGAGGACCGAGGACGGAGGACGGAGTGGTGGGTTGGGGAAGATGGAGTGGGGAGGGAGGGAAGAGGCGCGCACCCGCTGAGCGTGTGGACTCCGGAGCACCCAGTGTGCATGCCCAGGGAGGGGCTTGGAAGCAGGAATCTGAGGGTCCTGCACGGGGTCTAGGCTGGCCCCTGAGGGGCAGGACTGGGATTCCAGGGGAGAGGAGGCAGAGCCACTGGACCCTGCCCCAGATTGAGGCTGGTGTGTGGCCTTAAGTTGCTGGCCTTGGGATACAACGGCTTGTGAATGAGTGAATGAAAATTATGCAACAATCTGTCATCCACCAGAAATTCTGCTTTTTAATAATTAAGACTAACCCCTGGTCCTTAGTTGGTTTAGTTGTAAAAATTAAAGTGACATACGGAATTTCTGACCCACTTTAAAACGGATGTGTTCTTTTCTTGATAGTGAAGATCATCTAGACTAAGAATGGCCCCGACCTAGGCAGGTCTCGTGGCACTGGGGACAGAAGAGGCCATGGTCATGCCCTTCCTGCTTAGATTTCCACACGGAGAGGTGGTTGGCCCCCTGTATCAGTGGCCCCCAGGATCACCCTGCATGCGGAGATGCACTGGAAGGACTCGTGGCCCTCAGTGTGGAGTCGACCCAGGGCTTAGATTTATTCCAGCACTGTGGAGGGAGCCACAGCCACTGGGTGAAGAGGGAGAAGACAGAGGCGGGGCTAGGCCTTGTGCAGCTCCCTCTGCTCTCGTTCTTCCAGCAGTGGATCCACAGCAGCCTGTGGGCCATGGAAAGCCCTTTTGAGACTGGATGCCCTGAGCTCTCCTTGGGGGCTGGTCACAAGGCACACTCCCTGCCCAGTGTGCAGCAGTGTGCCTGACGCCTGGGAGGAAACCAGCGTCAGCGTGCAGACCAGCAGTTCAGGCTCAGGAGGCCCTCCTGTCTTGCCAGTGAGTGACTGGGAGCGAGCTCTGCAGATAGCAAGTTCCCAGGTGCCCACCAAGGGCCGCCCAGCAGGCAGGCCTTTCTAGGACAGCAGCCCTCTCAGCTGTGCCACATAAGCTGTGGGCACCACACGCTTCCTTATCGTGCAGGCAGCAATAAGTAAATAAGATGAACCCCACTCCCCACAGTCCCGCTGTCGCTACAAATTAAATGTTTCTTTCTTTTTGGCATCTAATTCTGTTCATATTTAAACACAGTGAGTAGGGTTGAAATCAGTATTATATAGACAGTTTTGGATTCTTTTAAAAAATACGTATTATTTAAAATAATAAACCCCATTATATGCTGATACATTGCATATTTATGAAAAGTAACTTTTCTAAAGCCAAATAAATAGAAGAGTGGCATTGACATAAGAGGGCTGGCATCTCAGCCGCTCGGGCCCTCCGTCCATTACAACCACACAGCCCAGGGCCTTGGGAAGGTTCTGCCGCACACTTGGGAGAGGCGATGAGGCCTTAGCCTTTCGAGGTCGAGGGCTTGACCCTGAGATTCCTGGGAAGGCCTCAGGATGCCTGGGCCGCATGTGGAGAACTGTGAGGGCAGACCCAGGTGCACTCCCATTCCCAGGCGTGTGGAGGGTTTGTTTTTAAAAGTTACCAAAACACTTGAAGATACGTTTTAAACTTTAAAATACAATCAACAAACGCGGCGACAGGCATCAGCAGTTTGTCATACTTCAGATTCTTCTTTTTTTTTTTTTTGAGATGGAGTCTCACTCTGTCGCCCAGACTGGAGTACAGTGGTGCAATCTCAGCTCACTGCAACCTCCACCCCTCCAGACTCAAGCGATTCTCTGAGTAGCTCGGACTACAGGCATGTGCCACCACGCCTGGCTAATTTTTGTATCCTTAGTAGAGATGGGGTTTCACCATATTGGCCAGGCTGGTCTTGAACTCCTGACCTCAAGTGATTCGCCCACCTCAGCTTCCCAAAGTGTTGGGATTACAGGCGTGAGCCACAGCGCCCGGCCCAAACAGCTTTATGAGATATCATTCACATACCGTAAAATTCACCCTTTTAAGTTATACCATTCAGTGGTTTTTAGTACATTAATAGAGTAGCACAACCATCACCACCGCCTAATTTCAGAGCATTTTCATCCTCATAAAAAGAAACTCCACGCCCGTGAACAGTCACCCCCCTAAGTCTTCCCGCGCCCAAGCTCTTGGCGGTCGCCAGTCTGTCTCCATGGATTTGCCTGTTCTGGGCATTTACATAACTGGCATCATAATTATATGGCCTTTTGGGTCAGGCTTCTTTCACTTAGCGTGATGCTCTGAGGTTTCTCAGTGTAGTGTGTACCGGACCTCCATTCCTTTTTGTAGCTGGGTAATGCTCCATTGCATGCTCCGACCCCATGCTGTTCATCTCGTCATCTGCTGATGCACACTTGGGTTGATTCTTCTTCAAACATTTTTTATTGATAGGGAACAGATGTGCATGCTTTTGGGGGTACATGTGATATTTTCGTTTCTACTTTTTGCCTGTGAAGGGATAGTGCTGTTATTTATATGCAGTGTTTTGTATGGATGCGTGTTTTCATTTCCCTTGAGTACATATGTGAGAGAGGAATTGCTGGGTCCCACGGTAACTGCCTGATGGTTTGGAGAAGAGCCAAGTTGTTTTTCACAGCAGCTGCTGTGCTCTGTATCCTTCTGGCAGTGAAAGAGCCCCATGGCTCGCCAGCACTCGTTACCGCCCTGCTTCTGGGTTCCAGCCGTCCTTGTGGGCATGACGCGACGTCTCTTTCTGACTGGCATTTCTCTGGTGGCTGATGATGAGCATCTTTTCATATGCTTTTCCATTTAATCGTAAAAGCATTCTTTTCCCCCTTGCTTGCTTAGACTTCTTAAGTAAAGTCTCAATGGCATATAATGCTCCCGTACAGGGGTCTGCTGTAATTGTTTACAACAGGCAGGCCGTAGCTGACGGGTGGGAGAGCTTCCCACGGAGCGGTGCTGGTTGAGCCGCTGTGGGAGCCCAACTCGTGGCAATTGGAGTGGCCCTGAAGTGTTTGTCTCTTCCCCTTTTCTCTCTCTGCACAGGAGCTGGAGAAGTGTGATGCCAATCACTACATCATACTGTTTCGTGATGCTGGCTGCCAGTTCAGGGCGCTTTACTGCTACTATCCTGATACTGAGGAAATCTACAAACTCACTGGCACGGGGCCAAAGAACATCACCAAGAAAATGATCGACAAACTGTATAAATACAGCTCAGACCGAAAACAGTTTAACTTGATCCCAGCCAAAACCATGTCTGTCAGTGTGGACGCACTCACAATCCACAACCACCTGTGGCAGCCCAAGCGGCCTGCAGTGCCAAAGAAGGCCCAGACTCGTAAATGACCCCGGTGCAGCTGGCGTCCAAAGGGTGACCCAGACTCGTAAATGATGCCCTTGTGGCTGGCATCCAGAGGGTGCCACGGGGTCCTTATTTATTGTTTTCATCTATTTGGGTACGAAGTGTGCAAAGTCACAGACCTTTTGCAAAGAGGTTTCTAGACAGCAGAAGAAAACCCCTCTCTCAGCGCTCATCTCACGCAGAGGATGCCAGGCAGGGTGAGGATGGGGGAGTAGATGCCGCTTTTGCAGTGGCTCGCACTGCTGTGGCCACTGCTGACCACTGAGGCTCCCAGCGGAGGGTGTTCACAGCCAGGTCCCGGGCCACGGAGCTCCCTTACTTGAAGTTCTCCTTCAGCATAGATTAGACGTGATCCACTTTGCTTTCTTGCTTCTCACCTCGCCCCCTTGCACATTGCCTGACACCCTCATATTGGCCAGCTGTAATCTCGTGACTATGGGACTGAGGCTCAATCTTGGCTTGGGGTGTTTGAATGTCTATAGCAAAGGAATTCATAATGGGAAATCTTTTTCATTTGAGAAATTGTATGATATTTATTGGTTGTGTCTACTGCCAACATTTATATCCAATTCTAAGATTTCTGAAAAAAAATTCTTATCCCTTGCTGCTCAGAAAAAGTTTACGGAAAACACCAGTTCACTAAAAGCACCGAAATCTGCAAAGCCTGTCTTCCGCTAGAACAACGTCTACAAATGTGAAGATGATGACTTCTGGCACGCGGTCATGAGGGTGGGGAATGGCACTAGGAGCTGATGTTTGCCTCATTTAAAGTAGGCAAGCCGAGCCAACTGCAGCCATCATTCATTAAGTTTTGGGTAGTGCTCTAATGGTTTGTTCACTTTAATAAAGACAGATTTTGGTAAAGTAGAATATTTTTCATTCTGAGCATGTTTGTCCCAAAAGGTGATGCACTTAAGCTGACAGTCCCTTCAGTGGTTTTGTTAGGTCACGGCTTGTCCTGTCTGGATTCTGCATCTGGAAGCGCTGCATGCTCTCAGAGGAGCGTGCCGTTTCCCCTGTAGATGGATACTTTTGTTTTGTTGCCTATTTAAAAACAATTAAGTGGTTATTTGCAGTTATTTCAGAACTCCAAGTAAGTGGATGGCTTTGGGTTCTTTCTGCCTTGGTCCCAATGGTGTTGATGCTTCTGTGGAGCGCGGACATTCCCAGGAGCAGGTGCGTGCCAGCCATGGCTGCCAGACACTGCTGCAACTGACCAGCTGCCGGAAGATTCTGGAGCCACTAACATTAGTTTTGCACATATTTTCTTGGGAGTGTTACTTGAATCTATCTCAAACTGCAGAAAAAATCAAAAGATCAATAATTGGGAGAAAAAGAGACAAATTTAACTGTTACATAATTTTAGATAGACAAAAAACATGAGTGAGTCGTGTACATAAGGAGGGAACATGGTACAGAAGGCTAGAAGGAATTATAGGTCTTATTCCCCTTTCCTCAGTCCTTTGAAGAGAAGTACAGTCTCTTGCGATTTTGTATATATCGTGTTCGACACAGCCGCTCTCTGTCCTGTAAATAGGGAACTAAAGGCTGTATGATTTCTCAAGTGCTGAGTTACACAGTCCTGAGTGAGCTTTCTGTTACCATACTTTCACACGTGGGCTTTATTTCTCACTGTATGTTTGATATGATATTACTGTATTTATTTTAAGAAAGCACTAAGATGTAATAAAGTGATGAACTAATTTGCTTTACATTGAATCGTATGTGTGAGGTTGCTGTGGCTCATTTCGCTGACCAGGCGACACCAACTCCTTGCTTTATAGGAGTTTCACATTGTTCTTTACCATGGCCCTATCGAAGTCAGTGGAATTGGATTCTTTTTAATGAAGAGCTAGAAAATATCTGGCATAGAGCTGGAAAATTGCATTCCCATGGGACGTCTGAATCAATTCTGGATTTTCTCCATGGAATGAGTCAGTGTGTGGAACATCCTGAAACTTGTCCTTAAGCGTGTAGTTTTCACTGTTCGTTGCGAGTAAGCACTAATGTGGCATGGACATTCCTGATGTCCCAAGTCCCCAGGCCAGTGTTCGCCTAATGATTGACAGAAGCGTCCCTGCGTTCTTCATGCTTGGACACAGCAACCCTTTTAATTAGTCTTGAAAAGTTTCAGACACAGGATTAATTTTCGTGGTGGTGCTTTTGGGCCTTTCTGGCTTGGGTGGTGGTAAAGTCATGATTTTGCAGTTGATAACACTGACTTATAACTCTGTTTATCAATGTCTCCTATATTCAAAGCCCCTGCAGTGGTATTTGTGTCTCGTTGCAAATTTCTTTCAGCGGAAAGCTTGCACAACTTTCGTTGTGTCTCAGAATTCTAACCTTGTTATTTAAGACAAGCTGCTCTACCCATTTAGGATATAACTTTGTAAAGAAAGTGTAAACCAAATGATTCAATGTATGATGAAGTTTATGTGTAAATCCTTGGTAATGCTAGAATTCTGGGAGCCCAGAAGGGTTGAAAGAGAAATGAAACTTGCGTGAGTCCCATTATTTTACGCATGTATGTGCAGATACGTTCTACCCACACGTGTGCGTGCACATGGCTGTGTGCGTGCACCAAAGATGGACTGCTTTCCATGTGTCCTTTTGACTTTCTGCACGTGTCACTGCGGTGCAGTCTCTTAGCAGACTTCAGGCCCAAACTGTATTCTTCACTCAGGCAAAATTGAAAAGTGGAATAATTCTAAATTACTTCTAGGTTATACTTTTACCTCCCTGAAATTGTAGTTGTCACTTGGAGGGCAAAATATTTATTGAAATAAAATTTTCTGTTAAAAATTCATCACTTGGAGAATGTTTTACAATTGATTGTGATTTATTTTGTGCAATGGGGTTTGACTTGTGAGAATTGCGAACGGGCATCTGTAAAGGAGTTGAGTTTCACCTTTTCTGTGAATGTTTTTGAAAAGGACTGTAGCTGTATCTCTCCATCATTGTTTTGGTCAAGTCTGTCTGTGTTACTGGGAAGCAGACACACCCAGGACTGCATCTCTGACTTTCACACCTGCCTTTTCTTACAGGGCTTGAGTAGGTGCCTTACTGTTTGTCTAGAGTTTTTTATGGCTTTG
Source organism: Homo sapiens (assembly GCF_000001405.40). NCBI lineage: Eukaryota > Metazoa > Chordata > Mammalia > Primates > Hominidae > Homo > Homo sapiens. The sequence continues at coordinate 135,808,200 of NC_000009.12, read as the reverse complement.
AAGGTGGAGGTGTATTTTTAAGGGCAGTCCAAGGGATTCGGACGTCACCAGCAGAGCCATGTAGGATATTCTGTCATTCACAGTCTCCATTTGCTTCAGTTTATCACATTTGAAGGCCCAGGCTGTGGGGTTTGTTAGAGGGTTCAGAGAGCAGAACTTGCTCTTGTAAGAAACTTGGGCTCCCGGGGGCATCTCGCCGTACAGATGGCAAGTTCCTCTCCTTCCTCCTCGTGCCGTTTTCCAGGATTATGAACTGGGAAAGTAAATTTCAGCTGTGGAAGTCAGTGCCCTCGTCCGTCCGCCATCTAGAAGAGGAGTGATCTCCACCTGCAAGCTGTTTGCAGATGCCTGGTTTTGTTCTTTCTCCTTTAGAAAGAGCAAGTTAAATTTCCCCAGTTATTTCTCACGTAGCAATACTTTACCAAAGCAACATATGATGGGAATGCATGATAAGGCAAAGAAATAGATGAGCAGACTCCACTCCACATAGTCAAGCCCAGGCACAAAACTTGTGAATGAATTGCTGAATGATTTGTTTCAGGGTAGAATATTTATTTGCAGTGAAAAATTTGGGTTGCTTCTGGTTCAAAAGTGTTAAACCACATTTCCTATACAAATGAAGTTCTACGCTAGTATCGCGATGATGGTCAGCAACTAACCAGCTTGGCCTTGGAGCCACTTCTCAGTAGCTCTCTTTTTTCATCTGGTAAATGATGCTCTCGAACTGCAAACTAAGGTACTTTAGCTCTGGCAGCCTGTGATTGAGGGTGCGGCCTGCCATTCAGATGTGCATAGCATGTTGGCTTCATCTGTGCAGACAGCCTTCAGGAGGAGGAGGATCCTGCTCTGAGTGTGGCTTGCCACAAACGGGGCTTGAGACATGCTGTCGGGGGCACACGGGGATGATGCTTGCGGGATCCATGTTGCTGCCACAGGGCAAGGTCAAGAAAAGCCCACATGGCACCCGGCTTGCTTACTCCCAGTTGGAGGAGATCTCGTGTCCTTTCTCTCTCATTGTGGAAAGAATGATACACATCCTTCTAGTTTCATGCTATCATGAAAAGTAAGTTCTCTTTATAGTTGAAATGATTAATAACACGGTGGTTTAGATGGAGACTCCTGTATGATAGGCGTGCTGGCAGAGGCACCGGCTGTTGGAGTTGGGCCCAGAGGAGCCCAGTGGGTGCTCGCTTTGTGTCTTCCCCGTGCAGCCCCTGGGCCTGCGTCAGTGTGCACTGTGGGGTGCTGACGCTTCGGGATGGGCATTTAAAGTCTTGGGTTTTTTAGGGCCGAGTGTGGTGCCTCATGTCTCTAATCCCAGCACTTTGGGAGGCTGAGGTGGGCAGATTACCTGACAGGTCAGGAGTTTGAGACCAGCCTGGCCAAAATAATGAAACCCCATCTCCGTTAAAAATACAAAAATTAGCCGGGCGTGGTGGCGCGCGCCTGTGGTCCCAGCTACTCAGGAGGCTGGGGCAGGAGAATCACTTGAACCTGGGAGGCGGAGGTTGCAGTGAGCCGAGATCGCGCCACTACACTCCAGCCTGGGTGACAGAGCGAGACTGTCTCAAAAAAAAAAAAAAAATCTTGGGTTTTTTAAAAAGTGATTTTTTTAGTTGAACTGATAAATCTCTCTAATTTCCGTTTTTTCCAGGACACCTTTTTTTATTTCCTTTTATGCCAGGTGGTAAATTTTTGTTTTCATTATAATGCAATCCATATTCTTTTAAAATTTAAAGTAGAACATACTTAGAGAAAAGCAGATCCCGAGCATCCATCTCAATAAACTTTTGACAAAGTGCTTGTTCTGGTTTTAAAATCAGTGGTTCCCAATATTTGTCACCAAAGTTCCCCCCATAATATTTTGCTTCTAAATTATATTTATGGATACATATTTTTGCCCTATTTTAGTAGACATTTAACTACCAGTACAAGTGGGCCAGCTGGACAGTCCCTGTGGCCCGTTAGAGGTGCTGGGAAGGCGGAGTGTTGGGTGTATGGTGGGCACGCGGGTTTCTGTTCCGGTATTGGCATTATTTCTGTGTATGTTTCTCCAAGTCGGACTCTTGTTCAGCTTGCAGGTTGCCGTGTGGTTGCGTGGGTAGTGTTTCCTCATCCCAGGAAGTCAACTTGGTGGGGCACAAGCGTTGTCATTCCTGGGGAAGAGACTCCCGGCTGCTGGCTGGCTGCAGACTCGGTCCTGGAGGCAGACCTGCTGGTTGCCTGGGCATTTGGTGTTTATTTTCCTTGAGGATGACTTTTGCTGTCGTTCTTCCATTACAGTCTTCAAGGGCCAGAGGTGGACAGTGTAGCCCCCAGGTGGCACACAGCCAGGTGAGGGGACGCGGGGACCCATTCGCACCCGCAGGCAGCACAGCAGGGCCTTTTCCTTGGTGGGCTGTGGTTGGCTCTTAGATCGTGTTGGCTGCACCAGGCGGTGTAGGTAAATGCTGGTGAAGCCTCCTGTTGGGGTGAGGTCAGCGACACCGCCCTTGCTCCTTCAATAGAGGAAGCCTGTGTTATGTACCTCAGCGTCCCCTGCGGCCCACAGGATGTGGTGATGTGGTGGCGGTGGCGGTGGAAGGGGAAGGGGAGGGTGCGACCACCCTGAGCTCTGCAGTGCGGGTCAGAGAGCAGCGGTGGGCCAGTGGGCAGAGGCCAGGCCATCTTCCCTGTGGGTGCTGGGTGAGTGCCAGTGGCCGGCACACGGGACAGTCAGTGCGTGGTGAAGATGCTGCCCTGGGCCCGGGTCTTGGTGGAGCGTCTGTGCCTGGAAGCCTCCTTGCTGTAAGAGTGCCACCATGTTCTCAAGGGAAGGGGCAGCGCTTTTCAGGAAGGAATGGTAGCCACGGAGTAGTCAGACAAAATTAGCCTTATAAGAACTGTGGGCCTATCTGTTAGGGAAAGAAAAGAAATGAGATCACCACTTAAAAATGTGTGACTATTTTAGCTACAAATCGGGTTTTTAAACTAAGCTGTAAAACTTCAAGTCATTTGGTGCAAAGGCTGTGTCTGAATGGTGGAGACCATGGGGCTCCCGGCCTGAACCCTGCCTTCCAGGCGCAGCGAGGGCCTGTGGGCTGCAAGTGGCTCGGGAGCGCTCTCTGGAGGGCCCTGGTACACACACCAGGCCAGACATGGGGTGAGGCGGTGGCACCCTGAGCCTTGTGGTTAAGAGTCCCAGCCCTGGGCTGGGCACACTGGAGAGGGCTATTCCAGTCAGCCTCCCACTAACTTCTTCAGGAGGAGGCTTGGGAGGGCTGGGGGGCCCGTGGCAGGCATGGGAGCCGTGTTGAGCGAGGAACAGGGGTCAAGCCCAATGGTAACCACATCGCGAGGACTGTTCTGAGGGTGGCGGGCAGGTACACAGGGCAGAGCCCATGGCGTGCCAGGCTGGCAGTTCCTGTAGAGCAGCCGTGTCACGAACACCGCCTGTGAACACACTCTTGTGTTTGGCACCTCATCCCCCGGGAGCCTGTTGTGGGTGGAGCAGTCTTGTGAGTGTGCAGACTTCGACCTGGTGCTGGGAGGGGGGCGACAGCAGACGATTGGTGGTTAGGCTGAGGGTCACCTCCCCACACTCTGTCTGTTAGAGACAGCACCGGCCACACCCTCCCTGCAGAGCACTTGGGCGAGGTGTGGACCCAGCTGGAAAGTGGGTGGTGGAGGGTCCGTTTATTGTTTTGAAGATGAATCTGCTTTTTTTTTTTCTTTTTGAGATGGACTGTCACTCTGTCGCCTAGGCTGGAGTGCAGTGGTGCGATCTCAGCTCACTACAACCTCTGCCTCCCAGGTTCAAGTGATTCTCCTGCCTCAGCCTCCCTAGTAGCTGGGATTACAGGCACACGCCACCACGCCTGACTAATTTTTGCATTTTTGGTAGAGACAGGGTTTTCACCATGTTGGCCAGGCAGGTCTCAAACTCCTGACCTCAGGTGATACGCCCACCTCGGCCTCCCAAAGTGCTGGGATTACAGGTGTGAGCCACCAAGCCTGGTCTGAATCTTCTTTTTTGTCTGAGAATTCAGAAGCAAATGGGGTTTCCTCCATTTATGGAGAAGCTGCAGGCCTGTCTTCTGTGCTTTCAAATAAAAACTGGTAATGTAGATCTTGTTTTAGAAGCCCCACAGAAGTAGCATTTCAGCCTCGGAGGATTAGGGTACAAAGGAAAGGCCTCATTCTGAAGTGCGAGGCAAGGGGTGAGGAGGGTTTCCCACAAGCCTGGCTGGGGCTGTGGTGGGGGCCGGTGCCCCTCTTCCCGGAACATATCCAGGTGGGTGCCCTGCAGGAAGCTCTGGGCTGCAGTCTCTCCTTTGGAGTTAATTTCCTTGCCCTGCACTGGAAGTGAATTGATTGCATACACAGCCCTTGCTATATATATATGCTTTCCTTGAAAGTATCAGCTGTGCAAAGAGTTCAGAAATGCACAGGAGAGAACAGAACAGAAAACTGCCCACCCTGCCCTGCCCCTTCCCCACAGCACATGGCTGTTGGTATCTCCGGACACTACGCCCACCTCCACACCCTGCACCCCACACCGGAGTCACCGCGTAAGCAGGTGCACCTTGCGCCAGTGCTTACCAGCCCTGCCCGCCTGGAGCTTACAGGCCGGCCAGTGCACAGGCAGATGAGGATAGCAGCATCCACTGACAACTTGGTATTTCACGGAATCTAAGGTGTCCTTCATTTTAAGATACATCATCATTTTGTGCCACCAAGAAATGCTGCCCATCAAACTATGCCACGCTGTTGATGTTAAGATGGTCTGCTTTCAAAGATGTTGAAGTGTGTACGGCACTGATGGGGGTGTATGTCTGGGCCTCAGTGGAGCTCACGGGGGTGGGGCGGCTATTTGAGAAAGTGGCAGGAGGAGAGGAGCTGTCTGCCCAGCTGGGGTGGAGTCGACGGCCTGAGGATGACTCGGGGTCCTCCCCGCATGGCTTATGGAGCAAGCCTGGACGTGCTCGGGTCTCAGCAGGTGGGGGAGTATCTGCCCAGAGCTTGCCCTGTCCCAGGCCCCTCCCGGCACCGCCACTGCGCTGCTAAGCCTGTCTCCAGCCCCAGGCCTGTGTCCTGGGAGCACGGGCCGGGGGCTGGGATGTGCTGGGCCCGTGTGGGATTCTCAGGGCCCCAGGATTGGACTTTTCCTGGACTGGTGGGTGTGATGTGGGTTGTCACTGCTTTCTCTGTTCCTTTCCCGGGCACTAGGGAGGTTGACTTGTGTTTTCAAATGGGGATGGGCCTAACACGCTGCTGCTTCTGGGAGATTTCCGTTCACTTCCCTGGCCCACTTTTAATGAGGTTGTGTTAATTGGGTGGGCTTTTTTCCTGTTGATTCATAGAACTTCTTTGAGTGATCAAGAGGACAGGGCGCCTCTCCTTTTGTGAGCAGCAGACGTGCCAAGCTGGGGCTCCTCTGTGTGGCGTTGGCATTTGAGACACACCACACGCTGCCCAGTGCCTTCGATTGGCATTTTTTTTTTTAAGACAGTCTCACTCTGTCACCCAGGCTGGAGTGCAGTGGCACGATCTCGGCTCACTGCAACCTCCACCTCCCGGGTTCAAGTGCTTCTCCTGCCTCAGCCTCCTGAGTTGCTGGGATTACAGGTGCACGCCACCATGCCCGGCTAATTTTTGTATTTTTAGTAGAGACAGCATTTCACTATGTTGGCCTGGCTGGTCTTGAACTCCTGACCTCGTGATCCACCCACCTCGGCCTCCCAAAGTGCTGGGATTACAGGTGTGAGCCACCGCGCCCAGCCGATTGGCAGTTTCTTGATGGCAACAGAAGTGGAGCCTATTTACATCTTTTTTTGGTCACGGAGTTTCCTCCTGTGAAGTGTCTGTAGAAGCTTTTTGCCTGTTTTTCTCCTGAGTCATCTTTTCCTAATTTATAGAAGATACATTTTTGAAAGACAATATACAGAAGGTATAAATATCTTCCATTCTGTGACTTTTCAATTTTTTTTGTTTGTGGATACACAGAAGTTTTTAAGATTTTGTGGCCAGATTGTCAATGTTATTAGCGTTTCAGAAATCTAAGCCGGGCGTGGTGGCTCACGCCTGTAATCCCAGCACTTTGGGAGGCCGAGGCGGGTGGATCACCTGAGGTCAGGAGTTTGAGACCAGCCTGGCTAACATGGTGAAACCCCCATCTCTACTAAAAATATAAAAACTAGCTGGGCGTGGTGGTGGGCGCCTGTAATCCCAGCTACTCAGGAGGCTGAGGCAGGAGAATTGCTTGAACCCAGGAGACGGAGGTTGCAGTGAGCTGACACAGTGCCACTGCACTCCATCCTCGGTGACAGATTAAGACTCCATCTCAAAACAAAACAAAAAACCAACAAAAAAATAAAAAACTCTTGCCCTGCCATGGAAACTACCTTGTAAACCTTTGACGTTTGTATTTCAGCCTATAACGCACCTGGACTTGGCTCTTACGGCTTGTGAATGAGGTGGAAGTCCGTATCATTTTTTTTTCTATGAGAATCTCTAATGGTCCCAGAGCCACTTCTTGGACACGCCATACTTCCTCTGCTGTTTGGCAGTGCCAGCTTTGCTGTGGTTTTGTTTCAGTACTTCCAGTCCGTTGGTCTCTGGTGAGCAGAGCAGTGCCCACCCTACACCCTCAGAGATGTCCATATTCTGATCTCTGGGTGTTTTGTTAACACAGTGAAGGGGAATCAAGGTTGAAGATGGAATTCGGGTTGCGAATCAGATGATCTTGAGATGGGAGATCAGCATAGACTGTTAGGGGAGCCCCATGTCATCACAAGGGTGTCTCAAGTGTGGGATGGGTGCAGAGGACAGAGCAAGACCGGGCCGACGGAAGAGAGCACAGAGCTGCAGACTGCTGGTTTTGCAGATGGAGGGAGGGGCCGTGAGCCAAGGAATGCAGATGCCCTCTAGAAGCTGGAAAGGCTTCTAGATTCTCTGGAGAGTCTCCAGAAAGCTGGGAGCTCTGCTGATGACCTTGATCTCAACTCAGGTGTTTGTCCGACTTCTGGTCTATGGAGCTGTTAATAAGTTTGTGGTGGTTGAAGTCACTAAGTTTGTTACAGCAGCAACAGGAAGCGAATCCAGTCTAGTTGTCTATTTGTGCAATACACAGGCAGGATCCTGATTCCTGTCGCTTGATAATGAGACTCGCTCTCTGGTAAACCAGCTGCTTCCGCTAAGAGCGTTTTGGATATTTTTGGCCCTTTGCATGTTAGGTTCTACCCAGCCTCCCCTCCCCTCCCCTCCCCTCCCCTCCCCTCCCCTCCCCAACCCCCAGTAATTGAGATTTGGTTTGGGATTGTCTTGAGGTCAGAGAGATTTGACATCTTTATAGTATTGATCCATGAACTTGGTGTGGCTTCATTATTTAACTCTTAAAGCTTGCAAAACATTTGATAATTTTTCTTGTAGAGGTCTAATACTACTTTTTTTTTTTTTTGAGAGGGAGTCTCGCTCTTTCGCCCAGGTTGGAGTGCAGTGGCGTGATCTCGGCTCACTTCAAGCTCCGCCTCCTGGGTTCACACCATTCTCCTGCCTCAGCCTCCCGAGGAGCTGGGACTACAGGCGCCTGCCACCACGCCCGGCTAATATTTTGTATTTTTAGTAGAGACGGGGTTTCACTGTGTTAGCCAGGATGGTCTCCATCTCCTGATCTTGTGATCTGCCCGCCTCGGCCTCCGAAAGTGCTGGGATATACAGGCGTGAGCCACCATACCTGGCCTAATTTCCTTTTCTTGTAAGGACACCAGTCAGATTGGATTAGGGCCCATCCCGGTGACCTCTTTTTAACTTAATTACCTCTTTAAAGGCCCTGTCTCCAAAGACAATCACATTCTGACGTCCTCAGGGAATGGACATCCACCTGTGGGTTTGGGGGACACCGTTCAGCCCATAACAGAGGTCACCAGGGATAGGATGTCCACCTGTGGGTTTGGGGGACACCGTTCAGCCCATGACAGAGGTCGCCAGGGATAGGACGTCCACCTGTGGGTTTGGGGGACACCGTTCAGCCCATGACAGAGGTCGCCAGGGATAGGATGTCCACCTGTGGGTTTGGGGGGCACTGTTGAGGTCACACGTGGGCAGTGCGTCCACTGCTTGAAGAGCTGACATTGCCAAAGGTAGGTGGACCTCTCAGGATTTCTATTTTTTATTATAAAATATTCAACCTGTAATCCCAGCACTTTGAGAGACTGAGGTGGGAGGATTGCTTGAGTCCAGGAATTGGAGACCAGTCTGGGCAACATGGCAAAACCCCATCTCTACCAAAAATACAAAAATTAGCCGGGCTTGGTGATGCTTAACTTGTAGTCCCAGCTACTCGGGAGGCTGAGGTAGGAGGATCATTCAAGCCCAGCAGGTTGGGGCTGTCGTGAGCCGTGAATCCACCACTGCACTACAGTCTGGGCAGCAGAGCTAGACCCTGTCTCAAAAACATAAAAAGTAAAATATTTGAAAGCCATCCAAGGAATAGAGTCGCATATGTTAGTCATGAAGCAAAATAATAAACGTTGCCGGTGACTCTCACTCATCTTAATAATTTTATAACGAGATTTCTAGAGATGGAAGGAGTCGCAAAGGCCAGTGCTCCTGCTTCACTTACCCAGGACTTTGGGCGTCACGTCCCTGGATCTGTGGCACATGGTAAGTCTGTGTTTCTCCTGTGTGGTGAGGCCGCACTGTCCCTAAGTGTGTACCCGGAAGCACCCGTGGAGTAAGGTGCCGTGGGGTGGATGCGCGGCGCTGAGCACACAGCTCTGTGTGTCCGAGCTTTGCAGGCTGGTGGAGGAAGGTCAGGCAGGTGGACTGGGCAGGACCTTTTCCAGACCCAAAGAATTGACCAGGGTTGGCTGGGAGGTGATGAAGAAGTCTTTGCAGAAGCCAAGAAATGTGCGATGCTGAGGAGCTCAGGCTCTTGAGCCTGGAGCTGGTCTGGGCAGGTGATGGTTGTGGAAGGATGCAGGAATGGGAGGTCTCAGAGCTGATGATCAGGGCAGTGGGTGGGCCTTCTGGGCCAAGTGACCAGTGAGTCCTACTGCTCTTGTTCCCCGAGTGCCAGCACCATCACTGGAAGTCTGGGCCAGTGTGGTGGCTAAGTGGCAACATGATGGGCTGAGCGAGACCATGTCAGCTGCCATCCGAGGGAGGTGGCCACGGGCAGGTGGTTCAGGAATCACGGCCAGCGCCTGCTGCTCACTGCTCTCTTATTAGAGTGGTGGCCTTCTTGGGCTGGGAGGTGGTGGTGGGGGATGGGGGACCAGACTTTAAGGAAAAATGGAGGCCACACTGTGAAGGACCCTGGCCACAAGCTGCCATCTGGCCTTTGGGACTTTGTATTTTGAGTAGAATGACCATGCACTCACGTACTCCTCCACTCGCTCATCTGTTCATTCATTTATCCATCTGCTCATTCATTCACTCATTCGTTCTGGAATAGGGCTGGGTGTGCTGTTGGGTGCGGTGCAGGGCTGGAGACAAGGAGGCAAGGGTCCCAGCCAGGGGTGGCTTGCATTAATTCATGGCATCTGGGGGGTGTTGAAGTTCATGGGCAGTAGAGAGATGTGACCGAGGCCGCAGTGCCATGGGGGAGTGGTGGAGAGAGGAGGTGCGGCTCACGACTTAAGGATGGAACATTGGAGGCGAGACACTGGAGCGTGCGGGCCCCCAGGGGACAGGAGGAGGCAGGAGGGTGTCCTCAGGGAGGAGGAGGCACAGCCTCAGAAGAGGTTGAGACCAGGCAGCCTTGTCCACCACCCTGCAGGGCCCGAGCAGGGCGGGTGGAGGGTGGTGAGAGGTGGGAACAATGCATGGTGCCTGGGCAGGTGCGTACCGGAGACTGCAGCGCGGAGCTGGTGTTTTGGTGTGTGGAGCTGCCACCGTGGGCTGCTTCCTCCAGACCTGTCCTGCCTGCCACATGCACTGCTCTACAGGGCTGGTTTGCTGCAGCAAAGAACTCAGGGCCGGGAGCACGGCCAGGGTCAGGCTGTTCCCAGGGCCTTCCAGGGGTGGCCGTGTTTGACACATGCCTGGAAGAATGCCTGGTCCCAAACAGCCATCAGTGCCTTTCATGAGCATCCTGGGTGCCAGGCGCTGTGGCCAAGCCCCCAAGGCCCACCCCAGCATGAACTCACAGCCGCTCTCAGAATTTAGGGCTGCTTCGTCACGCTCAGAATTTAGGGCTGCTTCGTCACGCTGCACCCCAGGATTTTAGACAGTGATAGGGTGGATTTGAAGGTCAGCTCTGGTTACAGAGAACAGGCAAAGGGCCCAAGGCACAGGAAAGGGAGCGTTTCCTGGTGATGCTGGAGAGGGCGGAGGCTGCTTGGGAAGCAGAGGAAAGAGGGCAGAGGCGCCCCCTAGTGCCCGTGTGAGAGACGGCGGGTGGCCTCAGGGTGTGGGTGGGGGACACTGAGGGAGGACATGGGGTCTTGAGGGTGTGACAGATGGATCGGCTTGGACACGTGGAGTCTGAGGTACCCCCAGGACAGCCACTTGGAATGTGGAGTGGGCTGACGAGTTCCCGGACTTGAGTGTGGATGGACTTCTGGGGGAGCTGGTAGACGGGTCAGCACCGGCAAACCTCAGTAGTCTGGGGCTGCGTGAGGACCATCAGGAGGGCCAAGACAGACTCTTCGGAGGGCGGGTGGGGTGAGTGTCCAGTGGAGGTCAAGTGAGGTGAGAACCAGCAGCACCCTTCATGTTCAGTGGCCAGGAGCCAGCCTGACTCAGGGTGTGTTTTGGGGGGCACTGGGGGTGGGGTGAGGAAGAGGACGGCATGGGGGAAGGCTGGAGAAGCTCAGCTGCTCAGAGGGGAACAGAGAAAGAGAGTGAGCTCACGTGTGGAGGTGGTGCCAGAGGGCGGGCTGAGTGAGGGCAGGGGCCCAGGAACAGCTGGATGGGAGCTGGCATCCTGGGAGAGCGCAGAGCTCCGGGGTTGGCGCTGAGGCTCGGCGGTGCTCAGCAGACAGGAGGTCAAGCCACTGTCAGTCCCCTGGAGATCTGGGCTCCTCGGAGGTCAGGAGGGCTCCTGGCTGCTGTCCTCTGGGGCGGGCTGGGAGTCGCAGCAGTAGATCGAATGTGTGAGTTGGGGGCTCCGTGAGACTCTGCCCCGGGTGCCCTGTGGCTCCCCTGCAGCCTGCTTTCGGGAATGCCAGGGCAAGTGGAGCAGCGAGGCTCCGGGCAGGTGCAGGGGCTGGGCCGGCTGCTCTCTGAGCATCCTCTGTCCTCAGTCCTGCCTGACTCTTCTGCTCAAGGAGAAGCCCTTGCCCTGCAGCGGCCGTGCCTCAGTGCCCCTCACAGGTCCTCTGTGCCTTCCATGCATGCAAGGTGGGGCCTCTGGAGCCTGGCCCGCACACACAACCATCCAGGCAGCTGTGGGGCAGAGACGGCAGCTTTCTGGGACCCAGGGGCACTGCAGGGGCTGATCATGGTAGCCAATGCCTGGACACCTGGCAGGCGGCATGGCCATGAAGGGGCCGTGCCTCAGTTTCCCCACTGAGGTACATGCACCCTCAGGCAACTGCATCGCTCACCTGTCACCTGGCACCTTCAAGCAGGTGCCTGCCTGGAGGAGCTCTTCCTGGCTTCCAACCAGCTGTGCCACCTGCCGTGGGTGCCCTTTGCAGCCTGAGCACCTGACCAGGTTGGACCTCTCCAGCGGCGAGCATCTGCTTGCTGAGCGGGACACCTTCCTGTACCCAGGGGCTCTTCAGGAGCTGGAGCTGCGGGGAACTGGCTGGCCACACTGCCGGCTGTAAAACCATGTGCCATCTAGGGGTCACTTTAAAACCCTCCAGCCTGGACACACATCCAGGCTTGAGGTGTGTGTGGGAGGTGGAGAAGGACAGACAGGGCTGAGGACTGCTGAAGCTGGGGCTGACGTGCTGGTCATGTGACTCTCCATAACTTGGGGACTTAACAAATCCACTATCGGTCTCCATCTTTTTTTTTTTTTTTTTTTTTTTGGAGATGAAGTCTTGCTCTGTCATCCAGGCTGGAGTGCAGTGGCACGATCTTGGCTCACTGCAGCCTCCTCCTCCTGGGTTCAAGTGATTCTCGTGCCTCAGCCTCCGGAGTAGCTGGGATTACAGGCACACACACACAACACCACGCCTGGCTAGTTTCTGTAATTTTAGTAGAGTTGGGGTTTCACATGTTGGCCAGGCTGTTCTCAAACTCCTGACCTCAGGTCATCCGCCCGCCTCGGCCTCCCAGAGTGCTGGGATTAGAGGTGTGAGCCACCGCGCCCGGCCAGTCTCTGTATTTTAATTGGTGTATTTAGACTAATTCATGTACATTGAATGTGATGACTGGGTTCGTGGGATTATCATCTACCATATTTGTAACTGTTTTCTATTTGTTGCCCTTGGTCTTAGTTTCTATCTGCCTTTCTTTTCTGCTTTCTCTGGTTTCAGTTAAGCATTTTATATGATTCCATAGTCTTGTCTTTTGTAGCGTATCAATTATACTTCCATATATAGAAAAAAATAATAAAAAGAAAAATAAGTATATATATATTTTAGTGGTTGCCCTAGAGTTTGCAGCTCATCCAGATCCACCTGTAAGTTACACTGTACTGCTTCTCAGGTCACATGGTAACTTGTAACTGATGGCCCCCGCTTCCTCCCACCTGTCCCTTTTAACGTTGCTCTTACATTTCACTCACACATAAGCGATAATCACCCAATACACTGTTGGTATTCTGATTTTGAGCAAACAGTTTTATTTTCTTTTTCTTTTTTGTTTGTTTGTTTTGTTTGAGACAGGGTCTCTCTCTGCCACCCAGGCTGGAGTGCAGTGGTGCCATCTCAGCTCACGGCAGCCTCAACCTCCCCAGCTCAGGTGATCCTCCTTCCTCAGCCTCTTGGGTACCTGGGACTGTATGCACATGCCACCACGTCTAGCTATTTTTTTTTTTGTACTTTTTGATACAGTCAGGGTTCATCATGTTGCCCACGCTGATCTTAAACTCAACTCCTGGGCTCAAGCAGTCCACCTGCCTTGGCCTCCCAAAGTGCTGGGATTACAGGTGTGAGACACTGCGCCCTGCCCAGTTTTCTGTTAGATGAATTAGGTATAAGGAAAATAAAAACAAACAAAAAACAGGAATAAGGAAAATAGCAGGTGTCTCACTCATTTTGTATGTTTCAAATAATTCTACCGTAAAACATTAAAAAAAATTCTTTTCGCTTATTCTAGGCAGTGATGACTTCTTAGGGAATTCAGTCCCTCAACCTTTGCTCAGATCCTACTTCACTTGGTGTACTTTGCAGGGGGACCTTTTATGGGTCAGCAGGACACGAGGCTGGGAGAAGTGATGGTGGACGAGGACGGCTGGGAGCAGGGACCCACCTTCCTGATGTCATGACTGTGCAAGCTGGGGCTGTTGGTGAGTGGGCTCGGGACAAGCAGAGAGGCACCCGGGTGCTCCCTAAACCTGGAGATGAAGAACACAGAGGCCAAGGAGAGCACAGAAGTTTCCAGATGCTGCAGGCAGCTTTTCTTGGGCTGGCAGCTGGCATCTCACAGTCACTGACCTGCCTGGTTCCAGCCCCTGGCTCCCAGCTTTGCCCACGGGAGGATTCACAGGCCGCTGGGCGCTGGGTGCCACCTGTGTCCACGGCTGCCCGCATGAGCTCCAGGCGGAGCAGGGGGCCTAGAGCTGGCATCCTCTGCGGTTAGTGAAGGGGCAGGGACTGCCCGCCTCCTCCTCGGATGTCCAGGGCTGGACCCGAAGTGGCCTCATTACTGGAGATTATGAAAAAATGCTGCCACTTGCCACCAGTGTGCAGGAGGGAACGGACCACTGATGTTCTCAGAGGCCCCAAGTGCTCACCCAGCCCCTCTTGGGCAGCAAGCCTTCAGCCCTCTTTGGGGGGCTCCGCTCACCCCTGGAGAGAGGCTCAAAGGCTAAGATGCCTCCCGGCCTCATGGTGGTGGAGTGGCCACAGGGGACTCCGGGAACACCATCCACATCGCAAGTCAATCCCGAATAAGTCATGCGACTCCCCCATGGTGCCTCCTGCAGGCCAGCTCTTCCAGTGTGGGGCTCCAGGGGCTACAGCTTCCCCTGCCACTGCTGGAACTGTGGCCCTCCCATCCCAGCAGCCAGACCGGCTTTTCTCTCCCTTCTCCTCCCTGCAGGTGCTGTGCAGCCCCCCTCGCCTGGGGGCCAGGGTGTGGGGGACATGAGAGGCCACCCAGGTGAGGCAGACTTGGGCCTTCCAGCTGCAGGGCGACTGCGGGGCGGGGTGACTGCGGGGCAGGGCGTGCTCGCTGCTTGGATCCCAGGAACGTGATAGACCCCAGCCCTGCTGGGACAGGCTCTGGCCACCCTAGCCCAACATCAATCCCTGCCGCTCCATCAAGGTCCTGGGACTTACTTTCTGGTCCCCTGAATCCACACAGCCTCTCCCTGACCACCCATGTCTGGCTCTGTCCCCCACAGAGGGCTAGTGGGCACCTTCTGAGCAGGAGGGTTCCAGACAGGCCGGGAGTAAGGGACTAGCTAGTCTGTGTGGCCAGGGCCGGCCCCTCCAGCAGCTGCTGTGTTGTCTGCCCTGACACCGGGGAGGGGCTGCACCTCGGCCTTTTGGTCCTTCCCCTTCAGCCTCTTGGGGTACCCTGAAGTGAACGTGGTGAGGTGCACACACATCCCCACCTGGGGCAGCCCTGACCCCCAGTGTAGGGGATCCCCAGCAGCCACTGGCCTCAGATGAGTTCTGTGCCACTGCGGGCAGAGCCTGGGGTCTCTGTGCCCACCCCAGGGACATGCCTGGCTGCAGGGGTGAGGCTGATGGGCAGCTCACCAGACAGCCCTCCTGGACTCTGGGACCCCCACCACCAGGCAGGTTTCCTGGCTACCAGGATCCAGTCACCAGTAGCCAAATACAATTTGGTTCCCGAGTTTTGGAAGGACTGTCCTGGCCTGGCTGGGGAATGGGGGCTTGCCTATGGGGTTGGGGTGGGGACCCCAGCAGGTGTTTGTAACCCTTAAAGTGGGGTGGCTGGGAGGGGTGAGAGCCTTGGAAACACGAGCAGGGCGACTTGACTTGTAACTTCATGCCTCCAGAATGCATCCATTTAATAGAAGTTTCCAGCGCTGACCGTACAAACCAGTAAGGAACCAGCAGCAAAGGACGCAGGGTGGCGCTCCTGATGTCAGCCGCCGCCCGGGATCTCGCCTTGCTGAGAAGATCCTCTCTCTCCACGTGGCCCAGCCCGGAGGCTGAATTGTGCTTCACAAGTCAGGGGTTTAGAAAATGAGGCTTTGCTTTAAAAGGTAAGTGTAAAATGGTCCATGGAAATGCACCATCTTCCGCCCAATGCCCCCTAGATGCAGTGGCTGGGACAGTTCAGTGTGAAGTAGAGGAAATGGCGTCTTCTGCTTCCTTCAGAAAGGTCCTCGGCGACAGGGCCCTCTGGGGGACCTGGGGACGCACCCCTCTCACATGCCCGGCTTCCCCGGGCCCTTTGCTGCTTCTAACTTCCAGAAGGGGCTTGGGACAGCAAACAGCCCAGGGTCCCCCTCACCCACCCCAGAGTGCAGAACAGCAGCCCTGGCCCCCAGCCCTTGGCTGCAAGGAAGCGAGGCTGCCTGGCCGTGAACGCTCAGGCCGGCTCTGAGTTGGGTGTGGCCCACGCGGGGCTCCTGGGTTCTGGGTTCTGCTCCCCTCCCCATGCACCCCAGCCCCACCCTCCAGCACAGCCTGGGCTCGGCCCTGTAGGGCGTCCAGTCCCTGCGTTGCCCTCCCAGCCAGCCCTGGTCACGAGTTGCGGTACATCTGTGTAAAGAGAAGTGGACTGCATCGACGTGTAAAAATAGGTTAAAAAACTCTCCTCACTAGCCTGCAGGTGCCCAGGGGTGAGCTGGCCCTCCCCCCGCATGAGGGGCTCCTTTCCAGGGTGGAGTCCCAGGAGCCATGGTGAGTAGAGTGTGCCATCCCCAGGGTCACGCTAGTGCCACCGTGTCCTCACACGCTCCTCCACGTCCTTCCTGAGGACCCCGGGCTTGGTGGCCTGAGCTCCGTGCAGGGCTGGCTCAGAGCTGTGTCTCGTCGCGAGTCTCGGGGTTGCAGGACGACAGCTTGTGGCTGCAGCTGCTCTTCCGGCTCTGGGAGCTGCTGGCCACGTGAGCCAGGGGGTCGGAGCGGATGAGATAGCTGCGGGAGGGCACAGAGGACCCTGGAGTGGATGTGGGCCGGGCAGCCCCTGCTCAGCCCTCTGCTGAGCGGCCCCACTGTGGTGCCTGTGGCCTCATCTCCCCAGTGCCCACCTGGTGCTCAGGGGGGGTCTCCACACAGCCCACAGGTGCTACTCACACAATGTCACTGGGCTCCAGCCTCGTGTCGGGCGGAGGGTTGATGAGGACGTAGGAGAGGGTGTTCTGGTGGTCGTTCATCTCGTCTGCAAAGGACACAGCCGGGCAGACGTCACCCCCCCAGCCCTGCCCCTCCCAGCTCTGCAGGGGCCCAGAGGTGTGGGGGCTCCAGGATGAGCTGAGTCTTTCCGGCCTTCCTGACCATTCTGCTCCAGCACCTCATCCTGGTGAGCCCAGCCAGGGCCCATCCCTGACCGACACCTGTCCCATCTCCACACAGGGCAGGGGACAGCCAGGAGGGCAGCTGGGAGCCAGCTCTGACCCGCACCCACCTCTGGTGCTAGGTGGCATCGCAGCAAAGGGGTGGCCCTGAGCAGAGGCACTGAGCACACCTGCACACACCAGCGCACACCTGCCACGTACGTCAGCCTGCAGACACCGGGACGTGTCTGTTCACCTCACATGCATGCATGCCTTCATCTACACCTGCACACACCTGCAGATTCACCTCTGTATTCCACACACATTTGTGTGTCTGCACAGATCTTCATAGCAACCCATGCCTATGGTATCCACAGACCCCTGCACACTCACTCATATACACACCTGCATGCCGTCCTCCACATCCACACACCCCCACCCCCGCCTCCAGAGGCTGCTCAGCCCTGTCCCTCCCTCAGGGCCCTGCAGCTGCCGCTGTCCCCGGGCCTGGACAGGCCATTCCCACTCGCTGTGCTCAGCCCTTTGCTTCAGACTGAAGTCCTGAGTGGCATCAGCCCAGAGCACCCCCACCCCGCAGCTCATCCCTCCGAGAACATGGCCTCTGCCCCTCATGGGAGACAGCCTGGCGTCCGGCTCATGGGGTGGGCGTGGGCATGTGTCCCACAGGGTGAGAACGGTCCTGGAGAGACAGCCCCCCCATCATCTCACAGTCTCCATGGGGCCGGCAGGGTAGCCCTGCCAAGCACAGGGAGGGAGAGGCCACCATCCCAGCAGTGGCCCTGGGTTCACTGGCTGGAAAGGGTCTGTGGCCTCAGTTTATCCATCTGATGGTGTCTACGGGAAGCTCCTGGATTCCTGTTCCAGGACTCCAAGGACAGAGAACAAAGGTGACCCAGGACGGGGGACCCCAGGGAGCCTCCACCCTGGCTGCTGCCATTCCCTCCTCTCTGCCCGTCCTCTCCCCTTGGGGTAGCCCTGCCCTGGTCCCTGAGAAGGGAAAAGTCGGGGAGGCTGCTGGCCAGCCAGGTGGGGGCCATGCTGGTCCCTCTGCAGTGGGGGCTTTGGAGTTCCCACAGTGTGAGCACAGCTGCTGCCAGGGTGGCGGGGGCACAGGCTAGGACTTGGGGGCGACCAGGGCAGCTCCGGCCAGGAGACCAGCTCTGCTTCAGGCCTTTCGCACACGGCGGCAGGTCATTTGGTGCCAGCTCCTGTGTCCACACCTGCGGGATGGGACGGCCTGACACCTGCCCCTCACAGCTGTTTTGCTCTTTTCCCAAAACCCATGGTGGGGTCTTCCCCAGGCCTTTGGAGGAGGCCCAGGGGCCTCATGCTGAGGCTGTGCAGGGAGACACACCCTCCCCACCCTCGTGCCCACACACGCTTCTGGGGTGGCCGCATGGCAGGTGGCACAGGGAGTGGGTGGTGAGGGCAGCTCTAGTAGGTTCTTGGGACCCTGCCCCCCTGCCTGACTGGCTTTGTGACGAGCACCCAGTGGGACACCGAGAACAAGGGGCCACCAGCTCATTTCACTCCGGCAGGCACAGACTGGCCCCCAGGCCCCAGCTTCTCCCGCTGGGGTGCCCGGACCACACGCTTCTGAAGTAAGCAGAGCTCACTGGGCTGAGCCAGGCTGGGCTTTGTGTTTCTTGGGGCTGGGCTAGGGGGCGGGTGGGGATGCCAGGCCCCAGCTGCAGTGCCAGGGCCTGGGTTGTGGTCAGTCACATGGCACTGGTCCTGGCTGCCCAGGATGGTCGCAGAGGACTAGCTTCGCGTGTCCACGGTGCTTGGTGAAGGCTGGCAGCAGGTGTGCCTGAGGGCCTGGGGTGGGGCAGGGGCTGGCTTTGGCTCTTCTGGTGCATGTCCTGGGGCAGGGCCACCTCGCCCCTGGTCCCCAGGGCTACCTGACTCCTCCACCCAGACCCTCCGACCTTTACTCCAGGCCTCAGTGGTAGCTCTGCTCGCCCCCCAACCCGCTTCCTAACCCTGCAGGCCCCAGAGGCTTCCAGACCTCCTGGCTCTTGGCATCCACGGTCACTCCCGCCTGAATCCCCCACGCCAGGCCAGAGCTACCGCCACCCGAGCCTCAGTTTCCTTCTCTATAAACTGGGGATAACTAGTGCCTCCCCCCACGGCAGCTGTGAGGAAGGCGTGAAGAGGGGATTTGTGTGAGTATCGGGGCTGGGGTGCCTCCTCCCGCTGTGTGTGTGGGATGGGGGCTGCACGCTGGAGGGGCCCCAGGATGCTGCCCGCCCTCCCCGCAAAGGGTGTGACTCTTCCTGTTCTGCCTCTTGGCCTAGGCTCCGCTTGAATCTAAACATGGGGGTGCAGCTCCCCAGCCCCAGAACCCCGGCACCGTCACCCTCCCGGGCATGTAGGCCGAGCCCAGGAAATGCCTGCCGCGGGAGTCCTGTGAGCCCTCGCCCCCCAAGCCCGCTGTGGCCATGCCTGCCCTGGAGCTGCAGTGGGAGCCGCAGGAAGCTTTGGCGGGTGAGGGGAGCGGGCGACGCAGGCATCCCACTCATGAAGGCCGCTAGCTGCAGGTCCGAGCACCACAGTGCCCGGCAGAGCGAGGGTCTTCCATGAGCGCCATCGTGGGGAAAAGCACAGAGCCGGGAGAGGCCGACGCTTTACTTCTGTGGCTGCCCCAGGCCTGGCCCTGCCTCCGGGTGCAAGGGCATTGTGGCAAACAGGTCCCTCCCGAGCTAACACCCGTCCTGGCTCAGGAGGCCCTTCAAGCTCCTGGGTTACCCTGTAGGGAGGTGTGGCAGCGGGGGCAGGCTCTGAGCTCCCCTGAGGCTGCCAGGACCCCTGGGAGCACCCTGGCCCGGACTCTGCTGAGCACTGACGGGGCACAGCATGTTCTTGGAGGAAACGGGGTGTGGAGCGGCTCTGCTCGAGCCGAGCAGGAAGAATCCCCTCGTGGAGCCCCAGCTGGGGGACGAAGGTCACCATCCACCTGGCCTGGGCAGCCATAAAGCCTGCCTACTCCTCGTGGCTTGGAGTCCCCACCCCTGCATCCAGCCCAGGCTTCACCGAGCTCCTCCCGGGGCCCTGGCTCGGGACCCTCTGGGTGCTTCCTGAGAGCAGAGGAGCTTAGGGTCCTCAGACTGCTTGTGGGGCCGGCCACAGGGAAGGGCTGGCTGTAGGCCAGGGTGGCCCACCGGTCACATCAGAGCTCATCGTAAACAGCAAAGCAGGAGAAGCAGCACCAGGGTGAGCCCGAGAGCTGGGCAGTCGCCACTCTGCCTGGCGGCCAACAGCACCTTGACTAGCACAAGCCCCAGACCTCAGCCTCAGGCCCGTCCTCAACGCCCAGCCAGGGGACACTCTGTCGGCATGCGAGGCCTTGCCCAACAGGGCCGCCTGGGCTGACACCTGGGACGTGCTCTCACAGCTCCTGTCCACCTGCCTGGCCGGGATGGCGCAGCAAGGCTGCCGGCGGTGAAGGGTTGGCGAGCCCCGTTGTGCGGTGGTCGGCACCCGCCAGGGCAGAATTACCTTGCAAATATCCCAGGTTTACCCGATTCATGACATCACTGGCTGTTAAATTTGCTACGTCCTCTACAGAACACACAGAAAGAGGCACAGACAGAAAGAGAGAGAGAGAGAATATCAGCAAGCGAGGTGCGGGCGGCCGGCACAGTGGGCGGGTGCAGGGGCAGCTGCACGGGAGGCCGGCCACCAGAAGCGAGTCGGTCACCAGAAAGGCAGTTGCTCCTTCCTTGCCAAGCTCTGGGGGCAGGCAGCGGTCGCAGAGGCAGGCACCAGCTCTGGGGGTGGCCAGACCGGGCGGGATCATCCTCTGCCAGCAGTCACAGGGGACCACAAACATGAATGCTGGGCACCCCCCTCAGCCTCGTGAGCCCCACCTGAAAGGGCGTGAAGTCCCTCCCGGGACAGGGACACTGTGGGGATGGAGGGAAGCTTCAAGGCGGGGACAGGGGGACACCTTCCCCAGCGCCCACAGGGCTGGGGGCCGGGAAAGGTCTTCACAGGCCACCTGTTCCCCAAACCCTGGCCTCTGAGTCTCCTTCGGGCCCGCAGGCCAGCCCAGCCCAGTCACCCGTGAGCAGCTCCTGGGCCAGCCGTGAGCTCCTGACTCTGCTCAGGGGACTCAAGACCCCGACCCAGGTGACAGACGCAGGAAGCAGGGTTGGGAGACGGGGCACTCCGACGGGACAGAGGCAGCCCTGAGCATCAGGCAAGTCCCTGAGATGGAACAAAGGGAAGGTGGAGCCTCGACCCGGCTCAGGGGTGGGTGTCACTGGGTAGCGGCCCGGTGCTGGGGAGCTGGGGCCCATGGCTTCATCAACGGAGGTAGCATCTCTAGAGTGAGGGAGGGGATGAGCTTCTCTCCACGCCAGGCAGGGCATGTAGGGCCCCGAAGCCCAAGCACACTTCCCACCACAAGGCGCAGAGAGAGGGGGCTGCACGGATCTGTTGCTGAAGACGGACGCCGGGCTCCCTGAAGCGGCAGGAGGGGGCTGTGCCGTGGGAGTGGCAACAGGCCCATGGTGGACAGAGGCATGTCCTGGCATGGGCCTTTCCCCCAACTGTTCCCCCAAAGTCTCCCCCCTACCCTGGCTGCTGGGAGGGCTGGGGGCTCTGGGAGGGGGTCCCCACCAGTCTTGTTCTCTGCGAGAACTCAGGGACCCTGGGTATCCGCTGTCCAGCAGGCCTGGCTGCAGCTGGCTGGCCCAACTCTAGCTGATGCCCTCGACTTGGGGAGCCCAGCCTGGCCCTCTCCACCCCACAGCTGCCTCCCCTGGCCAAAGGGCTCAGCCAGCTCCTGTCTCTAATTTGGCAGAGAGGGAAACTGAGGCCCCAGAGCAGTGGAAGCGAGCACCTCCCTACGGGGCTCACACCAGGGATGCCCAAGGGTCCTGTGGCCTCCCAGCACCAGGGTGGGCCATGGCCACTTCCCTCCTCTGCACGGGGCCTCTGCTGGGCCGTGGTGGTGCCCACAGCTGGCCCCACAGTAGAGGCAGGCAGAGGGTGGCCAGAAAGGCTGACAGACAGACAGATGACAGACAGGAGGACGGCCCGGGCCCCGGGACGCCGTGGCCGACTGTTCTTGGCTGTGGCCCGACCCTGGCCCAGTCCGTCCGTCCGGCCCCCACCCGCGCCGTGTGCCCTTACCGTAGCCGGTGGTGGGCAGCCCCAGGTGCTTCATGCGGTTCTTCACCAGCTCGGAGAGCTCCTGGCGCTCAGAGCGCCGGTACAGGCTGAGGCGCTGCTGGCTGATCCACTCCGCGGCCGCCGCCCGGCCTGCCTGCTTGGGCGCCTTGCGGCTCAGCCTCCGGGCCCACTGCAGGCTCTTGCGCCGTAGCAGTGGGTGCTCTGCGGGGTCACCGCCGCCCGTGTGGCGGCCCTGGGAGCTGCCTCCGGTGCCAGCGCGGGAGCCCCAGGGCCCCTTCACTTCCCGTGTGTCCTCACAGTCCTCCACGTTCACCGAGATCTGGGACTGGGCAGGGCAGGGCAGGGCAGGGCGGGGAGGGGTGAGGCTGCCGGGAGGGTCGCGGGCTTTGGGGCAGGGGCTTAGGAAGAGGTGTGGGCTCTGCAGCTTGGGGCCTGCGTGGGAGCAGCTGGGGGTGTTAGGGAAGAGGACGACGACAGACCCCAGGGTGCATGTGCCTTCCTCCTCTGGAAAGAATGTGCCTGGTTTCCTCCTGAGCACAGATCGCCGGGCCACCCACCCTGCCCGGGCCTGGTCAAGGGATTCGCCAGGCTGCTGAGGGCAGCTCCCTTCGCCTCTCTGAGCCCTTATTTCTGTGGGTCCGGCCTGGGACCCATCTGGACCCCAGCACATCCTGGCCTTGCCCTGAGAGGTCACCCCCTCTGCGTGTCAATTTCTCCATCTGCAGATGAGCCCTGATCCCTCTTGCAAACACACCCTTTGGAGGCCCCGAACCTGGGGAACGTGGGGTGCCAGAGCCTGTGGGTCGTGGGGTGCTGGGAAGAGGTAGGCATCCCACCTGGGTGGCACCTTCAGAAAGGCCTGGGAGGCTGGGGGCTGGTCAGGCCAGATGGGCATGGGGGCTGCCTGCCTTGGTGGGGCCTGGGAGGGGGCGGGGGTGCACCTGGTGTCCAAACTCACAGGCTACTCCCCCCAGGCCTCAGCTTCCCCACCACCAGTGCAGGAGGGAGTGAGTGTCAACAGCCTTCTCTGAGCCGTGCTGGGGCCGACACATCCGTGGGACCCGCTCCTGCCTCGGCTTTCCCAGGGCCCTGTGGGTGGGTGGGTGGGTGGGGCCTGGCAGGCTTCTCCATGTGAAGCTGCGATGTTCTGGTGCTCCGCAGAAGCTGCGTGGGCACGGAGGGGTTGCTTACCTGGGCTCTGAGGTCGTGGGGCTGCAAAGGAAACAGGCGCAGTCTGGGACCTGTGGGCGCACCCCTGCCCCCCACGCCGCCTCAGCCTGGGGTCTGCACGGAACATGCTTAGGGCTGGTGGGCACGGTGCCTGCTGCTGTGTGGACTGCAGCACAGGGGCTGCCCGTATTCTTCCTGAAGACTCCCCTGAGCCTCTCTGCCCCCGGTAGGGGTCATGGCTGCTCCAGCTGGAAGCGCTACACGTGGGCACACGGACCAGACGGAAGGAGCTGCCAGCAATAGCAAAGCTGATCTAGCCCAGGTCCCTGACACTGAAGGTGGGGATGCTGTGGGTCACACAGGACAGGGGCTGCCACAGTCCCAGCCCCCGGAAGGTGGGGATGCTGTGGGTCACACAGGACAGGGGCTGCCACAGTCCCAGCCCCCAGGCTGCCCCAGAACCTCCGAGGTGGAGAAGACGTGGCTCTCTGTCCGGTAGATGCCAATGGGGATCTCGGCGCTGGAGGAGCAGAGCTTCTGGAAGAGGCGGCCGTACGTGCGGATCCACAGGTCGCCCTCGGTGATTTTCATCTGCAGGGTGGGAACCCTGAGTTGGCTGGGGCAGGTGGCAGCACCCAGAGCCTCCTGGCCACCGTGAATCAGGGGCAGGTGCCCATCCACCCACTTGGACAGCCCAGCACGCCCCCAGCCCAGCGCAGCCAGGGGCACTTACGGCACAGAGGTACCCCGAGCCCGGCGTGGTGTCCAGGCCCAGCAGCAGCCGGGTGATGGTGATCATGTAGTCCTTCACGAAGGACTGGCCAGGGAGGGAGGGAGGGAGGGAGGGAGGGAGGGAGGGAGGGAGGGAGCCACAGTGAGGCACGCGGGCACGGGCGTGGGACACAGGTCCATACCCCACCGGCCACGGGCTCGCCACCCCTCATGCATACACACACACAGAACCACCAGGTCCCCAAGCACCACATGACCCACAGGCAGAGTTCTGGGAGGCCTTTTCTAAGAAAACTCCCTTGCCAGGCACCCATAGGTCAAAAAGGGCCCAGAAATCCCTGGGGCAAGGACAGGGCCCAGAGGTCTCCTTGGAATCCAGGGAAGGTCATTCAGAGGGAGTCCTATCATTCAGAACAGGGACCAGGCTGAAGAGCTGAGGGCATGACGGGGGTCCCACCCAGGCGCCACCCTCCTGCTGCCGCTTCCCCGCTGACCTGGTAGAGCAGTGTGTCCAACATGCTGATGCTGAAGACGCGGCCGGCGGCGAACGGCAGGCGGAACATGAAGGCCAGGTTGGAGCCATTCTCTCGCTCCCTCTGTGGGAAAGGAGGGGCCTCAGATGGGCTGGTGCCGAGGTCCCTCCAGTGGCACGGCAGCCACGGGGTCGAGGGCACTGTGTGTGCACCGTACATGTGTGCATGATACCTGTGTGCACATTTGTGCATGGTGTGTGTGTCCACGTGTACACAGTGTGTGTCTGCATGTGTGCATACACCGGCAGGCCTGAACCAGCTCTATCTTCCCAGACACACTCAGGGCCAGAGCCCGGGAGGAGTGATGTGGGGCTCTGATGAGAAGGTGGACTCCCGGCGGCTGCCATGGGCACTGCGCTTGGTCAAGCGCCCTGCTCTTGCCATCCCGAAATTCCAAATCCTCCTGATAATCCTCTCCTCCCCCGGTGTTTTGTAAGTGGTGCCGGAGGGCGTGTGGAGTCTGGGCTGAGGAGGAGCAAGCATCGGGCTCCCTGCTGTCCTTGGCCTCCCCGTCCCTGTGCTCCAGGCTTGCAATGGACCCACTGAGTTTCCTGGGGCTCCCGTAACAAATGACCGCAAACTTAGCAGCTAAAACGACACCTGTCTCCTCTCTCCCGTTTCTGGAGTCGGGAGTTTGAGGTGTCTCAGGCTGGATCCAGGCCTGGGCAGGGCCCCGCTCCCTCTGGAGGCCTGGGGGCCTCCTTCTCTTGCCTTTTCCAGCTCCTGGAGGCCACCTGCCTTGGCTTGTGGCTCCCTCTTCCCTCTTCTGAGCTGGCCGTGCAGCTTCTTCCCACCGGATGGGGACCTCTGGCCTCTCCCTAGAAGGACCCTGACGGCGTGAACCTGCCGGATGCTCCAGGAGGATCTCCCATCTCGAGGCCCGTGACTTAATCCCATCTGCAGAGGCCCTTCTGTCACGTGAGGCGGTACATCCACGGGCTCCGGACCCGGCCGTGGCCAACTCTCGGGTCATTCTTCAGCGGAGGGCCCCAACCCTGGAGCTCGGCCTCCAAGCAAGTGTGCACAGGCAGGCGTGTGCGCCCACGGAGGCCACACTTCCCCCCGGAACCAGAACTCGATTCACAGGTAAAAGACACGACAGCGACAGGACAAGCAGGCAGAAGCCCCTTTTCCTCCGGGTTCGCCCTTACTCATCAGTGGCCGGTGGGAAGGCTGGGGCGTGAGAAACAGTGGAATTAGTTTCGTGCGGCGTTTCCGCTCTTGGGGCAAGAACCAGGTGCGATGAGCTGCGATGGGCGTGTGAGTTTGCAATCGTGGTGATTTGCATCCAGAATTCCAGCCGTACTTCGCGGAGACGAACGTGAAATTCCAGAACAACTTGCAATTTTAATTTTCCTTTACTCAGAACAACGCTAAACAGGAAACAAGAACCACGACAGGGCCAGAGAGAGACGTGGAAGGAAAGAAAAAGCTGGACGTTTCAGGACCTTCCAGAGATTTCCTCCTGCTTTCTGGACAGGAGGGCTTCAGCAGGGGCTGAGCGGGTGCCATTCACAAGTGACAGTGAAGACAGGAGCACACAGGAGCGGATGAGCCCTTCCTGAGCACGAGACCCCCGGTCAGAGGGAGCAGGACAGGCACCGTGCAGCCCCAGGATGGGCAGAGCCAGCCTGAAGGAAGGCTCCTGGTGAGGAGGAGAGATCACACAGGCTGACCATGTGAAAGCAATGAAGTGGTGGAGGAGTCCTGGGTGCTGGAGACCAGGGGAGGTGGACGGCAGGGGAGGTGGGCCTCAGGGGAGAGACTCCTCTCACACACCGGGGCTCTGAGAGCCTTCTGGAGCCAGCCCTCAAGGGGAGATGCATGTCACCCCACCAGCAGCATCCTTAATAATAGTTTCATTTTTTTGCTTGGTTTTTTTTGAGACAGGGTCTCGCTCTGTCGCCCAGCCTGGAGTGCAGTGGCACAATCTCGGCTCACTGCAACCTCTGCATCCCGGGTTCAAACAATTCTCCTGCCCTAGCCTCCCAAGTAGCTGGGGTTACAGCCACCACGCCCGGCTAATTTTTGTGTCTTTAGTAGAGAGGTTTCTCCATGTTGGCCAGCCTGGTCTCGAACTCCTGACCTCAGGTGATCCGTCCGCCTTAGCCTCCCAAAGTGCTGGGATTACAGGCATGAGCCACCGCCCCCAGCCATTAAATTTTTTGTATAGATGGGGACTTGCTATGTTGCCTGGGCTGGTCTCGAACTTCTGGCCTCAAGCGATCTTCCTGCTTCAGCCTCTAAAAGTGCTGGGATTACAGGCATGAGCCGCTGCACCTGGCAGAGCATCTCACTGACGGTCGTGTATGCCATCTCCACCTCCTCCCTTTTTCCTTCCGGAGTCGTGCCTGGAATCCTGTCTTTATCCTTCCACTGGGCCTGGATGTAGAAGATGTTGGCTGCAGGGATTTGGGGTAACTTTTCTTCAATTTTTTTTTTTTTTTACTTTCAGTATTCTTTGAAGTAAAATACATACTAAACATGTACATTTTTATAATAAATTGGCATTAATGTCTTTTAAATAAGGATCTGAAGCTGCCACAGGTGTCCTTGTTGGAAGCAGGTCACCGTATGCTGGCCCGTCAGAGAGACCCATGGGGGATCTGGGGCCAAGGCCACCCAGGCTGGAGAAGACGCAGCCCCTGGTGCCTTCTACAGGCTCCTTGCATGCTGGGGAGGCGGATCCCAGCCTCTGCAGAGGGTGATGGGTCAGGTGGTCCACGGCACCCTCTCCTCCCTCGGCTCCACGTCTCTGTATATGCCTGGCCCTGCCCAGGGCCCAGGGCATCTGTCCCACATGGACCCCAGCACCATGTCAGCCCAGAGGAGCTCACGGCTGCTTCCAGAGGCTTTGCCGATGTCCTGATTTCTCCTTGGTCCCTGTCACACAACTGCCACGGAATCGCATGACTGGAGCTGGAGCCCAGGACTGTTCACTGCTCTGAGATGGAGAGCTGGCCGCACCCGCCCCGGCAACACAGAGCCCCAGTGGAGGTGAAGCCGGGGAAAGAGATGGGCCCCACGGCGGGGCGGAGCGTGGGTGATTGGCGATGGCTGCCTGGCGGGAAGGCGGGCAGGAGCGTGTTGGCTGCGTGCTTGCTGACCCAAACTTCAAGCCACCTTGTGGGACAGAGAGGTGCAAGGCTGAGGCCGGAGGAGCCGCGCCAGGATGACTGCCTCGACCCCGACTCCACGGCAGCATCCCTGTCCACACAGGGTCAGACTTGGTCTTCCAGATCCGGAGAGTCCTCCCAGCCCTGGGGAGCGGCCCGGCACCCGAACACAGAATCCTGTGAACTTCCTCCCCTTCCGTGGTTCCAGCTGCAGAGCACACCCCTCTGCCGGCTGAGCCGGGGACTGGGGCCAGGAGCTCCCGACGCTGGGCAGGGCAGGCTCCAGGGTGGGCTTGGGCGGCGGGCAGGGCAGACAGAGCCCTCTCCTGTGCTGAGACCAGGTGCCCGAGCATCCCCCTACGCCTCAGGCTGGCATCTCTAAGGCAGAAGCCCCTGTTGACCTGGTGGCTGCCCAGCCCGGCCTCCTCTCGCTTCTCTGGGGCAGAACTGACTCCAGGATCCCTATGGGCTCTTGGTCCACGGCTGGCCGGAACACACTTTCACTCTCCATCGGGTTCAGGTGGGACAAAGCCATGTCCGTGTCGCAGGGAGTGCCCGTGTGTGTCCTCTGCCTGGTGTTGGTGGCCAGGCCGGGCCTGGCTCAGTAGATCCTCCACGGTGTCACAATCCTGCAGCCACGCAGGTCCCAGCAGCTCGCCGATGAGGACTTCAGCCCAGACCGGTGAGCTCGGGGTTCGTGTAGAGCAGACAGCATTGCTGCTGACCAAGGTGCCTGCTCCCTGCTCTCAGCCTAGGGCTGCCTGGGCACCAGCCCCCGTGTGGACAAGGTGGTGCTGTCCCAGCTTGAGCAGGTGGGGAATGCGGTGGGGCTGGGGTCAGCCAGATATCAAGGCAACAGCAACAGTGCCCGTGCCCCTGGGTTCCACACCTGACCCTGGGTGGTGCCCTTCATGGAGCTCCAAGGGCAGAAAGCCAATTCCAGCTCAGCCACTTGCTCCACTGTGCGATCCGGGGCAGGCCCCTTCCCTCTCAGGCCCTCCGTCCCTTGTCAATACAAGGAGGCAGTGGTTATACTGAACCTGTTTCAAGGTCGGGCGTAGTGGCCAGGGCAGCGGAGAAGTCTGGAATGGTGCAGCCGTGTGCGTTATCTGTACTAAGAGCTACTGGCCAACCTATGTGGAACCACCGATCTGAGGGCTCCCCACGGGAGTTCTGACCAACTGACCATGCCAGGACAGATGGCCTTGGCCTCCAGATACGGCCAGGCCTGGTCCCTGCTCAGGGAGATGGAAGGCTGCTATGGGCCACATTCCCAGTGCCTCACACGCGGTCAGGGAAACGCCCTGCCTCCATCTCCTGGTTCCACCATCAAGAGCACCCTGTCCATGCTGGGCCCCCCACGCCATCTCCTGAGTTCCCCAGCAGG
The DNA here is from genome assembly GCF_000001405.40 of Homo sapiens. NCBI lineage: Eukaryota > Metazoa > Chordata > Mammalia > Primates > Hominidae > Homo > Homo sapiens. The sequence goes on along the minus strand of NC_000009.12, from coordinate 135,779,583 downwards.
AGGGCGGCAGGAGCCCAGCCTCCCATGGCACTGGCCCCCTTTCCCCTGAGCCCCTTTCTCCCACTCTTTCTGGGATTCTGGGGTGGCAGCTGGCACGGGGCAGGGCTGCTCACCTTTTCTAGTTTGGAAAGAGCCAGAGAGTAGCTGTCCTTGGCGCGGAACTGCATGAAGCGCATGTTGGAAGGGTGGGTGAGCTCCGTGGTGATGCTGAGGCTGGGGAAGAGCCTGGGGGAGGCAGGCGGCTCAGGGCGGGGCCCATGGTGGTTGTAGGAGGTCTCAGGGTGGGGGCCCATGATCATGTGGCTGTGGGGGTCTCAGGGCGGGGTCCCATGGCTGTGGGGGGGTCTCAGGGCAGGGCCCACTGTCTTGGCTATGGGGGTCTCAGGGCAGGGTCCCACGGCTGTGGGGGGTCTCAGGGCAGAGGCCCATGGTCATGGCTGTGGGACTCTCAGGGTGGAGGGCTTGTGGTCGTGGCTGTGGGGGTCTCTGGGCAGAGTCCATGGCTGTGGGGGTCTCAGGGTGTGGTCCCATGGCTGTGGTTGTGGGGGTTTCAGGGTGGGGGCTTGTGGTCATAGCTGTGGGGGTCTCAGGGCGAGGGCCCGTGGTCGTGGCTGTGGCGGTCTCAGGGCGAGGGCCCGTGGTCGTGGCTGTGGGGGTCTCAGGGCGAGGGCCCGTGGTCGTGGCTGTGGGGGTCTCAGGGCGAGGGCCCGTGGTCGTGGCTGTGGGGTGGTTTAGAGCCGAGCCCCGGACACTGGACGCACCGGAACATGGTCTGCACGTTGACGATGGTCTTGGCGTCCGCCATGTAGTCCTCCTCGGCGCTCATGGTGCTCTCCTTGTCCACCACCACCAGGTTGTCCGCATAGATGATGCCACACTGCAGCAGGCTGTCCAGGCTGGTGGCGGGACCGAGGGCCCGTGGCTGAGGATGCGGCCCACTCCCCACCCACAGGACCCCGGGATTTGGTCAGAAGGCAGGAGGACCTCAGCCCCCCACCCCACCTGCGGTCGGGGTCACCCCAGACTTTGGAAGAGGAGGGGAGGGGTGGGTGTGGAGCCCCCACGAGCCTCGGCCGGCCACGCCTTACTTGTCCACAGAGCCCTCCATGTAGTAGACCATGGGGAAGCAGCAGATGGCTTCCAGGAAGTGGTGGTCGGGCCTGTGGGGACAGCGGTCCTGGAGGGGCCCACCCTGCTTCAAGGCCTGCCCTCCTCAGGCCCAGTGGGGCCCTACCCTCCATGCACAGAGCTGGGCCAGGCAGGGGTTCCCCAGAACCGCAGCGTATGGGACCTGGGGAGTACTTTAAGGCCAGTGGGCCATTCTTTATTTTATTCAAGGGGAAACCAAGGCCCGGGAGGGTGGGACCTGCTGAGGTCACACAGCCAAGATGACCCTGGGCTCAGCTGTCAGGGTCCTAGGGTCCCCTGGGCAAAAAGGTGCCCAGGAGGAAGAGCCATTTATCCCTCCACCCCAATCCTGGGGCTCAGAGTGAGTGGAGCAGGAGGCAAACAGGACAGAAGGAGTGACAAGGGAGGAGGGGGAAAGGGGGAGAGAGGACCAGAGTGGGAGGAGCTGGGAGCCACAGGAGCTGAGAGCATGGAGGAGCTGGGAGACAGAGGAACTGGGAGTGGGGAGGAGCTGGTGGCCAGAGGAACTGGGAGCAGGGAGGAGCTGGGAGTGAGGGGGAACTGGGAGTGGGGAGAAGCTGGGAGTGGGGAGGAGCTGGGAATGGAGAGTAGCTGGGAACTGGGGGAGCTGGAAGCAAGGAGGAGCTGGGAGTTGGGTGGAGCTGGGAACTGGGGGAACAGGGAGCAGGGAGGACCCAGGAGCCAGAGGAGCTGGGGGTGGGGAGGAGCTGGGAGCAGGAGTGGGTGTGGGGAGGAGCTGGGAGCAGGAGGAGTTGGGAGCAGGAAGGAGAGTCCCCCTTTTTAGGAAAGCTGAGAGGACCAGGCCAGAGGCCCCATGTTCCCGTGCCCTCTGCAAAGGCGAAGGGTGGGCCCAGTTGGGGAGGCTGCTGGCTGCAGGTCTGAGGGCCCGGGTGGGCGGGGTGGGCTGAGCCCCAGGAGCCTCACTTGTTGTCCAGCAGCAGCACGATGGGGTTCAGCTCCTTGCGGGATCTGTAGTAGGCCCGCAGTGGCACGATGAAGTTGTACAGCCCATTGCCGGCCGTCTCTGCCGAGACGATGATCAGCTTGTTCTTGAACCCGTAGGCCTTGGCGTCTTCATAGCTGTTGTGCTTGCAGCCCTGGGGGCAGATGCTGGAGTCAGGGCTGGAGTCAGGGCTGTGGTTCCTGCTGGCCACTGGAGCCCTCCCAGACCCCTCACCAAACATCCCCCGTGAACACCCAGCCGTTAGCCTCTCGGCCCACAGCCCTTTCACGGCCTGCACACGCCTGTGGGGAGCTACAGGCACCACCAGATGCCACAGCTGTACCCACAGGCGGCACAGAGCAGTCATGTCAGGGGTGGAAAGGGCGGTGTCCATGTGAACATGTGGTTTTGGCATGTGGCTAGAGATCTAGGTGTGGGCATAGATACGTGTCATGTGTATGCACACACGTTTTCTCAGAGCAGGGATGCCAACAGCAGTGAGCACGCCACGTGCCCAGGTCTTGGTTTCCAATCATCATTTTCCACTAAAAGGAATCAGGGTTCCTTGGAGAAGTGGTTCATTCCAGACTGGAGCAGGCGAAGGCCAAGATGTGGCTGGAACATCTCCGGTTGGAAAGCACAGATGAGCTCAAAGGGTGAGGGGATCGTGTCAGAAGCACCCAGAAGCCGCTTGAAGGCCCCCACCCCACCCAGTGAACTGAGGGGGTCCGAGCATCAGAATCAATAACGATCTGTCAAGGATGATGCTACTGCAATGACCGGCCACAGATTATAACCCACAGAATATGCTGGGAGCCTGTGGTCCGTGAAGGACACACACACATGGGGAAGGGGAGGTCCCCTCCGTGGCCGAGCCCTAACACACAGCTGGAGAGAGATTCCGGAACTGGAAACCATCCACAGATGGCAGGCATGGTGGCTCACGCCTGTAACCCCAGCACTTTGGGAGGCCGAGGTGGGAGGATCACTTGAGTCCAGGAGTTCGAGACTAGCCTGGGCAACATAGTGAGACCCCATCACTACAAAAAATAAATAAATAAATAAAATTAGCCAGGTGTGGTGGTGCGTGCCTGTGTTCCCAGCCACTTGGGAGGCTGAGGTGGGAGGACCCCTTGAGCCTGGGAGGTGGAGGCTGTAGTGAGCTATGATCCCACCACTGCACTCCAGCCTGGATGACAGAGTGGGACCCCGTCTTAAAAAAAACCAAACAACAAATAAACAAAAAAGAACCCACTGAGGGATGTTGAAGCCGCTGGGTCGAGTGGTTTGCTTTCCTGATCTCAACACGTCCCCCACAGAGAAGCTGCTAACTCCAGAAGGAAAACAGTCATTTTCACAGTGGGGAAACCCTACTGACCCCAGCTTGCCATGAGATCCAAGTAAACATCGCCAGTGACCTGACAATTGACCCCCGAGTTTCCAGGGAGGGCTGGCCCCACATGCAGGCAGAGTCCCACCACCAAGAAACATCGCAGACCCACCTGCCACCAGGTCACTGGTCCCTGCTCTGCAAAAATATTAAGGTCAAGAGACCCCAGGGAACATTCCAGATTAAGGGAGAGTAACGAGAAAGGAGTTGCTAAGACGCAGCCGGGACAGGCTCCCGGTGGGGAAAACACTGCCACGCAGGACGCTGAAGGCCTTCGGGGCCCTCGGCCCAATCTGAACTTGGACTGTGGATCAGACACCCATGCCGGGCCGGGGTCCCTGTCCTAATGAGCTGTAGTTACGAGATGGTTCTTGATCTTTGGGAACGCATGTAGATGTATTAGGGGAAAGGGGTGTGGTGGCTCCAACCTGTTCTCAAGATGGCTCAGAAAACAGGTGCCTCTAACATAGACACTGTGAGAGGGAGAGCCCAAACGGGACAGGAAGGGACCGTCTGCTGAATCTGGGTGAAGGATCTGTGGCTCTCCCTTGCAGAATTCTTGCAGCTGTGCTAGAAGTTTGCAATGGTATCGAAATGTAAAGTGACCAAAGAGAAACCAGGGCAGGTATGCACGGCCCGGTGCTGGCGTCTGGGGGTGCAGAGCGCGGCAGAGCCGCCAGCCTTACCTTGTCCAGCCGCAGGCAGCAGAAGGGGGCTTTCACAGGCAGGAGGTGGCACAGGGTTGGGGAGCTGCCGATGTAGGGCGAGTTGGGAGGGTAGCCCTTCACATACCTGGGGCAGGAGACAGGAGCCCTCAGCACAGCTGCACAGAGGTGGCTGGGTCTGCTCTGGGGCCCCCCTCGGGCTGGGGGACTCGAGGGCACCCACTCCACCCACAGCCACGTTGCTCGGGGTCACGCACAGCTGACCCAAGGTGGCCCGTTCTTCCCTTAACCACCTGTGCATCAGCAAACGCTCCTCCAGCTGAGCCTGTGGTCACCGTGTCATAGGGCCTGCCTAGCCTTGGCACCCAGGACCCAGTGTGTCCTGCAGGGCAGTCAGGGCAGTGCCCAGGGCACCCATGCAGGTGCCGAACCTTAAGGACCCGTGCCTGCCTGGCGGGTCAGCAGCGGCTGCAAGGCCAGGGCTGGGGAGGCATGGACTTAGCCCCATCAGGGCCTTGGGGGACTGGAGGAGACCGAGGGGTGGGTAGGGCCCTCACTGCTGCTGCCCTCACCCAGGTGTGGAAGGGGGTGGCGGTGGGGCTCACCCCTCACCTGGTCAGCCCAGGACCCCCCCATGGTCAGCCCTCGGCATAACACATGGCCCCATACAGGCACACGGAAATGGACACACCCGGACACACACACAACACATGCGCACAGAAATGAACACATGCAGGCGTATGCACACGTGCACCACGTGCACGGACACATAACATACACACCACACACCCAGACACACAACACACACATCGACACACAACATACACAACACACAACACGTACCACACATGGACACACAACACACAGACACACCACACAGACCACACAACACACTACACAGACACACAGCACACACAGACACACAACATATGCAACACACACCACACAGACACAACACGTACCACACACGGACACACAACACACAGACACACCACAGACACACCACACAACACACAGACACACACCACACACACACGGACACACAACATACGCAACACACACCACACACAGACACAACACGCACCACACACGGACACACAACACACCCAGACACACAACACACAGCACACAGACACACACACCACACACAACACACCACACACACAACAGACACCACACACACCACACACGGACACACACCACACACAACACACAGACACCACATACCACACACAATACCACTCAGACACACATCACACACACGGACACATACCACACACACCCAGACACACATCACATATCACACAACACACACCACACGTGACAAACACACGTTGACACACAACACACATTACACATATGGACACACACCACACACATAACATACACCACACACACACACCGGACACACCCCCCTTGCACACCCACCCCCATGCCCTACTCGGTCTTTCTCCTCCCACCACAGCCTAGACCAGGCTTTTCAGCCACATGCAAAACCCACAGGGCTCTGCCCGCCCGCCATGCCTCCCTGACATCCCCAGCACCCCCGGCTGGTGGGGCAGGCACTCTGGCCTTGGGCTCTTACCCACATACTTGTCCAGCCAGGCTGTTGTCCCCAGCAGGCCACCACCCCGTCCCCAGCAGCACCCAACACACACATGCAATGGTTCAGGGCTGTTTCCCAGCAGCTGGGCTGTCATTACAGTGTGTTGACCCCACCCCAGAGGCAAAGGCCAGGACAGAGTGAGGCAGCCCCGCTGAGGATGGACCTCGGGCCCTGCAGCTGGGGCACTTGTCTGTCCTGGCTGAGGCCAAAAGGCAGAAGCTGCTGAGAACAGAGTGGGGCCTCCTGTCTCATGATTTGAAGCAGGAGGACTTGGCCCCAAACCTAGGCCAGGACAACAACTCAGGACGGGCTGTGGTTTCCAGGCTGGGACACTGCCTTGCCCAGGGGTTGCACAGGGACCCTGCTCAGAGGACACCCACCCCTGGTCAGGCGGGCTGTGCCCCTCTGTGCTCTGTAGTGCTAAGGGGGAGACCTAGGGCACTGGGTGGAGGATGGCCTGGGGTCACTGCCCAGCTCCATCCTGATTCAGAGAGTGGCCGGGCCACTATGGGGCTGGTGAGGTGGGTGGGAACGGGCCCCTCTCTGAGGGTGGCGCTGCCTGGTGCCTGACAGCCCCTGTGCCAGTGAGCTGCCTCGCTCCAATTAGCTCTGCACCCCCAGCCCCAACTGGAAAGGGTGTAGCCCAGCACACCCCATCTCAGTGACACTCAAAAGTGCTCCCCGGCGACGAGGGTGATGTGGCCCTGATGTCTGTGTTGGGCCCCCTGAAGATTTCATTTGTCAAACAAGGACTTCCACGGAGCTGTCCAGAAGCTGCAATTCAGAGCATGGGGGACCACCAAGGATGCTCCGACACCCATCCCCCGCACTCATGGGCGGCTCCTCCCCCCACTGGGAGCCGTCTCCAAGGCAGCACTCACTCTACCACGGAGAGCCCCTCGTCGTCCGACGGCGTCACCTCATCCTCCGACTGGTCGCTCAGCAGGTCGCAGGGCAGCAGGGCTGAGCTGTCGGCCAGTTCCAGGACGGGCGCGATGCTGGGCCGCCGGCTGCCCGAGCCGTTCTCCGTGGGCAGTGCCAGCTTGCTGCCCCCGCCCCCACCGCCGCTCTGCGTAGGCCGGTGCTCTGTGCCCTGCAGGTCCATGGCCACTGTCCCTGGAAGAGAGCCCTGTGCTTGGCCACAGCCCGACTCCCACCCTCCATGGGCGGCGAGTTCCCAGAGCTCAGGTGAACACAGTCAGCTCTGGAGACCCTGTCATGGCCTGGCTCCTGTGCTCCAGCTGAGGAGCTTCAATCTATGCCTCAGTTTCCCCCTCCATACAACAGGGACAGTGGCCTCTGGGGTGGCGATGATGTTGAGCGAAGACCCAGGGGGCCCCAGTGCCCCATCGGTGCCACCCAGGCCAGCTGCTGTGGCCTCAGCACCAGATGCCTGAGGAGGGGGTTGGCTGATTCTGGGCTCGGGGGTCTCAGCCTTAGGGGCCTGTGCAGCTGGTCAGGCTGCCTGGTGGATGGGGCCAGGTGGGGAGCAGCTGGGTGACTCAGTGCCTGTGGGAGCAGACTCTGCCACTCCTGCACCACCCCAGGCTGCCAGATGGGGGTTGTGGACCTCTAGGTATGGCCCAGGGCCTCTGTGGGTACAGTGAGGGTTGCCCGAGTCACCCTGGTTTCCTGGAAGCCACCTGGGGGCAGAGTGCCTACTGCGCAGGTGAAGGTGGAGGTGTGGCTAGGCAGCAGCAGCCTGCCTCCCCAGTGCCCTGCGGCCAGGCCCGGCCCCCCGAGTGAGCTGCCGTAGACGGCGGCCGGGAACCTGCGGGGTCTGGCAGGTGGTGGGCTCCGCATCGGCACGTCTCCAAACCCCAGGGCCCTCTGGGTCTTGGAGACTGTGCCCCACTGCACTGAACCACCTGGTGCCCCAGCAGCCACCGTGTAACAACACCCCAGGGTGGGCGTGCTGGGGTGCCCCATAGGGTCAGCCTCTGCCTGGGCCACTGTACGGAGGTGGCAACATGCTGGCCCGGCTGTGGGTCTGTGGCCTGAGTGGCTTCCTGGCCTGGCCCTGCTCCCTAACTGTCCCCCAGGAAGGCCTGGCTGGGGAGGGGGCAACACCACTATGGGTGGTGCCCTAGGGGCCATGGGCCTCCACCTGCTCAGAGGCAGCCTGACCCTGTCTGGTAAGCGGCTCCCCGGGAGGATCCCTGAAGGCACGAGAAGAGGCCAAAGCCCTCGGCCACTGCGACCTCATTCCGCCAACTCCTGGCCCCAGTGGACGTCAGGACTCCCGACTGTTTGAGGGACACACGTGAAGCAGACCCTCCGGGCTGATGGGACCACCAGGAGCCTCCGGTTGAGCTGCCAACCGGTCCTGTGGGCGGCCCCACTTGGACAGGCACTTGGACACAGTGAGCAATGCCCACAAAGGTGGCCACAGGAAGGCGGGGACACCTGTTTGACAGATTCAAAAACAGGCCCAGAGAGACTCCACCTGTCCAAGGTTGGAGGCATAGGCCAAGAGGAACTGGGTCTGGGGGCCACATTGGCCTGGTCTCCTGCCCTGCCCGGTCTGGTCTCCTGTCCCACCTGGTCTCCCGCCCTGCCTGGTCTCCCGTCCCACCTGGTCACCTGCCCCTGTCCTGCCTGGTCTCCTGTCCCACCTGGTCACCTCCCCCTGTCCTGCCTGGTCTCCCATCCCACCTGGTCACCTGCCGGTGTCCCGCCTGGTCTCCCGCCAAAGGAGCAGGCCCAGGGAGTCCCGCGCGCCTGTCCCGGCTCACCCATGGAGGCGATGATGCTGTGCACGGGCAGGCGGGCCGGACCCTCGTGCAGCCCCTGCCCCGAGAAGGCCCTCTTCTTCCGCTTCTCCTCCTGCTTGAAGATGAAGGCCGAGTTCTCCTCCTTGGTGATGTTGATGTAGAAGCAGGTGTCAGAGGCGGCCAGGATGTGCCGGGGCCCCGGGTTCAGCAGGATGCTCTTGTTGTCCTCCCGCTTCAGCCCGATGAGGCACACGCCATACCTGGGCAGAGGCACCGGCAACTTCAGGTACCGCCGCTCACCCGCCCTGTCCCGCTCCCTGCCTGCCCTTCCTGCAAATCACCAGAGTCCCCACCGGAGCTCCGCGTCTTCCTCCTGGGGGCCATTTGGGGTCAGGGACCTTGGCTGAGCCCTCCCGTCCCAGAGGTGTTGGGGACCAGAGAGCTGGGGTCAGCCCACAAGCCTCAGGGAGGAGCCGCGTGGCAGGTTTTTATGTGGACCCGGAGCCCAGTCCTGCGGCTGCCCTCGCCAGGCAGGATGACCTGATGCCCTCCCCCGAGCCCTCTGCAGCCCCGCCCCAGGGCCACCCCTGTGCCTGACCGGGAGGGTGGGGAGGGCACAGAGCAGAGCAGCCCTGGAGCGCCAGCCCTGTGGATGCAGCCCGGCCTTACTTCTTGTGGGCGTGGAAGGCCGCGTAGGTGAAGCTCTTGCCCTCGTACTCGCGGAAGAACTTGCTGTCACCCATGCGGATGTGGTACACCTCGTTGCCGGAGCAGCGCCCATACATGCGCTGCCACTGCTCCGGAGACTCCTGTCCCTCCCTGTGGGCCAGGGCGGGGCCAGGGGAGCGTCACCCTCGGCCATGGCTGCCCCTTCTCCCCGGCTGGGTCTGCAGGTGCCCCCCTCTGCTTCCCCTGGCATGGATCCCCTCCCTATGCAGGACTTTTGCCCGCCATGTGCCCCTCCTCTGGGAAGCCCATCCCCGCCCCCAAGCAGGCCCTGCGTTGTCTCCCTGCGCCGGCCCCGCCATGGAGGTCGGTCCCCCGGGGCACGGGGCACTCACTGGCCGCGGGACGTGTGCACCAGCAGGGTGATGAGGGTGGAGGTCGCCGGGCAGATGCAGTTCAGCGCCAGCATGGCGTACTTGCACTCCTCCTCACACACCACGTGGTCTGCGGGCAGTGGGGGAGGCCGGTCCACCTGCCGCTCTGCCGGCTCTCTCCTCCCCCACAGTACCTGCTCACTTCCTGAAGGTGCTATGCAGATGCACCCTTGCCTGGCACCCCCGTGTCTGCTGTCCGGCTTCAGCATCTCTGCCCCGAGAGTCTGTGGACCTCAACCCCCTACTTGGTCTGAGCCTCGGTGGACCTTCCATCGCTCCTGTGCTTCTCTCCCAGCTCAGCGAGGAGTTCCAGGGCGGGGCAGGCCCTGGCCCCTGTGCCTTGGGCACTCCATGTGGGCCCTGACCCCTGTCCCCTGGGCACCTGGCATGGGGCCTGCCCCCCGTTCCCCGGGCACCCGGCATGGTCCCTGCCCATAGAGGTGCTCATCAGACGGTGCTCCTGCCCCCACCTGACCTCTGACCCTGCCTTCACTGACCCCAGGATCCCAGCATAAGACTTCATCTGAAGAGTTTGGACCCCCTAGGTCCCTTCTCGGATGCGGTGAGGATGGGGGTCTGCCGTCCCCTCCAGCACCTCCTGGTGTGCTTGTGTGAGGAGCTCCAGGGCCAGCCCCTCCCGCTGCCCCACACAGCTCGCCTAACTGCGTGCACATGCGCCCTGCCCCAGACACACCGTCACCCACGTGTGCACACGCGCCCTGCCCCAGACGCACCATCACCCAACAGCATGCACACGCGCCCTGCCCCAGACACACCGACACACACGTGCACACGTGCCCTGCCCCAGATGCACTGTCACCCACGTGTGCACACGCGCCCTGCCCCAGACGCACCGTCACCCACGTGTGCACATGCGCCCTGCCCCAGACGCACCGACACCCACGTGTGCACACGCATCCTGCCCCAGACGCACCGTCACCCACGTGTGCACACGCGTCCTGCCCCAGACGCACCGTCACACATGTGCACATGCGCCCTGCCCCAGATGCACCATCACCCACGTGTGCACACGTGCCCTGCCCCAGATACACCATCACCCACGTGTGCCCCAGACGCACCAGCAAACTTGACGTGAAACTTGTTTTCAGGTTTGAGGATCTGGACGTAGAGGGGGCAGTTGGGGGCGAAGTCCTTCACGGCCCAGGCGCGCAGGATGGTCTGGTGGTCCTGGCGGGGTGGGTGGTTGGTCAGTGCAGACGGGCTGGCCTCTGTGGGCTGCTGGGCGGCACCGGCAGCCTGGGGCAGGTCTCTTCCCTCAGGGACCCCCGCTCCCCGGCCCCACGGTGCCCCTCCCGCCTGGGCAGGGCCTCAGCCTCACTCACTGCAGCCGTGCGGTCCACCTCGTTCCTGCTGCTGAGGATGAAGCAGGCCTCCCCATTGTCCATCCTGCAATGCACCAGGGCCTGAGCGTGGGTGGAGCAGGGGAGGTGGGCAGTGCAGCCGGGGGTGCGGAGGTGAGGTGGGGAGGACCTCCTCTGGGAGGAGGCTGGTGCAGCAGGTGCACAGAAAGAGACTGAGAGGACGGCTGGATGGAAGGCGGAGAGGATGGAAGGCGGGGAGGATGGAAGGCGGGAGGAGGCCCCTACTCTCTGCTGGTCAGGAGTCACAGTGCCCCCTCAGTGGGCATCCCCATACTGCCCCCCCCCCCCCCAACCCACATCACAGTGTCCCCCACGGGCATCCTTGTGTGCCCTCCACCAGCAGGCATCCCTGTGCCCCCCCCACCGGTATCCCAGTGCCCCCCCCCCCCCCCCCGCAGGCATCCTGGGCCTCTCCAGACTCCCTGGCCCATCCCTGGCAGGCTCTGAGCCGGGTCAGGACTCCTGGACACCCTAGGAGACTCCAAGCTCCGACACTCGAGAAGGCACAGGAGCCACACCTGTCCCCCGAGCGTGTGCAGGCTGACAGAGGGTGGGGGCAGGGTTCAGGAGCCACACCTGTCCCCTGAGCGTGTGCAGGCTGACAGCGGGTGGGGGCAGGGGTCAGGAGCCACACCTGTCCCCCGAGTGTGTGCAGGCTGACAGCGGGTGGGGGCAGGGGGTCAGATGCTATGGATGGTGTGTCCTGGAGACACCAGCTGACAGCTTCTCCTGGCCACGGCCCTGAGTGGGAGCCCATGGTGCTTCCTAGGGCAGTGCCTGCCCTTCCTCCCCCAGGCCCTGTTCTCTGAAGCAACCCCCCAGCTTGTCCCTAAGTTGGCCAGGTAGGAGGGGCATCAGGAGGTCGTGCGAGGGGGCTCTGCTGGCTGGGGCTGCCTGGATTTGTCCATACTCCCAGGCGTCAGGGGCTAGGGGTCCAGGGTTGGCAGGAGCAGGCCCGGTGGAGACCCCACCTAGGTGTGTGCCAGTGACCTGGGCACTGGCTTCCGGGGTACCCATCTTGTATGTTGCCATGAGACATTCACCCAGGGCTGGGTTGGGGTGCAGGAGGGAGGGGGGAATCTGGGGGCAGAGACCCTGTCCGCTCCCTGGCCTGGCTACTCTGTGGTCTGGGAACCTGGGTGGTCACTTCCAGCGCCTCCTGGGTCTCCTGAAAGCCCAGCTGCAGAAACCACCTAGCACTGCTGAGACGCTGTCTAAGAAACTGTCGCCTCTGCCCCAGGGCAGGGAACCCCACCACATCACTGGCACCACTGTCTGCTCCGCAGGGGCCCCAGGCCCTGTACCCACAGCCCTGGGCTCATCCCTGCCTGGCTGGGAATGGCCTACGCCCTTGCCCTCTCCCCACTCCCTGGGCCCAAGCAGGTGCATCGCCTGTGTGTGCTGGGGACGGGACCACAAAAGAGGTGGCGTTCCATAGGCAATGGGTTCCAGCTTGGGGCTCTGGACATGGCAGGGGGAGGGGGAGTGATGAGGAGAGACCCTGGGAGTACCACCAACACTATGCCACTAAGGACACATTCAGGCTCCTGGAATGAAAATGTCACCAGGAGGGTTTTCCAGGGAGTGTCCCAGAAAGTGCACCGACACATTCTGGAAAGTTCCAGGTAATAATATACTCTTGTTACCTTGTCACTCTGTCAATTTGTCTTTAAAAGGAACTCTACCTTCAGCCCGTTCTCCCACCTTGACTCACAGCAGCTGACTCTCCCGCCCCTGTTCTATTTTGAGCCTCCCTAGAACTTGACAAAGATTTCCCTAGACTTGGAGCAGGGGAAGGTGGAGCTCGCAAAAGGCTGCCCCTCACCCTGAAAAGGGAGACAGAGACTTAGCTGGGTTGGGCTTGCCTGGGCTGCTCCACAGTGGGTATGGTGCAGGGACAAGGGCCTGGCTGCAGGGTCCTGCTCATCTGGGCCTGGGACCTGAGCTAGAGAAACTGCAAGAGGCCCCGGACAGTCTACCCCAGACAATCCACCCCAGAGGGTCCACCCCAGACAGTCCACCCTGGATGATCCACCCCAGACGGTCCACCCAAGAGGGTCCACCATGGATGGTCCACCCCAGACGATCCACCCCAGATGGTCCACCCAAGAGGGTCCACCATGGATGGCCCACCCCAGACAACCCCAGAGGGTATACCCCAGACGGTCCGCCCCTGATGATCTACCCCAGAGGACCAACCCCAGATGGTCCACCCTAGATGGTCCACCTTGAATGGTCCACCCCAGATGATCCACCCTGGATGGTCCACCCTAGAGATCCATCCCAGATGGTTCACTCTGAATGGCCCACCCCAGACAGCCCACCCCAGATGGTCCACCCTGGACAGTCTACCCTAGATGGTCCACCCCACATGATCTACACTGGATGGTCCACCCTGAACAGTCCATCCCAGATGACCCACCCTGGATGGTCCCCCCTGGACAGTTCACCCCAGATGACCCACCCTAGACAATCCACCCTGGATGGTCCACACTAAATGGTCCATCCCAGAAGGTCTACCCTGAATGGTCCACCCCAGACAGTCCATCCTAGATGGTCCACCCCAGATGGTCCACCCTGGATGGTCCACCCTTGACAGTTCACTCCAGATGATCCACCCTGTATGGTCCACCTAAATGGTCCATCCCAGAAGGTCCACCCTGAATGGTCCACCCCAGACGATCCACCCTAAATGGTCCACCCCGGACGATCCACCCTGGACAGTCCACCTAGATGGTCCACCCTGGGGATAGTCTATAATGCTCTCATGGCTCTCATTGGCCAGGAGAGCGACGGTCAATGCCTCAGCCCTGAGCAGCCGACCTGACTCAGGAAGGTGCCCCCATGCCACCCCCTCCGCCCACCAGCACTCACTTGGCTCGCATGAGGTCCTGGTCTTTGAGTGCAGAGCCCTGGAGGTAGATGACCCGCTGGGACCACAGAGGGATCTGCAGGACTCTGCGCACCTGGACATCCATCTCCGTGGGGCACAGGATGACCACGTAATAGTCCTGCCGGCCAGGCGGAGGGTCAGACCCTCTGAGCCAGCCCCTGCCCCGCCCGGGCGGCCCTGCCTTCAGGACTGTGTTTGTGCCCACCACCTCTGGGCCCTAGAGCTCACTGTGATCTTGCATCTGGTGGGAGGGAAAAGAGGGGCCCCCGCAGGGCCCCTCCACCTGACTGTGGGCTGCCACCCTCACTGAAGGGGTAAACTGAGGCTGAGAGGACTCAGGGACTTGCCAAGCAGTCCTGGGGAGAGGATGGCAGTCCTGGGGAGAGGATGGCGTCTCTGGGCGCCGGGAGGGAGGCATCTGCCCTCACTGAAGGGGTAAACCAAGGCTGAGAGGACTCAGGGACTTGCCAAGCAGTCCTGGGGAGAGGATGGCGTCTCTAGGGGCCGGGAGGGAGTCGTCTGCTGGGCCACGGTAAGGGGCCTCACCTGGAGCCGGGGGTGGGCGTAGAACTCGTTCAGGAAGTCCATGAGAAGGTCGATCTTGAGGGAGCTGACACACAGGACCACGTGCTTCTCCGTCTGCGCACGGTGGCGGCTGTAGTTGCCCCCTGACTTCTGCCGCTCCATCCAGAGGTAGACGAGCTCCTCGAACTGCAGGTGAGAAACAGGTGAGCACCAGCGACCAGGCCTGGGGAGCGAGGGCTCCCGGTGAAGAACCTGGGCCCTGACACACGACTGTCTGTTAGGGGCCTGGGGCAGGGCCGGCCGGGGGGTGACACCTACATTAGGGGGGCCTTTCCCACATGGAAACTGTAGATGCTGATAGCCTCAGATGACACAGAGCAGGACGCAGGCCCGGCTGGCAGGATGTGTGGGGACCAAGGGAGGAGGGGCGGCTGGAGACTGTGGAGTAAACCGAGGGTGGGGAGGCTCAGCCCGTGGGATTGGGGATCACTCTCTTGATGGTAAGCGTGGCCAAATCAGGCCTCAGACCCCGGTCTTCCAGGCACTCGCAGGCCTCACTGTCAGGAGCCTATGTCTGGGGGGCAGGTGGTTTGAGGCTGCTGGTCTGAGGATGCTGCCTGCCCTGGCTCATGCTCCCCAGATGCAAGCTCTGGGTGTTGAGACTCAAAGGGGACAGATCCAAAACAGAGGCCACCGGGGCCTCCCAGCACCGGCCCCACTGGCCTCTAGGTGAAAGTCTTTGGCTTTTCTTTTTTTTGAGACGGAGGCTCACTCTGTCACCCAGGCTGGAGTGCCGTGGTGCAATCACAGCTCACTGCAGCCTTGACTTCCCGGGCTCAAGCCATCCTCCTGCCTCAACCTCCTGAGTAGCTGGGATTCTAGGTGCATCACCACCATGACCAGCTAGTTTTATTTTTATTTTTTGTAGAGATGGGGTCTCACTACATTGCCCAGGCTGGTCTCGAACTCCTGGGCTCAAGCGATCCTCCTGCCTTGTCGTCCTGAAGTGCTGGGATTACAGGCTGAGTCATGGTGCCCGGCTTGTTGAACACGTGTTAAATGAACAATGGCAGGAGCTCCCATGGACTGTGGGCTGCATGGCTGATGTGCTATCGTCTGGTCTAAATGGGACCATCGCATTGCACTTATCCAGCGCCTGCTTTGTTCCGGTGACGAGGCTCCACTGCCTTGCCACACAAAACAGTTTCCACAGCTGGGAGGTGCTCAAGACTCCAGGGCGACCGGAACAGAGGCTTCCCCGCGGATGGTGCTGGCGGGGGCTCTGCTGTCAGACACCCCAGGGCTCACGTCCCCCACTCTGAGCCTCAGCTTCCTCACCTACAAGATGGCTGCATGGCACGGCAACCCTCCAGGGCCGCCGTGAGGATGAAGGAGCTAATGACGGCAGCTCCGTAGTGACCCTAAAAGTCCTATCTGCCCAGAACCTCGCCATGTGATCTGATTGGAAATAGGTCTCTGCAGATGTAATGATTTAAGATAAGGTCACCCTGGGTTGGAGTGGGCCCTAAATCCAGTGAGAGGTACAGAGAAGAGGCCAAGTGCACACGGGGCAGAGGCTGAGGTTTCTACAGCCACCGTAGAAGCAGCCCCAGGGATTGCGGCCCCACCAGAAGCTGGAGAGAGGCATGGGACAATCTCCCCCAAAGCGGCCTGATAGGGTCAGCCCTGCCAACCCCTCCACTTCCGATTCTGTCCTCCAGGGCTGGCGGAGGATACATATCTGCTGTTTAAGCTGCCTGTCTGTCTTGCTGATCGAAGAGCCTGGAGGATACTTCCAGGAGACCCAGCCGGCGCTGCTGTGTTCCAGAAGGACGCTCGTGAGCGAGGGCCTCGGGGTCATCACTCTGCTTCAAGGGCTTTTACTGGTGCATTCAGCCCAGTGGAGACCAAGGGCAAGGGCACTGCAGCCCACCCTTACCATCGCCAGTGAGAGGCTCAGTCTTTCCAGTCATTCGGAGGAGGCAGGGAGCGGCTTAGACGGTGGGGTCAGCGGCATCACTGTCCCAATCACCCCCAGCCCTGCCAGGGACAGCACAGGCCCACCTGGGTCAGGTTTGAGCACCAGGTCCGGCAGGGCTGATGGGAGGGAGGGTGCGCCAGCCCCCAGGCCCTGCCCCCGCCTTCCTCCCTGCCTCGCTCAGAGCTTGTCCCACTCAGGGCCTGCTCTGCCTGCCCCACACGGGAGAAAGGAGACAAGGCAGTCAGGCAGTGGCTGATCTGAGGGACCCCACTGTGGACACGGAGCTCGAGCTACAGTGACACCTCTGCGTGCAGGCTGCTGGGCTGTCGGTCACTTGTCACCATGGCCATACCCATCGATGCAATCAGTTCTCGTGACGATGGCGCATTTGTTCCGTGAATTTCCCTGAAGAGCAGTGCAGGTGTGATGCCTGCAGGACCTGGTGCACCTGGAGTCACCTTGTCTTGTTTGTTTTAAGATGGTGTTGAGATGGCATCTCGCTCTGTCACCCAGGCTGGAGTGCAGTGGTGTGATCTTGGCTCACTGTAACCTCTGCCTCCTGGGCTTAAGTGATCCTCCCACCTCAGCCTCCCGAGGAGCTGGGACTACAGCTGTGTGCCATCATGCCTGGCTAATTTTTCCTATTTTTTGGTAGAGACGGGGTTTTGCCATGTTTCCCAGGCTGGTCTTGAACGCCGGATCTCAAGTGATCTACCCACCTCGGCCCTCCAAAGTGCTGGGATTACAGGCAGGACCCATTGTGCCTGGCCCTTTTTTCTTTTTCTTTTTGAAACAGGGTCTCACTCTCTGTTGCATAGGCTAGAGTGCGATGGCGAGATCACAGCTCACCACAGCCTCAACCTCAGGGCTCAGGCGATTCTCCTGCCTCAGCCTCCCAAGTAGCTGGGACTACAGGTGCATGCCGCCACACCCAGCTAATTTTCATACTTTTTGGTAGAGATGGGAGTCTCTCTACGTTGCTCAAGCTGATCTCAAATTCCTGGGCTCAAGCGATCCTCCCGCCTTGGCCTTTCAAAGTACTGGGGTTACAGGCATGAGCCCTGCGCCTGGCCTTGTCTTACTTCTTAATGGAGATAAGGGGAGGTGGGGGCTCCCCTGGTGCTTCAGGAGCAGAATGGGAAGGCAGCCCCGGCCCGGAGGCTGTGGACGCAGCAGAGGGACATGGAACAGGCCTGCTGCACATCCCGATTTGGCCCTTACCCGTGGGTGCCACGGTCTCGTGAGAAGCACGGGAGAGAGCGCTTCGCTCCTGCTTTATTTGAAAGCGACCCTGGGGGTGGCTGGGGCTGGGGCTCCTCTTCGCTCTGGGGTGTGTGGGGTGGGGAGAGGAGCCGGACGCAGCCCGAAGGTGGAGCTGCGTGTGGCTGGGCCGTGGGCCCACAGGGGAAAGGGGGACGCATTGGCCCTGTTGACCCTTCCTCTGACCTCGGCTGGGCCAGGGGCCTCTCGGATGTTTCTCTGGAAGGGCTTGTGGGGAATTCAGAGACTGGATGGGTCAACGCCTCTGCAGAGCATCTGGGTGCAGCGGCCTCAGCAGGTGCCGGCCACGTGGTGAAGTGTGGGCCGGGGCGGACCAGGGACGGAGGCTGGGGGCCCGTAGCAAGGTCAAGGATGGCCCTGAAAGCAGGTCCCCCTGCACCTCAGGATGAGTCCTCATTTGCAAAAGGGTCTTTGCAGAAGTAATTAAGGTAAAGAATTTGAGGTGAGATTTACGGATTGGGGCAGGAGGGCCGAGGAGGGAGGCAGTGTCACTGCACGGAGTGCCCCCCACACTGTGCTCCTGGCCTCACTCCCACCCTCACTCCCGCCCTTGCCTGGTTATGAAATGCGCAGAGAAAGGAGCAGAATGCAGGGTGTGGGGGAGCAGGCGTCAGAGGGGAGAACCCAGCTCCACCCCACCCCACATGGTGGTTCCTGGTGGGTGAAACCCTCCAGGTGAGAGGCGAGCTTTACACTTTTAGAAGAAAATAGGAAGCCAGGTTTATGATCGAGGGAGGGAATGATCTTTTCAGTAAAGACAGGAAAACAGAAACCATAAGGGAAAGATTGGTGAATCAAAGCCAAGCCGCCTGTAATCCCAGCTATTTCTGGGGCTGAGGCGGGAGGATCGCTTGAGCCCAGGAGTTCGAGGCCAGCCTGGGCAACAAAATGAGAGTGAGACCCTATCTCTAATTTAAAAAAAAAAAATCAAGACCATCCGTGAATGGAAGATTCTGTAAGCAAAGTGAGAGGGGCGGTCACAGAGCAGGAAGTAACGGGAAAGCCACACACAACTGGCTTCTTCTAGAACACAGAGACTCGCTCATCAGCGAGAACCAGGGGGAAGACCAAAGAGGAGCGGGCAGCTCACAGGAGCGGGACTCGTGGCACTGGACGGTGGAGTGGCCGACAACCAGATGGAAAGACGCGCACGGCCCCATCTGAACTCAGGAGAACAGAAGCCACAGATGTGGAGAACATGGCCCACGCTGGGGGCCGTACAGCTGGTGCCACAGCTTTGGCTTGGATATAGTGAGGAGAAGAGCCAGGCCTGGCCTGGGCCCATACCTGGGCCACGCCCACTGCTGTTTAGCGGGAGGGAGCTGGGGCTGAGCCTGGGGTCAGCAGAGGCTCCCTAGGAGCACTGCCCTGTCTCCCCGGCATCCTGCAGCCACCTGGGGGTCTGTCTCCCAGAAGGCCCTGGCCACCTCCTCAGGCTCTTCCTCCTACCCAGCCTCCTGGAAAATGTTCCACCACCCACAGGGGTCCCCTCCTTCTCCCATCTCCCCAATAGCAGGGTCCCTCCAGGGTGGGCTGGGGTGCCTGGAGGAGGTGTCGGAGGCAGTCCAGGCCCAAGCACTTCACACCCTGAGGCAGCTGCCCTCTCCAGGCCTCCACCTTTCCCACTGAGGTCTTGCCCCGTCCCCTCCTCTGCTCAGTGGGCAGTGGGCCACAGCAGTGGTGACGGGGAAGCCACTGGGGTGGCCGGGGGGGTGTGCCCCCTGTGGGCCTGGCAGCTGCTGCTGCACCTGGCTGTGGATGGGAAATGGGCCGGCTGTCCACCTTGACCCTTCCCTGCACTCTGCCTGGGCCTGGGAGGGGCAGGTCACCCTGGCACTGGAGACCCACCATCTCCCCAGAAGGAAGAGGCCAGCTCACGGGACTCCATCATTACCCACCATGCTGAGCACCACCGGACCCGCCGTAGACCCTCAGTGGGGGCGTGCAACGGAGCAGGCACCACCCGCCTGGCCTCACTGTCCCCTCCTGGGAGTGGCCCCCGCACTGTGCCACAGCCTCAGTGGCACCCTCCCTCTACTGGCACCCGCCTGTCCCTTTGCTGGTGCCACCCAGGGCTGGTGCCCAGAGGACCCACCTGCAGTGGGAGCACCACGAGGGCCACGCAGATCATGATGACCACCAGCAGCTGCGATGGCCAGATCTTGGGCGTGACGTCACCGTAGCCCACGGTGGAGAAGGTGACGATGCAGAAGTAGAAGGAGGTCAGGAGGGACAGGTTCTCGCCCGCCCGCTCCAGGTGCTGGATGCCGCAGGTCCTGCAACCCCTGGCAGTGAGGGGCGGCCTGGGGCCCAGGAGCTGGGGGGCCGTGGCCCCTCAGAGATCCTGCCTGCCCACGGGACCCTCACTGCCCAGGAGACTGAGCTGTGCATCACCAGGCGAGCCCCGCCCTCCTGACAGCTGGGTGGCATCAGGCCCTCAGCCCTGCCCATCTGTCCCCAAGCTCTGCCGGAGCCACCTCCTGCCTGACGCTGGCTGACAATGCAGCTTGGCCACAGCATGGCGGCCTCTGTTCACGGCGAATTCCCCGGAGCCTCCCTGCCTGCCGGGTGGCTCTCTCCTAGGTCCCTGGAACATTCTCTGGGAGCAGGGGATGCAGGGCTGTGTCATCAGCGTGGGCTTGGGTGACACAGGGGTGGGCCTGGGGTCTGGCCCTCTACCCCCATCTCAGAGCCTTGCCCCTTTACCCACCACACTCAGGCCTCTGCCCGGCACAGCCAGACAAGCGCCCAGGCCTGAGGCTGGGAGGTCTAATGGGCAGGGCTGGGGTCGCCGCCAGGTCCCAGATGCTATCCTCATGGATGCCCCAATCTGCCCACTCAGCTCTGTGTCTGTCAGTCTGTCATGAGGGGCAGGGGGGAAGGGAGGCGGGAAACGCAGGGCACTCTCCCTCCCCCAGGGCACAGTGCTTGCCTGACATCCCTGCCTGGGGACGGGAAGTGGTGACCAGGCCTCGCTGGGACCCAAGGCAGAGCAGCAACATGGAGCCCTCCACGAGGACACAGGCAGGTGGGCACAGTGGGCATGCCTGGGTGGGCTGGAGGCCCTCGCAGCTCTGGGCACCCCCACCTTTACCCTGGCTGCCTCCAGACCCTGCTTTCAGCTGGGCCTCAGCCAAGAGACCCCACCTGGCCTAGGGGCCAGTCCCCTTCTCTACGTCCATGGCATAGACCAGGAAGCCAGATCTGGGTATCTCTGTCCTTGGAGGAGTCGGGCTGCAGGGCTGCTCGTGTACTGGGGACGTGGGCTTGGAGCTGCCTCCTGACCTCAGTCCCAGCTTGGTGGCCCGACACCCGCAGCCCAGGCACTGTGGCCTTTTCTGCCCCGATAGCTTGGACATAGGCATCTGTATCCCCTCGCCCGGCCCTGCTTGCCTCTCGGGCCCTCCCAACGTCCTGGGGTGCTCACACTGACGGCCGGCACTCACCCCGTGAAAACGAGGCACAGCAGGGTGCAGAAGAGGATGAGGACCTGGTTGAACATGGCTGACTGTGTCCGCAGGATGGCACGGTGGAAGTCATTCTGTGGAAGGAGTGGTGGCTGTCAGCGGGCAGGGACTGTGGACCCCGCCAGGAGCCAATGAATAGAGACTAGAAGGACAGTGGAAAGCAGACGGCCCGGCCACACCTGCGTCTCGGCTGAGGCCCACGGGGCAGCCTGTACCTGGCCACACCTGTGTCTCGGCTGAGGCCCATGGGGCAGCCTGCACCTGGCCACACCTGCGTCTCGGCTGAGGCCCACGGGGCAGCCTGCACCTGGCCACACCTGTGTCTCGGCTGAGGCCCACGGGGCAGCCCACGGCCACACCTGTGTCTCGGCTGAGGCCCAAGGGGCAGCCCACGCCTGGCCACACCTGCGTCTCCGCTGAGGCCCACGGGCAGCCTGCACCTGGGTAGGGCACCCCCTCTGCTGTCCTCTCTCAGGACGGGTCCCCATCTTGCCTACATCCCCGGGGATGAGGCTTAAGTCTCAGGTCAGAGGGCTGGTTAGTGTGCAAGGCTTGGACCCAGCATGGTAACGCTGATTTACCACTGGGGCAGGAATGGGGGCTGTGAGTCAAGGGGTCTGGCTTGGAGAGGGTGGGCGCCTAGGGAACTGACTGCTGCCATTCACATGACAGGGACCATGTTGAGACACTCAGAGCAGGGCCTGCCTGTGGCCCCGTGGCCCAGGTTTCCTGAGATGCTCAGCACAGGGCCTGCCTGTGGCCCCGTGGCCCCAGTTTGCGTGTGGCCTGGTGTTTGTGGCCCTGGTCCTCGTGGCCTGGGTTTGTCACACCCTTCACTTTGTCCCTCCTCCTCCTGCCAGCCATTTCATTTCCAGGCTTAGGAAAAGCTCTGGGATTGAGTTTCTTCCTGGAAGGAGGGCATTCGGGGCTTGGCTTGGATGTTTTCCAGGAGCAGAGACAGAGTTTCTGCTGCCCTGGCTTCCCGGTCCTCTACAGGTCATGCCAGGGCCGGGGCGTGGCAGGCTACGTCGCACAGTGTCTTCCAGGGCCGGTGAGGCTGAGGGTGGCCCCCCCAAGTCCCAGCTGCACCCCCCGCCCCGGCTTACAATCATGTTTTCCAGCGCGTGCTTGGCCAGCCAGCAGTTCAGAAAGACGGGGATGAACAGGTTCCGCAGCGGCGGCCAGAAGATCTGTGAAGGGGACAGGTCAGGGCTGGGGCTCCAGGGCCCGCACTCCTGGCAGCTGGGGCTCACCCACCGTGATGATGAAGGGCAGAGTGTTGATCATCTCCAGGACGAAGGACACGCGGAAGATCTGCTCCCAGATGTTGCCCTGGGGCCAAACGGGGGGTATCAGCGGGGGCGATGGAGGGTGGGGGTGGGGCCCAGCAGGGGAGGGGCAGGGTGGGGAAGAGGGCGAGGAGCCCACCCTGGAGGTCAGTGGATGAGGCTGGGAAGTGTGGGGAAATAGGAGAGGGTGGGGGAGGTGGGGGAGGCTGGGGAGGGTGGGGAGGGTGGGGACCCCCTGTGAGGTGCCATCCCGGGCAGGCACTCACTTTGTAGCTGAGGTAGATGAGAAGCATCGTCTCCAGGAAGCTTATTATGGCCACGATGACCTGGGAGTCAGGAAAGGGAAGGAGCTCTGGAGCAGGCCGGGGCTGGGGCTGGGGCCTGACCCCACAGGCCTCGCGGGCAGGTACCACACAAAGCCAGGTGTGTGTCTGGGGTCTGCCTTGACCCTCACTCCCATGTCAGGACAGTCTTAGCCACCAAGGCCTTTGGCTGACCCCCGCCAGGGCCGAGGGCAGATGGAGTCTTGAAACCATGGTCCTCCTGGGCCGCCCACTCTAGGCCCAGGGTGGGATGGAGGGTGCAGTGGGTGAGGCAGGACGCTCAGGAAGACACCAGAGAGCGGCTATCCCGCTGCCCTGGTGGGGAGGGAACGGAGATGGAGGCTCAGTGGACCTGGTTTTCCCCCACGGAACCCCTCTCAGCACAGGCATCTACTGACCCCTCTGGAACATGATAGGGGTGGGTGTGAAAGACCCTCTCTGGTCTCAGATGGAGACATGGGACCCAGTCATGAACTAGGTCACCCACCCAGGAGCCAGCCAGGGACCTGGCCTGTGCACTCTCCACCCCAGGAAAACAGCAAGGACACAGATGGGTCAGTGGAGGGAGAGATTCAGGTGGTGAAGCAGACAGAGGGGGTCAGGAAGTCCTCAGGGATCCCTGGGAAAATTGTGTGGAGAGCAGTAGAGCCTGGGTCGGTCCTCAGCACTCACTGAACCTGGGACCCCTGCTTACTGAGCCTGAGTTTGTCTTCAGCATTCACTGAGCCTGGGTTCCCTACTTACTGAGCCTGTCTGTCTTCAGCATTCACTAAAGTCTGGTTTCCCTGCTTACTGAGCCTGGGTCTGTCCTCAGTGCTCACTGAGCCTGGGTCCCCTGTTTACTGATCCTGGGTTTGTCCTCAGCATTTACTGACCCTGGGTCAGTAAATGCTGGGTTTGTCCTCAGTGCCCACTGAGCCTGAGTCACCTGTTTTACTGAGCCTGGCTTTGTCCTTGGCATTCACTGAGCCTGGGTCCCATGCTTACTGAGCCTGGGACTGTCCTCAGTGCTCACTGAGCCTGGGTTTGTCCTCAGCATTTACTGAGCCTGGATTTGTCCTCAGCATTTACTGAGCCTGAGTCAGTAAATGCTGGGTCTGTCCTAAGTGCTCACTGACCCTGAGTCACCTGTTTACTGAGTCTTGGTTTGTCCTCAGCATTCACTGGGCCTGGTTTCCCTATTTACTGAGCCTGGGTTTGTCCTCAGCATTTACTGAGCCTGGTTTCCCTGCTTACTGAGCCTGGGTCTGTCCTCAGTGCTCACTGAGCCTGGGTCCCCTGCCTACTGAGCCTGAGTTTGTCCCCAGTGCTCACCGAGCCTGGGTCCCCTACTTACTAAGCCTGGGTCTGTACTCAGTGCTCACTGAGCCTGGGTCCCTGTTTACTGATCCTGGGTTTGTCCTCAGCATTTACTGAGCCTGGGTCAGTAAATGCTGGGTTTGTCCTCAGTGCTCACTGAGTTGGAGTCACCTGTTTACTGAGCCTGGGTTTGTCCTCAGCATTTGCTGAGCCTGGGTCCCCTGCTTACTGAGCCTGGGTCTGTCCTCAGTGCTCACTGAGCCTGGGTTTGTTCTTAGCATTTACTGAGACTGGGTATGTCCTCAGTGCTCACCGAGCCTGGGTTCCCTACTTACTGAGTCTGGGTTGGTCCTCAGTGCTTACTGAGCACCACTGCAGTCGGGAGGGGGGCAGGGTAGGGCACTCACCTGGATCGCCCACAGTGTCATCTTTCTCTCCACCCACAGAATAGGAGCCCTGGGAAGAGAAAGGAGGCAGCACAGTAGGGCACCACAGCCACTAGTGTCCCCCAGCCACCCTGGGGCTGGGGCCATAACCATTGGCCTCCACTGGCCCCAAGCATGTGCTGCTCATTGGGGCTGGACCAAAGGAGCCTACCTTGCCTTTGGAGGGGACCATAAGGAGGAGGGAAGGGAAGGTTCCCCAAGAGAGGAGGATGGAGCAGGACTGCAGCAGGCAGGCCCCCCAGGAGGTGCTTGTGAGGCCAGGGCCCATGGCTGAGTCTCCATGGAGCCTTGGCCTGCAGCCCATGACACTACCAAGGGTGGCAAAGCTTCTCCTCTCTGGACACGACAGGCAACAGCAGCCTGGGCCCCAGACTGGGTAGCCTGTTTTTTTCACCTGGGTCCCTGAAGCCGGGCTCCCATGAATGTCCCTAAGAGCAGGGAGGTCGGGCTATCTAACCCACAGCCCCCTGGGTTTCCCCGAGTCTCAGTTCCTCATCCATAAACAGGCAGGGGCATGGCTGCAGGGGGCCATCTGCTCCTTGCCTGATGCGGACAGGGGCTCAGGCACTGGGGACATGCCTTGCAGGTTCTGGGGACAGGTCTTAATCTCTGGACCAGGCACCCCAGTTGCCCCGCAGTCACCTCCCACTGCCTGCCCGGGGCAGGTGCCTTCCTTTGCCGTAAGATGGTGAACTGGAAGAGAAGCCGCCACCTCACTGGGAGACGGGCTTCCTTGCATCTCTCACTGGGCTCAGGAAGAGCGTGTGGAGGCTGTGGAACTGGCTGGGAACTCACAATTCTCAAACTGCTCCTCTTGAAGGGGACATTCCCAGCATTGACCACAGCCAGGGCTAAGGGCACATGTGTCCTGGGGAACCTGGGTGGCTGCTGGGTTGAGGCTGGGCATTATCCCTCAGGGACCAGGCAGTGTGAGCCTCTGTCCATCCCACCCCACCCTGGTCCCAGGCCTCTGAGCGCCTGGCTACTGGGAGCTGGAGTGGAGACTCATCCCACCCCACCCTGGTCCCAGGCCTCTGAGCGCCTGGCTATTGGGAGCTGGAGTGGAGACTCATCCCACCCCACCCTGGTCCCAGGCCTCTGAGCGCCTGGCTATTGGGAGCTGGAGTGTGGACTCACCAGTTGATCTCGGAGGACGAGTCATTGAAGGAGTAGTTCTGCTTTGGGCAGCCCCAGCTGTGGAGAGACACAGCGCTGGCCCGGCCCTGGCCCCTCTAGCACCACTGCAAGGACTTGCTGCCCGAGGGCTTCCACAGGCTCGGGTTCATGGGGGCCTCCTACTCACCCACCCGGGGCTAACCCCCACATCAGAGCTCTAACACCTGGGAGACAAGGCAGCCTGCCCCCTCCCCACCTACTGCGGAGATCCTGCAGGAGGGCCTCTAACTGAGGAATGCTGGGCTGGCCACTGCTCAGCCCAGCAGGCAGACAGCGAGGGTACATCCCACATCTGCGGGATTGGGGGTAGCCCCAACCCAACAGCAACACACTGGTTCTGCCTGTGCTGACAACAGGCTCCCAGGGAGGGGCCTTACATGGCCAGAGAGAGCATGTGGGAACACTCAGGGCCTCCCCAAGGCCAGAGCTGCCTTGAACAAGGCTGGACAGTGTTCAAGAGACAGGGAGAGGAAGCTCCTATCCCCAGGTGCTGACTCCAAGAGGCACGTCCCTAAGCTGCTTCTGAGGACAAGCGGCCCCCAAGCCACCTGGAACCAGCTGCTGCGACAGTGACCAGGGCATGGCCAACAAGCTAGTTTTGTCCCAGACCATCATCGATGCCAGGGTCACTGACCAAGGAGACCTCACTGCTCACAAGGCCCCTGGTGATGGCCAGCTCCTCTTGTCTTTTCTTTCAACTGATCCACTTTCCCCTGATTTTTAATGGGGTTGTTGCAAACTAAGTGCCCACAGAAGTATCTGGACATCCATCTATCATCCATCCACCCATCCATCTTTCCACTCACTCATCCATCCATCCACTTCTCCATCATCCATCTCTCCATCCATCCACTCATTCCTCCATCCATCCACTCATCCATCCATCCCTCTATCCATCCACTCATCCATCTATCTACTCATCTGTCCATCCATCCATCCCTCCATCCATCCATCCACTCATCCCTCCAACCATCTGCTCATCATCCATCCACTCATCCATCTATCCATCTACTTATCTGTCCATCCATCCATCCATCATCCATCCACTCATCCCTCCATCCTTCTGCTCATCTCTCCATCCATCCACTCATCCCTCCACCCATTCACTCATCCCTCCATCCAACATCCATCCCTCCACCCATCCACGCATCATCCATCCATCCATCCATCCATCATCCACCCATCCACTCATCCCTCCATCCATCTATTCCATCCATCCATCCATCTACCCACCATGCATCCACCTATCCATCCATTATCCACCCATCCACTCATCCCTCCATCCACTCCATCCATCCGTCCATCCGTCCGTCCGTCCATCCATCCATCATCCACCATCCATCCAACCATCCATCCATCATCCACCCATCTTCCCACCCCCATCCATGTCCTGGACGCTGTGCTAGGGGACGGGCAGTGAACACAACAGACTTGGGCCCTGTGGGGATGTGAAACCAGAAGCCCCAGGGGACCCTGGGACTTGGGGTGGGGAGTGACCTAGGAAAGTAGCTTGAGAGTCAGTCAGGGCCCAGTTCTCCTTCTCAAACTCTCCTAGTGGGTTCTGCCCTCTTCTGACCTAGACAAAGACAGGAGGTTCATTCTTAGGAGAGGGAAAGTCTCTGGCCTGGGGATGCCAGGCCCCCTTGTGACGGGGTAACAGGTGAAAAGGGGGATTGAGCAAAAGTTTACATGGACGCCTTTAGGTCCCCAGAAGCCAGGCTCCCGGCAGTCAGGCCTTCTCTCCAGGGAAGAACCTGCTCTGCGCAGCCAGAGGGGGGACCAGCATGCTGGCAGGGTTCACCCCGATGGCTGGATGGTGACAACCACACCACACACGTGGCTGCAGAGCCCCTCAGCGCCTGAGCACTCTTACGCATAAACGGCACCAGACATTTGAGGAAATCTACGGGTATGAAAAAGTCAGGGCCCAATGTGAGCTCGGGAGAAACAGGCCCAGCAGATGGGGAAAGCGTAAAACAGGAAAGGACTGGAGACACCATCTTCGGAAGGACATTCAGAGAAAGGATTTCTGGAAACCAGGAGGCAGGACAGAACAAGTGGACGAGTGAACAAGGGAACGAGGCAGGAGAGGGGAGAGAAGAAACAGGACACAGAGCACAGCATCCGAGTGCCAGGGAGCCAGAGAGAGAGGCCTGGGGTTGGGGGCTGGTCCCCAAAGACATGACTCAGGACAGGCCGGCACCGAGGGCCGCAGGGCCCTGCTGATGTCCCCTGGGACCCACACAGAGGTGAGCAGGAGTTGCCAAGGCACGCTGGGCACAGAGTAGGTCCCAGCAGCCGCCACTTCTCGAAGCAGCAACAGCAGAAGGAGACAGAACAGGACTCAGAGAGAGCAAGTTCCCACCCACCCTCATCGCGGCTGCTGCGAGGCTGGTAAGGACCTGACGGTGCAGATTGCTGCCCCCAGCACCTCTCCCAGAAGTCCCTGGAGCATGGGCCCCAGGACGATGGGCCCTGGGGAGGGGACTCCTTGGGACCCAGGAGGGGTAGAAGACACCCCCAGAAACAGGTAGGGGCTTTCCCCAGGGGGACTGGGCGCCCCCTTCCCTGACCTGCAGAAGCTCAAGTGAGCACAGAGACACTTGTGGGGGCAGGGAGGGACATCCTAGATGCTCCAGCCTTTCCGTGGACCTTCTGGGTCCGCTAGTAGCTAAGGGCACAGCTGGAAGTCTACGATGGGGACCCTTCTCCCTACGCTGAGCCGTCTGCGGGAGCCTGGGCACTGAGTCCTTGGCTTTTTCCATCCTGGGACAGGCACTGGGGAAGGAAGGACTCCCCAAGGCCCCAGGCACAGGGGCTCCCCCAGGGACGCCATCAGCTTCTGTAACGGCCCAGTGGGAAGGCTCAGCCCTGGGACCCGGGACCCCGCGCCCGGCCGCGCACGTGGCCCACCATCCGATGCCCAGGGCCGGGTCATCGAGCAGGACGCGCACAATGTAGAGCAGGCAGGTGAGCAGCTTCAGGGAGAAGTTGAACAGCCGGATCCTCAGGCCTGCGGGGAGGGCAGCGGCCTCAGGGCTCTGACCCAGCTCTGGGCTTCGGGGAGCAGGGCCTGCACCCGGGTCTGGCTGGGCTCTCTGGATGGCCCCAGCTGGGCTCCCCTCCCACACCCGGGCTGCACGCAGAGCTCTGTGTGCCCTGCGTTGTTTGGGGGCTGATGCTCTTGGGTCAGCCTCCAAGAGGCTCTGTCCCTGGCCCCACCTTACAGGTGCCTGAACTTGGGGTGCAGGGGATTTCTAGAGGCCACTCCACTTCTTGGAGGACAGGATAGGGATTGGGGAGCAGGCAGGTGAATGTGGAGCCCCTGGGGAAACCCCCCAAGTCCTCACCTGCAATCCCGGGGGGAGCATGATGCCAAGCTCTGGCTGGGAACGGGGCAGGGAGCTGTTGGGGAGGGTGGGGCTGTATGGAGGGGTGGGAGGCAGGGCGTGGCCACAGGGGAGACCTTGCTGGCACCTATGGATGGTCCTGCCCCACCCAGCCTGGTGTCCAGCAGGCAGGACGGTGTCCCCACGAGTCCCGCTGCAGAGGCCCTGGTCTCAGACAGTGTGAAGCTAAGAGGGGGCTACCCTGTGCCCCACTCACCATGCAGACCCACCCCCACCCTGCTTCCAAATGCCCCCGCAGCACTCAGGTGGCTCCCACCCCATGGACTCTCCCTGAGCTCACAGCCCCAGCCTTCGCCATCGCCAGGCTTGCTCCCGGCGCCCTCAACACCTCCCTGCCTGGGAGTGGCCCTCCAGGCACCCCACTCACTCGATCTTTGGTTTTTGATGAAGAACAGCTTGAGCCGCTCCTTGAAGGTGTTCTCGTTGACGTAGAACTCCACCTGGACCCTGAAGAAGCAGAGAGGGGCATGGAGGCTCAGGGCCAGTGGGGACTCAGGCTGGGGACACGCCGGGAGCCCCAACCTGACTGACTTCTTCCAACTTTCCAACTGCAGGAGTTGAGAAGTCAGGGCCCAGCAGGACCACTCCCTCCACCTCAGACCCAGGAGGGTCCTGGGGTCCGTCACACCCAGCAGACAGCCGACCCAGCCTCGGCTCCTCTGAAGATTCCTCCCCGCAGCCCTGGGCACTCGCTGCTGTGAGTCTGGGCCCTCCAGGCCGCCCTGTTGGGGCTCAGGGTGCGGCACTCACTCCACACACCCTCGCCCAAGCCTCCGTGGGTGCAGGGCACCTGCCAGGAGGTAAAGTTGCCCATATGGCCCTGGGGATGGTGCTCAGGACACCGCAAGTGCTCAGAACATGCCGTAGGACCTGCGTCATACAGGCTGTCCACAGCTGATGGTCAGCTGCTCTGTCTGGAGGCCGCTGGTGGCTGTGCTCCAAGGCTATGGGCCACTGCAGCCTCAAGGGCTGTCAGGGAAGATGGGCTGGTGGGAAGTGGTCATCCCTGCACCCACCTCGCAGGCCAGCTGTGGGGCCCCTCCAGCCAGTGCCGCTCCCCTTCCCTCAGGCTCACCTATGGCCCCAGCCACTGGTTCCCAGACACCCCTCAACCCCCATGCACGCCGCTGCTCATGGGGCCTACCACCCAGCCCTCTGGCCTCCAACCGGGCCCCGGCGGTCCTGAGAAGAGACCACAGTGTGCCAGTTGCCGGGGGTGGCAGGTGGGGTGAGGTGGGGTGGGGAGATTGCGTGGCTCACCTACCGTGGCCACCTGCATGACCCAGGCTGGCCACCAAGAGTAGGATGGAGCCTGGGGGTGGACGGCTGCTGCCCCCACTGCCCCAGCCTTGGACGCAGGGTCTCCTGTGCCCGGCTGTGCTGGGATGCGGGCCAGGCTAGGCCAGGGTTTAATGATCCCCTGAGAGGAAAACTCCAATGCTGCCAGCCTGCAGGACAGACAGGAGCAAGACCCAGAGCCAGGGTTCCTGCAGCAGGCATGGCCGTCTCTGGGAAGGGGGAGCACATGTCCCCCTAAACGGCCCGTGCCCTGGGGTGCTGGGCTGTCCTCCATGGGACCCTCGGCTGCTCCCAGCCATGGCCCTGTGCCCTCCATGACGTCTGCTCCTATCAGTCGGCTGCCTTAGCCCTCGGGCGCTGCCTCCGGTGCCTGGCCTTGCTCCCTGGGGTCAAAGAGAGGTGCCCCGCCTCCCTCAGGGATGGTGTGGGGGCAGAACACGCAGTCCAGTGAGCTCCTCAGCATGGGCCCCCTGCCCAGTGCAGCGCGAGGGCCACAACACAGTAGGGCAGACAGACAGCGGAGCCTGGAGGAAGACTTGTGCTGCCTGGAAGGATCCTGGACGGCTGCGTGGAGGAGGCAGTGTTCAAGCAGAGGTCCCAGGGCAGCTGTCCAGAAGTCGGGGGAGGTAAGCACCAGCCTAACCCCTGTTCCTGCCTCAACCCCTTCCTTGTCACTGTCCACCAGGGCAGGAGGCTGTGACACCCAGTGGGTGGGCTGTGAGCCTCACCTCCCCTCTGAGCAGGCACTGGCTCCTATCAATCGAATCTGAGAATTTGATGTCACTGCCTGGCCTGGGGCTGGTGACCCCAACATCTCCGAAAGTGATTAAAACATTCGATGTTTCCCAAAGCTCACAACACTCAGGGTAAGTGGTGTGGACCAGGTGTGTGCAGCAGCCTTCGTGGTGGGGCTGCTGTGGGGCGGGCGGGAGGGGCCTTGGTAGAGTCCCAGCACCTGCCTTGATCTGCCCCAGTGGCCTCTGCTGGTTACAGAGCTCAAGAAGGGGCCAGGGGCCGGTCACAGTGGCTCGTGCCCATAATCCCAGGAACTTGGGAGGCAGAGGTGGGAGGATCGCTTGAGGCCGGGAGTTTGAGACCAGCCTAGACAACATAGCAAGACCCCCGTCTCAATAAAAAGTAGCCAGGCATGGCGGCACGTGCCTGTAGTCCCAGCTTCTGGGGAGGCTGAGGCAGGAGAATCGTTTGAACTTAGGAGTTTGAGGCTGAAGTGAGCCGTCAACACGCCACTGCACCCTAGCCTAGGTGACAGAGCGAGGCCCTGTCTCAAAAATGAATAATAAATAAATAAATGAAATGAAGAAGGGTCCAGGGTCCAGGAAGAGGCGTGTGGCTCTGGGTGCCCTTGCCCCATGCTGAAGAGGAGGCTCAGGCCAAGTCCTGGGGGCAGGCTTGTCACCCCACCGGGCATACTCAGGGCTCCTGGGGCCAGGCAGTGGGACAAGCCTCCCACAGACCAGTGGCGTCTGAACCAGTGCTAATGGGGGGTCAGTCTGCCCCCAGAGTGCCCCATCATGCCCTGCAACCCCTCAGCGTAGCCAGCTCTGCTGTGTCCCTCAGCCCCTCCTCCTGCCCCACGCCTCTCCTCTGTGTGCCTGGAGCCCTGGCTGGGGAGGCCCCTCCCTGCATAAGTGTCTCTTTGGGGGGTCTGTCCGCCGTCTTTCTCTCTGAATGGATGTCTTTCGCTCAGACAGGATGCTGGAGGTCCAGGCTGCGCTGGGCCTGGTCTGGCCATGTCAGGGGGGCAGGCAGGGCTGAGGCGGGAGCTGCCCCCGGGGGCTGAGCCCAGGGTCTCCCAAGGCCCTCCTCCCCTCACTGCCGGCGGTACCCAGGGACCACCGGGCCCTAAAAGCATGGAGCTTAGGAACCCACCCTCCCCGCCTCCCTACCACTGTCCCGCCCTCCATGGCAAAAGCCTCAACGCGGGGGGTCTGCTCACCTCACTTGCTCCTACTGCCTCCCACCCTCTCCTCTCCGGCAGGGAGCCTCACCATGCCCTTCACGGTGACCAGACCCCAGAATCTCCTCTACTCCCTGGGCCTCTCAGCACGGCCTCCCCGAGCTCTGTTGTTCTCCCCTCCGCTCCGTTCTCCTTGGGGGACCCCAGGGCTTGCCACAGGTGCCTCTCTCCCACCCAGCCCGGGAATTAAGTGCCACGCAGGGGTGACTTCCCAACTGGCTCTGCTGGCAGCCGTCCAGCCCCACTCTACCCTCTGGCATCCACCGGCTCCCCCTCCCCGAGGCAGAATTCTCCATTCCTGATGGCACCAGGCCAACCATCCCCCACCAACCTCAGGCTCCTGTACCCTCCCCTCCCCTAGACCAGAGCCATCAGCAGGTCCTGCAGCTCTGCCCTCAGGATGTTTCTTCCCTCTGACCTCCCTCTGGGCCTTGGGCTCCTGCCTGGCCACTCCTCCTAGGCGGGGGTGCCCAGCTCCGCCCTGACCATCGCCCCACACTCCACTCCAAGGCAACACCCAGCCAGCTCCATCTCCCCAGCCAGCTCCGGCCACGCCCCCAACCCTCCATCGGTCATAGGCCTCCAAGGAGCTCCTGCTCCTCCCTTTACCTCCCCGTGGACCTGGTGCAGCTGGACCTCTGGGCCTTGGGCCTCTGCAGCTGCCTGGCAAGACCACGAAGCCAATGCGTCCCCCTGGGCTCCCCTTGGCCTCCACAGCCAGGAAACAGAGAGATGCAACCCTGCCCATTGCCAGGACCTCACTGGCTTCCGGACAGCCAAGTTCCTCCCCAGACACCGTGGGGTCGAGGGCTGCTGGTCTGGGACTAGTCGCGCCCCCAGCAGCTTCTCTTTGAGGCCCCTTGACCTCCTCCTGGCACCCCAGAAACAAGAGCACTGAGCCCCCCTTAGGGAGAGAGCCCAGCCAGACCCTGGTCCCCTCACCGAGGGGCTGTGGGCCCCAATCTGGGTAGCCCCCACGGAGCTCAGCGGGGAGTGCCCACCTGCACAGATGGCACCCTCCACGTGGAGGCAGAGAAACGCTGGGGCCTGGCAGACTCCCTGAGAAACTGGAGCCTGCGATGCCAGAGACATTAATGAAGCCTCCTCTGCTTTTAATTTTTAATGAACTGTGGCCGCCCACTTCTCCGAGCACCACCACAAAAAGGAGATGAAAACGATCCATTTTCCCCTGCAGTGTATTTCAGGTGACTGGTGCGATCTGTCTTCACGAGTCACGCAGCGGCACCTGGGGAGGGAGCCTGTGGCTGCAGAGGCCTGGCTGGGGTCAGCTCTAGGCCGACCCGGCTGGGGTAGACCCGCCTGGTGGTTCCTGCCAGAGTGGCCCAAGCCTCCTTGCTGCGGCAGAGGTTCATGGACACTGGTAGCCTGGAGGGCTCCGCTAGCTCCTCAGAGTCACAGCATGCTCCCGGCCCGGCAGCCAGAGGCCCAGGGCTGAGACCCAGTGAGCCCTGTGAGGCTACACGGGCCCTGCCGCTCCTCTGCCCGGCTGTTCCCCTCCACCTGCCAGCGCCTGGGCCTCCTCCCTGGGGAATGGGAACCAGGACAGGGACCAACTCCCGGCGTGTCCCGAGGACAGCAGACAGGTGGAGGAGCTCTGTCTGTGCTGAGATAGAAACAATGGCCTCTGTGTCCCAGGCTTCTCTTGGGACGACGCCCTTGCTCACAGGCTCCATTGAGAGGCTGCCCCGGTGCTCATCTGGGGGCCAGCACCCGTCTGCTCAAACCATCAGGACCCACGTCAGCCAAAAGAGACAGCGCAGGCCTTCGACTCACCGTGGCTCCCAGGCTATGAAGCCACAGGTGTGGACCACGGGCAGAGGCGGGACCCCGGGTGGGGCCACACTCTCCGCTTCCTGTCAGGGCCCGGCCGGTGGGAAAGCAGGGGACCCGCTCATGGCAAGTTGCTCCCAGGAGCTGGGCGTGGGCTCGGTGGAACGCCCTGAGAGGTGGGAGATGACCGAGAACTCCCGTGGGGAGCCGCCCACAGGGCTAGGAAGAACCTGCCTGTGAACGCAGGCTCCCAGGACAATAGGCAAGGACGGGGCAGAAGAATCTACTTCCTGTGTCCATTCTCATCCACTCATCAGTTCACTCATTTGTTTATCTGGCAAACAGCAAGTGAGCGCTCATGGCGGCATCCGTCTGGGAACATCGCCATTCCCAGAGTCCACACCCGGCAGCGGGTGCTGCATTCCCGGATCCCCGGCCACGGGTCCCGACCCCCACCCTGGGAGGCGGGCTCAGGGCGCAGCCACACACTCGCCACAGGGGGCCGGGCCCGTCTCACCTCTGCCAGTCTGCATTTCGGCTGGTGGGGAGGACGGGGCACACCAGGGACCGCCACTGCCCACGGCCTACAGCCCAGGAGCAAGACGCAGGGCCGGTGAGACTCATGGGCATGTGCGGGCAGGCCTGGCCAGGGGGTCCCAGACACAGCAGGGAGCCTCAGACAGTCCCTTGTGTACCCCCTGGGGTGAGGCCTTGGTCCCTGAGGAATCCACAGGCCAAACCCTGGCCCTGGCCCTGGCCCTGGGAGAGCCGTCAGCGGCGCTGGCCCATGGCGAACAACTTGTCCCTGGCACCGTGAGGACAGGCAGCTCCTGGCCAGCCCCGTCCCTACACGGCTGAAGCCCGCTGTAGCCCCCCGAGGCTCCCCGAGGCCCACGCTTGCCCCAGTCACTCAGCAGGTCAGAGGCAGTGCCAGGCCTGGGTCCTTGGGGCTCCCTGTAGCGGCAGCAGGGGAGTCTGTCCCCAGGTGGCGGCTCTGCCCCAGTCCTGCAAGGCTGGTGTTGAGCCAGGCCTGGGCCCCGCGTGTACCCATGCCCACTGCCTGCCTGTGCCCAGGGGCTCACGCCACTGCTCTGCCTGAGGAGGCCCTTGTGCTGCAAAGGGGCTCTCATGGTGCCCACCCCCACACCAAGACGGGACCCTCTGAGGCAAGTGCCGGCCGCCCTGTGACAAATGGGGTCGGCAGAGGCCGGCAACAGTTCTCCCTGCTGACCGGCAGGCCAGCTGCAGGCTGGGGGACTGGCCTTCCAGGGATTCCTGGCAGGTAGTCATACACAGATGGCCATGCCGGGAAGCTCCACACCAGCTCCAGGCTGTCAGGCACACGCCTCGGGGCCCACCATAGCCCTGCACTCACATGGGGCCGAGGTCCGAGCTGCCTCTCTCTGGCAGTGGCTGGGTGCCGGCTGGCTCTTAGGCAGGTGCCTGGGAGCTCCACGCAGGCCTCTGCCCCCAGCACCAGGCAGGCAGGCAGGAAGAAAGGGCAGGCTTCAGGCCCACTGCCAACCCTGGGGCCAGCTATTCTGAGCCTGGACAGAGCATCTGATACGCCCAAGGGCCCAGAAAGGGCACACACATGTCTCCGTCCCCCTGGGGTCCCTGTTTTGACACCCTTGGGCCTCTGGGGCCCCCCCATAGCTTGGCCAGGGGCCCAGGTGAGGCTGGCTCAGGGCTGAAGGGTGAGTCCAGCTGGGCCTCCAAAGGTCCAGGAACATCGGCTGTGTCCAGACCGTGCCACGGCGGCACACACTATAGCCTCGGCTGCAGACGCATCCATTTCCTCCACAGGTCTGAGACCCGACTCCTCGGGAGCCTGGGGTGGGGCCAGGAGAACCCTGGGTGGTGGGCACGGCTTCTATCTCACACCCGTCACCCTCTGCACCATGGGGCCCCAGGCTGGGAAGATAGAGGTCCGGTGGTGGCCACTGGCCTCCCAGCCTCCAGGACTCTTTTGGGATAATAATAGGTCCCACCATGGGTGCCGGGCAGCCCCTGGATGCTCAACAGCCGTGAGTGCTGAGTGCTCGGTGGTTTCTGCTGCTGGTGCCGTGCATGGAACAGTAAGCCTGGGGCCCCTCCTGGAGACCGCGCTGAAGGTGGATGGCAGCGGGGGGCTTCCCAGGAGTGCGCAGGGCCTGGCTGCCCTGGCCTCAAAGCCTCTTCCATTTGACCTACATCTTAGCTGAAGTCAGGAAGCACCACCGGCAGAGCCCCGGCGGCTCAGTGGGGAGTGGCACAGCCTCCGAGAGCGCATCCCAGCTCCTGGGAGCTCGACCGGCACAGGCAGCCAAGGTGGGCTGAGCCAGAGCCCAGGCCCCAGCAGCTGCCTGCCTGCCTGTCCCTGGGAGGCACCATGACAAGGGCCCCTGCTCTGCCATCCGCCTCTCCTGAGGCTGCGGACCACCCACCTCTGGGGAGCCCATTTCCCAAGTTCAGGCTCCTCTCCAAGGGGGCACACTGACTGTCCTGTCTCCAGCCCCAGCACCTGGGACCCAGAGGCACCAGCGGGTACTGGGAGGTGCCGGTGGCCCTGGCCCAGCTGCAGGGGATGCTGGGTTGAGGGGACCCCCCAGAAACAAGGGCTCTCACACCTCTAAGAGCCCTTGTCTGCCACCAAGACAGTTCCTCCCTTGCAAAGCACTTACTGAGACAGGGAGGAGTCCAGGCTGAAATCTTCTACAGGAAGCCTGGGGACACAGAGGGGCATCAACCAGAATGCGGGAGACAGATGGACAGATGGAGAAGGCAGCAGACAGATAGACGGACGGATGGAGAAGGCAGTAGACAGACAGATGGAGAGCCTGGGCTCTGGGACCAGGCGGGGCAC
The DNA here is from genome assembly GCF_000001405.40 of Homo sapiens. Taxonomy (NCBI): domain Eukaryota; kingdom Metazoa; phylum Chordata; class Mammalia; order Primates; family Hominidae; genus Homo; species Homo sapiens. Next base: position 135,742,631 of record NC_000009.12, on the reverse strand, counting down.
AGACACGCAGGGAGGCTCTGGGGGGCCCGGACCTTTGGCGCCCCCGGGCACGGGAGAGGTGCCTGTGGGAGGCAGTCCATGTGCAGAGCCATGTGGGGGCACTGAGCCAAGCCTGGCCCCCTCAGGGCCCGAGAAAGCAGCACAGCCCGCTTGGAGGTCCCCGCGCATGCACCCTCCTGTGCCTGGGCCAGATGGGGGGGTGACAACCACACTCGAGGAGAGGGCCACCCTTCAGCCACGCAAGCAGGTGACGATGCTTTGGGCACTCGCCCTGGCCCTGCTCAGCACGAAGCCAGCCCAGGCCCCATGTGTGGTCCCCAGCATCCAGAAGCGAGCGCGGTGAGCTCCACCTCATGCCGAGGTCTGCGAGGCTGTCCCCTTGTCTCCACTCCCCTGCCCTACACCCAGACCAGCGGGTGAGGCACCCGCCAGCCCTGCCCCAAGGCTCCCTGCGATAGGACAAGCCAGGGCTCAGAGCTGATGCCTCTCAGGGGACCTGGACACACCACCCTCCACCACGCCAGCAGCCACACACCTGCTACCCCTTCAGCCTGGCCCCAGGCAACCTGGCCCCAGTTGTCCCAGACTGGCCAGCAGGCGGCTGACACCAAGGTGGTTGCAACCTGCACTGGATTCGGAACTCGGAGAGAGAGGCTGATGGGAGCTGAGGGCTCCAGAGGGCCGGCCTGGTCGGGGGCTGGGCAGGGTGGGAGTGCCGAGGGTCTTTGCCTTCACTGACTATGTGCCTGTCCTGGACCAGCTCCTCCTCAAAGGACTTCAGAGGGACCTCTCTCTTTTAATCCTCAAAACAACCATGTTTTCAGAAAAGAAAACAAAGGTTCAGAGAGGACCACAGTCTTCTGAGGCCACACAGGCAGGAAGGAGGAAGCCAGCCTGGGGTCACAGGCACACGCTCATCGGCCTACGCCAGGCTCTCCGGGTGGGCAGGTGCCCTCCTGGTGCCCCTAGCCCTAGCAGCTTCTGGTCCCTGGGGGAGGCAGAAGCTGGACACACCCCTGGGAGGGCCGAGGTCCTGGCTGGGCATGGTGGCCGGGCCAGCAGCTCCACACGGAGCAGGCAGAACCCCAGGCTTAATGGGGCTGATCTTTGGGTTTGCTGGGAGCTTCTGGCAGATTCTGCGTGTTTGTCCGGCTCAGCTTCCCTCTCGCTGGACCCTGGTGCTGCCTGAAGCTCTGAGCCAGGGCAACAGCCGTGTCAGAGGCTGGCAGGAGCCTGGCAGTGCCTCAGCCCATGGCAGCGGGTCTGCCTGGCCTGTGGGTCAGGTCCGGCGTGGCCAGGCCCTGGCTGGGCTCCTCCCTGCTGGGGCCCACTGTGTCCTCTCTCCCAGGTGCTCCCTGGCCGCGTCCCTCTGCATCTCCCGATATAGCCCTAGCTGAGTGTCTACTGAGCTGCGCATGGGGCCTCCCATCTACTCTGCCCAAGGCCCTGTTGTCTGAGTGTTGAGGAAGCCACCACCTGTCAGATGTCCCACAGCCTGAGGCCCAGGACAGCCGTCCCCACTGATTTTGGAAGGGGCCACCAAGCACATGGGTAGAGGATCCACCCAGGGACTCCCAAGGGGAGGGCAGCGGCCTGTGGGCAAAGGGACCTGGGGCTTTGCTGGCCTGTGCAGAACCTGGCTGAGGACTGGAGCTCTGTGCAAACAAGGTCTGTCGGCTGCACAAACCCTGCCAAGTGAACTGCAGGGTGAGGGGTGGGAGGGGAGGGGAGGGGAGCTGAGGAAGCTCGGCCTCTATCCGCAGCATCCAAACCCACGGTGGTCCAGGAGGACCCTGATGCTCGCCTGTCCCAGCGGTTGGTGGCCTGGGTGCCACTCAGCATCTCTGCCAGCCCTAACTTAGCTGTTGGGACCAAGTGGTGAGGGCCTCATCCCTGGGCCCACCCACCTCCCATGGCCAGGCTCGCTGTCAACACACGAACAGAACCTGCACCCGAAGCCGTCACCTCCCTCCCAGGAGAGGGTCTCAGCCCTGCTTAGGGCAGCAGTGGTCAGTGGAAGGATCTGGGCTTAGCCCTGCTTCCCTGCTGTGTCCTGCAGAGCCTGGGGCTGGGGTCGGGAAGGAGCCCAGGTGAGGAGGGGCCATCCCCACTTGACTTGTGCCCATAAGGAGCAGTCTCAGCTGCCAGCCTCGAGAGGGAGGGACCCTCTGGGCTCTCTAGGAGCCCCTCTGGGCTGACTGGGGGAAGAGTGGAGTGTCCCTCTGCACCCCACAACCCCAAGTCCCATAAGATGCTTTGGGGAAGAGGGGGTTCCCTGCTTGGGGGAGTTTGGGAGCCTCTGTTCTAAACCTGGGGAATGCCCAGAGCACAGCCAGGTCCCGGCAGGTTCCCACACGCAACAAAGGCACCCCCTTATCTCGGGCGGAGTTTTGTGCCCCCAGGCTAACATGCTGAAGTCCTGACCCCCAGTATCTCAGCACGTGGCTATGTTTGGAGACGAGGCCTTTAAAGCGGTCATTAAGGTAAAGTGAGGCCATGAGGGTGGGCCCTAATCCCACAAAACTGGTGTCCTTATAAGAAGAGATGAGGACACAGACACACATAGCGGGACGGCCAGGAGAGGACACAGGGAGAAGATGGTGTCTACGAGCCAAGGGGAGGGGCCTCAGGAGGAACCAGCCCTGCCCACATCTTGAGCTCAGACTTCCAGCCTCCAGGACTGTGAGACAATAAATGAGGTGTGGGCCCAGCAAACACCCCTGAAAGACAGGGCCTGGTGTCCCCCGAGGGCCTGGGAACACAGCCCCACCCCTGCGGCTGGGCACTCCCTGTGCACGCTCCTGGGTCAAGGATAAACCAGCCGCCCAAACAGGTGCATTCTAGGGTGGGGGAGAAAGAGCGCAGAGCACTGTGTGGAAAGAAGGTGTGCAGCCCGGAGCGGGGCAAAGCCAGAGGAGGGCGGGGGCACCTCAGGGGTGACGGGACCATACTCAGGAGGGGCCCTCCTGGGAGAGAGGCCATCTGGGGCAAGCTCCAAGGGGGGCTTCAGGCCCAGGGGAAGGGGTGTGCCGAGCCGGTGTGAACACCATGAAGAGGGTGGGGCGCCGGGCGTGTGCCCGGGGTGAGGGGGGCATGGAGGAGCAGCCAGGTTCTTGGAGAGGAGAGGGGCAACCATGAAGGTCTGGATCTGCAGGGGAGGGAGGTCCTGGCAAGGGTGTCCGGGGTCGGGGGGCTCAGGGGACCATCTCCTGAGCCAAGGAACATCAGGGCGAGGGGCTTGGGGCGGGGCCGGGGCTCTGCGTGCCACAGCTGGACTGACAGACCTGTGGCTGCCATAGACACTGGGGTGCTGGGCACAGTGGCAGGAGAACTGGACCACGCTAGACCTCAGGCTGTGTGGGGGCCTCAGGCTTGCTCCCTGGGGTCAAAGAGAGGTGCCCCACCTCCCTCAGGGATGGTGTGGGGGCAGAACACGCAGTCCAGGTGAGCTCCTCAGCATGGGCCCCCTGCCCAGTGCAGTGCTAGGGCCAGAAGAGTAGGATGGGGCTGGGGGAACGGCCCCGGAGAGGATGTGGGGAGGGGGCTGTGTTGGTGCCTTAAGTCAGGCATGAGGCTGGGAGACCCCAGCTGGGAGGGGCAAGGCCGCCTAGGTCCAGGGGTGGTAGGGACACAGAGGGGCTCAGGGCCTCCTGATGCAGCGGGGTCTCACTGAGAGGCCCTGTCCCCCCATTGGGCACTTTTACTCAAAAGCTTTGCAGTGATGGTCTCCTGACCCCACCACTGAAGCCACGCTGTCTAATCAGCTCCCAATCCCTCCCCAGCCTCACACAGGGGAGTGAGAAGGAAGGAGGAGACCCCGGAGCTCAGGGTCAGGGGAGCTGGACTGTGTGGGAGGAGGGACAGAGGCCAGCCTGCAGCACCCATAAGTGGGCACAGGGTGTTAGGGGAGCTCTGGGCAGGGGCACCAGGAGCAAGTGCCCTCCCCCGACAACGCCTCCTGTGGCTCAGTCCCTGGTGGGCAGTGGAGACCTCTCCTCTGCTTCACTGTCTTCTCAACAATGAGACGGGCAGAGTCTGAGAGGGCTGAGGGAGCCGGGACCCTGGCTGGCCCATGAAGGCAGCTCAGGCCTGCAGGATGAGGCAGCTGCGGGCACTGCGACCCCCAGCTCCCTGGGGCAGACCACACCTGCCTCTCGGCTCTGGCCTCGCCTGTGTTTTCCGTGAGATCCACACTCCAGAAGAACAAACCTACCAAGTCCTCTGCTCAGGAGCCTGCCCTACTCATCTCAGCGCGAGCCCTGTTGTATGAATGCTCCAGGCCCAGGGGCTGCTCAGCCCAGCTGGGCAGCAGCTCCATTACCTCTGCTCTGCAAAAGGAGGCTATAAGGACTCTGCACCTCAGGGGCTGCCGGGGGATGAGCGAGGCCACCCATGTGAAACCGTCAGCACAGTGCATAGCCCACAGGGCTGGGATGAACATGCGGGAGGGCTTCCTGGAGGAGGTGGGCCTAGGCTACAGCTCCCATGCTGCACTGCACTGCGGGCTCAGACGCAGCCTGGGCAGAACCTGCTATCCCTATGGGCCCTGCAGGAACAGGGATGGGGCAAGGAACCTGCCCCTTGAGGGCTGGCTGTAGCAGGGCTTCCAGGATCACTGCCCTCCCCCTTCCCCCCACGCCAGCATCCAGGAAGAGGAGGGGGAGGGGACTGTGGTCCCCAGGGCCTTGGCCAGTGCTCGCCTCCCTGGCGGAGGCTGCCCATTAGCTGCAGGAGGCTGCAGCCAGGTGCTTGACCTTAGCCTCAACCGCCTCTTCTGCAAATGGGACTAAGCTGGGCAGTGCCCCCCCAGGGCTGCTGTGAAGAGCTAGAAATGGGGGTGCCGGGAGGGGCCCAACAGCCCACAGCCAGGTAGGAGGGGTAAGGGAGAGGCTCCTGGGCACCCTTGGCCCTGCCATCTGCCAGGCCCTGCTCTGCCAGCCCTGCCCCCCAGCCCTGATGAAACTTCAGCCCTCACTGCTTCCGCTACCTGGAAGGCCCCTGCCCATCTCCCCATGCTTGTCCCGGAAGGACCAGCACCCCAGGAGTCCCCGGCTCTTCTGTCCCGGCCTGGCCTGCACCTCTCTCTCCCAGGAACAGGTTCCGTGCCCACGACATGTGCCCACACCAGGCCAGGTCTGATTCATCCTCATTTCCCCCGCAGCATCTAGAACGGCTCCTGGCACGGGAAAGGTGCTGGCTAGGAATTTGCTGCTGCAGATGAGGCCTTGGTGTCCTCATCCGTGAAATGGGGGTGCTGTGTCCCACCCTGAGCTTGCGGAAGAGCCAAGGAGGGGTAGGCGCTGCTCCACCTGCCCAACCATCCCCAGAGGACGGCCACCTGCACCCCTCCTGCCACAAGCACCAGACACCAGCCCAAGCATACCCCACAGCAGGGCTCCCCAGGCAGCCTGAGCCCTGTGTCCCAGCCCTGACCTGCTGTGCAGGCTTCGGCCTCACTCACCTCTGGGGTGGGGACACGGATGCCGGCCCTGTCTCCCCCAAAGTGGCGCTGGCACCAACAAGATCGGGGCTCCTGTGGGACAGGGCTCGGGCAGGGGCCCCCAGTGCCTGGCACAGAGCTGGGTCCACTTCCTCCCTCCCCTGCAGTCTCACCTGCAGCCCCGCCGTGTTCAGCCCCTACGTGGGGGGAGTGGGGGGTCCCGCAGGCTCTCAAAGGCTGGAGACACGGCAGGAAGCAGGGCGCTGTGGTGGGCTTAGGAGGGGAGACCCTGGCCTCCCCCCTTCCCCGGGCTGCAGGCAACGCAGGTGCAGCCCAGCCAGCGCAGCCCGAGCAGGATGCAAGCGCGATTTGACAAGCGGGGTCCCAGGCCCGCGCGCCCCTACCTCTGGCCCACGTCGCTGCCCACGGAGCCCCCGCCGCGGGCCGGCAGCAGCGGGCTGAGCCCGTGAGGCTCCTCGGGGGCTGCGGCGCCGGCTGGGGCGCCCCCCGGGCCCGCCTTGCCCTCGGACGGCGAGCGCGGCAGCTTGGCCCGCGCCATCCTGCGGGAGCGCTCGGCGCGGCGGGCGGCGGGCGGCGGGCAGCGGGGGCGGCGCCGGGCGGAACCATCTCAGCTCGCGCCGCGCCCTCCCCACGCCGCCGCGCAGTGGAACGGCCGGGTGCCGGGGCTGGGGGGCTGGGGAGGGCGGGGAGGACTGCCCGGCTCAAACCACCGCCAGGACGCCCCATGGAGAAGGTTCAAGCACCCGGTGGCCCTGCGGCTGCTTTGGCAGAAGCCAAGCAATGGTAACAATGACAGTCGCGCACGGGGGGAGGGGAGGAGCCGCGAGGGCTGGTGGCCCTGGGCGCCCACCCCGGGCGGCAGATGCTGGAGAGGAGCCGGAGTCCCGCTTGGCAGGGCAGGGCCCTCCAGCCGGCCTGCGGACCAGGCCTGGCGCTCAGGATGGCCTGCCCAAGCTGTGCCCACCCCTAGCCCCCAGCCCTGGTGTGGGGTGGGTGTAGTACCCTGGCCAGGGGGGTGATGGCTGAGTTTGCCTGTCCTCACCAGGGTCCTCACCCCCCAATTCCTACCTCCAAAGCTGTCAGGGCACAGCCCATGGGGGCACTCCGGGATGGTGCCTGTATGCCAGGCTGGGCACCGGGCACAGATCCCACCTGTGTGTGTGCAGCGCTGGTCTGCCCCAGATGCCTGGCTGGGCCCGCACATCTCACATGATGTGGCTTTTGTAACCGTTCCCTTCCATGTCACAGACGCGGCTCCAGGTGACTCGCCCAGGTGACAGGCAGGTAACAGCCGGGGGGTATTGGCACCGGGAGGCCCAGCTGCCCCGAAGCCAGCTCGGTAGAGGCAGGAGGCTGTCAGATGCGCCCCTGTCCTCAGCAGTGCCGGGTGGCAGAGCCCTCCGGACTTGTCCACGCTCTGACCCCAGACCTGGAGTCCTTGCAAGCCAGGGATCTGTCTCTATTTCTTCCCCCAACCAACAGCCAGGGCCCAGTGAGTACAGAGGCCTGTGGGAGGCAGGTGGGCCTAGGACCCCCTGACAGCACCAACTCCAGGGAGTGGGCCGGCCCGCCCCAAACTCACACCAGAAGCCCTCCCGGAGCCGGCTGCCTGTTCCCCCACCCTGAATCCCCCCACCCTTGGCTGGACGGTTTCTGACCTCACTAGGCCTCCATGCACCCGTGCCACAGGGGCCTGGGTGGCCAACGCGGATGGGGTGGGGGTAAAACTCCAGCGGCAGGTCCCTGACAGGCAGCACAGGCTTCCATTTCTTCAGCACCCATGCTGAGGGAGGGCTGGACCACTCGAGGGAGGCTGAGGCACAGGGCCCTGCTCCCTCTGGGGGTCCAAACGCTGAGCCGCCATCATGCTCAGAAAATGACCAACTCACTGGCGCTCCCGATACCTGCCCTAGCGCCCTCCCCGATGTGGCTGAGTAAGGAAAATCCCCTGAAAAGCCACTGTGTGTGGTCTGAGCACACGCTCCTATGCATGTCGCCCTGGCTGCCTGTCGTGGCTCGGGTCTACCCCAGGGGAGAGCGCTGTTTGTACCTGCAAAGCACGAGTACCCTCTGCCAGCCCCTGGTGTTGGGGAGCACCAGCAGATGGAAGCCCCCTTCAACCCTCCTGTGGAGTGCCCCAGAACGGCTGTAAAGAATGAGGCTGGGCTCTTCTCCTGGGCGTGCTGCTGAGTGAGCCCCATGCTGTGCTGTGAGTAAACAGACCAGGCGGAGCCCCGCACCACCCCTGGGCGCCGCCTGCAGGGCCCTTCACCGCGCCATGACTGCACAAAGGGCCGATGGACATCAGGGCTGCCCATACATGGTCACCCTGGGGCGGGGAGGAAGCTGGGAGGGAGGGTGCCTGGGCTGCGGATGCGGCTCGCTCACATTCCCTGGGAACGAACCCACAGCCCACCGCAGTGCTGGAGGAAGCCTCACGCAGGAGGCAAACGCGCGCGCCCACCCGGGGCGGCTGCTCCATGATGCAGTGCTGTGACTTTTTCCGTTCCTGCTTTTCGAGAGTGCAGTGGGTCTTCACTTACTCGTGGCCTTTGAAGTACAGGATGAGAGTTATGTGACAAGAGAACATCTGTGCCGTGTTGTCCATGGAGTGCCCACAGCCGGCTGCAGCAGGTGCCGCCTGGGGTGCGGGGAGGGGAGGAGGATCTTCGCAACTTGCTGCTGTACCACGTCTGAAGTTTGATTTATTTTGAAATGACTGTCTATGTTTGTCACAGAAAGTCCAGTGAGATGATTCCCATGTGGGAAGGACAATACCTTCGGCATCGAGCAGCAGTCCCAGAAGCCCCCTTTCCTGGCCTCAGGGCACCAGGACGGGTGCAGGGCCCATGGCTGGAGCCAGGCACGGAGGGGAAGGTGGGCTGGGGCCCCAGGCTCGGGGTCCACAGAGCCACGTGAGCCTTGAGGTGTCCCCAGCACTTTCTGCTCCCATGGAGCCTGGAGAGGCTCGACCCTATGGCTACACAGGGGCAGACATCCTGGAAACTCAGGAAAAAATAACAACTGCCCTTTTAGAGAGCACACAGACGCTGTGGTTCAAACGTGTCTCCAAGAGCCCTGCAGAGAGGGTGGGGCCTCGCTTTGCCTACCGCGAGCTGAGTGGGACTGCGGGCTGGACAGAGGACAGGGGACCAGGTGGATCCAAGGTGTGTTTTGAAGGTGGCACTGGCTAGACTTCCTGAAGGACTAGGGGGGAGGGACAGCGCCCAGGCTGGGGGGAGGGAACAGGCAGGTGGTGACACCCCAAGGTGGGGAAGACAAAAGGAGCAGGCGGGGGGTGGATTATGACACCCATTCTGGACATTCTCAAAGTGCCTGCCAGGTGACATCTCGTGGGTGGGCACCCACGCCTGGTGCTATGGGGGGCTGCCAGTCTGAGACTGTCAGTCTGAGACCCATCTGGGTCTCCGGCTCAGCAGTGGGATCTGAAGCCCCAAACTAGCTGGGGTCACCTCGGTGGAGTGGTACAGCCTGAAACTGGCCAAGTGGGAGAGGAGTGCAGGGCTGGGCAGTGTGACATTTACAGATGTGAGGGCAGGTGTGGGGGCAGGTGCAAAGGCAGGTGTGGGGGCAGGTGTGAGGGCAGGTGTGGGGGCAGGTGCAGGGGCAGGTATGGGGGGCAGTTGTGGGGGCAGGTGTGAGGCAGGTGTGGGGGCGGGTGTGAGGGCGGGTGTGGGGGCAGGTGTGGGGGCGGGTGTGGGGGCGGGTGTGGGGGCAGGTGTGAGGGCAGTTGGGGCAGGTGCAGGGGCAGGTATGGGGGGCAGTTGTGGGGGCAGGTATGAAGGCAGGTGTGGGGGCAGGTGTGAGGGCAGGTGTGGGGGCAGGTGTGCTGGCAGGTGTGGGGGGAGGTGCAGGGGCAGGTGTGGGGGGCAGGTGTGAGGGCAGTTGTGGGGCAGGTGCAGGGGCAGGTATGGGGGGCAGTTGTGGGGGCAGGTGTGAAGGCAGGTGTGGGGGCAGGTGCGGGGGCAGGTATGAGGGCTGCACTAACCCAGGACAACAAACAAGCATAGTAAGAACTGGAGATGAATGACTCAGAGCCGACAAGGAGAGGGCAGGTCAGCATCACAGACCTCCTGGAGGGTGTCCAGGGGAGTCACAGAGGAGGTACAGGCGGTGCTGCTCCCCACACTGCTCCTGTCTTCTGAGTCCAAACTGGGAGTGCCGGAATCCTCACCCTTAGCCCTCATCAGGAGGCAACCAGGGGGTGTGTCCTGACTTTGGTCACTGTCTGGCTGGGGAGACACCAGGGCTGACCCTTGGACTGAGGTGAGACCTCTTGATTGCCCCCAGTGGGAGAAGGGCATGGAGCCCCAGGAAGGAGGGAAGGAAGAAGGAAAGGAAGGAAGGGAGAAAAAAGAGAAGAGAGAGAGAATGAGAGAGAGAGAGAGAGAGAGAGAGATAGGTTGGACTTCAGCAGACAAAGAACCCGGCCAACAATAAAACAAAACCCAGAGAAGAAGGAAGTTCCCCAGGAGGAATTTGGGCACTGTGTCAACTTGATAAGGACAAGGTGCAATGGAAGCCACACTCGAAGATGAGATGAGCCTGTTCATCTCAGCAGCCAGTGGCAGAGGGGGAGACCACAGAACTCCAGAAGCAAGCGGAGAGCCCACACGCCATACAGTTATGACTCAATGAGCCCAAGCCAGGAGGAACAGGAGAGGCATGGCTGAAATTGGATTATAGACACAGATGGCTGGCTCTGACCAGCACAGCAAAGGCACAACAAGATCCAGGCACCGGAGGAAGGGTGAGGACACTTCCACTGGAGGATTGCTTGTACCCCTGGGTAGAAGCCTCAACTAGTTTTTGGTATTTAAAATATATTTGAAGCCAGTTGCGGTGGCTCATGCCTGTAATCCCAGCACTTTGGGAGGCTGAGGCGGGCAGATCACCTGAGGTCAGGAGTTCAACACCAGCCTAACCAACAAGGTGAAACCCCATCTCTACTAAAAATACAAAAATTAGCTGGACGTGGTGGTGGGCACCTGTAATCCCAGCTACTGGGGAGGCTGAGGCAGGAGAATCTCGAACCTGGGAGGCGGAGGTTGCAGTGAGCTGAAATATCATGCCACTGCACTCCAGCCTGGATGACAGAGTGAGACTCCCTCTCTCTCTCTCTCTCTCTCTCTCTCTCTCTCTCTCTCTCTCTCTCTCTATATATATATATATATATATATATATATATACACGCATATTTGAAAAGTATTTAGATATGTGATGATGAAGCAAAGAAAGAACTGTGCACGGAGTCCCAGGAAAACAAGACACAGGATGCATTCCATCCAGATATGGCTCCTACTCCACCTCCTCAGCTGAGGGTAAAGAAGATTCTGCAGGTGCACAAGACAGAACCAGTGAGTCACTACGAAGGGGGTGAAGTGAGCTGGCTGCAGATTTTCTGCAGTGAACTAAGCACCAGAGGATGACGGTCCCATGCTGATCAAGTTCTAATGGGAAAAAATGAGGTCTAGGACTATTATACCCAGCCAAAATGTCACTCGAGTCTAGAGACACAGGGGCGATGTCCTCCAACGCAAAGGAACGTGAGAGAACGCGGCACAAATGCACACGCCCTTGTTGGGAGAAAAACAACCACAGCCACCTCAAAGATGAAATGAAGCTGCTAAAAGAAATGCCAAAGAAAGAATTCCAGCGTGAAGAAGCCGTATGAAAGGGTGGGTGGGCAGCGGGAAGCCCACTGAGGTGGCTACAGAGCGTTAGAGAATTACACAAAATATGGTTATAGAACAGGTAAGCATTTAAACCTTGGTGGAGTAAAAACAATGATAAAATTAGTAACATTGTGGGTATGCAGGACACTGTGATCCAAAATGAAGACACGCCAGGCGACTGAGATTCTAACGCGAGCCGCGCTGAAAGACCCATCCCCAGAGAATGACTGACTCAGGGCAGGGAAGGTTCGAGAGTGTGGAAAATCTAGTTTTGCTAGAGAACAAGGAAGTTGCAAAGAGGAATGGGGTCATGTCCAAGGGTACGGAAGCCAGTGGGAAGGGCTCCCATTGGCCAAAGTGGAGGCGGTGGGATCTCAGAGGGGACAATGATTCAAACATGGCGTGTGGGCTTCCTGCTGCTGTGGTTACAAATGACCACAAATTCAATTGCTAAACCACACTTTTTTTTTTTTTTTTTTTTTTTACCTTGAGACGGGATCTCACTTTGTTGCCCAGGCTGGAGTGCAGTGGCATGAACATCGCTCACTGCAGCCTGGACCTCCTGGGCTCAAGTGATCCTCCTGCCTCAGCTTCCCAAGTAGCTGGGACTACAGGCATGCACCACCATGCTCGGCTAAGTTTTGTATTTTTTGTAGAGACAGGGTTTTGCCATGTTGCCCAGGCTGGTCTGGAACTCCTGAGCTCGAGAGATCTGCCTGCCTTGGCCTCCCAAAGTGCTGAGATTTCAGGTGTGAGCCACCGTACCCGGCCAACACAAGTGTTTTAAGCACACCATCCCGGAGGTCCGAAATCCCAAGCCTGAAGTGCCGGCAGGGCTGGCTCCTTCTGGAGTCCCAGGGAGGGGTCCATTTCCTTGCCTCTTCCAGCTTCCGGTGACCACCACCCTCCCCGGCTGGGCCCCTCCTCCCATCGCTCCAGTCCTTGCTTCCCCTGCTCATCTCCTTCTCCAGCGACTCTGAACCTCTGCCTCCCTCCCCTAGGAATCTGTGATGATCTTGGCTCACCCAGATCATCCACGATAATTTCCCATCTTCAAGGCCCTCCACTTAATCATATCTGCTAATCCCCCTCACCACGTGTGGTCCCCCTCGCCACGCATGGTTACATAGTCATGGGTTTCTGGGATCAGGACATGGACATCTTCAGGGGAGCATTATTTGGCCCACCACACACGGCAGGTCCACGGAACTCCATGGGTCCACACCTGATGCTCCGAAGGGGGAGTCCAGGGAACCCCTTTCCTTGTTGTCGCCACTAGAGGCTGCAATTCAACACTGCCTTACTGTGAAAATCTGTCATTAAAGAGAAAGGGTCGAGGGTGTTTCCAGCAGGAATTATATTTGGGGGTGCACAGCTCCCATGGATGAAGGATCAGCACAGTGCAGAGGAGAATGTGGGTAACGCTGATGGAGGGAGGAAGAGAAAAAGGCAGCCTGCACCTCCCAGGTCCCAGTGGAAGGACAGGCTTGGGAAGGGCCTTCAGAGGGGGCCAAGAGCCACAGAGGGAACACTGGGTGCTCGTAAAGCCACAGGCCACCTTGAGGTGACCAGGGGGAAGTACCTGCCCAGTGGTGGGGTTGGGCTGGCCCCAGCAGGTCCATCAGGCCATCTTTGACACGGGCAACCAGGACCTGAGGCCACACGCAGACACCAAGGGCACGTGCAACATTTTCAAGCCTCGATCAAGTAAGCTCTGTCCAGCAGGCCTGCAGACCCAACTTCCACTTTGCAAAAAATACTGGAGGCAGAAGAACAAGCTGAACCACCCACAGAGAGGCCACCGGACACGTGCAGACGGTGGAAACTTCTGCAGGACGAGAGGCCTGGTGTACGTGCTACCTCTGTTGCGTAACGAACCACCACCAGCCTGGAAGCTCACAGCAGCACCCACTTATCACTTCTCAGTTCTGTAGGGTAGAAGTCTGCGCACAGCTGAGCTTGGTTTTCTGCAGAGGGTCCCATGAGGCTGAGACGGAGGCATCCGCAGGGCTGGGCCCGCATCTGGAGCCCAGCAGGAATCTGCTCCCAGGCTCATTCCCGCCATCTGCGGAATCCCCTCCTGCACAGTGGGACAGAGGACCCCCTTTCTTGCTGGCCGCTGGCAGGGGGTTGCTCTCAGCTCCCCAGGGCCACCTCCTTCCTTGGCATATGCCCTCATCTCTAAAGCAAGTACAGATGTGTTCAGTTCCCTGCTGCCTCCAGTCACTTCACCTCTTCCACTGCCAGCCAGAGGAAACGCTGCTTTCAGAGGGCACGTGTGAGTAGACGCAGCCCACTCGGATAATCGCCCTTTGATTAATTCAAATTCAACTGCTCAGCGAACTTAATTATATCTCCCGTGTATACCTGTCTCCCCATTCCTCCTTTGTATAAAGAGGGGCCTTAGTCCTATTGAATTAGGGCCCAACTGAATGACCTCATTTCACCTTAATTACCTCTAAAGAACCAATTTCCAAATACAGTCATAGTCTAAGGTACCATGGGTTGGGGCTTTGATATATAAATCTTGGGGGACACAGTTCAATCCCGAACACCATGTCACGTGACAATCGTGGTGTGATGTCTCAGATTCACAATCCCGGGGGTAGGGTGGGAAATCCTGGGGGACCCGCCTGGTGGGAGCTGTTCCAGATTAAAAAGGGGTTTGTGAATCACCATAACCAGACCCGGCAAAACACTCCTGGATTGAGCTCACCAGCTGCTGAGCACATGCCGGGGCCGCTGGGGAGATGTCTCTCCAAGCTGGGCTTGGGCTGCCCCTCTCCCAGGACCCCTGCCCGGCCCTCTCCCCTTCCCAGCCCGTGGCTGCGGCCCTCACTCTCCGGCCCCCGGCTCTCTGCCCCTCCGTGGGCATGGCCTTGGCCTCCCTGAGTTCTGGGGAGATGCCTCCCACTTCCTGTTCCCCCGGAACAGGGCGTGAGTCTTGGGAGACCTAATCAGGGCCTCCTGAAATCTGGGCTTTTCCCAGGCAGGCCGTGGGTGGCTGTTACATCCGCAGTGAGGCTGTGGGGGTCTCACTTCCCAAGGAGGGGCCTGCGGGTGGCTTGGCCGCTGGCTCTTTTCTGCCCCACATAGAAACCAGGTGAATCTGCCCCGATGTTCTCCCTCCAAACAATTATGCGATTTCCTGGTGTCGGGGTGTCCTGGGGCTGCCATAACAAAGTACCACAGCGGGGGGCTTGAAGCAACAGTTCTGGAGGCCAGAGTTGGACATCAGTGTCCCTGGGCTGAAGTCCAGTGTCACAAGGCTACGCTTCCTTGGAGGCCCTAGGGAGGGTCCTTCCTGCCTCTTCCAACTTCTGGGGACTCCAGGCACCCCTCGGCGGTGGCCACATCACTCCAGTCTCTGCCCCCGCCTTCACACGGCCATCTCCTTCTGCCTGTTAATCTTTTTCTTTTTTGAGTTTTCTTAAGGCAAGCTTGTTTTTGTAGTAAATGTGCATAACACAAATATTGCCATTTTAACCCTCTTTGCCGCCCTCTTTTAAGGACTTTGTGACTGCGTTTTGGGCCAGGATGGCCTCCCCACTGCAACATCTTTCCCTCACTCGCCTTTTTAGAGCCCTGCACAGCAGGTCCCAGTCCCAGGCTGCAGATTGGGACGGTCAGTCAGGATGGTCATCCTTCGGCTGCTCTGAGAAGGGCCCTGGCACAGACCCACGCTCTCTGGATGGTCCTTTGCTCCCCTGTGGGCCCCACCTCTGTCCGGAGAATCCAGGCCAGCGAGTGGGGGCTGGAGGAGCAGTACCCAGGGGCTGGGGGCCGGGATGCAGAGTGGCCTTTGGCATGGCGGACACCACCCGGCCTGGTGCCACACCTCCCTTCAAAGGCACAACAGTACCACCAGGCATGGAAGAGGTCCTCCTCTCCCAAAGGTGACACACGGCTGGGCTCCCCCTCCCCGTTCCCAGGCCCCTCGGGCTGGGCCTTGACTAATCACTGTGGAGGGGACCCTGCAGAGAGTGGGGAAACTGACAGAGAGAGAGGGAGAGAGAGAAAGAGAGAGAGAGAGAGAGGGAGAGGGGGGAGAGAAGGGAAAAGAGAGGGAGAGAGTGGGAGAGAGAGGGAGAGAGAGGGAGAGGGAGAGAGAGAGAGAATGGGAAAGAGGGAGAAAGAGGGAGGGAGAGAGGGGGAGAGAGAGAATGGGAAAGAGAGGGACAGGGAGAGAGAGAGAATGGGAAAGAGAGGGAGAAAGAGGGAGAGAGAGAGGGGGAGAGAGAATGGGAAAGAGAGAGAGAGAGGGAGAGGGAGAGAGAGAATGGGAAAGAGAGAGAGAGGGAGAAAGGGGGGAGGGAGGGGGGGAGAGAGGAAGAGGGAGGGAGAGAGGGAGGGAGGGAGAGGGGAGAGAAGGGGAAAGAGGGAGAGAGAGGGAGAGAGAGAATGGGAAACAGAGGGAGAGAGGGAGAGAGAGAGAGAATGGGAAAGAGAGGGAGAGGGAGAATGGGAAAGAGAGAGGGAGAGAGGGAGAGAGAGAATGGGAAAGAGAGGGAGAGGGAGAATGGGAAAGAGAGGGAGAGGGAGGGAGAGAGAGAGAGGGAGAGAGAGAGAATGGGAAAGAGGGAGAGAGGGAGAGAGAGAATGGGAAAGAGAGAGGGAGAGGGAGGGAGAGAGACAGGGAGAGAGTGAGAGAATGGGAAAGAGAGGGAGAGAGAGAGAGAATAGGAAAGACGGAGAGAGAGGAAGAGAGAGAGAGGGAGAGAGGGAGGGAGAGAGGGAGGGAAAGGTAGAGAGTGAGAGAGAGAGAGGGAGGGAGAGAGGTAGAGAGAGAGAGAGGGAAGGAGAGATAGAGGGAGGGAGAGACAGAATTAATTAGCTAATCATCAGGTTGGGGGCGGGAGTAGGGCGAGGCCTTGGCAGAGTCTGATCTGGGTCTCCAAGGGGCCCCGTCCGTAGCAGAACTTGGCTTACCTGGGGTGCCTCGCTTTACCCTCCCAACAGGTTCTACCTACCAAGGGACCCACTGAGGCTTGGAACGGGGTGGGGGTAAAGATGCGGCCCTGGCCACATGGCGAGCCACAGAAGCCAGGGGGAGCTCTGAGCTCAGGCCACCCAAGACTGGGCTGGCTTTGCTCCCAGGGGCACTTCTGTCCCTGGGGGTACGGCCTCATCCAGGTCCCTGGAAGGGATCCGAGACCCAGGGAGGCCCCAGAGGGCCCTGCAGGCCGGGAGTCTCCCCCGGGGGCTGCTGGCCCTGTGCCACGTAGTGCTGTGGAGAGGGGCTGGGAGCATCCACCGCAGGCCCTCAGCTGCCCCTGCCCCAGCCCAGCCCCCAGCCCAGACAGCGCCCTGGCTCCTCCTGTCCCCTCCCCTCATCCCCCTGCCCCCACGACTGCAGGCCTCTCCCCAGTCCTTTGCCGGCCCTTCTGTGGATCAAGGTCAGGGGAGGATGTGGGGGTCTCTTGCCCTGACAGGCCCCTCCTCCTGGGTGGGGTGGCCACTCCGAGCCCCCACAGCCATGGCTCCTGGGTGGTGGCCGGGGAGGCTGCTGCCCACCAACCCCTCTTCCTCCCCAGACCCCTATCGCCCAGGTGGTTCCTCCTGCCAGACCTGGGCTCCCAGGGCGGGTGGGAGGGGGCCTCTTTTCCGGCATTTCTGCTTTCCAGCATATATTCAATCAACTTAGGACACGCCCAGGCAAACCGCCCAGCAAAAGGACGGGGCTGTGCTGGAAACAGACTCTGTCCGCCTGGACCCGGCTGAGGGTCCCAAACCCAGCAAGGGCAGCCACAGCTCCACGTGGGAACCTCCTTAGTGGCCCCTGGGGCCCCCCCGGCTTTGGTGCTGTCCCAGAGTGACCCCTGCACCCTCTCATTTGTGCATGGGTGTCCTGGGGCTCAATACCACAAACTGAGTGCCCAAAACTACAGCGGTCTCTTCTCTCTGTTCTGGAGACCAGAATGCAAAATCCTGGTGTTGGCAGGTCCACCCTCCCCCGCAAGCGTAGCGGGTCCTCCGCCGTCTCCAGCTCCTGGTGGCCCTGGGCTCGTGGTAGCGTCACTCTGATCTCTGCGTCTGTCCCGGCGTGGCTTCTTCTCTGTGTCTCTGGGTTTGTTCCTTCTCTTCGTATAAGTCACTGGATCTGAGCCCCTCGGTCCAGAATGGCCTCACCTTGAGATCCTCAACTAATCACATCTGCAAAGACCGTGTTTCTACATAAGCCACATTCTGGGGTTCTGGGAGGACAGGAATCTTTCGAAGGCCCTGTTCAAACACTATAGGGGACCTGGAGTACTCTCCACAGACCCCTCCTTCTGAGGTCCCCCCCGGCAGCTGTGTGGCCCTCGACAGGCCCCGCCCTTCTGAGGACTCCGTTTTCCTGTCTGTGCAGGGAGGCGGTTGGGCCATTGAGCCACCAAGGGATCCTGGGCTGGGTTTGTCATGTGTCCACCACACGCCCCCCCACGCAGTTGCCTCCTGGGTGGGGCAGGGACAGGCCCCAGCGCTGCTTCCACCAAGATTACCCTCAGGATCACATGGGGGAGCCCAGGGGCACCCCCTCTCATGGGGGGAAGACCCTGTCAGATCTGTTGTCTGCTAGAGGGAAGGTTCAGGGTCATCCTCGAAGCCAGTGGTGGGGGGCCCATCTGTGCCTGCAGGAGCCCAGGCTCTGCCTGGGCGGAGGAAGCTCCAATCCAGGTGGGTGGCCGGGGCCTTCATGTTGGGCCTCTCGGGGCAGCCCAGCCGACCCAGCCGGAGCTAGGGATCCCAATGAAATACATGACACACCTGGTGAGGTTTCAATGTCAGATGGAAAATAATTGTCTTAAGTATAAGCACGTCCCCGATATTGGATAGGATACACTTCCACTGGGAAATGATTCACTGTTTATCTGACAGTCATATTTAACCAGGCATCCTGTATTTGTATTTGCTGAATCTGGTGCCTACAGCAGACACTCAACTTGACCTCTGTTGCATGACTGAATGAATGAATGCCTGCATACGTGGAGGAAGGAACAGGCAGACTGGCCACGCCCCTCGCCGACCACTGGCCTGCCTGGATCCTGCAGGTGAGGACCTGGTTCTCTGGCCACCACAAGGCTGTGCCTGCCCCCGTTGGCCTGTGCTTCCCTGGGCACTGCCTTCACTCTTGTTTGAGGCTCAGGGGGCTCAGGATGGGAGTGCACGCGGGGCCCGCTGTCTCTACCCGCCCACGGCTGCCCCCACCTGTGCAGATGGTGCCCCCTGAGCCACCCCCAGCCTGGCCTCCGGGGATGAAAAGCACCCCATGGGGAGGACACAAAGTTGAGGCCCCTGGAGGCCTGACCCTGAGGCTGGCCTGGACTGCAAGGCCCTTGGTGCCCTCCCCCTGTGCCTCTCGAGCCTCTGAGCCTGGATCCCACAGTCAGCTCTTATTCAGGGGCCCATGATGGATAAAAATTCAGAGGGGAAAGCAGGAGTGCTGGGAGGAGGGCATGGAGCTTCCCGGGGCCTCTTATGAAAACCTGGAGAGGAAGAGACGGGCTCAGAGTGAAGGTGGCAGGGATACCTGGGCCTCCCCAGCCCACAGCACCCTCAGGGGAACGGACACTGGTCTGGGACGGGGCTGCGCTGAGCCATGGCGCTCAGACTGGATGGAGGAGGGGGTGTTCAAGGACATGAGGTACCTGTGCTGGGCTGGGGGCAGCCGGACACCAGGCCTGCAAGCCCCGAGGGGTGGCCTGGCACTGAAGGCGGTGATGCCTTTGATGGACTTGCCAGACTGGCAGAATCATCAGTAACAAGGTCCCTGGGACACGGCACTTCCCGGGACAGCTCTAGATGCTCCGGACACCCACCAGGAGAGCCAGGGCCCCCTTCCTACTGACAGGGCTCTGAGGCCCCCCAAGCCCCAGGGTCCCTCTGGAGGCAGCAGGCCCCGTGTAGACATGGCCATGCAGCAGACGCGTGGGCACAGCTGTCGGTCGCACAGGCACAAAATGCCCCTTCGGGAGCCACACGCTCACGTGGTGCACAAGAACTTCCTGCCAGGGAGCAGCAGCCTCTCCTCCCTGCCTGCCACCCTGTGGAGCCAAGCCTCGGGCAATGGCAGTGGATGCCGGCGCCGGCCCTGTTCATGCAGGTGGCATTCCATGTTGACCCCAAGATGGACGATATCTCCTGGAACAGGATGCAGGACAATTTCTAGGTACAGCTGGAACTCCTGACACCCCACCAACGCTTTTGCTTTTGGGACCTGGTGGAGGGGTGACGGGTCACGGGACAGCTCACCCACCCTGCCAGGCCTCTGGGGTGCTGCCCTGCAGGCGAGCTCTGCAGCCCCCAGCTTCCTGCACTCTGCAAGTTCACTGCCTCGGAGAGCCACGCCCGTCACTGACTGCTGGGGAGGCACAGGCAGTGTGGCCTCAGCCTTCACTCACACAGTGGCCGCTGTTGTGATGAGCGCTGGAGAGGAGAGGAAAGCTGCATGCAGGAGGCTCTCCCGAGGGACCTGGCAGATGCCCTTGAAGTTTAAGGAATTTGAAATGAAGGGGCAACTTAATCCCCCGGAGGATTTCCCACGACATCTTTTGCAGCGTCCCCTTCTTTCCCTCCAAGCCTGCTCCAGGCTGAATTGCACCCCCAGATTCCCTTGTTGAAGCCCCCACCGCTGATGGGATGGTATTTAGAGACAGGGCCTTCAGGAGGTGAGTAGGCTTGGACGAGTTCATGAGAGTGGGGCCTCGGGATGGGAGCAGTGCCCCACAGGAAGAGAGCAGAGAGCCTGCATTCTCTGCCCCGTGGGCGCAGTGAGAAGACGCCACGTGCAAGCCTGAGAGATGCTCTCACCAGGAGCCTGGTCCGCCGGCGCCTTGATCCTGGGCTTCCAGCCTCCAGAACTGAGAAATAAATCTCTGTTGCTGAGGCTGCCGGGTCTGTGGTGCTTTTCCATAGCAGCTGGGAAGACTGAGACGAGGCATAAACACACTTACACCCATTCCATTTCAGCTGGACGCGCCGGATGATGGAAACGGAACAGTGGAGGGAGCGCATTGGGAATTACAACCTGAAGCCCAAACGGTTGGTGGCTTCCTGACGCGGAGGATGCCAGCCCCTCCCACTGGGCATCTGTGTTCTGTTTTACACTAATGCGGGAGGAATTTCATTTTGTGTCACACACATGAGTCCCTGGGACATGGGCTTGGTGATGAAGCCGTGTGCCCCGCTGTGCCGGCCCCAGGGGTGGGACGGGGGATGCAGCCCCAGGGGACGCGGGATTCGCCCTCTCAGGGTCTCCCTGGATATCCTGGGGGTGTGTTTGGGGGAGCCAGAGGCCCCCCGCTTGAGTCATAAAGACGCACAGGCTGAGGACTGAGCCAGCCCTGGGCCCAGGGGTATCACGGACCCTCCTCCATGCCCCCACAGCCAGGTGATGCCCCACAAGACACCGTTCACATGTGATGGGCCCTGGTCACCGACAGCCTCTGTGGCCCTCCTGTTGATCCTGCCCACTCCTTGGTCACCCAGGGCTGGAGGCAACGCAAGCCCCTGGAACCCACCGTCGGAGGGAGGGACAGGGCTAGGAGGAAGGTGCAGCCCACCCGGGAGCCACAGTCTCCACAGCAGAGGCGTCACCTTCCCCCACCCTGACTCAGGCCCACCTTCCAGGACCCTGCTTCCTGGTAGGGGGCCCAGGAGACAAGGGCGAGCAGGCCTGGCCTCCAGCCCTGTCCACAGTCGAGTGGGGGCAACACAGGCAAACCGACCCTGAGCTGGAAAGGGACTGGAGAAATCATGACATGCATTTCACTCACTCAGGACACCGTAAAGCACATGGAACCTGCCAGAACTTTTGGACACCATCCCGGGCCTTTCCTGCTCCAATAAACCAGACCTTGACTCAATCATGCAGGTGGCACACCAAGGGGGTCCAGGAAAGACAGACAGGCGGCCCCGAGGCTCTGGGATTGGCTCCTGGTATGCGCATGGCCGGCACCCTCCCCCGGCCAGGAGACCCCAGCCTGCCTGGGCCCCACCGGCCTGGCCAAGGCCATTTCTCAGGCTGGCCGTGTCCTCCCAAGCCTGTGGGTGTTTGCTCTGGAAAGGGCCCCAGGGCGAGAAGGGCCAGGGGCAGGACTGGGATCCCACCTGGCCCCTCCCTGCCCTATTAGTACGCCTGCACACAGCAGGATGGCCCCGGGCAGAATGTTAAATATAACCACCCCCTACCCCACCACCCCCAGGGACTGAGCAGGCTGGCGTTTCCCTGAGCTCAGCAGCTCTGGGCAGGAGGCACGCCAGGGGACCCGGTGCTGGAGCGGAGTGGCTTCGAGGCTGGGGCTGGCCCAGCAGCTCAGGCCGAGAGCGTTGGGGGCCACTTCAGCCCCTTCTGGGGGTCCCCCAGTCCAGGGGCCACCCTTCCCAAACTCAGCTCCAGGCCTCTCCCACCCCAGCCCTCACCCTGCATGGTTCCCCGACTCCTCCTCGAACCTTCACGGCCCCTAAACCACCACTGCCCCTTGGGCTCGGCCGTGTGTCCCTCGTGCCCCACCCTCACCTTTGGGTCAGGCCTGGCCACACCCTTCCTCCTGACTGTCCCCCTCTGTTTCAAAGCTCCAGCTACACCTGAGTCTGTCACATGGGGACCTGGGGCCCTAAGGCAGGAGCAGGGTGGTGCAGGCGCAGCCCAGCCCTAGCTTCCCCAGAGCACCCCCGAAGGAGAGCTGACCTGTGCCCTAGGTCCTGCCCAGGCCACTCACGCCTTCACGCAGAAACTCTGGGCTCAGTGCCCTTCAGGGAGCTGGGGCTGGCTCCCGGGCCTTCTCAGCTCAGGGTCCCAGAGTGGCCTTCAGAGAGCAGGTGGGGTTGGGGGTACAGGCAGGACCCCCGCCCCCAGCCCCAAGAGAGGCGGAGCAAAGCTCCCTCTGGAGGAAGGCTGCCTGGGCCCCCTGCTTCTTCAGCAGGGGCCAGGCTGGTGTGTGGGGGCAGGATGATGGGGGTGGGGAGGGGATAGGAAGAGATGATGGAGCTGGGAGGGCTGGGCAGGAGGAGGGCACTTATGCAATCCCAGGCTCTTCGCAGGAGGGATGATTCTAGAAGGCCCTCAGCACACCGAGTCACCCAGGTCTCAAGGCACTTCCCCGACCAGCTGAGAAATTGTTCAGCTATTAAGGATGACAGATGAGGGCTCGGAGGGCAGGGCTGTTCCTAGAGACATCCCCACCGCAACCCCTTCTGCTTGGAGGCCTGGTGGGGCCTTCACCCTGTGAGAGAAGCCTCTCTCTGTTCCCAGCTACCCTGTCCCTGCGGGGCAGCTGGATTCACTGTGGGGTAGGGTCGGGTGAATGGAAGGGGTGCATCCAGCAGGGCCAGGGAGGGGTCTGGGCTGCCCCCTCCTTCTGCACCCATTCCTGCTCCTGCTGGCCCTGCCTGGCCCATCCACAGTTGCTGCCTGTGGGGCCGGCAGGGGTCCATCCTCCACGCAGGCCCGCTGCCCCGTGTTCCCAGCAATGCCGGGCCCTGTTTGTGGTCCACTTCTCAGCTTGTTGTGTGAAAAAATATTTGGTGTTGCTCAACTCCAGAGAACCAAGTCAAGTTCCGTTCTCTGTTGTCAGAGGAGCTAATGAAACAGCCTGGTCAGGCCGCTCTGGGGCAGTGTTCTGACCCCGGGAGGCCTGCACTGGGGCCGGGCTTTCTGTGGCAAGGCGGCCACTCCCTTCCCAGGTGACCCTGGTGCCTGGGCCCCATGGCACCAGCTTGGGGCACTCAGCTTGGGGTGGCCCAAGGAGCCAAGGCAGTGGCCCTGGCCATGCTCAGGGACGAAGCTTCCTCTTGCCTGCCGGAAGCCCCAGCCAGTGGGCAGGGCCTTCCTGGCACCTCTCATGTCCTGCTTAATGCCTGGGAGTGTTGGCGACCCTGACGTTGCCTCCAGTGGTGGCTTCAGTGGCCCCGGTGGGCTGGGTCCTGGTGCAGCATGGCGGGGGGTGGCTGCCTGCCCCACCCCTCCCCACTGGGACTCCTTGTCTGGAATCTGCCCCTTTGGAGAGATGGGCCTGTGGTGTGACAGCCCCAAGTGTCCCCAAAGCATGCATCCCCCGACATACACAGCATCTTCCTGAGCCTCAGTGCAGGGCAGGATGGAAGCCGCACCTCCACTGCCACAGACCAGAGTCTGCACAAGGTGCCTGGGACCCAGCTCGGGGACACCGTCAGGACCCAAGCCCTCAGGCAGCCCCTGTCCCGCTGGCTCCTCGAGCTGCCCTTTGGGGGCTGTTAACCCCTCTGCAGAAGAAGAGCCCAAGTCTGTGTCCTCCAAGGGCCATGACGCTCACTTAGGCTTCCGGGACACTCTTGAGAGCTGGCTCTGGCTGGGAGGGCCAGGGCCTCCATCAGTTGCCCCTGGACTCCCAGGCAGAGGGGCAGTGAGACTGTCAGCATGGCTCAAGGGGCTCCAGAGCCTGGGCGCAGGTGGACTGTGGCTGAATGCTGCTCCATGGGAGCACCCGAGACACCATCTGGTAAGCAGTGGTGAGGGTCCACCATCAGGTCCCTGAGGTGAGTGAGCTCCCAACTCTGTCCACTTCCTCCACCGGGCGGTACCGATGGGCTGGGTCATCCCCGCTGGGAGCGGCCTGCCCAGCAGTACAGCCTCCTCTGCCCACATGGCCCGCCGAGCTCTTCTCTGTCCAAGGCCACGGGCGATGGAGGCTGTGGTGACTCACTGCCAGAGGCTCTACTCCCGGGGGAAACAGGAAGCCCGAGTCCTGCCCGCCCACCTGCTCGCTCACAGCCTGCCAGGGGTTGGCAGCAGCACCCGCTTCCCTCACAGAGCCTGCCCCAGGGTAGAAATAGGGAGGGCGTGAGGGGTGCCAGTCTGTGCTGAGCCCCCACATTGCACCTGCCCTGTGCTGATGGTTGGGTCTCCCTGCCCCTCAATCTCTTCCCCTGGTGCAGAGAGAGACCAAGCGGCACTTCCACCTTACCCAGACCTGAGACACCCCCATGGCCAAGGCCACCACGATGGTCCCTCAGGGGCCCGAGTGGAGCCTGTGCTGCCGTGTCCGGGCACACCAGCCCTTCCGTCCACAGCCCAGGACCCCATCCCAGTGTCCCCTCCCCTCTACCTAAGGGCTTTCTCACCCAGAGCCGGCAGGCAGGTCTTGCTGGGCTCAGCCCTTTCAGACCTGGGCCCCCTATGGCCTCCAGACCCCGCCTGCACTCCCTCCTGCATTCAGATAAGCACGTCCTCCCACCTCACACGGCTCCTGTGAGTCACTGCAGTACACAGGAAGGGGGTCCCACCAGGCCAGGCAGACGACCCCTGGTCTCCACTCCAGGAAGGGGAAGGCACAGGCACTGGGGATGAGGAGGAAGATGAGGAGATATGGGATGGCTTCTAATGGCAGATAGAGGCATCAGACCCCACCCCAAGCACCCAGGAGGGTCCTCCAAGCGGCTGATCCCCTCCTCCAGGTCAGCTTGGGGTTTCCACAGAGCCAGGGCTGGGGTCCCCACGTGCGTGTCCTTATGGATAGGGGAGGGCTTGGGTGACCTCAGGACCCCTGTCAGCATCCTGATTTCCCTCATTGTTGCCCACCCATTCCAGCATCGGGGTCATGAGAGAGGCCATGCCAGACTCACCCAACCCTACCATGGAGGCTGAAGCAAGCCCCTTTGGGCAAAGAAGGTTTGAGGAAGAGAAACCCTTCAGGCCAGGCTCCCTGAGCTGCCTTCAAGAGGAGAGGCCCCCAGGCTGCTGCTGAGACCAAGGAGCTGCCATTCCTGGGTGGGGTAAGTGGGGGTTCCCCGGGCTCCTAGGCCTCTAGGGCACCCTCTCTTACATCCAGTCGAGGCAATTTCTCAGGAGGGCCTGAGTCCACGTGAGGAGCGGGTTCAGCTGTGCCGGGCAGCGGCTGGCGAGCTGGCAGGTGACTTGGGCAGAAGCCCCCAACTCACTTGCCCCTGCGCCCCCGGAAAGTTGCCCACTCCTGTACTGTGCCCAGCCAGCCTCACCAGCCCCCGCAGCCTCCAGGGGGAGCCAGGCAAAGCTGCTGGGAACCGGGCTGGACACCAGCCGACCAGCAGCCCCCCACCTTCCAGATCTCGGGGTGCCCAAGGCCACCATCTCCACCAGGCCCAAGCTTCCTCTCAGAGGTGAGAAGTGGGGAACCACTCTCAGAGGGAAGCTAAGTCCCCTCCCTGTCCCATCCTATAGACACCAACACCACAGGAGCCAGGTCCCCTTCCCTCTCATCCTATAGACACCAACACCACAAGAGCCAGGTCCCCTTCCCTCTCATCCTATAGACACCAACACCACTGGGGCCAGGTCCCCTCCCTCCCATCCTATACACACCAACACCACAGGGCCAGGTCCCCTCCCTCCTGTCCTATACACACCAACACCACAGGGCCAGGTCCCCTCCCTCCCGTCCTATAGACACCAATACCACAGGGGCCAGGTCCCCTCCTGTCCTATAGACACCAACACCACAGGGGCCAGGTCCCCTCCCGTCCTATGCACACCACCACCACAGGGCCAGGTCCACTCCCATCCTTCACACATGAGAAAAGGTATGCAGCACAGCATCTCTGAGGCCATCTTGAGGGACAGCGCCACAGGACAGGTATGGCGACCACACAGCCCCGAAGCTCTAATCCCTGGCCACTCTCCCTCCAATAGAACCTCACTGTATACTTCATTTCCAACCAGAGAGAGCAGGGCACTTGTGGGGGTGGCACAGATGCCCTGTACCCCATGGGCCTTTCCTGGAGAGGACCCACAGCCACGCACTAGCTAGCACACACAGCCACACACGTCCAGCGGTCCACCTCCTAATACCATCGGCACACAACCCATGTGCCCAGTGGGCACAGCACGCCAAGACCGCTAGAATGCAAATCGGTAGCTGCCAGGGGCTGGGGGATAAGGGGGCATTGGGGAGTGAGTCCCAGTGGTTAAGGAGATTCCTTCTAGGGTATACAAATGTTCTCGAATTACAGTGGTGAGGGTGGCACAGTGTTGTGTACTAAATGTCACTAACGGTAAATTCTGTTTTATGTATTTTACCACAATTTTAAAAAACCACACCCAGGATCAGGGACTCATTGTGAAATCCCATGCCAGCTTCTCCTCTCCCAGGGATGGGCATGGTTCTCTCTAGGCGGACAGCAAAAGCCTCTGCTGTCCACTCCTGAACACTCAGGAATACAGCATTACAATTTGATCAACCACAGCCACAGGCGTTATCGAGTCATCTGGGAGCCCCAGGCACCATTAGGCGGATGGACACCACTTCCTGCCCAATATCGGAAGGATCTCCCAGGGCTGCCGTTTTCAAGAATTAACCAAGTCCCAGCTGAACAGGCATCTGAGGGGCTGGTGCTGGCTTAGAAAGATGTTGAGTCCACGGATTCGGCCTAGGGAAGCTTTGTGTGGCTCCCAGGAGAGCCTCCCAGCCACGCACGCCGCCCTGGGACCAGCCTGGCTGACTGCCCTCTGCCCACACAGGGAGATAAACTAAACTCTTCACCTGGGCATTTGCACTTAGGTGGGCTCATTATTAGAGCACTGAGTTCAACAAGATGAAAAACCAAGTTTAAAAGGCCTCTCTGCAGGACGCTCACTCCCTGATTCTGAGTGGATGAAGACTGGGCTCAGTCCCCACTCCTGACTCTTGGTTCACACAACCAAATGTTATGGGAGGTCTGGTAGAATATTCCATTCCCCGCAGGCAGAGGGGTTTTAAGACCCCCTTTTTACAAATCTTCATGGTCCTCATGGATACAGTCCCTAGGACTGACTCTAGTTACAAACATGATTTCTTTTTCAGCTGCGGTTTCAGCAGTAGATTATTCTGAAAGCTGTTTGTGTCCTGACCATTTTCAACCTCGTGTACTTTGTGTGCTAACCGGAATAACTGCGTTGTTGGGGGAAAGTGCGGATTTGCTAGCTGAGCCCAGGGCTGGGTGGTGACGGAGCCCTGGAGACAGTGACAACCCCGACCCTGCCGTACCCTACACGCTGGAAGAGGAGCGGTTCCTGACCTGAAGCCCCCGCGGGCTCCAGCTCCGCGTGAGTCCTCAGAGCACTTGCCTTCACTTGCAGGCAAAAAAGCGCCTCCCCAGAGCCTGGCAGAGCTAAAGTGCTGGGTGTTTACCCAAGACAGCTATTTGGGGAAAAGGAGGAGAGAAAAGCAACATTTCTTCCAGCTTCCTGCCAGCCCCCTCAGCGGATGAATTATTCCCATGGGCTCATCCTGTTGGTCCTTAACTGAAAGACACAATTCATTTTGCCTTTTTAGCCCAGGAGATGTTGAGGGGACGGGGACACGGTGACTCGGAATAAGTGACCAGGTCACGAACCTGAAGGACAAGCTCCCTCATTGAATAATTAATCAAGGACCGCTGCCTGAGCCTGGAGGACGCCAGCCCTCAGCCAGGCTGCGGGCTCCGCCACCGGGGCGCTTCCGGCCCTGGCTTGCCCCCAAAACCAGAAAAACTGGGGTGCTGGGGGTTGGGAGCAGACACCGGAAGGCCAGGCCGCCCTCCGCCTCCGCGCCCCAAGTCGGGCTCTGGAAGACTCCGCAGCTCCGAGCATCCCGCGCCCTCCTCCGGAGACCCCCTCCCGAGAAGATGCTTCCCCCTGCCCGCACCCCCTCCGAAACTTCTGCGTCCCCAGAAGCCGGGAAAAGTTGAAGGGCGCCGGCGGCTGCGGGGGCGCGCGGGACCGGCCGTCAGCACCGCGGACAGCTCCGGGCGTGCGGCGGCGCCGGGACGGCGACCCCAGCCCCCACCCCGCGCCCGGTCCCTACCTGTCGTCGTTCTGGAAGGACGGGTCGCCCAGCAGCAGGTCCCGGAAGCGGTAGCGCGGCGGCAAGGGCAGCACCTCGGAGTCCAGGTCGCTCATCTTGAAGCCGGCGGTGTCCAGGAGCGCGCCGTCCCCCGCGCAGGGCCGCCTGCGGGCACACGCCAGCGCCCCTCAGCCCGCGTCGGGCGCCCTCGCGGACGCGCGCAGCCCCCGGCCCGCCAGGCCCGGCCCGCGCAGCGCAGCCCGCGGCCACCGCGACCCACCGGGCGGGCGGGCGGCCGGGCGGGGGCGGGCCTGGCGGCACATGCGGGCGGGGGCGCGCGGGACCGGCTGCGCCGGGCTGGGGCTAGGGCGGGGGCTGCGCAGGGGCAGGGGGCGGGGCTCCCTCCAAAGCGGCCCCGGGGCCTGGCAGGAGGTAAGGGGGACGGGAGCTGTCATGGCCAGCTCAGGGACAGGCGCGCACCACTCCTCCCTGATCCCCCAAGAGCCAGGATGGAGGCCCTCCCCCTGCTCTGAAGCCCCGCCACACCCCTGCAACCCCTCCCAACTCCCCAGCTCCCCTCCCCGTCCCCAGGGTCTTTGCCGAGGCCGGCTGCTCAATCTTCCTTCAGGGTCCAGCCCCAGAGACCCCCGTCTCAGACCCTCAGGCTGTTGAGGGGTGAGGGTGGAGTGACCAGGAGGCCTAAGAAGACACCCTTGTTTGCAGCCTCCCCAGGCGGAGCAGCTCAGCTCAGGTCAGAACCCCGGGGGGCTGCCAGGCCCTCTGGGCCCTGAGCTGCCCTGCCACTGTCACCAGGTGAGGGATCAAAGGGACACAGAGAGCTGGCAGCGCAGGTTAGGGGCATCGTGGCACACCAGGTAGAGTGGGAGGACCCCTGGTGGTCTGCAGTTCTTGGGGGCCCAAGCAGGTGTCTTCCAGGGGTCTTGCATCTTTCCTGTCCCCATGTCCCCCACTGAAGTGAGTTTTGGCTGCTCCAGGAGAAGCAGGAGCTGAGGGGCAGGGAGCTCCTTACCTGGCCCAGGCCGGCCCTTGTTCAAGGCTTCGAGGCCAGCAGGAGAGCAGAGGGGGGATGGAGGGGGCTGGCTCCCCCACGGGCAGGGGCAGGAGGCTCTGACCATACCCAGCTCCCCGTGCTGTGCCCGTAGGCCCTGCACAGAGGCCACTCATTTGGAACACCAGGTCCAGGGATGCTACAAAACTCTCCTCTCTCTCCTCAAGTCGGGAGGGGTGGGCACATTCCTTGAGCCCCCACCAAGTGCCTCTCCTGTGTCCCCTAACCCTCAGACAAGCAGCAGGCAAGGAGCTATGGGCACCCCAGGCTGAAGCTGCAGGCAGCAGGTGCGTGCCCCAAACCCTGCTCCTTGTTCTGAGGTCACAGGTTCAACCCCCAGGATCTGGCAGCATTTAAAAAATAACATTTTCCTAACTGCATCAGCGTAGCTGCATGTTTTTCCTTAGTCACAAGCTGGCTGGGCCATGGGGAGGTGCAGGCAGGCAGGGGAACCACGTGGCCAGGGGTCGGGGCTCTATTTTCTTGATTTTGTGCCTTCCTCACTGAAAGCCCCTTTCAATGGCAAAACCCCAAGAGACTGCCGGCTCCTCAGGCGTGGCTGCCTCCTCCCGTCCCCACCCCGTCTGCCTTTTGAGCGGCTCTGGTTCCTCCTCCTGGCCTCAAGGCCCAGTCTTGGCAGGGCCCATGGACAAGCTCAGGGGCTTGGACCTTGGCTTGCTTCAGGAGTCACCAGGGGAAGGAAGTGCACCAGGAGTCCAGAGACCTGGCCCCACCCCTGCTCCCCAGATGTGGCCTGGGGAGGGTGACAAGGACAAGATGCCCTTCTTCCCTTGGGAAGCTGCTTTGACACTTGAGCGAGCACACGGCCATAAGCAGGTGTCCTGCAGGCCTCCTGGCATCCTGCCTTGTTCCCCCCACAGAGCCAGAAACCTTGAAAATACTTCGCTGTTGTGTTGGCTGAGGGCCGGGGCTAAAATCCTTGGCTGTTGTGTTGGCTGAGGGCTGGGACTGAGGGCCGGGGCTACAGGGTCTCTGGGAAAGGGGCCCATCGCAGGAGGACAGCAGCAAAACAGCTGCTCCCCGTGTCCTCGGGGTCTGGTTGAGACTTTTCGCAAGCAGGAAGGCCTACATCGGCCAGCTTTTTTGGGCACAGGGGGAGAGGGGAGTGTTGGGGGGTCTGGTCCCTGTTGAAGCTGGTTCAGGTGGAACTGGAACATAACCCTGGCATAGCCAGACACGGGGACCCTGGGGCCCACCTCGAATTCTGCACCCCCTCTTCTCTTGCGCTGTCCTCCCTGTGTGACCCAAGGGGCCCTGGAGGAAATCTAGGACCCCCAAGGCCACATCCATGATCTTTTTATTTTCTGAGTGACTGCTGTGCCAAATAATTACCAATTTCCATAAGAATTCTGTGTTTGGTGGCTTAAGGAAGGTGTCCCTCTCCTCAGCCCTTACACTACTCTCTGGACAAGGTGTGGAGCTCAACCTGTGGGACTCACACACCCCTTGGAGCCAGGGCTGAGGTGACGGGACACAGCACACCCCCTAGACAAGGCCGGGGCAGCCCAGGGGCTCAGAGCACCCCGCTGCTCCTCTTGGGGACTCTCTGGGCTGTCAGCACACACCCTGCAGGCCCAGAGAGTGGCAAGAGTCCCGCTGGCATGAGTTCAGTCCTGGCCCATCAGTCCTGCTGGGCGGCCCCCGGCGAGTCACTTCACCTCCCTGAGCCTGTATGCTCATGCGTGAAGGGAGATACTGATGCCTGTTCCCTTATAGGAAGAGTGTGAAGATGTAACCAGACAGCATGCCTGAGGCACGCGGAACAGGGCCTGCAGGTGAGTGCTTCAGCTACAGCAGGTGTAGCGTGGCCAGCAGTTTGGCTGAGCTCTTATGGACAAAGGCTATGACCCAGGGTGGCCGGCGCCCAGCGTGCCCCCTCCGCTCAGCTGAGGCCCATCAGAGAGCTCAGGCTTGGGACACTGACTTTTGGAATCCATCTGGAGAGGCCAAGAATGAGCGAGGCAGTCCACACCTGGGCACGGCAACAGGAAGTCCCCGTCAGCTGTTTGGTGCACACGTAGTCACGTGCACTGACCCTGACAACCCCATCAGAGGGGAGCCCGGCAGCTGTGCTCAGTGCCAGCTGCCATGGACTGAGAGCCAGCTGCACGCCAGGCACCCTGGCAAGCCAGGTGGTGGCATGGAATCCTGAGAACAGTTCTCAGAAGCCAGTCTCCATCCCTAGTTCCTGGCAAGGACAAGTGGCTCCCAGAGCCCAAGGAGCGTCACTGAGGTCCCGGCAGAGGCACTGGGGTGGGGGCCAGGTCCAGGTTCACCTTGGGCTGTGCTGCCTTTGGCCAGCTGGGGGGCTCTTCTGATAGCCAGGAGTGCCTGCTTCTCACTCCCCCTGCATCTGTTCCCGGTGGCCATGGAGCCAGGGCTGTCTGACAAAGTGCTTAAAGACAAGCTTCTCCCGCCAAAGGCTCTGGGCATTCCCGTTCCAGTTGGGAATGTGAGGCTGCCCTTGCCATCATAAAGGAGGCCTCATCTGTGCACTGCTGCGAGAAAAAGGATAAAAGCAAGGAGTCATGAAGGGGGCTCTGTTTGGAGTTGGCATGATTGCTTACTGGAAAACCCAAGAGGAATCAACTGAAAACCTACTAGAGCAAATACGGAACCTAGTATGGCGGCCAACCCAGGAGCACCATGGAGAGCAGGAGCAGAGAGCCACCGGGAGAAAGCCCTGCTCACAGCAGGCGCGGGAGCCCCAAACCCACAGGGGCGCACAGCGTTCCTGAGAGATGGACTGGAAGCTGTCGCTGGCGGAAGACGGAGGTCTTCTTCCTGAGGGTCTAACAGTCCCTTCTCCAAACACACGGGTAAAGGGAATCGCCGCCAATCAAGAGCGCATCACTATTTTCTCAGAATTTGATGAACTGTTTCAAAAATTAATCCTGAAGACTATACGTGCAAGAACAGCCACAGCAGTTGTGAAAAGGAACAGAGAGGGCCCTCGTCTTCTGCTGCCAGCACCAATGTCCAGCCACAGCAGCTGACACTCTGCGGTCTGGCCCAAGAAAAGACAGAGAGTGGGGAGACACAGCAGAGTGCCTTGACCAGCTGAAGCCCACGTTGGAATCCAGGCTTGAGAAAGGAGGCGGGGGGCACTCCTCGTCCTATGGTATTGGAACGAGTGCAGCTCCACCTGTCCTGACTCAAGTCACGGTTGCAAATATCAGGAGGGGCGACATCCTTCCCATTGTGTTGATGGAGAAATGGAGGCCGGAGAACTTCAGAAATGCACTTGACCTTGTTCCTTATTTGTCCTTGTTTATCACTTGTCCCCTTGCCTTGGGAGGGCCGGTGCTTGAACCCAGTACCTGGCTCCAGCCTATGCTATGCAGTGTCTTCTGTTGGATAAAATAAGATTAGACCCCATCTGCAGCCCCAAACCAAGGACAAGATGGAAAGAAAATACAGGGAAAAGTGTTCAGAGCTGAGAAGGCCTTTTATTTAATACACGAAACCCAAAAATCATCTATTCCAAGAGGAATAGATTTATAAAAGCTTCTACATCTGAACAAAACACTGCTGTTTAACAAAAGACATCACTGGCAAAAGGAAAGAATAAGCGACCAACAGGAAGAACATATTTGCAACAGAATAATCATCAGAACACAGCCTGGTGCCTACAGGTCCCGTGGAAAGGAAAACAATCTGGCAGAAAACATGGCCGGGTGCAGTGGCTCAAGCCTGTCATCCCAGCACTTTGGGAGGCCAAGGTGGGTGGATCACCTGAGGTCAGGAGTTTGAGACCAGCCTGGCTAACATGGTGAAACCCCATCTCTACTAAAAATACAAAAATTAGCTGGTTGTGGTGGCACACACCTATAATCCCAGCTACTCGGGAGGCTGAGGCAGGAGAATTGTTGGAACCCAGGAGGCGGAGGTTGCAGTGAGCTGAGATCGCACCACTGCACTCCAGCCTGGGTGACAGAGCGAGACTCCATCTCAAAAAAGAAAACGACTCAAAGGATGGATGAGTGAGGTTCAAAGAAGAGGAATGGAAAACAACGCACAAGTAAAGACAAGCCACCTAGCTAATAATTAGAGAGATGCAGAGTTGGACGGTCTCCTGCGCCAGTGATCGGCTGTGGTTACAGAACGGGGGGTTCTGCAAGCCAGGGCTCTCATGTAGTGTCCAGCCGACTGGGAGCAGTGGATTAATTATGATGGAATCGTGGGTCCTCTCCAACTTGGAACCTCTACCTGGGGACATTTTTGATCTGTGGCCGAGGAGGCCCAGGCATGGATTTTCATCACGGCCTCATGTGTGAAGGTGAACACTGAAAACAGCCTGCACGTCCCTGAACTGAGGAGCGACTGACAGCTACAGCCAAGACTGCTCTGTGAAGGCACAGGTCTCTGTGAGCCTGCGTGAGCCCGTGTGGATGCATCACTACACAAACAGAATGGCATATAATGAACCCCATTTAAAAACTAAACACGACCGCTTTCCACAGAACCCTAAAGAAGAGGTGGGTTTCTCTGGGCACCCAGCTTGTAGGTGATATAGAGACTGTCCCCACACACTGGCAGCCACAGTGCTGGGGGCAGGGTGGGGTTCTAGGGCAGCGTCTCACCCATTGTGCTTTGCAAAGTGAATACATCATGCACGATGTGTGTTATGGCAAACGGAACAGCTAAGGGCTAAAGATGTCCTTCCCTAAACTCCAGCATCACCAGGCCCTTATTTCTGCCCCGGGTGGGGCTCAGAAAGAAGCAAGGAGCCTGCCTCTCAGGATCAGCATAGGAAGTCCTGGATAAAATGTCCTTTCCCGCAAAGACTTCTCTTAACATTGCTTGTGGTCCAGCATGGTGCCTCACGCCTGTAATTCCAGCATTCTGGGAGCCCGAGGTAGGCAGATCACTTGAGCCCAGGAGTTCCTGACCAGCCTGGGCAACATGGCAAAAACCTTCCTCTACAAAAAATAACAAAAGTTATCCAGGCATGGTGCCTGTAGTTCCAGCTACTCAGGAGGCTGAAGTGGGAGGATCATTTAAGCCCATGAGGTTGAGGCTGCGGTGAGCCATGACTGCGCCACTGCACTCCAGCCTGGGTGACAGAGCTAGATTCTGTCTGAAACAACAACAACAAAAAAAGATTGTGACTGTCTTTGGCTAAGGGAATGAGGTTTCTCTCCTAAAATACATTCTTGTTCACACTCAGTTCAAAATTTCCAGGAGCTGGGCGAGCCATGTTTGACAGAGAAGTTAGGGAGGAGGGAGATGAGCACATGTAAGCACGTAAATACGCACATGCATGCTGATGTGTGTGTAAATGAGCATGTATTTGCATGCAGAGGCATGTGTACGAATATGTGCATGCATGTGTGGATGGGATTGCATGCATGTATGTACAATGTGCATGTATGCATACATGTACATGGGCATATGTATACATGTGCACATGTGGACATATGTGTGCATGCACATGGATCTGTGTGCATGTGCCTGTATGTGTGTGGGCATCCCTACCCTGCATCCAGGAGAGTCCCCCAGGCAGGCATAGCATCACTGTGGTGGGGGTGTCTGAGTGCTGGGCTTAGTGTCCAGCAAGTGCAAAGCTGCAGAACCTCTCTGCTGACCATGGCAGAAAACTCAACGCTTCCTTTGCACGATGATTAAAAAGTCAGAGCTGCTCGAGATGCCCAGGCAGCTGGGCAGGCAAGCGTCCTCGGTGACGTCTCTCTTTAGGGGAGGGGCTTCTTGCCCATGCGAGGGTGGCTGCTCAGCACCATCTCCTGAGATGCTTTAGGATCCAAAGTGAAAGCTCAGAACACATGGAGGAGCCGAAATCAAGCTGTAGATTTATCCAGACAGACTTCAGAGCAGCTTTCTCCCAGCCCGGCGGGAAGAGGGGAAGGCCAGCAGCACAGTGGACACAGGGGCCCCAGGCGAGGCTGTGGGGGCCATCACCCCTGGACCCGTGCCCAAGGTTGTCGGGGGAGGCAGAAGCCTGGGCTTGGGCCAGACGCCAGGCGAGCCCTTCTGCTGTCCCCACCCCCTGCAGCAGGCAGCAGTGTGCTGGTCACTCAGGGTCAGATGGCAAGTCCATCTCAGGGTCCTGGGCCCTGGGTGCCCAGGACCCTTGGCTGGTCCTTCTCACAGGCCACACCCTGTTCTCCAGCTGCATCGGCCCACAGCCCCTGCCCCCGGCCACGCTGTGGCTGCTGGGAGATGCTTAGTGACTGCACACGTCAGCTGTCAGTACCCTCGAGCTGAGCTGGCTGCTGGGGGCAATGGTGATCATAGCAAGGAGCACAGCCTGGAGCCGGCAGGGGACCCTTGGGGACAGCCCTCCTAGGGTGGACAGCCTGAGGGTGGGGAGGCCGTGGTGGGGGCTGCACCTGGAGGAGAAGCCGCCCCTCTCCCACAGCTATGGGAGGCACCACCATGCCCCTGCTCATTCCCCCAGAGAACTGTGCCAGGTCCCTGGGCTGGCCATGCTGAGCACCTGAGGGCTGGCATGGCCTGCAGGGGTGCACCGGGCCTTATCTGATCTTAATTTTTAATTTTTTTTTTTTTTGTAGAGACAGGGGTCTTGCTATGTTGCTTAAGTTGGTCTCCAACTCCTGGCCTCAAACAATCCTCCCGCCTTAGCCTCCAAAAGCACCGAGATCACAGGCATGACCCACCGTGCCTGGCCTTGGGCCTGTCTGGGAACTGAGGCACAAGTGAGGCTTCATTTCCTCAGCACCAATGAACTCTGGGAGGGCTGGGCCACTTTAGGGAGGCTGAGGCACAGGGCCCCTGCTCCATCTAGGGGCCCGTACCCTGAGCTGCCATCATGCTCAGAAAATGACCAACTCACTGGCGCTCCCAATACCTGCCCCAGCCCCCTCCCTCAATGTGGCTGGGGTCAGGAAAATCTACTGGAAAGCTGCTGGGTGTGGTGGTCTGAGCCCTGGCTGTCTGTCACAGCTGGGGTCTGCCCCAGGCAAAAGCACTATTGGTGCCTGTGAAGCATGAGGACCCACTTCTGGCCCCTGGAGGGAGTCACAGGCAGATGGAAGCCCTCTTTGCCCCTCTTGTGGAGTGCCCCAGAGTGGCTACAAAGGAGGAGGCCTGTGTGCCTTTCCTGGGCACCAAGGGGCCAGCTGTGTCTCAGCCTCCGAGGCCTGAGTGGTGCCTGGCAGGACACAGGTGCCCCAGGGCGACGGTGCCAAGGAGGAGACGGTGGCAGCTGGCACACACCACACCCCGGCACTGTTGTGAGGAGGAGCCATTCTCACCCCTGGGGGCCGTGGGCCATGCGGCAAACATTAACACTGTGGGAATCTTTTGACTGGGCAATTCCACTTTTAAGAATCCATCTTGGGAAGTCACCGGACAAATGCTTAGCTCTGACGTGTCAACACAGGCTGGTGCGTGACAAGGCAAAGACGAACTGGCTGGTGTGCAAGCTCCCGACGCCAACACAGCTTTGTAAACACCAAGTATGTGCTGTCAGCATGGGCTCAACACAACCTCGTAAGGTCCATGCTAGCACTCCCATTCTACAGATGAGGAAACTGAGGCCCAGAGAGGTGAAGTGACTCGCCAGAGCTGACACAGCTACTGCATCTCAGTGCTGGGATGGACCAACCTCACAGACACAGTTCCCAGAAGCTCCTCCAGGCCCTCTGCTCCTCCCGGGGCGCCCGCCTTGTGCCAGTCCAGACCCTGGTCCTGCAATGCCCTCCATCTCCTGATGCCCCCACCTCTGCTCCAGTGAGGCCACCCTCCTCTCCCACCTCCCCCACCTCCCGCCCCCGATCTAGGGAGCAGCTGGAGGCCCCCTCTCAAGGAGGGCCTTCCCAGGGACCTACCCCAGGAAGCTCGCGGCCTCTGCCCTGCCACTGTCCCCTGCAAACCTGTTACACTTGCCAGCTGCTAGTACTGGTCTCACCTCCCTGGGCCAATCGCATCCTGGCCTCAGTTCCAGCCCCGCTGGCTCACTTCCAAGTTCCACAGGTGAAAGTGGGTCTGGGTGAACATGGGTGGCCTTATCCACACACACAGCTGGGAGAGGTCCCAAGACACCTTTGAAAGATGCCCATTTAACCGGGCCTTGGCACCCAGCCACCTAGCACGGGCACGCTGAGCCCAGCCTGCCTTTCCCCAGACTCATGACCGGTGACTTCAAGGTCACACAAGCTGGCTGGCGGGCCCCACACATCCTCCTCCAGCTCTCACACACGTGCCCACGGTGCGCCTGCCTGGCTCACGGAGCGCCCAGGTTCACATGCACACACAGCACTTGTTTTTGGGTACACGATACCCGTTCAGCATCCCTCACCCATGCAGGGCTGGGACACACTTGGACAAACTTTCCTGTTGCAGAGAAACCTGGGATTGTTTGTGGGAGACACAGAAGTGCCACCCTTTCCAGGGCCGATGGCACCTGGGTCAAAGCCTGCAAGTTTGCATCCCGGGGAAGCAGGACAAAAAGCCTCAGGGGAGAGCCCGAGATGCCCCCCAACACCCTCCGAGGGCATGAGATGGCCCCACAGCAAGGCCCCACTACTGCCACACCAGGCTCGTCCCAAGTAATTTTCTGTGTTAATCAAGAGCTCCCCATACGGTGGGTGAACCAGACCAGCACACTTGGAGGCTGCCGGGTGCGAGGACACAGGCCACACCCAGGCCAGCCACTGGAACAGAAGCAGAGGCCCTCGTGGGGACCCTGTCTGCTCCCTTCTCACTCACCTCTGTCCTCCTGAGCTGTTACTGTGGCCACTCCTGGGCCACAGCAGACCCCTGAGTTCCCTGTGGCCTGAGCCGTCCCTCCTGCCGGCCAGTGCTGGGCGGTATCTTGGGCCCTCAAACCTTTCCCATGAGCCCTGAGCTACTTCCTGCTGCTGAAGGCACTGCTCCCTAATATGGGCCTGGAGGGCTGGCCAGGACCTTGGGCCAGGCATGTACCCTGGCAGGATGCCAGGGCCTGATCCCATCAGGGCCTAGAGGGTCCCAGGCCCGCCCTGGAGCACAGCTGCTGGGAAGTGGTATTTCCAGGAAAGGCCTGGCAGGGGCTCTGATGCGAAGTGCGCTGGGCAGGGGGTGGGCACTTGCCAGCTCTGGGGCCACCAGGGCCACTGGTCCCTCCCTGTCCTACAACAGCTGTCATCTCCAGGGCCTGTGGGGAGGCAGCTGAGGGCCTGGGACTCCATGGCATGGAGGTGGGAGCAGGGAGCCTGGAGGCCAGAGGCCCGTGAAGACCCCTGCAAACTGGAAGGCCAGGAGCTCCTCTCTGGAGCCCCACTTTCCGGCC
The DNA here is from genome assembly GCF_000001405.40 of Homo sapiens. Taxonomy (NCBI): domain Eukaryota; kingdom Metazoa; phylum Chordata; class Mammalia; order Primates; family Hominidae; genus Homo; species Homo sapiens. The sequence continues at coordinate 135,704,398 of NC_000009.12, read as the reverse complement.
TGATGGCCTTGAGGCTGACTCAGGGACACCACTAGCGTGGAGCTGGGGGTTTGAGCTGGGGCACTGGAGTGGGGTGGGGTGTCCAAGCACCTCCTGGCCCCTCTGAACCATAGCACCAAGGCTGGCATCCTCCAGCACCCAGGAAAGACAGAGGCCTGCTCAAGGCCTGGCACCAAGACCTATGGACTCCAGGGCCTGGGTTCTGACCACGCTGTTGCCTGGCACCCTCCTCCCCATGTGAGAGCTGGTGGGGAAACCCGCCCCACAGAGCTCCCCCCACCACCAGGCAGCACGAAGGTTCTTCTTTCTGCAGCTGAAGCCACCTGCCTGGGCCGCAAGCCTTGGCCTCACCTGGAGCTCAGCTCCCCGCTCCCGAGCCCAGCCAAGCCCAGGTCCTGCTCCCTCCCCAAGCCTGACGCCTGACATCCCTCCACTGCCGGCGGCTGCTCTGCCTGCAGTGTGACAGGGAATCTCTGTTGCAACGGAGGCCAGCTCAGTCCAGCGGGGAGGAGGAGCTGTCCCGGGCCGGTGGGCAGGGCCAATTGGGAGAGACAGGTGTCTGGAAGGACCCGGAGGATGAGGCCTGGAGCTAAAGGCTGGACCCTGAGGACACTGTCCTGCCGGCTCGTCTGGAGCAGGTCAGGCCCAGCAGGGTAGGTGATAAACTCCAGCAGAATGGCCAGGGAGGGCAACGCTAGGCTGGGGAGGGAGATGGTAGGGGCCGGCCAGCCCACAAAGATGAGGGCAATCCAGGACCCCCTTGGGGTCATTTTCTCTGTGCCTGACAGGCATCCCCCGGATAGTCCCTCAGAGCACGTCCAGGCTGTGCCCACTTCCCAAGGACATCACCAAGTCACTGTCCACCCTCAGAGCACCTGCTCCTCACACACGCTGTACCCCGGACTCCCCCGGGTGCCAGGTGGGTGCTGTGCCTGCCTCTTGATTCTGGGAACCTCCTCTCCAGCCTGGTCCCTCACCAGAGGCAGCCCTTAAAGACCATCCGCCCTACCTCCTCATTTTACACTCGGGGAAACTGAGTCCCATAGAACAAACAGGCAGCCGCACCAGGCCTCCCGCTCTCAGGTATGCTCTTCCACCCCCTTCTCTGGCCTCAGGACAGCCTGAGACTGGGCAGGATCCAGAAGAAAGGGCTCTGTCCTGGTGGGGAGGGGTTCGCCCAAGGCAGTGACCGGCTCTGCCCAGGGTTCCCTGGAGTCTGGCTCTGGGGACAGGGTGAGGGGCAGACTTGCCTGTTTTCAAGAGCTGAGGGATGGGGGAGAGGATGGGGAACCTGGACCCTGGGGCAACCTCCGCTCAGGACTGTCCCACTCAGCTGCCGGTCCGTGCCTCTGCACTGGTCACTGGGTGGACGGCAGACGCATGGCATCCCAGGACACTGCACAGGGAACAGCTAGCTCCAGGTCACCTGAATGCCATTCTCAACTGGCCCTCTCCTCCCAGGGATAGGCCAGCGGGGAACGAGGAGTGACCAGAACCCAGGACTCCCGCCCTCATCTGACAGCCACTTAGCCCACTTCCCACTGGGGACTCTTCCTTGGAAGGTTGCTCTGGAAACCCCCTACTGTGTGGGGTAACCTCGCCGGGCACCCCACCCTGGCCGAGCACTGCCATGCCACACAAGAAGGATGGAACCTTCCTCCCCAAGCTGGGGTGGGGCAGGGGCTGGGGGAGATGGAAGGCCCTGCACCGCCCCCAGCCTCCCTGCCACTCCCCACACCTGGGAGATGCTCAGGACCCCCATGTAGCCACGGCCGCTCCCCCCAGCTTCTTACCAGGTCGAGGACAGATGGGGACGGACGCTGCTGCCTCGGCACCTGCTGATTAGTGCGGCCCACCCTGAGGGGCGCCCCTGTTCCCCAAGGTGGTTGGGAGGGCACTCGCGGGTCCTGGGGAAGTTGGATGGCCCTGGGAATGGCGGGTCCTGGAGGGTGCGGGAGCCTGAGGGGGAACTTGGGGGTCTTAGGTTAGACCGGGGCCTCCCCGCGTGGGGAGGGCGCAGCAGACTGTACCTGGGGGCGCATTGGCCGTCGTCAAACTCGAAGGTCCGGTTGGTGTAGCCCCCGCCGCGCGCCTCCCGGCAGACGCCCCCCGGGGTCCGCGCCCCGTCAGGGAGTGGCATGCGGCCTGGCAGCTCGGACCCGACCCGAGGGAGAAGCGAGTGGGAGCCGCCACCTTCTTCCCTCGCGTTGCCCTGAAAAACATTTTTTTTTTCCTCGCAGATTAGCGAGGAAAAGACGCCAGTTCCAGGGTCGGGTGCAGGCGTCTGTCCGCGCGCGCCCCCTGCCGGCCGCGCCGGGACCCGCGGCGGCTCTGGCCCAGGCTGGGACGGGGGTGCGGGGTAGGGAGGGCGATCCGCTCCCGCCGCGGCCCTCTGAGCCCTCAAAACTCCGAAAAACAGGACGGGGTTCGTCAATGGCTAGAAAAGCCCAAGCGCGCCGCCACCGGGCCCTACACCCCTGGGAGGGCTCCGTGGTGGGCGGGGGCTCAGGGGGCTCTGGGTCCTTGGCGGGCAGCAGGGCACATGCGCTGCTCGGACCGCCAGCGTCCAGCCGCTGCGCCCAGGGACCGTCAGCACCTCCCGCTTGTGCTGCTCTGCCGTGGTCAACACTGGTCATTGAACACAAGCCAGATTCAAGACGACTCCCCGCCCCCCCGCCCCCACACCCCCCGCAGGCTGCGGCATCTGTGGGTGGGCGCCACATCCTGGGCTTGGCCTGGGGGAGGGGGATGACTGCACCCCGCCCTGTGCTCTCACCCAGACGGGCACACACAGCACCTTTAGACGGGTGGGGAGGGGCCCCAACTTAAGATGCTGCAGGCCAAAGACTAGGAAGCAGAGGGTCCCCCTGCGGGCCCCCTTTCCCGTGCACGTGCTCACACTGTTACACATGCGTCACCCTGGCTCAGCCTCACACAGAGCTCTGGAGAACTGCGATTTCTGTCCCCAGAGCTTTGTTGGTTTGCAGGGTGGACCAGGCCCCTCACTAAGCCAGGACTGTGCCCACGAGGGCCAGGGGGAGGGCCAGGTCCATTTGGAGGGCGCATGCCATGTACTTTGTGGTCCCTGGCCTCCCCAGTGTCTCTCCAGAGGGTCCTTCCCTGTTTCTCCAGGAGGCAGCAGGCTGAACACAGATGCTTTTGAGGGGTGGGTGGGGAACACTCGGGGAAGTCTAGGATGCTAAGTCCCCAGCAGAGGTTCAGCCTGTGCCCCCGCCACACAGCTCGTGGGCATCTTGGGGGTTTTTCCTCAGGTCCCTAGATTGGCCGGTGCTGCTGCCGGGGTCCCACCACCCCTGGGCGGGTGCCGCCGGGGCAAGATGGTGGCCTTTCTGCCAACGCCCTCCTGCCTGGGGAACTCAGAAAAAACTGAGAGGCCGCACCATCTGCATCTGTGATTAATTAGCAGTAATTACACGTGTTGTCAACGGCAGGAGAGTCACAGGTTTGATGACATTCCGAGGGCTTTAGGGAAACAAAAACTTGGCCCCACTCTGCCACTGAGGAGCCCCAGATCGCCAGCCCGTCCATCCCTCCCTGGCCAGGGGCAGGGCCGGGAGAGGGGCCCAGGTCCCCGAGAGCTTTTGCCCTCCTCTCCAACCCCGTCCTCCTCCATGTCTGACCTGCAGCCAAGGCTGGGCGGAGCAGGGATGGAGACACCACCTTATATTACATAACCTCCCTCTGCTCCAAACACCCTTCACCCATCTTTGGCCCAAAGTCCAGGATGCCAGCCCGAGGCCCAGAGCCGCGCCTTCTCCACAGGAGACTGGGGCACCCCGGACAGACGTCCCCGTGTGGTGGCACCTGCCCGGGCTCCTTCTTGCCTCCCCTCTCGGGAGGAGAGCCCCTGCCACCCACCCCACCTCCTCCCGCTACGACCTCAGCACGAGCCAGGCCAGGGATGTCCTCCCAACAGTCCAGCCTCACCCCCCACCCTCGTCCCCTCTGCTTCCCTGAGGGCCCCCCGCAACCTCCGTGAAAGAGGAAGGGTCTCCACCTCCCCCTTCCCTCCGTCATCCCCCCAAAAGTATGTACTGGGGGACTCAAGCCCAGCGCAGGGCGGCTCCTGGAGTTCAGCGGGGAGGTGAGCAAACACCTGGCGCCGGAGCTTTCTGAATTTGGATGGGCAGGACCCCCGCGATCCCGCAGAAACCTGTTGAGAGTGTGAGGTGAGGGGTCGAGCTGGGGCCCCAGGGCATAAAGCGGGGATGGTGCTTGGGCAGGGCCAGGTGAAGGGACAGACGGTTCCGAGGGTGCCCGGCAGAGCTCAGCGGGAGGAAGAGCACGGACGATGGTGGCCTGGGGTGGGGACAAGATGCCCCTGGTTCTGGGCGACCCAGAAGTGTGGATGGTGACCCTACCCTGAGGCGCAGCGTCTGCAAGCGTACTAGATTTGGGGGAAAATGGAGGCGTGGGCGACTGGGGAGCAGGCGGGTACCCTTCCCCCTCCCTGTGTCCCTGGGTCCCCCAGGCCTGGGCTAAACAACTCAGCCCAGCCCGCCCACTCCCACCAGGGGCTGGGCTCCTAAGGGCAGAGCCCGCATCTCCAAAGTGCCCAAGGGCACCGAGACCACCGCATAAGTGGGAACCGAGGCGACCCCCGGGAAGGTAAGGGTAGAGGCAGGGCCACCTGGGCTGGGGCCCCTTCCCCTGGCGTCCTGCGGGGGCATAGAGTGGGTGGACCCCCCGAGTCCCTTTCCAGCACCTTCTTTGCAGGAACGCGGGTCACGTGGGCCCCGGGCTGGCTGCGTGGGGAGGGCTAGAGCGCATGCGCTATGGGGGCGGATTGCAAGTGGGGGTGGGGTGGGCTAGGTGGAAAGCACGTGGCAGGTGGGCAGAGCACACGTGAGGGGGCGGGGCTGCCTGCGGAAGGGGCCGTGCGCGTGGGGTCGCTCCGCAGCTGCGAGTTCATGGCGTCCCGGTGCTCCGAGCCCTACCCGGAGGTCTCCAGAATCCCTACCGTCAGGGGATGCAAGTGAGGAATTGGGCTGGCGGCCAAGGGGTTGGGGGCCCAAGGCCTGTACCCAGGGGTTCTTCCGCAAGTTGCTGGGCTCCACCCATCCTGGGCCTCCTGGGGCGGAGCCCTGGACCCTGGGAGAGGGGAAGGGGTGCAGAGAGGGCCGGGCCGTGTCCCTACGTGACCCAGTCTTGGCTTCCACCCGCACCCCAAAGACGCCCATTCTGGCATCTGGGACTCCTGGTGGCCTTTTCTGGGGTTCTCAGGGCCCGGTGCTCTTGGCTTTCTCGGCAGCGGCTCCCTGTCTGGTGCCCTCTCCTGCTGCGAGGACTCGGCCCGGGGCTCGGGCCCGCCCAAGGCCCCTACGGTGGCCGAGGGTCCCAGCTCCTGCCTTCGGCGGAACGTGATCAGCGAGAGGGAGCGCAGGTGAGTGGTGGTGCCTCCCAGGGGTGAGGGCGCTGTAAAGGGGTGGAGCGGGTGAGATTATGTTCGGGGCTGCCACCAGGTGTCAGGCAGCTGGGAGGGGCTCGTGGCCTGTGCCCAGGAGAAGGACAGACTGCACATCTCCAAGTAAACCAGAAAAGCCCTGTTGGGGAACATCCTGCAGCCCCTCTTTATCCTGAAGCCTTGGCCTCTTGAGGCTGTGCACCTGTGACCCTCTGTGCTTCTGACTGCCTCTGACCCTCGCTGTCTTTTCCACACCGCAAAGCAGCCATGGTTTGGGCCTGGGCTGGACAGCCTGTCGCCGAGGTCCAGGGGTCAGGCCCAGGCTGTGCTCTGATGTGGATCTCGGGGCTTCAGACCACGGGGGCAGCTCTGAGTCATCTTGTAGCCCCCTCTGCCTGACAAGCGCCCAGGGTCTATCTGGCAGGTTCTAGCAGTTGCTGTCCCTTCTCGGGGAGGGCAGGAGGGCCCAGAGGTATTTGTTTCTTGACCGGAACCAGGAAGCGGATGTCGTTGAGCTGTGAGCGTCTGCGGGCCCTGCTGCCCCAGTTCGATGGCCGGCGGGAGGACATGGCCTCGGTCCTGGAGATGTCTGTGCAGTTCCTGCGGCTTGCCAGCGCCCTGGGGCCCAGTCAGGAGCAGCACGCTGTGAGTTGTAAGGGTAGACGCCGTCAGTCCTCCGGCATCACGGTGATGGGACATCTCACCACCTTGCAGGCAGTGTGTCCCCTGTCATCCCCGTCTCCTTCAGCCCTCTGGGTCTCCACGGCTAGAGCAGGCCACGTTTTCGGCAGGGCACTTCCTGATTTGTTCAAGCCTTACCTGTTGTTATTCTGTTCCTGGAAAGGAGCAAGCCTTCCTTTCCAGCCCTCCTGTGCCCCTGAGTCCTGTTCATTGATGGGTTGCCGAGATGCTCCGTGCCAATTTGGGGGAGAGTTGGGGTCTCCTGATCCTCCCTGGCTGAGCACCCCCTAGATCATTTCTCTGCACGTCTCCAAGAGAGAGGCTCCTCTCCCCTCTCCAAGGCTCTGGGGGCTCTGGCTGACCCCGTGAGTGCTGGGGCTGAGGACCTGTGTGGGGAATGAAACTGTGTTGTCATCTGTGAGGTCAGGGGTCCCAGCATTTGCAGTGAGGCCCTTGGGTATGCACAGCCTGATTCAGGAATGGTGGGGCCTTTCGGGGGTGGAACCTCAGCCTCGTTGTCAACCTGTACTCTCGCCCCCAAGTTCCAAGCGGGGACCGAGCTCACAGTGACCCTCCAGGCCCTGGGGTAGCAGTCTTGTCACCGTGTCTTGGGTTTCTCAGCTGACTGTCTCTGTCTTTGTTTTACATGTTTACTTAAATTTCAGATTCTTGCTTCCTCCAAGGAAATGTGGCACTCGTTGCAGGAGGATGTTTTACAGTTGACGTTGTCGAGTCAGATTCAAGCAGGTGTGCCAGACCCTGGGACGGGAGCGTCCAGCGGGACTCGGTTAGTGTCTCCTGGGGCCCGCTCTCCAGGGCTGGGTGACCCTGGGAGCAGCAGACCCAAAGCCCCCTGGCATGTCCTCGGGAGGGTGTGGCCTGGAGGCCCGGCTTGGCCTCCGCAGGTGGTGACCTGCCCAGGGCCCTGCCAACTCAGGTGGCCAGGTGTGAGGTGACCAACATGGGCGAGCTCCAGCAAGGGGGGAGCGCGGTCAGCAGAATTGAGGGCCTGGGCTGGTGTGGAGGTGGGAGGTGCCCGGGAGGATCTCTTCTGCTCCTGTGTGTGGGGAATTTACAGGTGGTCAGTGAGGTGTCATACTCCTCCCCATGGGCAGCTTCAGGAATGCAGTTTTCTGAAGTCAAGATAATTTGGTTCTTTTCAGAATGGCAGCTCCCCAGGTTGAAGGACTGTCTGCATCTTGTGTTTAAATGTACCCATTTTACCCCAAAGCAGGCTGGGGCATGGGACTGGTGGCTAATTAGCTGTGGAAGAATCTAGAACCGGAGGAGTTGGGCAGAGGGAAACTGGGTAGACAGCTGTGGAGCTTGGCTGGCCCAGGGCCCCTGGGCAGAGGCTGGCTTGATGCTGGGTGGTGCCTGGGGTGTCCTGGGGATGGGTCCAGCCCTCTGCTCTTGGGGTGGGTGGGGGCAGCCTTCCAGGGGGCTGGGGAATAGACCCAGGATCCTTGTCATGTTGCTCCTTCTAGAACCCCAGATGTGAAGGCGTTTCTGGAAAGTCCTTGGTCCCTGGATCCAGCGTCGGCCAGCCCAGAGCCCGTGCCGCACATCCTTGCGTCCTCCAGGCAGTGGGACCCCGCGAGCTGCACGTCCCTGGGCACGGACAAGTGTGAGGCACTGTTGGGGCTGTGCCAGGTGCGGGGTGGGCTGCCCCCTTTCTCAGGTGAGTCCTGGGTGTGCATGTGGGGTGCCTTTGGCCTGGGGAGCGGCGCCAGGCTGTGCTTTAGCCCTAAGAACAATGGGGGCTGTTTGCAAACGGGGTTCGAAGTTTTCCCAGGCCCTTGTGTTGGTGAGAAACCCACGTGTTGAGGGATGAGCTTGATTCAAGGCCCCCGGGCTGTGCCTGCTTTTGTGAAAAGGAGGACGTGTGCTCTCGGGAGGGAGGAAGTGTGGCTCGAGGAAGGGAGAGTCCTGGGCAAAGGCCACCATGGGAGCTGTTCCTTCTATCCTGTCTCCTCCTGGGACTTCCATGTGCTCCAGGGAAGGGAGGGCCTGATCTTCTCCTCCCTGGGTCCCTGGGTCTGCTGGGAAGCATGGGGACGTAGAGGGACTTGGCCCCATCCTGGTCACTCCCTGGGTCTGCAGGAAGTATGGGGACGTAGAGGGACTTGCCCCATCCTGGTCACTCCCTGGGTCTGCTGGGAAGCATGGGGACGTAGAGGGACTTGGTTCTGTCCTGGGTCTGTGGGAAGTGGGGAGGTAGAGGGACTCGGCCCCATCCTGGTTGCTCCGTCCAGCTTTGTGGCCCTGCTTCTCTCACCCGCCTGTGGCTGGTGTGTTTTGGATGTGGCCGGAGATCTGTTTTCCCCGGGGCGCCCCATCTGCCCTTCCGCCTATGCTGCCTGGCCATGGCAGGAACTGTAATTGGGGTGAGCCAGGGGCCCGAGGCCTCCCAGCTGTTCCCTCTGCCACCCGGGGCCTTTGTCCCTAATGCCACCCACAGCTGAGCTCTGGTCCCTCTGTGGGTGGCCCTGCAGGGCGCCTCTGATGACCGAACTCCCCTCGGCCCCTGCTGTGGTAGCGTCTGGAAGTCGCCAGGTGCCATGAGAGGCAGGGCTGTGCCTTTTGGCTCCCAGCTGTGGCTGGGAGCAGTCATGCAGTTGGCAGGGCTGGTGTCAGAGCTGGGGTCATCAGGGCACTCCGGAAACCCAGGAGTCAGCCAGGCACGTGGGGAGCGAGCAGGTCTGAGGGCAGAGCTCGAGGTCCGGGAGGCGGTGCTGAGAGGGTCCCCAGATCCAAGCCCCTTGCGGCTGGCCAAGCCAGCACCCCCTCTAGGAAGCCCTTGGCCCCCAGGTGTTGGGCACCCCACCTCTGGGTGTTCATCTTTTCCTTGTTTACCTGTGTGCCACCCGCTTCTGAGCTTCCTCCCACGTGTCCCTGCTGCAGGGTGCAGGCAGCAGAGCAGGTGCTCGGTCAGTGTGAGTGGACCGAGCCCGTGAGTCACGAGGTCCTCGGGGGCAGCCTGTGGGGCTGGGCAGGGAAGGCTGACCCGCATCTGACTTCTCTCCCAGAACCTTCCAGCCTGGTGCCGTGGCCCCCAGGCCGGAGTCTTCCTAAGGCTGTGAGGCCACCCCTGTCCTGGCCTCCGTTCTCGCAGCAGCAGACCTTGCCCGTGATGAGCGGGGAGGCCCTTGGCTGGCTGGGCCAGGCTGGGCCCCTGGCCATGGGGGCTGCACCTCTGGGGGAGCCAGCCAAGGAGGACCCCATGCTGGCGCAGGAGGCCGGGTGAGTGCCCAGGTGGTGTGCACGCCTGTGTGTGCGTGAGCGAGCATGTGTGTGTGAGCCTGTCCCACCTCCTCCCAGTCCTGCTTGGGCCCACTTTCTCGGCATCTGGAAGCTTCCGTCTCTGCTTCTGTGCCCGTGGGAGGGAGGCCAAGGCCACAGCCCAGGACAGGACCAGCCAGCCTTGCCGTGTGGCTTTCTAATGTGTGTTTCTGGAAACACTTTTGTCTTCCTAATTGTCATTTGTTTTGGCTGATAGTAAAATGAGTTTGTGTTTCGTGAGCACATACCAGCTGGGGTGTGGGAGGGGGAGGGGAGGGGGAGGGAGGGGACGAGAAGAGCGAGACTGTGGCTGGAGAGAAACCGGCAGAGATGCTCTGCAGGACGGATCGGGACCCGCGAGAGCCGCTGGCCCGTGTCCTCAGCGGCTGTGGCCTCTGCATTTCTCCCCGCTGGGCAGGGTGGAGCCTGTCAGGAGTGGTGCCTAGATCTTTGCATTCGAAGCTGCCTTTGCAGGACTTGGGCCCAAATGTTTCCTTGAGCTCCAAGGTCTGGGTCCGCTTGTGGCCACTGAGGAAGAGCTTGTCGCTTCCAGGTCTGCGTTGGGGTCTGATGTGGACGATGGGACGTCCTTCCTGCTGACTGCTGGTCCCAGCTCGTGGCCGGGTGAGTGGGGCCCTGGGTTCAGGGCTGGTCCCCCCGCGTAAGCACCTGATATGAGCTGGGGAATTGGGACTCAGGCCTAGCGTGTGTCAGGGGGCCCCAGGGTCTGTGTCTGAGCCCCCGTTTTCTCCACCGTTGGTGCTTAGCTGTTGGGCCGTGTCTGGTATTGAGCGTTATAGGTGATATGTGAGTGTGTGAGTGAACGTGATGTGGACGAGCCTGCATGAGAGCTGGCGGTGCTTGGAGCCCTGTATTCTTCCCCTTGACCCTGTGTCAGCGAGGCCCCTGGTCCAGCCCGTGCTGGCCGGCAAAGGTGTATGGCCCTGTGACATGGCGTGTGTCCATTCCATTTAGGATTTAGTGTTTGGGAGCCCGTTCCTGGTTCTGGTCCAACAGGTGTCCTGGGTCTGGGGCCACCAGGTATGAGCTCACCCACCTCATCACAGCCTCTGTGCAGCGGGGACAGGGCAGGGCAGACGGACTGAGGTGGGAGCTCTGTTCCTCCGACCCCACCTGTCTGCCTCAAGCTCCCAGAGCACCTGCCTGCCCTGCCGATGTGTCCTGTTTGCTTCCAGGGTCTCTGGAGGGTCGAGGAGGCAGTGGCCCTGCATGGGCCCCAGCTGAGAGCAGTCCACTGGATGTTGGAGAGCCAGGCTTCCTAGGGGACCCTGAGCTTGGCTCCCAGGAGCTCCAGGACAGCCCTCTGGAGCCGTGGGGCCTGGATGTGGACTGTGCAGGCCTGGCCCTGAAGGACGAGGTGGAGAGCATCTTCCCTGACTTCTTTGCCTGCTAGCAGCCAGGCTGTGGAGAGGAGGCGGGCGGGGCCGGTGGATCTGGAGCCGTGTGTGTCCCTGTCGCGTGCTTGGGCATTTTATTTTGGGTTTGGGTTGCAGCTGCACCCTAATTTGAGCGAGGCTTACAGGCTGTGAGAAGAGGATAGTGAATATTAAAGAGGGAAAGCAGTTTTCCTGGAGGAAGCAAAACCTGTGTGGCTTCTGTGTAATTAGCCTGATTCATCAGGCGGATCGCGCCACCTCCGTTCAGCGTTCAGGCAGCTGCCGGGGATTTTGTTCTCCAAAGTTCTCAGCACTGCGAAATCCCGGAATAACCCAGTCCTGGTGCCCTGGGGTAGGGGTGCTGTGGGACCTGCTCCCTGGAGGCGATGTGGCCTCACGGTCTTGGTGCCTGGAGGCTGCTCTGTGAGCTGCTTTTCCTGCTCGTTGCCACTCAGAGCTGCAGGGAGGAGAGTCCTTTAGGAAAAGCCTGCTGTCCTCTCCCAGCCCAGGGGGCTCCAAGGGAAGGGCTGGCTTCCACCTCCACTGCTGGTCATCTCTGCACTCACTGTGCATGGGGAATAGGGGACCCTGGGCAGAGGTCACCTGGCCTCAGTGTCTGGTCCTATTCCCAGCCCTACACCCTGAGATCTGGAGGGGAGCTGGGTTACTTCGGGGTCGGGGTGGGCAGGTTACTTAGAGGAAGGGCCGAGCTCTTTGGATGGTGCTTAGGTGCCCGCCTGTTCTTCAGCCACAGCACAGGTGGTGCTGGTCTCCGACCCCGGATGCTCAGGGTCTCACCCTGCTATCCCCATCTGGATAGCACGCCCACCAGGGCAGTGTTCCAGGGGCCAGCGCAGTCTCTGTCGCCCAGGTAGAGGAAACAGGTCTGAGCGTGGGCTCAGAGCCCCACCAGGCTGCAGCCCTGTGCCTGCATGCAGCCGCCCCCGCAGCCAGCCAGAATGTTCCATTCATTCCTCTGAGTCATTCAGGCAAAGGCTTAGGAGGGCCTGCCGTGGGCAGGAGGTTAGGAGGCTCCAGGGAGCAAGCGCCGTGCAGACACCAGGCTGTGGGTGGCGGGCAGACCCCAGGGGGCTTTGGTGAGGGGCCCAAGGCCATCAGGACTGGCTCTGAGCACCCATCGTGGTCCCTTGGAAGGAGGTTCAGGTCCAGCTGGATGCCTGAGGCTGTTGGCTGCAGAACAGCATCCCTGGGTTGCCAATGCCACCGGGCACTGATGGCCCGTGTTGCTGAGACCCTGCGACAGAGGCGGAGGAGCCTTCAGACCTCTGGTGGACAGAGTGGTGGTCGGGGCCCAGCCGGGAGCACGAGGCTGCTCTTCCGTGTTCTGTTCATTAGGGGTCGACACAGGCAGCCAGATTTCAAGAGTGTCTCCTAGAAGACCATTGTGTTCACTACTGCACGGCCGTAAAGCGATACTTAAGACTGGGTGATGGAGGAAGAAAAGAGATTTAGTCGGCTCACGGTTCTGCAGGGTGTACAGGAAGCGTAGTGACTTCTGCTCCTGGGAGGCCTCAGGAAACTTCCAATCATGGCAGAAGGCAAAGCGGGAGCAAGCACATTACGTAGAGTGGAAGCAAGAGAGAGGAGGGAGGTCCCAAACTCTTCAACAACCAGATCTCACGTGAACTGACAGCGAGGACTCACTCATCACCAAGGGGCTGGCACTAAGCTATTCGTGAGGGACCTGCCCCCATGATCCAGTCATCTCTCACCAGGTCCCACCTCCAACACTGGGGATCACATTTCGACATGAGATTTGGAGGAGACGTCCAGACTGTAGTACCGTGTGTGCATGTGTGTGCACACGCGTTCGTGGGTATGCACAGCTTCGTGCTAGTACTCGAGTGCGCATCCATATGTTGGTGTGCGTGTGTGTGTGTCCCATGTGTTGGTGTGTGTCCACGTTTGCACTGTGGTTGTGTGTGTGTACTGTTGCCATGTGTGCGTTTGTGTGCTGTGTTGTATGTGCGTTTCTGTTCCCATTTGTGTTGGTACGCATGCTTTTGCACTGTGCAAACTGCAGTTGTGTGTGTGCATGGGTGCTTGTGCCAGGTGTTGGTATGTGCATGTCTGTGTGCAGTGTGCACATATGTGTACGGTATTGGTGTCTGCATGTGTGTGTACTGTGGTGTGCATGTGTGTGATGTCTCCACTGTGGTGTGCATGCGTGTGTGCACTGTGTTGGTGTGTGCATGCATGTTTGTGCACTGTCGGCCCGTGTGCATTGTGTGCACTGTGTTGGTGTGTATGCATGTATTTGTGCTCTCGTGTGTACGTGTGTGCACTGGTGTGTGCATGTGCATATGTGTGTGCTGTTCGCAGTGTGTGTGTGCACTGTGCTGGTGTGTGTGCATGTATGTGCACTGTGTTGGTGTGTATGTGTTTGTGCTCCCGTGTGTGTTGGTGTGCGTACATGGTTGTGACTATTGGTGTGCATGCCTATATTTGCACTGGGTGTATGTATCAGCCCTGCTCCGGCTGACCAAGGAGACCCTACCACCCCTCCGGTCGGCACCCAGCTGCCCCTGGCTGTCACGAGCTGAGTGGGGCGTGGCTGTCCAAGCATGAAGGTGGCCATGGGGTGGCGCGGCAGGGTGGGCCACTGTGCTGCCTGGCTTCCCCTCAGTGTTGTTCCATGGCCAGCATGGGGGGAAGAGTCCATGCTGCACCCCAACTGGGAGCCGGGGGTCCCTGGTCAGGGCCGCACCTAGTCACCTTCCACAGCCCAGCACGAGGCCCTCCCTCCCCTTTCTTTCCAGAAACTTCCAGAATCTTCCTGACTCCTGGACTTTTCTGGCCTTTTGACCCTCATCAGCTGTCCCTGCAGTGGTTCCCGGTGCCCAGGTCATGGCTTGTGTGTGTGTCTCCTCGGCCCACAGTGTGTGAGAAGCCTTGGTCCTCCTTAATGTCCGGGGGCTCCTTGGAAGAGGAGGCCTGAGGAGAGGATGGCACACCTTGGACCCTTGAGGCGGTTTGGGGGAGGTGCTGGGTCACATGAGGGTGGGGTGGGAGGTGGGGTCTAGGGAGGCCCCAGGAGTGAACTCTGATGCCCATCTGAAGGGTCTCCACCAACGGGTTTCGGGGCTGGCAGTGGGAACCAGCATGCAGACGGGAGTGGGGTGCCCTCCCCCTGCCTGCCCTCAGCTGTCTCTGAATCTCTTCACCCAGGAGGTGCAGGAGGCCCCCAGCTCCGAGACGCACATGCTCAGCTGCCCCTCTGGGAGCTACATTCTCTCTCCAGGCGTCCACGCTGGGGTCGTGCCTGGTTCCCTGAGGGGAGGGGTGGGGTGGGCAGGTGTATCAATCCCTTTTCATGCTGCTATAAAGAACTGCCCAAGACTGGGTAATTTTATAAAGGAAAGAAGCTTAATTGACTCACAGTTCAGCATTGGCTGGGGAGGCCTCAGGAAACTGACAAATTGTGGCGGAAGGGGAAGGAAACACATCCTTCTTCACATGGTGGCAGCAGCAAGGAAAAATGCAGAGCGAAGCGGGAGAGAACCCCTTAAAAAACCATCAGATCTCGTGAGAACTCACTATCACGAGAACAGCATGAGGGTCACCGCCCCCATGATTCCATTACCTCCCACTGGATCCCTCCCAGGACTCGGGATTACGGGGACTGCAATTCAAGATTTGGGTGGGGACACAGCCGGACCACGTCAGCCGGCTCCAGGTTCATCTCCGTGCGCAGCATGAGCGGGAGTGGGCAGGTGGGCTGCCTGGAGGAACCCCCAAGGCTGTGGGCTGGATGCCTGTCTGCCTGAGGGTCACCAGTGTGTCCCTCCCATGGGCCTTGGGAATGGACATCCGAGTCTGGGAGGTGCGGGATTCTGTCCTTTGGTGAGGGAGGTGAGAGGGGGAGGCTGGCGGTGGGTGCGTGTCGGGTTTGGGCTGCTGTGGAGGCCCCCATTCACATCTGGGCCCTTGGACACCTCAGACATAGGAGCGGAGCATTCGGGCCTGGCCCTTGGCCCTCACTCTCCTTTCCCTGCTCCCCATTATCTCTGCCGTCCCCAAAGTTCAGGCCTCCGTTGGTGGCACCCATGAGTGCCCCTTGCCCTGGGCCCTGCCTGGCCTGTGAGTTGTTCCTTTGGCTCTGCCTTCCGGGTTCACCCACAACCCCTGGCCCAGCTGGCAGCCGGGCCAGGCTTAGTTCTGTCCTGTCCTGGATGCTGCCTGCGACGCAGCCTCACCAAGCCCATATCTCATCTGTCAAATGGGCTTGGTAGAGAGGGGAGGAGTGAGAGTGGATAGAGCTAAATCACTCAGAGTAGTGTCTGATGCTAAGTAGACACCTCATAGGGTTTCAGACTCATCTCTGGGAGGATTTATTGAGCTGATGAACGCGCAGCTGCAGACGCAGGCAGAGGGCTCCACGCACCCGGGGGTTTTGTTTCAGCAGCTGCATTGAGATGGAATTCACATCCCGTGCAATGTGATTGGTGTCTGGAGGCACCATCCAGGGCCATCAGCATACTGCACACATTGCCTGCTTCTCCACACTCCTCCCCACCTCCACACCCCCGTCCCTCACCTGCATGGAGGTGGCAGCTACCTGCCTGGTCTCCCTGCGCTGTCCTGGGCCTGCAGGATGCTCTCCTCACGGTGCCCAGCATGAGCCTGACATCACACATGACGGTGTCACCTGCTTTTACAAGTATGTCCGGGCTCCACTCATCTCCTTGGCTTGTGAGGTCTGCAGGGTCCTGGGTGGCCACAGAGGAGATTGATCAAGAACGTGGCCTGTGATTGACACATAATTGTGTCACAGTGATTGACAATAAGGTTGTGCTCGACCTGGGAGCGGCTTCTGGCTGGAGGGATTGTGACCCTGCAGGACGGGGGTCCAGCCTCGCTGACATCGAGCAGTGGCTTCCAGGCTGCAGGAACTGTGACCCTGCAGGACGGGGGTCCAGCCTCGCTGACATCGAGCAGTGGCTTCCAGGCTGCAGGAACTGTGACCCTGCAGGACGGGGGTCCAGCCTCGCTGACATCGAGCAGTGGCTTCCTGGCTGGAGGGATTGTGACCCTGCAGGACGGGGCTCCGGCCTCGCTGACATGGAGCAGTGGCTTCTGGCTGGAGGGATTGTGACCCTGCAGGACGGGGGTCCAGCCTCGCTGACATGGAGCAGTGGCTTCCAGGGGATGCCCTCAGGGCTGACGGCCACACCCTCAACGCTGTGGGATTTCCTGGCCCCATGGTCCCCAGAACCGTGGTCACTGCACCGTCAAGGCTCCCTTGGCTCCAGGCAGCGACGTTGCCACCTCCACTGTGTTCAAGCCAGTCCTGGCCTCCCTGGATGCCCCTGCTGGCTCCTCCCTGGGACCAGAGAGGCACTAACACCCAGCCCTTGACCCAGGAGGCAGCCCTGTCCTGCCCTCTGTGGGCTCTTAGAACGCTGAAGCCCCGGGAAGCTGCGGAAACTTCTGGTCTGCGTTGGGACCGCCTTCCTGAAGTGTGGCCCACGGACCCCTTCCTGAGAGAAGACACTGGGGGAGTGGGGGCATCGGGAGGGTTTGGGCCAGTCCTTCCCTGGGAGGCCGCCAGCTATTTCCCAGCCTGTTTGGCCAGGAGCGGCGGGAAGGCAGGAAGTACGGCTGGTGGGGCTGGCAGGAGTGTGGTCGGTCAGACATCACCACCCTGGTCAGCCTGGGAGGTGGGCACTGCTGTGTCCCCAGGTTACATGAAAGAGAAGCAGATGTGGGGCTCCCTGGGGTACCTCTTGGGAAACAGAGCTTGGAGGGATCAGCTGGACCCCAGGTGAGCCCACCGGCCTCTGAGGCCCAGGCCTCCCTGGAGCCTAGGGTGTCAGCCTCTGCTGTTCTGAAGCACAGCCTGGCCCTGAGGGCAGGGAAGGCCCCACCCGCCACTGGCTCTGGGACAAGATGCTGAGGTTGGTCCCCAAAGCAGTGAACTAGGGCAGGCCCATGTGTTGACCCTGGAAGGGGTGACACCTCCTTTTGGGCTCCCTGTCTCCCTGGTCCACTCCCACCACGTGGTCCTGGCACCCCCAGGGGACCCACCACCTCAGCCCTTGTCTGCCCAGGGGTGTCCCCCTGGGCCCAGCCCCAACAGCCAGAAATCTCGGTGCTCCTTCCTGCTTCCCCACGCCATCCCGCCCTGGCCTCACCTGCCCACCTTGCCCCCACGGCAGTTAGGATGGACGTGCCTACCTTTCCACACTGCACGGCTGGTGGGCCCACCCGCGAGAGGCCGAGTCCGCTCGCAGTCAGCAGGCCATGACCCATCACATGCTGGTCACAGCGCTGGCCGGGGGCACCTTCCACTGGGAGGGTGTGGGGGTCTGGGCAAAGCCACTTGTGAGGCGGGGAGGAGGGTGCTGCACTCACCCATGGAAGCCCCCCCTGGCTGTCAAAGGGGCCTGGCACCAAGGGAGGGGCGTGTCCTCAAGGACTGAGGTGGCCGCCTGGTTTTTATCCAGGGCGAGGACCCCCCCTGCCCACAGTGGATGTACTCAATGGTGCCAGCTCTAAGGAACATGGGTTCTGGGTCCTCCCAGAACCTCCTGGAGTAGCAGGGTCTCGGCTTCTTGGGGGTGATGAGAGAGACGTTCTGGATCAATGTGAGTTTCCTCATTCCTCTGCTGACTTAAGGGATTCCAGGTTGGACCAGAAGGGTTAGCAGGACGGACAGATGCTCTGTGTTATCCTCAAGGGGGGTGGCAGCTGAAGCCACATGGAATCGCTCGTTGGAGAGGTGGGGTTTCCTCCTTAGCGAGCACGAGGGTCAGTTATACCTTCCTTGCTTGCCTGTAGCCCTCCAGCCTGAGAGGCAGAGACGTTGGCCAAGGCAGGCCACAGACAGGTGGAGTTGGGTTTGTGCCAGAGCCAGCTCCTCCCTACCTGGCCACCCCCTGGGGCAGATGGGGGCAGAGCTGGGCCAGCCAGGGGCAGCCTTTATGTGCGAACTGCCTTTCCCCGGGGACAGGCCGTGGGGTCTGCGCTTTCCTTTGCTGGGTTTTCTGAGTGATTTGTTGCTGCCTAGCCTCCTCTAGGCTGTTCCAGTCACTGCTCCTAAAGTGCCCTGTGTCTGTGTTTGGATGGACCTCAAGGCCCCGATAACAGCACAGTGGCCACCAAGATGCAGATGCTTTTTGGCAAAGACAATGAACTTTGGACCTCGAGGTCTGGCCCCCAGGTGCCTTTCTGAGGAGCAGGAGCTGGGCTAGGGGCCTGGGGCTTCCACCAGGTCAGACACAGCCAGGCCAGGCTGCTGTGTGCAGGCAAGACCTTTCCCAGCCACCGCTGTTCCAGGGCCACCCTCCCTGTGTTCCCATGGATGCACATCCTGCGGCTGCTGCCCCCAAAGACACAAGGCCCCGAGCTTCACAGAGACATGAATGGGGCCTCTGCTTGTGTGCACTGTGGGCCTGGCTGGGTGCGAGGCCGGGGAGGGGGCTCTTCAAAGGATCATGAGTGGCACAGCACACACTCAGGAAGAGGCCTCGGCTCCTGGAGCCTTGGCGCCACTGCAGGGGGCTGGGAGAGGCCCGTCCGCCGAGGGTCCTCTGACCCCACTCCTCCTAGAGCAGAGCTGTGCAGGGGCCCACGCACTCCCCCTGCAGTGACCAGGAGCCCCAGGGCTGCCCTTTCCAGTTCCAGGGAGCCAGCCAAGGAGCGCCAAGGCCACCCGGGAGCAGAGCTGCCCACCCCAGGTAGAAGCGATCTGGTTTCTCATGCACAAATCCGTCGAGGACCCTCCGGGGCTCCTGGTAGCTGGGCCCACTGAGCAGCTCCGATTCCTACCCCCTCACCGCCCTGCTGACCTTCTCCCCCGAGTGTCACCCCACGCTGGCCCACCCCGGGTCACCCCACCCCCAGGCCACCCCACCCCCGGCTCACCGTCCCCCAGGCTCACCCTATCCCTGGCTCACCCCACCCCCGGCTCACCCCACCCCCGGCTCACCCCACCCCCGGCTCACCCTACCCCTGGCTCACCCTATCCCTGGCTCAACCTACCCCCGGTGATCCTACCCCCCGGTCACCCCACCCCCGGCTCATCGCATCCCTGGCTCAACTCACCCCAGGCTCACCTCATCTCCGGCTCACCCTACCCCTGGCTCACCCTATCCCTGGTCACCACAGCCACAGGTCACCGCAGACACAGGTCACCCCTATTCTGCACTTGGTGTTGCCTCAGCCCAGAGGTTTCCTGGGGGATGTGTCCCCGGCACCACAGGCTGGAGTCTGACCCTCCAGGGGCATTTTTGAGGAAGACGGGGATTGGGGTGGGAGTGCGGGGGGGAGGGTCTCCCTCCTGTGAACCACTGGTCACTTTACTGGCGTCTGCCTTATAAATGGGGTGGGGTTGTCAGGGGCAAAAACTGACCCCCATCACGTCTTTGGTGCAGTTTTGGGGTCCCGAGTGGGAGGAGTGGGAGCTGTGACCTTGGGGGGAGGGGAGGGCTCAGGGAGGGTTAAAGGACAGCCCTGAGGGTCTTCCCAGGAGGGGGTGATTCCTCTCCGTGGTGTCAGGGCCCAGCACTCACCAAAGAGCCACCCCCATCGCCTCCCTGTCCTTTTATGGGAGCGTCTGATGCCCAAAATAGGGCTGTGATCCCTGCCACAGACACCCGTGGGTCCAAGCGGGAGATGCCGAAGGCGTGTGTGCAGTGCTGGGGTGTCATAATGCCCCTTCCAACAGCACCTGCCTCGCCCCGACCTGGTTGGGCTCAGCTGGCAGCCCCCCACGCCTGTGACGCGTGGCCATAAACATGGGTGAACCAAGGTAGGAGCGAGTGGGGGGATGCAGAGGCCCCAGTCGGCTGCCTCTTGTAAAGTGGGGATCCGTTGTGCCCTCCAGGCGGGGGGCTCTGTGATCGATTTCCTCCCCAGAGGGGACCAGGCTGCCCCGAAGTGCATCCCAGTACCCTCCCCACCAGGTGCTGCTGTCTCTGGAATCAGGATTTCTGAAACCACCTTCGGCAGGGCCACGGAGCAGCGTCTAGCTCTCTGATGGTAAGATGGGGTCCATTTCCCCTCATTCTGCGGCCCCCTTCCCTGGAGAGTGTTGGGGTGGAATTGGGGTGGAATGGAGCCATGGGCAGTCCGGCTGCTGAGGCTGTGTTGTGCCTGGGCACTGCCCGCCATGGCTCTTCCCTGCCAGGATGGGGCAAGCAGCCATGTCCTCAGGTGGCTGGGAGCAGCCCTGGACTTCTCCATGTTGCATTCACAGCCCAGCCCTGGGGGTTCCTTGGAGCTCCAGGGTTCTGGGCACAGCATGTGCTCAGAGAACGTGCTTCAGGACCTGGAATGGGCTCTACAGTCAGTGGACGTTGATTCAGCCCAGGAACTGTGCTGGGAGGCCACTTTGGTGCCAGGACAAGGGAGGGGACTCGTTTTTCCTGGGTGAACTGCCAAGTTCATAAGCTGGGCTGTCTCTTCTCTTCTCCTCCAAGGGCCCATCCCCCAGCAGGGCCAGACCCCAACCACGTAAGAGCCCTGGGCAGAGGAGCGGAGCTGAAGGAAGGGAACTAGAAGGGCCAGCCCCTTTAAGGGGCTTGCAAGGTTACTCGAAGGGTGCGCAGGTCCATGTAGTGGGGCAGGAGGCTGTCGCCAAGGAGGACCCGTCAGGCACAGGGACAGAGAACTGTCATTGCAGAGGAGGGGAGGGGGAGGCACCCCCAGTTGTGTGTTCTCTCCCCGAGAAGGCTGTGATGGGGCTAATGACTCACTCATGCTCCTGGCTTCCCCACATGAGCCCTCCTGGGAGTCCCCCAAACCCATGCTGTGCTCACCTTGGCCTCGGAAGTGGGACTCTGTTGGATGTCAGGGTGACAGCTGCTCCCCCTCAGGGCTGGCCTGGGGTGGGAGGGGCACAGTGCAGGTGTGGAGCGGTGACTCTCTTAAATCCCAAGCGCAGGCCCCGTCTCTGCCAGGTCCCTAGCAGAAGAGGAGAGAGGCAGGCGGGAAGGGAGGGCGGGAGGCCCCGGGCAGTGGCCTGGTGGATGCCTGGCTTGGGTCCTGCTCGGAGAGCCCAGCCTCGGCCCTTGCTCGGCTCCCCTGCAGTGGCCAGTGGGGAGGTGTGAGGGGCACCCCCTAGGCCCTCCACATTTTGGGGTTGCTCCTTCCCCTGCAGGGGGCCTGCTGTCCCAGGAGTGGGTCCAGCCAAGGGTCAGGCTGGCGGGGACCCCAGCAAACATCTGGTCCTACGGGAGGGAAACTGAGGCACAGAGAGGGCAGGGACTGGCTGCACCCAGGACTCCCAGCTCCTGGCTGGCCCTGCCCAGAATTGTGTCATTTTCCCGGGTCAGATCCAAGGGTGGCCCCCACTCAGGGCTAGGTGTGAGGCTGGGGAGATGGGGGCCACCCGGCCTCTTCCTAGATTGGCCGCTTCTCCAGCATCTTCTTCCTCGCAGAAGGCCTGGGCTCAGAGGTGCGTTTGCTCTCCTCGTCATTCTCCTCCCCCTCACTTTTCTGGGTCGGGTGTGCCCAGGTGTGGGCTGGCCGGCGGGGACAGGTGCAGAGGATGCGGCAGTAGGAGGCTGCCCAGGCCTCCCCATTTCCCGCCCCTGCCTCAGGCCTCCCAGACAGGGAAGGTGTTCACTCACTCATTCTTCATTCATTCATTGATTTACTTGGGGCTCCAGCCTCCCAGAAATGCACAGAGGGGGTTCAGGGCTGGGCCAATGATGAGGACGACACTGGGGGCTGTGGACGCCTGGGCAGGGGCTCCTTGTCAGACTCGGGGCTCAGGAAAGGCTACCTGGAAGGGGAAGTGCAGCTGAGGCTGTGTAAGAGTCACCCATGAAGGGCCGGGTGGAGTGGCTCACACCTGTAATCCCAGCACTTTGGGAGGCCGAGGCGGGCGGATCACGAGGTCAAGAGATCGAGACCATCCTGGCCAACATGGTGAAACCCCGTCTCTACTAAAAATAGAAAAAAAAAAATTAGCCGGGCATGGTGGCAGGTGCCTGTAATCCCAGTTACTTGGGAGGCGGAGGCAGGAGAATCGCTTGAACCCAGGAGGCAGAGGTTGCAGTGAGCTGAGATTGTGCCATTGTACTCCAGCCTGGGCAAAAAGAGCTAAACTCTGTCTCAACAACAACAACAAAATCACCCGTGAAGGACAGAGGATGGGACGTGGTGGCTGAGCACATGTAGAGGCCTGGGACTGAGGACAAGCTCTGCCCCTCAGGGGACTGGGGGCTGCAGACAGGGACAGCCAGGCTGGGCTACGGGAGAGGCAGGGCCTTGGACACCAGCACGTGTTTAGAGTTCATCCTGCAGGGCAAGGTGTGCCCCTGGAGGGTGTTATGTGAATGAGGAGGCTCCCCCGGTGGCAGAGGGAGGGCTGGGCTGAGGCTCCCTGAGATGTGCTGTCCACTAAGCACTGGAAAAACAAGCAATCAAATTACGAATAAACATAATAAATATCCAAAAAAGTACAACCCGCTGGGGCTGGTCTCAGGTTGGAGGCAGGGTGGCAGCCACTGGGGGAGAGGGGCCTGAGCGGAGGGACTGTAAGGCCAGTTGGGGCTGGAGGGAGGGTCCGGAGACGTGACTGCCTGCTCTGACGTCCTCGTTGGAGTCCTGTCATGGAGTCCCGCTGGCCTCCACGGGGAGGCATTGAGATGGGGGTGGTTTTCTGGGGTCCCCCATGCAGGCTGCAGCAGAGACAGGGTGGCATCCTGGGGTCCTGGATCTAGTCTGCAGAGCTGGGGTCCTGGGTGGAGAGAGGAAGTGCCGGATGCCAGGGAGGGTGTATGGGGATGGGCCTGCCCCTGGCGCCGGTTCCCAAGGGTACCTGCTCTTCCCTGGCAGCCTCTGAGGGCAGATGCTGGCTTGGGGTCCCTGCCTCCCCTGGAGGGTCACACTCCCCAGCCCAGCCCAGCACTGTATCTGTTTTACTTTAGGTCCCAGGTCACTGCTGGACCCTGGGTCTCACACTTGACTGTGACCCCCCCCCCAACCCCAGTCCCCAGCAGCAGGGGCTTCCCCGACTGAACCACGGATGCCCGGCTCGGGGATTGGAGAAGGCTTCACGGGTCTCTGCTGAGTCAAATCCAACTTAAAAAGGTGACTATCTTTGCCTCTTTAAAAACATATATTTTTTTCATTTAAAAAATGTGCCACTTTCCCCAAGCCCTTGGGATACAGTGACAGCCCCTTCAGTGCCCTCACTACCCTGTGTCTGTGCTGAGGCCCTGTGCGGCCCCACACCCTGCCTCCTGCCCCGTCCTGGTGAGGTGTCCCCTCTGGGAAGCCCCATCGGACACTCGGCCTGGGGGTCCCTCCACCAGCTCTCAGGGCCCCTGTGCCTTCCTGCGGAGCAGCTGACCCTTGGTGTGGAACCTGCTGGTCACCAGGGGTGGGTGGTAGCTTGGGTGCAGCACTGGTTGGTGGCCAGCACCTGGTGCCCTGGGATTTGGGGAGAAGCCCCCTGCCCACAGAGCACACTGGTCCTGGCTCAATCGTTTGTTGGATACACAGGAAAGGTCTCCAGGTAGGGAGGGAGGGGCTGCTCCCCATGCAGTGTAAATTCTTCTTCCCTTCTCTTCCATGTGAAAGTGTCTGTTTCTGGCTTCTGGCCTGAGGCTGCACTTCCCAGCCAGTCAGAAGGGCCATCCTGCAGGCTGCAACCGTTTATGAGCAATAAAGCTCTCCTTTCCAAATGTATGAGCCTTGTCATTCTTTAGTTGACATGATTGGGGGCCCCCCACAATCTCCCTCACCATAGTGGCTAAAGCATGGCCGTCAAAAGGCAGGGGCACTGGGTCAATCTGCTGGAGCCCTGTGTGTCGGGAAGCTGTGTGGCATTAAGGAAGGAGACCACTACTGCTCTTGCTGCCCTCCTCCCCCAACCTTGCCTAGTTCACAAGACAGGAGAGAAAAAGTGAAAAGTGGAAAAAAACAAAAGTAAGATAAACAGCCAGACAACCTTGTCACCACTACCCAGCCCTAGGAGTTAAAAAAAGTAATAATAATAACATCAACCCCTGACCTAAACTACTTGTGTTATCGGTAAATTCCAGACGCTGTATGAAAAAAGCGTTGTGAAACTTTTTGTTCTGTTAGCGGATGCGTGTAGCCCCCGGTCACGTTTCCCACGCTTGCTTGATGTATCACGACCTTTTCACGTGGACCCCTTAAAGTTGTAAGCCTTTAAAAAGGCCAAGAATTTCTTTTTCGGGGACCTCGGCTCTTAAGACGTGCGTCTACCGACGCTCCCGGCTGAATAAAAACCTCTTCCTTCTTTAATCCGGTGTCTGAAGAGTTTTGTCTGCAGCTCCTCCTGCTACAGCATCACCTGGGACGAGCCCCTGGGCAGCCCCGGCCACCGGAGAGACCGCCTGCCAGCCCCACCCCAACAGTGCACACGTGGCTCCAGCGACCCAAACGGGATGACTCAGTGTCCATCCTTGGAAGAGTAGACAGAGGAAGCATAGGGACGTTCTGTACAGCAGTGGTAGAGCCATGGAGATGACAAATCACAGCTGAGACCAACAACTGGGTGATTCTCAGAGATGAGGATTTTAAAAATATACCTAACAACCTGAAACAGCAGAATAGTGCTCACCTGTGAGGAGGGGAGGGGATAGTGCTGACCTGGGGGTAGGGGGAGGGGATAGTGCTGACCTGTGGGGAGGGGGAGGGGATAGTGCTCACCTGTGGGGAGGGGAGGGGATAGTGCTGACCTGTGGGGAGGGGGAGGGGATAGTGCTCACCTGTGGGGAGGGGAGGGGATAGTGCTGACCTGTGGGGAGGGGGAGGGGAGGGGATAGTGCTCACCTGTGGGGAGGGGGAGGGGAGGGGATAGTGCTGACCTGTGGGGAGGGGAGGGGATAGTGCTCATCTGTGGGGAGGGGGAGGGGATAGTGCTGACCTGTGGGGAGGGGAGGGGATAGTGCTCACCTGTGGGGAGGGGGAGGGGAGGGGAGGGGATACTGCTCACCTGTGGGGAGGGGAGGGGATACTGCTCACCTGTGGGGAGGGGAGGGGATAGTGCTGACCTGTGGGGAGGGGGAGGGAATAGTGCTCACCTCTAGGGAGGGGTGGGGATAGGTTTGGGGGTGCAGAAGGACTGCTGGGTGGCCATTGCACACGTGTATGCCTTGTGAGAATTCAGTGAGTTGTGCATTGATGTTTTTGTGTGTTACATGCTGCCAAAAATAAGTAGACAGGAGGCCCCAGCGCTGGTAAGAGGTTGATTTGGGCCTGAGTGTGGGCAGAGCTTTGGGGGTGCAGTGTTTGCACGGGGAAGGGTGGCATGGGGCTGGGTGAAGCAAGGGAGGCCAGCCCAGAAGTGGTTTCAGTGGGCCCTGAGGCCAGGTGCCCGCAGCCCCACTGGGTGGGTTTGCTCGGCCACCACTCAGCCACTCGGCGCCTCAGGAACAGAAGGGGGTTTGTGGATGCTCCCCTCTTTCCCTAGTGGTTTTCTCTTTTGTCCCCAATGCCTTTTCATGACCCATCTGGAGAGCAGATCTTGTGCAAGGTGAGGAAGAGCAGGAGAGCCGAGGGCTTGGGCTCTGCCATTGGGAACGCTGCTGGGGCTGCCAGGTTCTGGAAGCTTCCTCTAATTCTCAGCTTCATAGGAGATTTGAGCAGCAGCAGCGGTTGAATTTGCAGAGCACTTTTTCTGCGCGGAAGCAGAGGCTGGGTTGGCCTCACTGGGCCTGGGGATATGGGGGCTGCAGGTGAGGGAGGGGAGAGAAGGCCTGGGCCTGGCCTGACTGCGGGAGACACAGCCTCAGGGAAGGCTGGGCGGGCAGAGGGCCTGGGAAGCTGCCAGGAGCTCAGGCAAAGGCCTGGAGGGATGGGGGCAGGGTGGCCCACCAGGAGCTGGGGAGTGAGGGGCTCTGCGGGGGAGAAGGGGGTGACAGTGGCTGTGCGTGGCACCTTGGGACCGGCCAAGTGGATTTGTGCTTGTGTGTACCTGGCATCGACATTTGCTGAAAGGAGGTCAATGCTCTCTCGCCGTCGAAGTCTGATGTTGGCATGGGTGATGGGTGGCCTGCCAGGGTGGAAGAAAGCAGGGGGCAGGTAGCTGGATTTAACATTTCACAGCCCCAGCCACGGTCATACCTCAGCCACAACCCCAGCCGTAGACACAACTACAGCCACGGCCGCAGCCATGGCCACCCACCCCCCAGCCACAGCCACAGCCACCACCACTGACATGGCCACAGCCACGGCCACAGCCACGGTCACTGCAACCACAGCCATGGCTGTGACCACAGCCTCCAGGCATGGTCACTACCACGGCCACAGCCACAGCCCCCGTCACTGCCCCAGCCCCAGCCCCAGTCCCAACCCCAACCCCAGCCCCAGTCCCAGCACATTCCAGTCTGCAAGCTTTGTCACAGCCTTGAGCCCCCTGGGCTGCTGGCACCTCAAGGCCACACTTCATGTGAGGAGAGAGCTCCCCTCAAAACTGTGCCTCTGAGCTTGGGGTGCCTGGAGTCCCTCGTGTCCTGGGGGGTTCTTTTAACTTTATTTTGAATGAAAGAAATGCTGATGGGGAAGACTCAAAAGCCTCAAGAGACCCAGGTCCCGTCTTGGTGCAAGGCTGGGATGGGGAGAGGCCGCCGGATGGAGTGGGCAGGAAAACTGGAACTGGCTTTTCCTGGGACTGTGACGTCACCATTGCAAGAGCGTTTCCAAGGTCACCTTGCAGAGCGCGTGCAGTAGAGGCCATGCATTCTGTCCACAGCATGGAGGCGCCGCCACCTGCCCGCTGCCGTCAGCACAGGCACCTGGGCTCGTGGGCATTTCAGGTCAGCATCATCCATGGATCACAAAGTGCTGATTCTCTGACAAGCAGAAGGCAGGCGCCCAGGTGCTCCGTTAGCCAAAGGGAGGCTCCAGTGCCGAAGACAGGCAGACGGCCATGGCGCACACAGACCACGGTGTACACAGGCCACGGTGCACACAGACCACGACACACACAGACCATGGTGTACACAGGCCATGGTGCACAAAGACCACGGCGCACACAGGAGCCAAGAAAATGTTCATGAAGCTGCGAGCAGGAAAGCGCGGATTTCCACGTGGAGAGGACCTTGTCCATGGTGATGCCGATGTGTGGGGATCACCGTCAGTGCGTTGCTTGTAGGAAGGCAGCTGAGATTTTACTCTGGGTTGGGTATTTTTAAATTCAAATTGGCCCCCTGCATTTTCCTTCTATCCTCACTGGGAAATAGAGGAACGCCTTGTTGGGTGCCCAGGCTGCCCTAGCTCAGCACCTCTGAACTTTCCTTTCATATCATCTTCCCAATGTTGCTGTATCTAAGAGGCTGATCTTTTTGTTATTTGCTGTATGGATTTGTTTGTCTAAATCAGCTTACTCCTACCTGTCAGGTGGGTGTGTGCTGAGGAACAAGAACCCAGGCTGATCCCAGACATGCAGCTGTGTCCCTGGGCGGGAGCTGGACACCTGCGGGCTCTGCCCCACGAAAGCCCTGTCCTGTAGCCCATGCCAGCCCATGCCAGCTCCTGGGTCCTGGGCCACAGACTCCTCCAGCTCAGTTGCCGTCAGCCCGAACGAGGGAGATGGGGCTGTCGGGTTAGAAGCCTCATGGCCACACCAGCCGTCGGCCTCCCAGGCTGTCTTCTCCTCATCACAGGGACGAGATGACAGTGGGAGCCCCACGGACCGGACCCCATTTCTGTGTCAGGGCAGGGCCAGGAGGAAACCACACAGGAATTCCAGCAAAGAATTTAAAAAAATGTATCGTGGTACAATATGTGTCACATAAAATGTGCCATTTTAACCATTTTTGCTGAACAGTTCAGTAGCGTTAGCTACGTGTACAAAGCTGTGCAACGCTGACCACCATCTACCCGGAAAAACTTTCATCTCTCCAAACAGAAACTCTGCCTCATGGGACTGGGCATATGGTTCACGCCTGTAATTCCAGCACTTTGAGAGGCAGAGGCAGGAGGATCAGGAGCCCAGGAGTTTGAGGTTGGCCTGGACAACATGGCGAGACCCCACCTCTACGAAAAATAAATAGCTGGGTGTGGTGGTGAGCCTGTAGTCCCAGCTATTCAGGAGGCTGCGGTGGGAGAATCGCTTGAGCTCAGGAGTGATACAGCCTGGGTGATATAGCAAGACCTTGTCTCTACAAAATAGAAAATAAAAAAATAAGCCCGGCATGGGGGTGTGTGGCCCCAGCTACTTGGGAGGCTGAGGTGGGAGAATCACTTAAGCTCAGAAAGTCGAGGCTGCGATGAGCAGAGATCACACCACTGCACTCCAGAGTGAAACCCTGTCTCAAAATAAAAATAAAAATGAAACTCTGGCCATGAGCCTTTACTGCCCCCACCCCCCAGCCCTCTGCATCACCACCATTCTGTTCTCTGTCTCTGTGGGTTTGCCTATTCCAGATATTTCACACAATATGCAGCCTTTCCTGTCTGTTTTTTTAAATTTTTTAATTTATTTATTTATTGAGACGGAGTCTTGCTCTGTTGCCCAGGCTGGAGTTACAGTGGTGCAATCTTGGCTCACTGCAACCTCTGCCTCCCAGGTTCAAGCAATTGTCCTGTCTCAGCCTCCTGAATGGCTGAGACTACAGGCGCCTGCCACCATGCCCAGCTAATTTTTGTATTTTTAGTAGAGATGGGGTTTCACCTTGTTGGTCAGGCTGGTCTCAAACTCCTGACCTTAGGTGATCCACCCGCCTTGGCCTCCCAAAGTGCTGGGATTACAGGCATGAGCCACTGTGCCCGGCCTATTATTATTATTATTTTTATTGAGACAGAGCTTCGCTTTGTCACCCAGGCTGGAGTGCAGTGGCGTGATCTCAGCTCACTGCAACCTCCACCACCCGGGTTCAAGTGATTCTCGTGCTTTAGCCTCCCCAGTAGCTGGGATTACAGGCGCCTGCCACCATGCCTGGCTAATTTTTGTATTTTTAGTAGAGATGGGTTTTGCCATGTTGGCCAGGCTGGTCTCGAACTCCTGACCTCAGGTGATCTGCCCGCCTCGGCCTCCCAAAGTGCTGGGATTATAGGCTGAGCCACCGCAAAGCCCGGCCTGTGTCTGGCTTCATTTACTCAACAGAATGCTTTCTCGGTTCGTCCCTGTCCTCGTGTGGGTCAGAGTTTCCTTCCTTTCCTGGCTGATCCATGTCTGTTTGTTTACCCAGTGCCTGTGTGGATGGGCTTGCGGGCCTGCTGCATCTTTCGGCTATCCTGAGTGCTGCTGCTGGGAATGTGCGCCCGGGTGTTTATGAGCCCCTCACATCGTTTATCGGGCCCAAGAGTGGAGTTGCTGGGTCACAGGTGGTTCTGTGTTTAACTATTTGAGGAACTGCCAGGCTGTTTCCACAGAGGCTGCACCATTTACATCTCCACCTTCGACAAGGGAAGTCCGACAGGGAAGGCCCAGTGTGAGCCGTGATGAGCCATCCATACTCCTGGAGCCACAGGTGTGCAGGAACCCGACCTGCACAGGTGGGGAGAGTGATGAAGGGGGAGCTGCACTCCAACCCCTGCCACAGCCCCGGAGACCCTGAGTAGCCATCACGAAGGGGAGGGGGAATCGGGGCCCCGGGAGTGAGGTGGCCTGAAGACACCAGCCTGGCGGCAGTAGGCCCCTAAGATGGTCTTCAAATGGAAACAGAGTCCAGGACCTCAGCCTTTGTGGTCATTCAGTTGGAAATTAGAAAAAAGAAACACAACTGATTTTTTTTGAGTGTGGATATGATAGCCTCAACTTTTCTGACTTTGTTCTAATAGTTTTTGTTTTAATCTTTAAGATTTTATATTTTTATTTTTTGAGGCAGGGTCTGGCTCTGTCGCCAGGCTCGGGGGCAGTGGTGCGGTGCGGTCTTGGCTTATGCAGCCTCTGCCTCCTGGGTTCAAGAGATCCTGTCACCTCAGCCTCCTGAGTAGCTGGGACTACAGGCTTGAGCCACCATGCCCGGCTTACTTTTGTATTTTTGTATATTTTTTGTAGAGACGAGGTCTCACCATGTTGCCCAGGCTGGTCTCGAACTCCTGAGCTCAAGCGATCCGCCTGCCTTGGCTTCTCGAAGTGCTGGGATGACAGGCATGAGCCACCACGCCCGGCCCTCGAGGGGTTTCTATATGGAAGATCATATCATCTGCAAAGAACTATCACTTTACTTCTTCCTTTCCCCTTTGGATGCCCGTTATTAAATATGTCCGTTCCGTTTCATTGCTGTTGGTTCACTTCCATTGCTGCGGAGTCTTCCCTTATGTGACCATCCTACAATTGATTCATCCGTTCTGCTGTTCGATGGACATTTGGGTTCCTTCTGGTTTTGGGCTGTTAACTATCCAAGTCTTTTGGTGACTTATAATTCCATTTTTAAGTTAAATATTTAGGAGTGGAATTCTGGGTCATAAGTAGATGTGCTTTTACTTTTTCTCAAAGCGGGTGTACCACTTTGCATTCCTACCAGCCGCCCACATCCTTGCCAGCAGCGACAGGGTGGGTGTGGATCGGCTTGGCCCTGAGGCTTGGATTTGCATCTCTCTGACGACGGTGAGCACCTTTCCTGTGCCTGCGGGCTGCTATCGTGTCCTCTTTTGTGAAGTGTCTGTTCCTGTGGGTTTCCATTTTTAAGTTGGGATTTTTTTTTTTTTTTTTGCTATTGATTTGTAGGAATTCTTCAAATATTCTGCAAGGAGCTCTTTGTCATGTGTGTGTAATTTGAATATTTGTTCTTTGATTGGGGGATATTCAGTGGGAAAATTTAGTGATGAAGTAAATGAATTCTCCTTATATTATTTAAATCCCCTTTACATTATTTAAATTATATTGAGGCTTATTCTATGACCCATGATTAGGAACATCTTTTTTTTTTTTTTTTTTTTGAGACAGGGTCTTGCTCTGTCACCCAGGCTGGAGTGCAGTGGTGCGATCTTGGCTCGCCGCAGCCTCTGCCTCCTGGGCTCAATTGATCCTCCCACCTCAGCCTCTTGAGTACCCCTGTACTCCACCTCTTCATCCCTCCCTCTCCCTAATTCCTGGCAGTCCCCTGACATTCTTACTGCCTCTGTAGCTGGGGGCGGGGAGAGACTTGACACACGCAGGGGACCAAGGGATGTGGAGATGGAGCAGAGAGAGATTTGAGATGCTAGCCTGGAAGATCCCAGTGATGCAACCACAAGCCGAGGGAAGCCTGGAGTCACCAGAAGCTGGGGAGGCAGCAAGGATCCTCCCTTCCCACCTCGGAGGAGGCACAGCCCTGCCGACATCTGGATTTCAGCCTGGTGACACTGATCCTGGAGTGCTGCCTTCCAGGACTGTGCAAGAATAAACTTCTGTTGTTTTGAGCCCCCTACTTTGGGGTCCTTGGTTACAGCAGCTCCAGGAACTAATAGAAGTTGGGAGAGAAGAGTTAAACATCCTTGACTCATTCATCTGTCTGTCTCTCGCTTGTGATCTTTAGCTGTTTGCTCCTGTATTTGACTCGCATTTATTGAGTGCACAGCCATCTACAATTGTTCTGTCTTTTTAACGAGTTTACCCTTTTATGGTTATGATATATATATATTTTTGCTTTTGCTTTTTTTTTTTTTTTTTTTTGAGACAGGGTCTTGTTCTGTTGCCCAGGCTGGAGTGCAGTGGCAAAATCTTGGCTCACTGCAGCCTCCGCCTCCTGGGCTCAAGTGATCCTCCTGCCTCAGCCTCCCGAGTAGCTAGGACCATAGGTGCAGGCTACCATGCCCAGCTATTTATTTTTTATTTTTATTTATTTATTTATTTATTTATTTATTGAGACAGAGTCTCGCTCTGTTGCTCAAGCTGGAGTGCAGTGGCACGATCTCAGCTCACTGCAAACTCCACCTCCTGGGTTCAAGCGATTCTTGTGCCTCAGCCTCCCGAGTAGCTGGGATTACAGGTGTGTACCACCACGCCCAGCTAATTTTTTTGTATTTTCAGTAGAGATGGGGTTTTGCCATGTTGCCCAGGCTGGTCTTGAACTCCTGAGCTCAGGCAATCCGCCTGCCTCAGCCTTCCAAAGTGCTAGGATTATAGGTGTGAGCCACCACGCCTAATTTTTATTTTTGTAGAGATGTTGTCTTGCTATGTTACCCAGGCTGGTCTCGAACTTCTAGGCTCAAGTGATCCTCCTGCCTTGGCCTCCCAAACTGCTGAGATCCCATCCAAAATGTCTGTCTTGATCCCTGGGAATGGTCCCCTTCCTTATATAAATGTAGCCACTCCAGCTTGCTTATTCTTTGTGTTTTTGAGATATACATTGTGATTGGCTGAATAATGACGTCCGCATCCTAAACCCTGGAACCTGTGAATGTCACCTCATATGGCAAAGGGGGCTCTGTAGTTGTGGCGAAGTTCAGGATCTCGGGGTGAGGGCATGACCCTGGATTGCCTGGTGGGCTCCAAATGCAGTCACGAGTGTCCTCATAAGAGAGAGGCAAGAAGAGGGAAGACGCAGAGGGAGAGGTGAAGCTGCTACTTCACGCTGCTGGCTCTGAAGGGGGAAGGGGCCAGGAGGCAGGAAGTGGCGCTGGAGCTGGGAAAGGGGAGGAAGCAGGGTCTCCCCGAGAGCCTCGAGAGGGGGCATGGCCCTGCCAACAGCTCCATTTCAGCCTGGCCAGACTGATCTCAGATGGTGACACCAGAGCTTTGAGGGACCCATTTGTGCTGGGCAGAGCCGCTCCTTGTCAGAGAGGCCAGGGGTCACCAGCCTCCTTCAGACTCCCGTGAAGGCTCAGATGGCCCCGCCTCCTAGAGTCCTCCAGCCAGCGGTGGGAACATCTGCTCAGCCGTCCCATGCCCGCTGCCGCCCCCTTGAGGCACTGGGTCCCCATCCCCTCCTCTCCTCATGGTCCCGTCCCACCCCAAACCCCCAGCTTGCCTGGGCCTGGTCCGGTCCCTGGGCGTCTGCAGCCGGCGCTCAGCGGCACACACCCCATTCCCGGGAGAAATCTCTCTCTCCTGGGTCACGGAGCCCTAGAGCACATGGAGAAATCCAGTGGCTTCCTTGCCTGAAAAGCACTCGGTGGGAAGTTGCTGCTCTTGCTGAGTGAGCGGTTCCTGGCCCTGGCACTGCGCTGTGGGTGCCCCATGCCAAGAGGCCCCAGGTTAGGAAGCCCTGTCCAGAGGGTGCTCCTGTGCCTAGAATTTACCAGCAGTGCCCGCCATCCCCAAAGTGGGATCTGCATCCGCCATCCGCTCTGCAGTGCCAGGAGGAAGAGGCTTCCACGTGGTCGTGTCCACTGGGCAGGGCCCCGTCGAGGGTGCGGGAGCCAGGTGCCTTGTTCCGCTCCAGGCCGAGCATGTCACGTTCCTTGTTCTGGAATCCCGCAGTAGCTCCGGCAGCTGGGCGTGACGTGCAGGCTGGCAGCCATCGGATGTGTGCCCAGGAACATACCAGTCATTTGGGGAAACAGAGGCGGGGGCTCACCCCACACCTAGCTGGTCGCCTGACCTGCAGGCGCATTGTCAAGGGCCTCTGGTATGGGAGGGGCTGTGGGGAGTGGACATGCCTCCCCTCCTGGGGCTTCGCCTGCCTCTGCTCCTAGCTCCGGCTTCCCTGGTAACTGCAGGCTGCCACGCTGTCGGTAACTAAGAGAACACTGCGAAGGGAAGTGGCATCGACAGCCCCTCGCCCCGGTGCACGTGTGCACACAGCCGTCCTGTACACGCGGTGCATTTGCACGACCCTTAAGCTTGTCCTTTCGATGCCCGAGAGACCCTGGGCGGGCTATGGTGAGGGGCCACACAAGCCGGGCATGGCTGGCAGAGGCAGGTGGGTGGCCGAGTCCACACTGCAGGCGAGAGGGCTGGAGGCGGGAGTCAGACCAGCTGGTGGTCAAGCAGCATCCCTCCACCAAGGGCTGACCAAGCCCACCCAGCACCCCACCCATCCTGAGCCCGCCTTGCACTCTGGACTCATGGCACAAGGATTTCCCCATGCAGGTTCCCGTCCTTCGGGTCCAAGGTGTTGATGAAGAACCTGAAGCGCCCACCAGGTTTGATCTGGGCAGAGTCGTTGGAGGCCAATGCTGAGGTGTGCCAGCTCCCAGAGAGCTGCGGGCACGAGAGAGGCTGATGGGGGGCCAGAACCCCCTCCTCCCCCGGAGAGCTGCAGAAGCGAGAGAGGCTGATGGGGGGGCCAGAACTCTCTCCTCCCCCGTCCAGCTCCGTCCACACCAGCAGTCAGCGCCTGGTGTCCTGCTGAGATTGTGCCCAGGAACGCATTGAGGTGCTGGCCAAGCTGGTGGGTTCCAGGCCTTCAGGCTGACCCTATGCCCTGGCCAAGGGATCGCCGGCCTCCCTAGCACCTCCTGTGGATGGTGGCTCATGAACAGCAAGTGGGGAGGATGGTCAGCCTTGTTCATCTCCAGTGCCTGGTGTTGCCCCACTGCTGGGGTCCCTGGAGCCCTGCTGGACTGAGCTCAGAGCTTCTTCCAGGACCACAGCAGAGGCTCCAACCCCACAGCTACCCTTGGAATCCCCCTCAGCCATTTACAAGCTGTGCAAAGGGCAACCCTGGGATTGAGCCCCACATCCTGGTCTGGGGGTGCCCATGGTGTCCATGCTCTGCTGTGGGCAGCGGTGCCCGTGGGCATCTGGCTACACTGACCAGGGAGTGTGGTACTAGGGGGCCTCTCAGGCCTGCTTCCTGGGCGCCGACTCAGATGGGGTGGCATGGCTGCCTGAGGCAGGGACTCTCAGAGTCCTGCTCTCCGGAAAGATCTCCAGGCAGGTGTGGGAGATGGGAGACACTTCTACTCCAGCCAGGAGCCAGGTGGGCCCACTGTCCAGAAGGCTCACTCAGGGTTTGACCGCCATGATGCTGACTGGATGTCAGGACTGTCCTCCCAGCCCTGTCCCTGGCCCTGCCTTCTGGGAGCCCCCAGGAGCCCCTTGGGAGGTACTGTCTCACCTGCGACAGGTCCGACGCCTGCTCTTGGGAGTGCACCCCATGAGCTCAGAGGCCACCAGCCAGTGCCAGGTCCACAATCAGCTGCATCCCCAGGCATGGGCAGTTGGGGCAGAGGGACAAATGGGGACTCTCTGGCTGCAGGGATTCTGGGCCCTGGCCTGTCTATATAGCTGTGTGGTCAGGGTGCCTGGTGAGGTGTCCCTGGGTGTCCCTGACTTGGAGAGGGGGCTTAATCTTGGGAAATGTGAGCCAGTCTGTTCTTTCTCTGTGGCTTTAGACACCAAAATGTTATGCTCCCACAAAGCCAGTTTCCAAAATCAATAGCCAATCTTGGGCTGGGCCAACTTTCTGGGCCTGTGTGTTGGTTACTGTATTAGTCCATTTTCACGCTGCTGATAAAGACATACCTGAGACTGAGCAATTTACACAACAAAGAGGTTTAATTGGACTTACAGTTCCGCGTGGCTGGGGAAGCCTCACAATCATGGTGGGAAGCAAGGAGGAGCAAGTCAGGTCTTACAGGGATGGCAGCAGGCAAAGAGAGAGAGAGCCTGTGCAGGGAAACTCCTCTTTTTAAAACCATCAGATATCGTGAGACTTATTCACTATCACAAGAGCAGCATGGGAAAGACCTGCCCCCATGATTCAGTTACCTCCCGCCAGGTCCCTCCCACAACATGTGGGAATTCAAGATGAGATTTGGGTGGGTACACAGCCAAACCATATCAGTCACTTTGGGGAACCCTCCTGGAACACAGCTAGGGGGACACAGGCCCTAAACAGAGAGAGCCTGGGATTGAGCACTGGGGTTGGGGGGTGGAGGGTAGGGGGTTCTGGGCTCCAGAAGATGATGCCAAATTGTGCCAAAGGTGTCCCCACCCATATGATGAGTCCCATGGGTTGTCAGAGCAGAGATGGTGATTGGAGGGTGTTGTGACGGAATTGTGCTCCCCAAGCACCCAAAATGCTTGTTGATGCACCTCAGAATGGGACCATATTTGAAAATAGGGTCATGGTAGATGTCATGGGAGTCAACCTTCCTCCACACTCGAGTACCTTTAGAAAGTTGTTTATATTTGATTCAAACTTCCTAGCTGTTACCTGTGTGTGTAGTGGGAGAGGGCCTGCTCGGAGCTTCTCTGCATCACAGGAAGCAGAACATTGACTTCTGTTTCAACAGGGATGGTCTGGCTGCTGGGAGAGAATAACCTGGGGTGCAGCACGGAAGTGCAAGACCACCTTGGGGTGCTTCTTCATCATCAGGGAAAGGAGGGCGTGCTTGGACCAGGAGGGAGCAGTGGAGGATGAGGAGTCGGGGTCTGAATACATTTAATTAAATTAATTAATTAATTAATTAATTTGAGATGGAGTTTCACTCTTGTTGCCCAGGCTGGAGTGCGATGGCATGATTTTGGGTCACTGCAACTTCCATCTCCCACGTTCAAGCGATTCTCCTGCCTCAGCCCCCTAAGTAGCTGGGATTACAGGTGCCCGCCACCACACCTGGCTAATTTTTGTATTTTTTGTATAGGTGGGGTTTCACCATGTTGGCCGGGCTGGTCTCCAACTCCTGGCCTCAGGTGATCCACCTGCCTCGGCCTCCCAAAGTGCTGGGATTACAGGCATGAGCCACTGCACCCGGCCTCACTAGATTTTTATTTGACTGAGTGCCACCCCAAATGGAAACAACGAGGGTGGTCTCTTGGTTGTTCTTTCATGCCCTGCCCACTGCCCTGTTCCTTTGTCCACCTGAGGCCCCTGGTGTTGAGGCTGCAGGAGTCTGAGGCCAGGGCCAGCCTGGTGCTGAGCAGCTGATGGTGGGGTGGGTGCTGGGGACACTCAGCTCTGGTTCAGCTCCCCTTTGTGCTGTCTTCTGGGGTGGGGCTAAAGGCTTCTGCCTATGTCCACATCTACCCCCATGCCCAGGCCTCCTCTGGGGCCCAGAGGCTCCCCCTGCACCAATGGGCAGTGGCCTCCCAGCACCCCTTTCTGGCAGCCTTGGCTCTGCTCCTCCGAGGCCAGCTTTGTGCACCAACGGGCCCCGCCGAGTGGGCAGCTTCTCGCGTTCCCGCTGCAGCTCAGTAGGCTGGGCCCAGATCCAAACAAGGGGCCGGAAGCTGGGCAGCCATGGGAATGCCAGGTGCCTCCCACTCCCTCCCATCCCAATGGAGCTGCTCCTTCCCCAAGCCTGGCACCCATACAGCGGGCACTAAAACTCTACCCAGCCTCACCCTATAGCCTGGAGCTCCCAATGGAGGTGGGGTGGGGGGTGGCATCCAGACCCTCATCCTAAGACAGCTCCACTTAGCTCCTTTACAAGCAGGCACTGGCTCTGGGGACAGGTTCTTCCTGAGCACCCGGGACTGTGACCCACAGGATGACCCCTTGGAGAGCTCACGCAGACGCCAGAGTTGGGGCCGCCCAGCGCACACCCCCAGCACAGACGCTTCTGGGTCTCGGGCTGCAAAATGTTCTCCCCCGGGCAGGGGGCAGGGCCAGCGGCTCCTCAGACAGAGCCGCATTTTTGCTGCACGTGCAGGGTCATGTCCACCGCCAGGGTCACAGTGCAGGACGTTCCATCGTCACCAGGGCCCCTCCTGGTGCCCCTTTCTGGCTGACTTCCTACCTTCCATTTGTAACCTCTGGAAATCACCGACTCATGTCCCCCTCTGCGGTTTTGTGATTTCGAGAGCATCATACAAATGCAGTCGTTTTCACATCTCTGACAGAGGCCCAACCAACAATCACTTTTAACCCACAAAGTCACCGCAGATTGGCTGGTACCTCCCTTTTATTCACCAAAACATGGAGGCGGGGGCGCAGGCACCTGCCTCAGCTGTGACATTGTTGATCATCTTCCCCCAAAGGCAGTGGCTGAGCCCAGGGAGGGGACAGGAGGGGAGGGGCAGAGAGGGGAGGGACAGGGAGGGGAAGGTCAGCGAGGGGAGGGGCGGAGAGGGGAGGGGTAGGGCCTTGGTTGCCGGTTGCCATCTCATCTCACCCGCATCTTGGGGCCACCACGCACCACAGGTACATCCACTCCTTTACCCTCAGGAACCCTCGTGCAGAAATGCAGAGGTGCCTTCAGAGGCGTATCTCTGGGAGGCTCAGGCTCTGGGAAGGGAAGGGGGCCCTGGGGGTTTTTACTGGGCTGGGACCATGTCTGAGAAGGGAGGGGCAGCTCGGAGAAGGAGCCTGTGGTGACCTGAGTGGTGTCCCTCAAAGGACATGCTCCTTTCCTAGTGCCTGGAGCCTGTGAAGGGCATCTGATGGGAAAGGGTCTTTGCAGGTGTGAAGTTGAGGTCTTGACGGGAGATCATTCTGCATGAAGATGGGCCCGAAATCCAATGACAAGTGTCCTTAGAAGAGACAGAAGAGGAGACACAGACAGAGGCAGAGGCTGGAGTGACAGCCACAAGCCAGGGATGCCTGGAGCCCCCAGCAGCCGGAAGAGGCAGGAAGGACCCTTCCCGGGAGCTGGTGGAGGGAGCACAGCCCTGCGGACCTCGGGTTTCAGACCTCGGGCTCCAGGCTGTGAGAAAGTAAATCCTGGTTGTCCTAGTCACCCGCATATGGTGACATCAGCCCCTGGAGACTCACACAGGGCCCCATCTCACTTCCTGCTCAGACCTTACCACCCTGGAAGGCCCCATCACTGCCCCGACTCCAGGATGCTTTTCACAGCATCTTTCACCAAAGCACCTTGTGTTCGGTTCCCAGACCAGGGGGAGGGATGGGCACCTCCTGGGGTGGGACCCCGCAGCCTCTGACGTTGGCCCCAAGCTCTCCCCATCCAGCCCCCTGCCCGTCCCGAGTCGCAGCTCACGCATGGGAGGCCTGGGCGGGCTCCTGTAATGCTTGGAGTAGCAGGGATCTGGAAGGACAGAGGGGGCTCTCAGCGCAGGGACAGGGACCCCGCAGGCACACCTCCCATCCCCACCCTGTCCCGGCTCCCGCTTGGTCCGGGAGCAGTGGGGCTGACCTTTGTTGGTCAAGTCGATGATATTTTGTGAGCCAAGTCCGTACTTTTCGCAGGTTTCTTCAAATCTGCTCAGGAAGGAGGGTTCCAGCTATGGGACCCGTGCTGGGAACAGAGTTGGTTCTGTGTGAAGCTGGGCCTTGCTGGGGGTGCTCAGGAAGTGCTGAGGCTGGGCAGGGGGTCACGCCCTGACCAGAGAGGGGCTTTGTGCCAAGTGAGATGGGAGGTGACAGATTGAAGCACCCAGCACCCTAACGGTGTGTCTGTGGGAAGGAATAGCCAACGGGAACCACCTCTCCAAACCCCAGGGCCACTGCGAGACCCTCCTCCGCCCAGGGTTGGGCCGGACTTCAGAGGAGGTGGGGTCCCCGAGGGGGTCAGAGGGGGACAGCGGAGGTACCATAGAGCGCCAGCGTGTGGGTCTCGGTCCCGTTCCTGAAGTTCTGGAGGTGGAAGGTGATGAACAGCCTGTAGTCAGTCTCCGAGACGGCCACTGTGTTCTGGCCCTCATCTGCGTGGAGACATGGCTCAGCGTGGCCTGGCCCCGCCACCCTCAGGGTCCTGTGACACGTGCTGTGTGGCCGCAAGTGAGGATGGGGGGTCAAGTGGCCTTTTGAGGCGGGAGGGGAGGAGCCCACGGTGCTCACCCAGCGGAGACCCCTGCACAGGGGGCGGGCAGCAGCGGCACAGCCCCCTCCCTCCTTGTCATTGGCTTGCAGACCCTGGTGGCCCCTCAGTGGGCTCACCCCCCAGAGCTCAGCATGACACACCTGCCTCCCTGCTTCCCCTGGGCCAGGAGCCCCCCTGGGTAGGTGCCAGGATGGGTCCCTCCAGTTCAGGGTCAAGCTGTCAGGGGCTTAACTAAAATCCCCAGAGTCAGTGCTCACCAGAATATGGCCCAGGCCCTGGAGAAAGGAGACCCCCGACTGTGAGACCAGGAGGAGCCTGGCTTCCACTTACAGTTGATGGAGTATTCCCCATTCTTCTCTGTCTTCTCGCAGACCACGACCACAGCCACACACTCCCCCTGCACCCTGGAAGCCAGCCAGGAAGATGCCGGGAGTGGAGCTCCAGCCCCCTGGACGTGCGATGGCAGAGAGCACCCCTCCTCCAGGGCACAGGCTCACCCTCCCAATGCCCAGGCCTCATTCCACAGCCCCAAGTTCTTGGGCTGGGCCCTGCTGCAGCCCACCGGACACCCTCATCTCCTCGAACCTCACCCCAGCCTTGGAAGGGGGCGATTTCATCTCTATGTTTCAGGGAAGAGCACAGTGCCAGGCAGACCAAGTCCCTGCTCCCACCTCACCCTGCCCCCAAGGGTCACACGCACAGGCTCAGGCTCTCACCAGAGTGCAAGTCAGTGAGTGTGCGAGCGTGTGTGTGCAAGAGTGAGAGTATGCGTTGGGGTGGCAGGGGCATGGGTCTTCCTGATGCCAGCTGAGATGGGCAACACGCACATGTATTCGAAATCAAATATTAGGCTGCCGTTCTTCAAGTGTTCAATATTCCGGACGAAGACCCTCAGGTCTCCATTTTCTTTAATCCGATTCAGGTCATCTGAGGCCATGAAAATAGAATACCAGACCCCTGAAACCTGAAGACAAAGAGCTCCAGTGGGTGGGGGGCCGCGGGACAGCCCTGGGGATGCTTAGCGCCCACAGTCTTCCCTCCCAGGGCCCGGCCCCTTAGCATCTGGCTCCCAACCAGAACCCCTCC
This sequence comes from Homo sapiens, assembly GCF_000001405.40. Lineage (NCBI taxonomy): Eukaryota > Metazoa > Chordata > Mammalia > Primates > Hominidae > Homo > Homo sapiens. The sequence goes on along the minus strand of NC_000009.12, from coordinate 135,664,039 downwards.
GCCCTTCCAGTGCCCCCAGGTCTCCCCTCGTCACCAGATCCCCCCTTTACCCCCAAGGTCGCCCCTCTGCTCACAGAATGCCCTCCGCCCTTCCAGGGCCCCCGCTGCCCCCCAGGTCTCCCCTATGTCCCCAGATCCCCCCTTTGATCCCAAGGTCCCCCCTCTGCTCACAGAATGCCCTCTGCCCTTCCAGGGCCCCCTCTGCCCCACAGGTCTCTCCTCTGCCCCTCCAGGTCCCCCTCTGTCCTCTCAAGGTCCCCCGCTCCACCCTTTCCCACTGAGTCCCCCTCTTTTCCCTAGGTCTCCCCTATACTTCTAGGAACCCCTCTGTCCTCTTAGGGCCCCCATCTCCCTGCTGGCCGCCACTCCACTCTCCAGCTTTCCCCTCTGCCCTCCCAGGGCCCCCTCTAACCTCTCAGGGCCCCAGTCACTCTCCCAGGCCTCTCCCACCCGACCCTCCCGGAGTAACCCCTGCTCTCCCAGGCTGCTGTCACAGCTTGGGGAGGAGAGGTGGGCTCCCCTTGGACCAGTTGCCCTGGTCACAGGTCAGAGACCCCAGGCTGGGGGAAGACAGGTGCCTTGAAGCCTGGCCCCTTCCCCACAGACCCCAACGCAGACACACCCTGGCCACGTTGTAGTTCCTCTGCATAACGGTGTGGGGATCGAACTCCTGGGCTGCGATGAGGCTCAGCCCCAGGCTCAGCAGAAGCAGAGCCATCTTTGCCGTGGACGCCTCAGCCCTCGGCCCACCCCCTTTATACCCTGCTGCCCTGCGGCTTCCAGCCCTGCAGGGCGGCCCACTCTGTGGCCCGTCCACACACATCCTGTGCCCACTGGGCATGCAGCCAAAGGCCCCGAGGCTGCTGCCCTCTCTACCTTGGGGAAGATCACCCCACTCCCTTGTGGGAGCTTCCTGGATCCATGGGCAAAGGAACCTGCTGTCCCCTCACTGGAGGCAGGCACCTTGTCCCAAATGCAGGGGACAGCCTCTCTCTCAGCCTGCAAGAGGACCCATGGTGGCTGTGTCTGTGGAGTACAGGGTGTCCCTGTTCCCCTCCCATCCCCTCCCGCTCCTTCCCCAGCACAGCGTCTGGGGCCGGAGCCAATGGTGAGTCACAGCGTCCCCAGACTCAACCGACGGCCGGGCGCTTATTCGCTCCTTATTCTCTCAGCCCAGTAACGAGATGCAGACGAGCTGGGAAATAAGAGAGTTTGCTTCTGTCACCGGGTACAGGCAGAAGCCCGGGAAAATAGCACTAGACCAGCTCAAAATTGCAGTTTTCCAGAGCTTATATATCTTCGAAGCTGTAGGTCTACGTGTAAGTGTGCATTCAGCTAAAGACACAGTGATGAACTTCTTCTAATCTATAATTAAGGCCTGAGTCCTGAAGAACTTCCTCTGGAGCCTCAGTAAATTTACTTAATCTGGAGGGGTCCAGGTGCTGGGGTGATTCCCCTTATCTTTTCTCCTGCTAAATCATGGAGGTTTGGGGCGTTCCTTTAGACCCCAGTAAAACTTGTTTAATCCTAAACGGGTCCTGTTAAGAATTCCTTTGTTATCTTGTCATGCTTCAAGGCCCAGGAGAGGCCTGGGCAAAACTCTTGGTGGGCTTTTGTTACATTCCAGCCTCTGTTGAAGGGCGCTGGCCCTCTCAGCTTTTAATATTTGACTTCACCACCCGGTCAGTGCTGAAACAGTTGTCGTGGAGGCCGGCCTATTCAGCCGTTAGTGAGACCTGGCCTGCCACAATCCCCACTGTCAAATTATGCATGATTGCTATCATGCTTGTATATTTATTTCTTATGAGAATCATGGGGGGATGGGGCATTATAATCTTTCTGGCTACTTCCTGCTGATAGGAGGTCATTGTTACGGGGCACCAAACGCAGTGTTGGAGTGAAAGATGTTGATTTGTTCCCAGTAGTACTCTCTGTTTTGGGGGCCTAGAGAAAGCGCCTGTTGAAATAGTATGAGCTGGAGGGATGTTTTGGAACAATGTGCAACAGCAATACATTCCACAATGTAACATGATGCCGGTGCCTGCAAGGACGGCCTGGACTGCGAGGACGTTCAGCCCCGAGGGAGACCCTCTGCTAAGCCATGATGTGGTTCGGTCATTAACCGATAACCTAGGGCTGGAGATGACCTGCATCTGTGGACGATAGCCCTTTTTTTTTTTTTTTTTGAGTCTTGCTCTGTCGCCCAGGCTGGAGTACAGTGGTGCCATCTCGGCTCACCGCAAGCTCCGCCTCCCGGGTTCATGCCATTCTCCTGCCTCAGCCCCTCAAGTAGCTGGGACTACAGGAGCCCGCCACCATGCCCGGCTAATTTTTTGTATTTTTAGTAGAGACGGGGTTTCACCGTGTTAGCCAGGATGGTCTCTATCTGCTGACCTCGTGATCCGCCTGCCTCGGCCTCCCAAAGTGCTGGGATTACAGGCGTGAGCCACCGCGCCCGGTGGATGATAGCTTTTAATGCCAGAGAAATATTCCCGGAATTGTCAGGTACATACATGCAATATTCGGTTCTGATGAGGGTGCAGGGTCCCTGCTAGGCCGCTGTTAGAATGTCTAGGGCCATTTGATTTTGCAGGATAGCTTTCCACCTATGGTATGTTTCAGCATTCACACGGGAAACACTTTGGAGACTGTCGTTTAAGCCTCACTGCGTAAAACTAGCGAGTGCCTCTGTGTGCCATATGACCATTTCTAAGCCCATTGAGGGCATAAATATTACGGCCAGATGACCGTACCTGTGAAAGACTGGCCTTGTCCATCTGTTACGCATATGTGGGAGATTGACTGGATTTTGGATGGTTTTTACCAAGGTCCCTGTGCCCATAGGAGGCCTAGAGTGCAGTGTCTCAACGTGCCCGAGGCCAGCCATGGCCATAAAATGGTGCCACAAAGCCACTGGCTTCCGTCAGGGGCATACCAGTGTAGGCAAGGCCATTGGGACCAGTTGGTGGCAAACAAATCTCTTTACTGAGGGCCGGGCGCAGTGACTCACGCCTGGAATCCCAGCACTTTGGGAGGCTGAGGCGGGAGGATCACTTGAGGCCACGAGTTCGAGACCAGCCTGGCCAACATGGTGAAACCCCGTCTCTACAAAAGAAATATAAAAATTATCCAGGCGTGGTGGCGGGCACCTGTAATTTCAGCTACATGGGAGGCTGAGGCAGGAGAATCGCTTGAGCCCGGGAGGCAGAGGTTGCAGGGAGCCGAGATTGCGCCACCACACTCCAGCCTGGGCGACAGAGACTCTGTCTCAAAAAAAAACAAACAAAACCCAAATCTCTTTGTTGTAGCACTATAATATGTGCGGCAGAATCTGTCCCATGATCCGAGTTACGTTAGGCCGGTGATCAATGTGTGGCGGAATCCGTCTCATAACCTGAGTTACATTAGGCCGGTGGTCAATGTGCGGCGGAATCCGTCCCACGATTCGAGTTGTTAGGCCAGTGGTCAATGTGCGGTGGGCGGAATCTGTCTCATGATTCGACTTATGTTAAAGTCGGTGGTCAAGGGAGGGGTTCTGTCGTTTGTAGCGTAAGGGGGCTATTTGGTTTAAATGTCCGGTGGAGGCAGTTAGCCAAATAAATCCATTCCAAATTCGAAGAAAGCCGTTTTTATACTGGACATTTTGTGGTACAATAGCCTGGACATCCACCTTCGGACTCAGCAAGGGCATAGCTAAAGCGGTTGCATCATCCCTTGTTTTGTTTACTGAGAATGGCCTTTTGTGCCCTGGGCCTTCTAAAGTTTTGTTTATGGGCCACTCTGAGACATTTGCGCTGGTTACTCCTGTCATTTGTGACCCAGTCCAAGATTTTAGATTTCCCAAAAAGGTTTGCAGGTAAATCCAGTCCTTCCCTTGGATGGGCGACCCCCGCCAAGGCAACCCTGAGGTGCTAGAGAGGGGTGAGAGGCCACAGACCCTGAAGGAGGCTGGCTGCAGGTTATCTGCCTAGTCCTGTGCCCAGCGTAAGAGAAGATGAGAGGTAAGAGCAGGCATTGCAAGACGGAGCGCTAGAAGAGAAAGTCTTAGCGTTTTCTGAATAGAAACTTCAGGCCTTCTAGGGGTTCTGCTTCCCAGCCGTGGCCAGAGATTCCTGTGCTGCAGGGCTCTTGGCCGGCAGGGATCTTTCCACTCATGTGTGATGGACCCAAGGCTTGATGCCTGCCAGCTTCAATGCTGCGTCCATGGTCAGGAGCACGTGGTAGGGCCCTTCCATTTTTCCCATCGCGGCAGCTTCCTTCCATTCCCTCAGCAGCACTTGATCGCCAGGTAGGAGTGGGTGGCAGGTGTCTGTGGAATTCACCGCATCCGTGTTGGAAGCAAACTTATGCAAAACGTTAAGAGTTTGTCCTAAGTGAGCAACATGATTCTGAATAGCCGACTCCCTACCTAGGGGCACTTTGGTGGCCCGAGACAGATTGGCTGCAAAGGGTCTCCCAAAGACGGTTTCGCAGGGACTTATTTTAATCCCACCTACAGGGAGCAGTGCAATGCTAAGTACCTGAGTCCATTTCAACGGAGCCTCTTGACACAACTTGGCAATGAATGTTTTTAGGCTGCGGTTCATTCTCTTAGCTTGTCCAGAAGATTGAGGTCTCCACACTGACTGCAGCGTCCACTTCATTTCCAATGCTTCGTTCATTTGTTGAGTTATCTCAGAGGTGCACAAAGGCCCATTATCATTTTGGATTACGTCGGGGAGCCCGTATCGTGGTATGCTTTCCTTGAGCAAAACTTTACTTCAGTTGCTCATTCGGAGTGACATGGGCACACTTCCACCCAGTCAGAGAAGGTGCCCACTAGAACTAGGGGGTATTTGCATTCCCAGGGGCTGGTGGCATCTGTGTGAAGTCTATTTGCTGGTTTTCTGGTGAGTGACTGCCTCTTTCTTGTTGCCCAGGCTGCCCTCGGCTATGATTATTAGGCTCATTCCGGGCGCACAGATGACAGTGTTGAATGATATTCTCTACGTGGGCCTTTAGTCTTTTCCCTTTCAAATAATTTTGTACAAAGGCCAATGAAGCGACTCTCTCAAAGTGCAGGCTATCGTGAACGTACTTTAACAGCGGGTGGACGAGATGCACTGCCGCCCAGCCTATGCCTGCGCTGTTTCCTCTCTAGCCTCCACCCTTCCTCCTTTAGTTTGAATCCTTTATCTTCTGCAGCCTTTTTATCTTCAGAAGCATACCGGGGCTCGAGGGCCGTGAAGTCTATTTGGGAAATTAAGGGCGCCTGGATTTCGATGCTGTCACTGGCTGAATGCCCGGCGGTGCAGTCTGCGAAAACATTACCCCTTGCCACTTCGGAATTACTGCGTCGATGGCCAGGGCAATGCATTATGGCTATTTCCTGTGGGGCCTTTATCGCTTCTAACTTTTTTTTTTTTTTTTTTGAGATGGAGTCTCCCTCTGCCGCCCAGGCTGGAGTGCAGTGGCGCGATTTTGGCTCACTGCAACCTCAGCTTCCTCAGTTCAAGCGATTCTTTTGTGATTCTCAGCCTCCCAAGTAGCTGGGATTACAGGCACGCGCCACCGCGCCTGGGTAATTTTTGTATTTTTAGTAGAGACGGGGTTTCACCATTTTGGCCAGGCTGGTCTCGAATTCCTGACCTCAGGTGACCCACCTGCCTTGGCCTCCCAGAGTGCTGGGATTACTGGTGTGAGCCACCACACCCGGCCCACCTCTAACAATTCTAACACTTGCTTAGCATTTTTAACTTTGGTGTTATCCGCTCTTAGCCACCCTCCTTCCCTCCAGATAGCTCTGTGGGCGTGAACTATCATGAATGCGTACTTGGAATTAGCGTGTATGTTGGCGCTCTTAACTTGGGACAGTTGTAAGGGCGATTAACTCTGCCTTCTGTGTCAAGGTTCCTGCCGACGAAGTTCTTGCCTCTGTTACCTCTGAGGAGGTCACCACGGCATACATGGTGTTGCTCTTCCTGTCGGTGACCAAGCTACTCCCACCTGCAAACAAGGTCAGTCTGTACGCGGGAGGGCTACAGCCTTTAGGTCGGGTGGCTGGAGAACACTTGGTCTATGACCTCTAGACAGTTATGTAGAGTTTCTCCAGCTCCTCGGTGGCAGGGAATAGTGGAGCAGGGTTTAGAGTTCTGGTGGTTTGCAGCTTTATTTCGGGGTCGTCTAAAAGGATGGCTTGATAGCTACCCAACTGGCCTGCTGTCAGCCAGTAACCTCCTTTGTGCTGCAATAACACTGACATGTGGTGGGGCGTATGTATTGTGACAGGCCGCCCCAAGGTCAGCGTCTCAGCTCCCTCGAGTAGCAGGCAAGCAGCAACAACTGCTCGAAGGTGGAAGGCCCAGCCAGCCCTTGGCTACCACGTCAAGCTGCTTTGAAACATGTGCTATGGGTTGTAACGCTTCGCCTCACCTTTGCATTAAGACTCCAAGTGCCAAACCCAGTCTCTCGTGCACATCCAGTTGGAAGGGCTGAGGAGGATTTGGAAGCCCTAAGGCGGGGGTGAAGATTCACTTACACTTCGGTTGTTGATCGAGTGATGGTGCCTTTCTTCCCACTCGAAAAGATCGTGGTCGGCCCCTTTCAACAGTTCACATGAGGGCTTTCCCATTAATCCATAGTTAGGAATCCAAATCCGACAAAATCTGGCCATATCTGTGAAGCTGCTTAGCCGCTTTCTCCTGGCTGGCTCGCCAAATTGTACCCAGACTGAACCCGGGGTTGGGCAGCTAATTCTCACGGCTTGATAACGAGATGCAGATGAACTGGGAAAGAAGAGAGTTTGCTTCTGTAAATGGGTACTGAGATAATAGCACCAGACCAACTCAAAATTACTAAGTTTTCCAGAGCTTATATACCTTCAAAGCTGTATGTCTATGTGTAAGTGTGCATTCCCCTAAGACATAAGTGATGAACTTCTTCTAATCTATAACGAACGCCTGAGTCCTGAAGATCTTCCTCTGGAGCCTCAGTAAATTTATTTAATCTGGAGGGGTCCAGGTGCTGGGGTGATTACCCTTATCTTGTCTCCTGCTAAATCATGGAGGTTTGGGGCGTTCCTTTAGACCCCAATAAAACTTGTTTAATCCTAAATGGGTCCTGTTAAGAATTCCTTTGTTATCTTGTCATGCTTCAAGGCCCAGGAAACGCCTGGGCAAAACTCTTGGTGGACTTTTGTTACATTCTAACCTTTGTAGAAGGGTGCTGGCTCTCTCACCTTTTAATTTTTTTTTTTTTTTTGAGACAGAGTCTTGCTCTGTCACCCAGGCTGGAGTGCAGTGGCGTGATCTTGGCTCACTGCAATCTCTGCCTCCCTGCCTCCCAGGTTCAAGCGATTCTCTTGCCTCAGTCTCCTGAGTACTCAGCTGGGATTACAGGCACGTGCCACCACGCCTGTCTAATTTTTGTATTTTTAGTAGAAACGGGGTTTCATCATGTTGGGCAGGCTGGTCTTGAACTCCTGACCTCAGGTGATCCGCCTGCCTCAGCCTCCGAAAGTGCTGGGATTACAGGTGTGAGCCACCGCGCCTGGCCAGCTTTTAATATTTAACTTAATCACTCAGTCAGTGCTGAAAGTTGTTATGGGGGCCTGCCTGTTCAGCTGCTAGTGAAACCTGACCTGCTACAACAGCGCGGAGCCACACCTGCCCTAACTCCATCTCCTCTTTCATCAGCCAGGAAAACGATGCTGCCCACAGGTGCACACCTGCAGAGGCCGCGACCCATGTAGAACATAAGTGTCCCAGGAGAGAGGCCGAAGCCTGGTTCCAGGAGTGGCCCAGAGGATGGACATTCATGACCCTGGTGAGCAGGGTGTGCTTAGTGGTTGGCCTGGCCGGGGGATCCAGCCCAGGGCCGCTCTGCATACAGCACCCTGGGGCCCTCCCATCTGGGATCCACTTGCTTGACCCCTCGAGCTTAGAGAGGGGCACCCACCCCCACCAAGCCCTCTTCTGTCAAGTTCCCCAGGGAAACCTGATGAGTGGCAGTGGCCCCCTCTGACCAGCTCCCACCCTGCTCTACTTTCTGAGTCTGAGGACAGAGGAGGGATGTGAAAGCATTTAGGGCCCCAGGCAGAGGGTCTGGGTGAGGGCGAGGGATTCTCAGGAACTCGGGGGCAGCAGAGCCTCCTCCTGAGACGTCAGAGGGGAGGATGCCCCTCGTGCTGTGGCCTCTGTGAAGGAGCCTCAGCAAGACCCGGCGAAGGGTGACCAGGCAGAGGGACGGAAGGTGCAGTGCTGCAGAGGCAGCAATGAGGTGGTGCATGGCCAGGCACAGAGAGGAGGCAGAGGCCAGTGAGCCAGGGGCGGGCGGGGTCGGAACTAAGCTTGGAGAGGTGGAGGGCAGAGAGCCAGGGCGGGGGCTTCCTCTCATTCCCTGTGCGGCGGGAGGCCTGCGGAGAAGTGGAACCTGCCCTGAGCTTTGCCCATGGCTGCTGAGAAGCAGTCCTGACCGAGTCACTCCTCCACAGGACAGGGCATTTGGGAGGTGGGGCTGGATCCAGCCTGCCTGGCTGCCCCGGCTCTGCCCTCCCTGGAGAATCAACAGGGTGTTCCTGACTGAGCAGCCTGCTAGGCAGATGAGCCCTCAGCACCATCCAGACAGGCCTTCCCAGCCGCTGAGTCCCGGCCAGCTGGACAGAGGGCACAGCCTGCAGCAGCTGCCTTAGCACTAGATGCCCCTGGGCTGTGCCTTCCTGCATCTTGCTTGGTTTCCCTTCTGTTGAAACAGAGTGGAACTGACAAGGGCATATCTGAGTAGATGAATTCCCTTTTCACAAGATTTTCACAAGAAGGTTTTCTGGCAGGTGGATTTGCAGCTAAAGTGACAGTAGATGTTATCTGGGGTGTAGATGGAGGCTTTTCCCTGCATCTTCCCCTGCTGTGCTTAGACAGGGATCTGTTTGGTGGAGGAGTCCCCCCCACCCCTTCCCTACCCAAGAGATAGTCATCATTAGCCGGCCTCTCTAGGCACCCATGTCCTTCCCCAAATCCATCACTATCCCTTCTCTGTCTCTGTTTTAGGAACTTTTAGAGATCTTCTATTTTCGTACTCAAAACCTGCCTTCAGCCCTAGCCTGTAAGGTATTTAATGCACAGGAGAGGCGGGCAGGGCACCCATAAGTCCAAGGGTCTGGCTGAGTTCCTGGCACACACAGGCACAACAGGTCTCAATCAATATGAAAGAAAGGATGAATGAGGGATGGGAGTAGAAGGAGCCGTTGGGAAAGGGGCGGGAGGAAGGATCTGGGTGCCTTTCTGGGGCCAGCCCGCTTCTCTTCTTTAACCATTGAAGCCCTCAAAGTCATCTCTGGAGAAAGACACAGACCACAGACAGTTTCTGGGATTCCTAGATCTGTCAGGAAGTGACAGTCTTTACTTGTCACATGTCAGTGACATGGGGCCAGTTTTTCCAAGGGGCTTTTATGCCGGTCTTCCATCAGTGTGGCCTTGATATTAATATTTAATTTGTAGAGAAACTCCGAACTAATTTTATCTCTCATAATCAGCCCTGAGAATCTCACGTGCTCACCTCTTCTAGAGGCGCTGGATAGTGTTAATATCCAGTCCTGTGTCTCATGAATGCAGGTTATTTTGATTGTCATCTCATGGGTCTGAAGAGGAGGCTTTAACTGCTGTTCGTGTTTAAGGTTTAGTAGGCTTTGTGTCCTTTCTAGACCGGAGTCAAAGCCCTGTAACTTAATGGCACAAGGTCTTTAAAAGCAATACCTAGAGTTACACAGATACTGTAACCTTATTTTTTTTAATCTCAGCTTTCCTAGGACTTGAATTAGTTAGACACATAGGAAGAGTGTGTCCTGGGTCAGAAATGAAAGTTTCCAACTTCATAGAAGAATTTGAAGCCAAGAGCACAGAAGGTTATATTGAAAGAAAACATTTCCTTTAGATCTTTTTTTTTTTTTTTTTTAGATGGAGTCTCGCTTTGTTGCCCAGGCTGCAGTGCAGTGGCATGATCTTGGCTCACTGCAAACTCCATCTCCCGGGTTTGAACAATTCTCCTGCCTTAGCCTCCCAAGTAGCTGGGATTACAGGTGCCAGCCACACCTGGCTAATTTTTTTGTATTTTTAGTAGAGATGGCGTTTCACCATGTTGATCAGGCTGGTTTTGAATTCCTGACCTAATGAGGGCCGCCTGCCTCTGCCTCCCAAAGTACTAGGATTACAGGTGTGAGCCCCTGTGCCTGGCTGAGATCCTTAAGATAAAATATTCTGTGGCATCAGGCCACAACAGCAGTTAGAACCTGAGGAAACTAGTTACGGGAGATGATGAGTAATTTGCAGGAGAAACTTATTTCAGGCCTTCTTGAAGGGGAGAGAAAGCTGAAAACAGTGAGATGCAATAAAAGTTAAACTTTTGCATTAAAAAAATTAAAATCTCTTGTAATTTTATTGAGTAAATCAATACCTTAAGAAAATTTTGTTGTTCTAACCAATTCTTTAATTAGTGTATTTTAATATCAAAACCCAACCTCTAGAGAGACTATTGTAATTTCCTTTTAATTAGAACCAACTTGATTATGTAAAGTTTTTTCATAAATTCCCTTTTTGTAAACCTTATTACCACTTACACAAACCATTTACAATATGCTTGGAGTTCGTGTTTTATCCTAAACATCCCTCTTTCTTAAACAACCAGTCATTTTATTTTAGGACAAAAAAATTACCACATAAGATTTTTTCTCATATAAAATTATTTTCCCTTCTTACCAAAAATACCTCTTCATATTTATAACATTCTTTATATCTCTCTTATGTACTGGTTCCTTTTACCTTGTGTGATGGTTAATACATCATGTCAACTTGATTGTATTGAAGGATGCAAAGTATTGTTCCTGGGAGTGTCTGTGAGGGTGTTGCCAAAGGAGATTCACATTTGAGTCAGTGGACTGGCAGAGGCGGACTCACCCTCAATTTGGGTGGACACCATCTAATCAGCTGCCAGCACAGCCAGAATAAAAAGCAGGCAGGCCCGGTGCGGTGGCTCAAGCCTGTAATCCCAGGACTTTGGGAGGCTGAGGCGGGCGGATCACAAGGTCAGGAGATCGAGACAATCCTGGCTAACATGGTGAAACCTCGTCTCTACTAAAAATACAAAAAAATTAGCCGGGCGTGGTGGCGGGCACCTGTAGTCCCAGCTACTCAGGAGGTTGAGGCAGGAGAATGGCATGAATCCAGGAGGTGGAGCTTGCAGTGAGCCAAGATCGTGCTAATGCACTCCAGCCTGGGCGACAGAGCGAGACTCCATCTCAAAAAAAAAAAAAAAAATGCAGACACAGAAGAACATAAAAAGACTAGACTGGCCTAGCCTCCCAGCCTACATCTTTCTCCTGTGCTGGATCCTTCCTGCCCTTGAACATCGGACTCCAAGTTCTTCAGTTTTGGGACTCACACTGGCTGTCCTCACTCCTCAGCTTGCAGACAGCCTACTGTAGGACCTTGTGATTGTGTAAGTTAATGCTTAATAAACTCCCCTTTATATGTATATATCTATCCTATTAGTTCTGTCCCTCTAGAGAACCCTGACTAATACACCTTGTTTCAAAAATGACCTTTAAATAGCCTTTGAATTAGACAAAAATTATTTCCTTTTCATAAAAACACATTATTTTTCAGAAAAATGTTTTCTCCTATAATCAAATTTTTGTTAAAAAAATTGGAAACGATACAGACATTTAACAAATATTATTTAATTTGCTATAACTTTAGATTTTAAATTCTATGATGTTTATTTGCAAGCATTTAGTCCATTACACTTAATTAATTAATTTTTAATAGTTTGCCTAGATTGCTTATGAAAATTATGATAGTCAGGTAAACCAAAAGTAAAATTGTAAGCCCCCCAACCATCCGATTGGACCTGTCCTCTCTGCCACATGCATTCCAAAGTTAACCTGAAAAACTAGCTCAGGCCAAGATGGGAAGAGGGAGTTGGACATACCTTATTACCATCAACACAGACCTTCAGACTGAGAGGACAGACGCTTTAAGTCTGATAAGAAACATTTACAATCTATTCTCTCTGAAACCTCCGCCTGGAGGCTTCACCTGCGTGATAAAACTTTGGTCTCCACAACCCCTTATCGTAACTCAGACATTCCTTTCTACTGATTTCAGGTCTTTAGGTAATAACCAACTGCTGATCAGAACATCTTTGCATCTGCCTATGACTTGGAAGGCCCCATTTCCAGCTGTCTGGCTTTTTCTGGACTGAACCAAGGTACATCTTACATGTATTGATTGATGTCGTATGTCTCCCTAAAATGTGTGAAAAAGTTGTGGCCCAACCAGCCTGGTCACAAGTCATCAGGACCTTCTGAGGCTGCGTCATGGGTGTGAAAGGAAAATCTCTTGGGCCCCCCAAATCACTAAGCTAAAGGGAAAAGTCAAGCTGGGAAGTGCTTTGGGCAAACCTGCCTCTCATTCTATTGAAAATCATCCCTCGGCTCACTGGGTTAAATACATATTTGATGTCTCCTTTGGAGAGGCTCATCAGAAACTCCAAAGAATACAACCATTTATCTCTTATCTACCTATGACCTGGAAGCCCCCCTCCCAGCTTCGAGTTGTCCCGCCTTTCCGGACTGAACTAATGTTCATCTTACGTATGTTGATTGATGTCTCATGTCTCCCTAAAATGCATAAAACCAAACTGTGCTTGGACCACCGTGGGCACCTGTCATCAGGACCTCCTGAGGCTGTGTCGTGGACAAATGTCCCCAACTTTGACAAAATTAACATTCTAAATTAAATGAGACCTGTCTCAGATTTTGGGGGCTCACATGGCATGTCCTTAACCTTGGCAAAAGAAACTTCTAAATTCATTGGGACCTGTCTCAGATATATTTTGGCTTACAGTCATCATTTAAAGTTATTTCCTTGTTGACCATTTTTATAGCCAGTGAATTTCAGGTGTTTACCTAAGTAAGAATCTTAAGGTTAAATAAATGAATTTTTTGGCCAATAACACAGGATTTACTGTTTTTATTAAATTAACATTAGACCAATAAATCTAAATAATAATGTATGTTGACAATTCTGAAGACATTTCTAATTTTATTTTACCAATTATTTTAAAGTTAGGTTATTTATTAAAGATTTACTGAAGTCATATGAACTTGAAAAGTATTTGCACTTATTTACTTAATTTATTGGCACTCCTTTTTTTTTAAGCCAATTTGGTACCTTGTGGTCACAACACATAACAAAACACACGCATGCACACATAAACACACCTAAGCATGCACGCGCGTACACACTCACACACATGCACACACACCACACGCACACACACATGCACACACTGACACATTTGCACACACACTCGCACATGCACACACCACACATGCACACACTCGCACACACAAAACTCACATGACACACACGTGCACACACACTCGCACACACCACACACTCGCACACGCACATGCATACATTTGCGCACACACACACCACACACTTGCACATGCACATGAACACATTCACATACATGCACACACACACTCGCACACACACCACACACATGCACACTCACACACACACTCGCACAATCACACATGTGCACGCGTGCGCGCACACACACACACAAATAAAGGTCCCATAGCTTTTGCCTTGGAATTCCAGCCAGGAGGTACCAATGCAAACTCACCAGTTTACAAAAGAACGGTTGGATGTGAATAGCGGTTTTTATCTTCGACACCAGCAGAAAGGTCCTTTAAACTAGAAAAAAAATATGTTTCATTGAGCAAAAACCACATCCTCATGTTTTTTAAATAAACTTCACCAAAAATGCATCTTACTTTCCTACTATTCTCTTAGAAACCCTAATTTCCAGCAAAAAACCTAGGATGACTTAATTTAACACAACATGACTTTAAGATTTTCAATTACTGGAGAGAATTGTGAGATTACATTTACCAAATTAATCTTACCAAAGATTACTAAAGTCATGTGAGCTGAAAGGCCTCTGGGCTAGCTTCTATTAGTCTACAAACACTTACTTTTCTTTAAGCCAACTAATTAGAGCTCTTTCATATGATTGGTAGTGAAATATTGTTTCCATGTGACACATAAACACACAGACTTAACAGACACAGACAGAGGCAAATCTTAGGGATTTAAAATGTTTCACTTGCCTGTTTTCAAAGTTTTTTTCTTCCCTACTTTATACCACTAATCTCTTGATTATCTATTCCATGTCTTAAACAATTGTTAACTAGGTAACTCTAAATTTACATCTCCAAATACATGACTTAGGTGAAGCAAGGTAAAAAATGTACATCTCAAAGGCACAGACTTGGATCTAAAAAAGGCAAGGTCTGTTATGTAAATGAAGCCATTGTCTCCCCCTTAGTTAAAGTTCCTAGTGGTTTAGACGCAGAGACAGAGATGTCCTTACAAAATGGAAATTTCCTTTAAAGACATAAATTTCCTTTACACAGAATTTTATTGAAGTGACTTAGTTTGATAGGTAGTATTTTCAGCGGAGCTTGATTAGGTCACTGGCTTTAGGGTGGAGCCCTCTAAGGAACAGAGCCAAGAAAGCATGCACAATTTTCTGATCTAAATGTGCAATGAGTGGCCCCCTGTAGTAATGACCATTTCCTGTAAACTGTCCTCAGCCTTCCCTAACGTTGTAGCTCTCATCTGCCATGACACACACCAAGGTCAAATATTCTCACAGTACAGAGTAATCTCTGGTATCTCTAAAAGTCAAAGAAGTCAAGTAATGCAATACAGGAAAGCAGAACTTTAGACCTAAGAAAAACCTGCCATGACTCTGAAAACTCCACACAGAAAGCAGAACACCCCCGCACAGGGTGAGTGGTGCCTTTATTCTGAGTTATTTAAGGATCCAAGTCATTATGATACAGGAGTGAGAAAGAAATTCAGGCAGATAAGGAGGGTAAGAGAGTCCTCAGCAAGGTTTCCTTTTAATAAAAAGCAGCCCCCAATCATTTCTTTCCTAACAAAAAGCAGCCTGAAAAATCAAGCTGCAAGTATAGATAAACAAGCTAAAAGCTTACATAGGTAAATGCTAGCAGCTGTGGTGATAGAAGAGGGATACCTGGAAGCCAAGTCTGTTCAACATGAAGGATCCCCCTTCCCTTTTCTTGGTCGCCACCTGTGTGGTAAAAGGCAGGCAATATGACACTGGCCAGGTAGAGACCCCATCTGGATAATAAAAGATTAGGGTGGGTCGGCCAGCTTCTTTGTGCACTATGCAAATGGCATGCCTAGTCTGACCAATCTCTCATGTCCTATGTAAATCAGATATTGCCTCCTCAAGCTCGTCTATAAAACCTCGTGCATTTCACCAAGGACCTGGAAGACCCACTCAGACGCCCCTCTCTCTCCGCAGGTGAGAGAGCTATCCTCTTTTCTCTTTCCTTTGCCTATTAAGCCTCTGATCTTAAACTCACTTCTTGTGTGTCTGCATCCTCAACTTCCCTGGTGTGAGATGACAAACCTCAGGTATTTACCCCAGACAACAACGCCGCTTCAATTAGAACCCTTCTGTAGACATTTTTTTCACTTGGTACCAAAGATGGCAAAAGGGCTTCCCCTTTTTGGGAGAAATAGGGTGGAAGAAAAATAAAAGAATAATTTTTTAAGAAAGGAAGCACACAGAGAAATCAAGTGAATGTTTTTTTTTTCTCTTTTGCAGCTTCAAGGAATTTTAGCCAATCCAGAGGGCTTGTTACCCATAGTGTGGAATTCTCATTCAGATTTGGCCAAGTCAGGTAGAGATGGTCAAATCCAATGGGAGAAAGACCAAAACGACAATGAAACCAAACTATATTGTTAGAAAAAAATGCTTGGTGCTGCAAAGAAAACCAGGCAGAAAATTTCTCAGCAAGGCACATTTACTTCTGCAGAAGGGTGCTGCCTGCATCAGTCACAATCGCAAGAGCACACCAAGCTGGGAGGGCAGGGGTTTTTACCCCTAATGCAGTTCCTGTTTCTGTGTCCTTTCCCCATTGGCTGATGCAGTTCCTGTTTCTGTGTCCTTTCCCCATTGGCTGGAGTTGGACTGCACAGTCTAAACTGACCCGATTGGCTAGTGTTTGAAATTGAATAAGGCCAATTATGCGGGAAGGGAGAGGCTGTTCCTTACCAACTAGGTGGGAAGAGTTGTTTACAGAGTAAGAGGTTTGCAGGTTACAGATTAAGCAGAAAAACAAGTGCTCATTACAGATTAAGCAGGAAGGGCTGTGTACAGAGCAAGAAAGACCAAAGAAGCTTTGAAGAGGAACTTATAATTTCTGGCAATATGATTACTGAGCTCTCTAATGGAAGCAGAAATGAAGACCAGGCGGTGGTCAATCTTAACTTTTAGTCATGAGGGAGAATTTTCAAGACAAAACTCCAATTCAGCTACTTACCTAGAAATGGGGCCCAGGCTGAAGACTGCTCTCTACTGTCTCAGAAACAGGAAAAGTCCCAAACTCGCCTTCCCTGTTGGAATCGAGCTGAAACTCCAGAAAAGGAGTTGCTCAGCAAAAGAAACCTCAGATCTCAACCGAATGTTGGGAGATCAGGGATTCTCTGGGGTAGAAGGGGATACTCCTGGACTTCAGCAAATCGGACTTCAGCAAATTGTCCTATTAATTTGAGCAATAAAGATAGCCCAAACTGATACTGAGCATCGATAGGAGTGTCTGCAAAAAGAATCAAACTTGGTAAAATATTTGAAGGGATTTATTCTGAGCCAAATACTAGGGACCATGGCCCATGACACAGCCCTCAGGAGGGCCTGAGAACATGTGCCCAAGGCGGTTGGTTTTATACATTTTATACAAGCTTGGTTTTATGCATTTTAAGGAGGCATGAGACATCAATCAAATACATTTAAGAAATACATTGTTTTGGACCAGAAAGGTGGACAAAGCAGGTGCTTTCAGGTTATAGGTAAATTTAAACATCTTCTGGTTGACAATTGGTTGAGTTTGTCTAAAGACCTGGGATTATAGAAAGGAAATATTCAGGTTAAGATAAAAGATTGTGGAGACCAAGGTTGTTTTAGAGTCTTATAGTGGCTGCCCTTAGAGACAATAGATGGCAAATGTTTCCTATTCAGATCTTTAAAAGGTGCTAGACTTTTAGTTAATCTCTTTAGGATTGGGAGGGCCTGGAAGAAAAAGATCTAGCTATATTAATTCAGATTATTTAGAGATGCAAATTTTCCCCCACAAAGGACAACTTTACAGGGCCATTTCAAGATATGGCAAAGAAACATGTTTTGGGGGTCAAACATTTTGATTTTCGTCCTTGTCTTACAATGTTATGCCAGAGACAGGTTGGAAAGTAAGTCACAATATATAGGGTGAAATAAAACCCAGCTAATGACAATTTATGATTTGTATGGCATGACTCCCCAGGTCCCTTAGATAGGAATTTGGGCATGATAAAAAATCAGTTTAAGGAGAATAGCTTGAACCTGGGAGGCAGAGGTTGCAGTGAGCTGAGATCGTGCCACCGCACTCCAACCTGGGTGACAGAACAAGACTCGGTCTCAAAAAAAAAAAAAAAAATCAGAGTTTAGTCCTCAGGAGATTTGTCAAAGGACCACCTCCACTCAGAGTTCCTTCTGTTGGTCACAATTTGTAAGTCAAAAAGTATCTGAGACAGGTCTTAATCAATTGAGAAGTTTATTTTGCCAATGTTAAGGAAAAGAAAACCAGAATCACAGAAACAGTCTGTGGTCTGTGTCTTTCTCCAAAGATGACTTTGAGGGCCTCAATATTTAAAAGGGAGAAGTGGGCTGGTGGGGAAAAGAAGGAGGGTGTGGTCATCCACAGGTGGCAAGAGAAAAGGAACATGTAGGGAAACAGTCAATCATATATTTGTCTTGTGCTCAGTAATCCACGCTTTTCATAAGGTCAGGTGAACATGGAGCAGCTACCTGTGAAGATACTCAACCTTTTATCTGTAGCTTTCTGCTTAGGAACAAAAGGAGAGGCAGCTTCTTCTATGACTCAGCTTCCAGCTTAATTTTTTTTCTTTTGGATGGGTGAATTGAGGTCCCAAGTTTTTTATTTTCCTTTCACAAATCAATTTTTTAAAAAGAAAGTACCATTTAAAATAGCACCAAAAATGAAATACTAGATGTACATTTTTACTGAAACATGTTCAGAATTTGCATGCTGAAAACTACAAAACAAACAAACAACTCTCAACATTCTTTAGGTTCTTATTTGATAGAAAAGTGTTCTCCATTTTTACTTCCAATGTCCCATTTTTTGGTATCTCTTATAAACAATATGTTATTGACTTTTTGAAATGTTGTCTAAGGGTCATTTTCTTTAAACTAGAAAGAATAACCAAATTACATTTGCTGTCATTGCTGTTGTAGAAAACTTATTTCTGTCCATTTGCTTTGTATTTCCATTTGCTATACAATCAGTTCTGTTATAATGTGACATTCACCATGCTCTGCAAACTAGTGCCAAAAAATCACATGGCTGGTGGGAAAAAATAGGGGTTAGGATCACAATGTTCAAAAATTTCATCAGTAACACATAAAAAGGAGGAACCTAATGAAAATGGTAAGGAATACGTAAATACTACAATCAATATGGCATTTGACCTTGGAAAGGGCTGAAAGTTGCCTGTGGATAAGGGTAGGGTCTGCAGCCTATGAGTTAGTGTCAAGTGCTGGAGGTAGGGGCCCCTGAATGGACAGGTCTGGACAGGTGTGGCTCAGCCAACCCAGGATGAACCACGCTTTTAAAATGTAAAGAGACAAAGAACTTAACAGAAAGTGGAAAAAAAGCTACAGACAGTTTACAGACAAGCAATGCAATGACTCTCAAACAGGTGAAAAGATGCTTAACATCAGCCATAGTAAAATAAATGCAAACTGAAACTACAACAAGAGAACATTTCATATGTTAGAAATAAGAGCTCAGAGTCACAAGGAAAATGAGCACTGGAACAAAGGATTTCTCAGCAAGGCAAACTTACTTCTGCAGAAGGGTGCTGCTTGTGCTTCTGGCCACTGCAAGAGCACACTGAACAAAGGAGGGAAAGAGTTTTTATCCCTAACGTGGTTAGTCTCTGCTTCTGTGTCCTGTCTCCATTGGCTGGAGTCGGACTGCACAATCTAAACTGACCTGATTTGCTACTGTTTAAAACTGAATACGGCTAATTAGGCAGGAAGGGAGAGGCTGTCTGTTATGGTACAAGGCATGTTTGGGCATGTCAGAGTGCGGCAAAGGCAGGCAGGGTAGTTTCGGCTGGAAGAACTGTTTTGGTGGGAGGGGCAGTTTACAGAATGGGTAGCCAGGAGTAAAAGAGGACTCTTTCCAAATAAGGAAGAGATGTGAGTTACAGATTGGGACTGGTGGGAGAAGTTTACAGAGCAAGTAGCTTAGGAGAAGGGACAAGGAAGTTGATCTTGAGAACAAGGAAGTCAGAAATTAAACCTTTGAAGAGGAACTTACTGTATCTGACACACACCAGCAGATTGCCAAGTGCGCACCGTGTTCACAGCATCTGTGTTGCTGGGGACATAGGGAAGCGCGCTTCCATCCATTGATGGTGCAGTAGAACCAGTCCCACCTCTGTGGAAAGCACCTTGACAATAGCTGCTTAAATTCTAAATGGGCAGAAGCTTCAACCTAGTGAGAACTAACCTCTGAATTTTTATCCTGCCCAAATTCCTACCTAAGGGATCTGGGGAGTCATGCCCTACAGATCATGGATTCTCATCAGATGGGTTTTATTTGACCCTGTATATTGTGACTTGCTTTTCAATCTGACTCTGGCATAATATCATGAGCCAAGGAAAAAAATATTTAACCTCAAAATATATTTCCTTGCCATGCCTTGAAATTGCCCTGCAAAATCTCTTGTGGGAAAAATCCATATCATATAAAGAATCTGCTTCCCCCTTTGTTTTCCTTCCTTCCTTTCCAGATCCAGGAGATAATCAACTAAGAGCCAGGCTCCCTTTTAGGTCCCATAAGAAACATTTTACAACCTGCTCTCTCTCTGAAGTCTGCTACCTGAGAGATTCCTCTGCACAATAAAACTTGGTCCCCACAATCCTTTGTCTTGACCTGAACATCCTTTCCATTAATCCCAGGTCTTCAGATAACCTCAACCAATTTTCAACCAGAAAATGTTTAAATTTGCCTATAGCCTGGAAATCCCTGCTATGAGTTGTCCCACCTTTCTGAACCAAACCAATGTATTTCTTAAATGTATTTAATTGACATCTCATGCCTTCCTAAAATATATAAAACCAAGCTCTACCCCGACCACCTTGGGGACATGTTCTCAGGACCTCCTGAGGGCTGTGTCATAGGCCATGGTCACTCATATTTGGCTCAGAATAAATCTCTTCAAATATTTTACAGTTTGACTCTTTTCATCCACACCAGCAAATACATTTCTGGGGATCAAGTCAGTGTCAGCCAGCATGTGGTCGCAGAGCATGTCCCAGGATTGTTGTGGTGGCATTTCTTGTAACAGCAAAGACGGAACCATCAGAATGTCTGTCAATAAGAGACTGGTTACATAACTTATGGTATACTCATATAATGGAATACAGTGCAGCTGTAAATAATGAGTTCAATTTGAATGAGATGTAATGGAATGATCTTCAAAATATACTGAGAGAGAAATTCAGAGTGCTGAAGAGTGTAGCACATCACCACTTGTATCCAAAAGAGAACTATAGACAAAACTCTGTGTGTCTCTACATGCATAGAAGGGTTATGGGATAAAACCCAAGGGCTGTTACAGTGTGTGCTCCTGGGGTGGAGGAGGAGGAGAGCCAGGGCCAGCAAAGAAGTAGACTTGGTGTGCATTGCAGAACCCTTTGTACTGTTCAGTGTTTTGTTTTTATTTTGAGACAACATCTTGCTCTGTCACTGAGGATGGAGTGCAGTGGTTTGATCATGGCTCACTGCAACCTCCACCTCCTGGCCTCAAGAGAGCCTCCCACCTCAGCTTCCTGAGCAGCTGGGACTACAGGTGTGTGCTACCACACCCAGCTAATTTTTCTATTTTAGTAGAGACACAGTTTCTCCATGTTGCCTAGTCTTGAACTCCTGAGCCCAAACAATCCACCCACCTTTGCCTCTCAAAGTGCTGGGATTACAGGCATGAGCCCCCACACCTGGCAGATGCTTTATTTTGATTTTTTTTTTTTTTTTTTTTTTTACCAAGTGTGCTGGGTAGAATGGTATTCCTTAAAAACATATGCCCAAGTCCTAACCCCTGGTATCTGTGAATGTGATCTTATTTGGAAATCGGGTCTTTGAGGATTATAGTTAAGGTGTAAATTAAGATGAGGTCACACTGCAGTAGGGTGGCCCTTAATGCAACATGAAGATGTCCTAAGAAGAGGAGGAAAGACACAGATGCACACACACATACACAGAGAGAGAGAGAGAGAGAGAGAGAGAGAGAGAGAAAATGCCGTTTGATGACAGAGGCTGAGAGGAGGGACGCGTACTCAAGCCAAGGGGGCCAAGAACGGCCGCAGCATCAGATGCTGGAGACAGCTCGATTTTGGACTTCTAGCCTCCAGAATTGTCAGAGAATAAATTTGTGTTGTTTTAAGCTACTCAGTTTAATTTGTTATGGCAGCTATGCAAAACTAACATGTACATATGCTAGTTTTTCTTTTTTTTTTTTTTTTGAGACAGGGTCTTGCTCTGTTGCCAGGCTGGAGTGTAGTGGCTTGATCTCAGCTCACTGCAACCTCCACTTCCCGGGTTCAAGCAATTCTCCTGCCTCAGCCTCCTTGAGTAGCTAGGACTACAGGCATGCACCACCACGCCTGGCTAATTTTTGTATATTTAGTAGAGATGGGTTTTTACCATGTTGGCCAGGATGGTCTCCATCTCTTGACCTTGTGATCTGCCCGCCTCAGCCTCCCAAAGTGCTGGGATTACAGGCATGAGCTACGGCGCCAGGCCTCCTTTTCCAATAAGAAAAACTATTTTATTTTCAAATGAGAGGGGTGAAATAAATAAATGTTCCCATTATGATCACGAGTGAAGGCAGCTGTCTGAAGATGGTGGAATTGTGTACGATTGTCATTTCCTTTGTGTGGCGAGGCATCTGACTCATAACACAAAAATGCGCTATTTCTGTAATCAGGAAAATAAGTACTTCAAGGACATTCTAAGACAGTATAAGAAGGGATTTACTCTCTGGGAGTGATCAGATAGAACCTCAAAGAGGATGAAGGAGGAGAAGGATGCTGCATTTTTCCTCTGTTTTATGAACGTAAACATAGGTCATTCAAAATATCTCTCCATAAGTAAGAATCAGTCATTAGGAAGTAAGGAGACACAACAATGGAAATGAAAAGCAAAAGGATATTTAGAAATATCCTTTAATCTTTCTTTCTTTCTTTTTTTTTTGAGATGGATTCTCGCTCTGTTGCCCGGGCTGGAGTGCAATGGCATGATCTTGGCTCACTGCAACCTCTGCCTCCTGGGTTTAAGCGATTCTCCTGTTCTCAGCCTCCCAAGTAGCTGGGATACAGGCACCCACCACCATGCCCGGCTAATTTTTTGTATTTTTAGTAGAGACAAGGTTTCACCATGTTGGCCAGGCTGGTTTTGAACTCCTGACCTCAGATGATCTGCCCACCTTGGCCTCCCAAAATGCTGGGATTACAGGCATGAGCCACCGCACCCGGCCTACCCTTTAATTTTTCAAATGGGACAAAGTCTTGTCCTCATAACCATGGGAAGAACCTGTGGGCAGAGGCATCACTGTGACGCTTGCATCATCAAAGGTGCCCAGTGACGTCAGCACCAACGGAAGACTCCAGCGCTAGGAGAGCAGTAGATGGCAGCTGGTTTGTGACACGACACAGACCAAAAGATATGCTTAGAAGATCCCTGTCCCTGTGGAACATCTTTGGCCATCTCTTTGCATCACTCTAACCCAAGGTAAAGGACTTTTAAAGAGGGATCTAGGAAAGTTTGGATGATTGTGGTAAAATCAGGGTTTGGGTCATCCTCTAACCTTGACCTCAGAAAGATATTGACAGACAGGCAGCTCATCAACATACAGCTAGTAGCATGCCCAGGGATGATGTCATGGAGGAGGGCACACTGCTGTAGAGAACCTGGCTAGATGGGCCTGTCTTACCCCATCCACATGGCATTTCTAGTGATCTTGAACTTAAAAGGTGGTCAGTTTCCAATTGCAGAGGTACAAGAACTGGGCCCAACCGAAGCCTGCCCAGGAAGGGATTATATGAAGAACTGCCCCATAGAAATATAATGTGAGCCACATTTTCTTTCTTTCTCTCCTTTTTTTCTTTTTTTTTTTAGATGGAGTCTTGCTCTGTCACCCAGGCTGGAGTGCAGTGGTGCGATCTTGGCTCACTGCAACCTCCGCCTCTTGGGTTCAAGCGATTCTGCTGCCTCAGCCTCCTGAGTAGCTGGGATTACAGGCGTGAGCCACCACACCTGGCTAATTTTTGTATTTTTAGTAGAGACGGGGGTCTCACCATGTTGGTCCTGCTGGTCTTGAACTCCTGACCTCGTGATCCTCCCCCTTCGACCTCCCAAAGTGCTGGGATTACAGGTGTGAGCCACCACGCCCAGCCTGTGAGCCACATTATCAATGTCCGGTTTCCTAGTAGCCACATTACAAACAGTAAGAAGAAACAGGTGAATTAATTTTCATAATTTATTTCTCATTTAACTCATTCTTTCCAGACTATGACACCCAGACTGTTACCGTTTCACCTGTGATCGATGTGAAGTTATGAGTGAGATGGTAAATTATTTTCTTTCGCACTGTGTTTGACTTTGAGACCCCATGTGTTTTGTACACTTGCAGCTCACCTCATTTCACAGCAGCTGCATTTCACACACTCGGGACCACATGTGGCAAGTGGCTACTCTATGGCTATCAGTGCAGAGCTAAAGTGTCATGTTTGTTAAATGAGTGTTCAAAATTGAAAATCACTGGAAGGCTGAGGTGGGCGGATCACCTGAGGTCAGCAGTTTGAGACCAGCCTGGCCAACATGATGAAACCCCGTCTCCACTAAAAATACAAAAATTAGCTGGATGTGGTGGCTGAGGCAGGAGAACTGTTTGAACCCAGGAGGCGGAGGTTGCAGTGAGCCAAGATTGTGCCACTGCACTCCAGCCTGGCAGACAGAATGAGACTCCATCTCAAAAAAAAAAAAAAAAAAAGTGAAAATCAGAGAATCAGAGACCTGCATTTTGTGTGGACACACAGCGCAGTGGCGTGTTCCCTATGGGCTTGTAAACCAAATCCCACGTGAAGCCTCCAACACAAGCTCAGGCACTGGTGAGAGTCCAGACTTCCATTGTAAAGTCTAATGCCTTTAATGTAGACTTCATTCTCCGTTTACAAGATCTACCTTTGAGAGCACTTGTAAATTTTTAGACTGGCATAGTCTTGGAACAAATTATTCATCTTACTATCTTAGTGAGGAAGAAAGAATAAAAAGTCGACTTCGGGGGCAGAATACATTCTCCTAGATCAAGAAGACTTCCTCATCAAGACCTCATTCTATTTGCACAGCCCTGCAGTGGAGAGATTTATTGCGTTTCTTTCATGCAATCAACGCAGACTTTGATGTGAACACGGGGAGAGACAGTGCACGTGCAGCTGACCCACGGGGAACAGTCAGCCCCGGGCACTTGAAGGAGAACAGAGGCTTCCCTAACTCAAGTCGCTGTCTCCTGCCAGCTGAACATTCTAGAAGCAACCTCTAAGGTTGGTGTCCAATGCCCATACATTAACCCATTGTTAGATGATGACAAATATGTCATTTTTTATTGCTTAAAATCTAATTTTTTCTCCTTCTTTCCCTAGGAGAGAATGAATTCTAAAAGAATGCTGTTATTGGTTTTATTTGCTTTTTCACTGATGTTGGTTGAGCGTTATTTCAGGTAAATATAAAGTATTGATAAATCATGATCTTTAGTGATTGGCAGAGGTGGTTTTAATTTAATTAAATTAATTAATTTAATTTTTGAGACAGGGTCTTACTCTGTTGCCCAGGCTGGAGTGCAGTGGTGCCATATTAGCTCACTGCAGCCTTGACCTCCCAGGCTCAAGTGATCCTCCCACCTCAGCCTCCTGAGTAGCTGGGACTACAGGCACATGTCACCACAAACAACTGATTTTTGAATTTTTTTTGTAGAGACTTATGTTGTCCAGGCTGGCAGAGATAATCTAAACTGCTGAGTTTTGTCCAAAGATATCAATACTACTCTCTAAATAAATCAGAAGTTACTTTCTCTTTGTGGGACAAAGGAAAATATACATATTTTAATTATTTCATTGTTAAACATTCAACAATTATTTACAGAGTGCCTTCTAGGTGCCAGGCTGTATTCTAGGTGCTGGGGATGCAGTGATAATGAAAGTGCCTGTCCTCAGGGAGCTTTCATTCTATTTGGAGAAGGTAGACAATAAATACACATAAAAGACAATGCCAGGGATATAATATTTTATAAAACAAGCATAATAAAAAATAAAGGTGACAATGCCATTTTAGATGAATTATAAACTATCTCAAGTTTCCATCTTTGTGTTTAATATAAATAATACTAAAGGTTCCATCTTTGTGTTTAATGTAAACAAGACTAAAGTCAACCTAATTCTATGCATATAGAAGCATGTGTACTAGAGGACGCATCTGTAAACCTGCTGGTATGGTTTGGCTCTTTCCCCACCCAAATCTCAACTTGAATTGTATCTCCCAGAATTCCCACGTGTTGTGGGAGGGACCCGGGGGAGGTAATTGAATCATGGGGGCTGGTCTTTCCCATGCTATTCTCATGATAGTGAATACGTCTCATGAGATCTGATGGGTTTATCAGGGGTTTCCACTTTTCCGTCTTTCTCATTTTCTCTTGCCGCTGCCATGGAAGACATGCCTTTTGCCTCCTGCCATGATTCTGAGGCCTCCCCAGCCAT
The DNA here is from genome assembly GCF_000001405.40 of Homo sapiens. Taxonomy (NCBI): domain Eukaryota; kingdom Metazoa; phylum Chordata; class Mammalia; order Primates; family Hominidae; genus Homo; species Homo sapiens. The sequence goes on along the minus strand of NC_000009.12, from coordinate 135,638,083 downwards.
GTGGAACTGTAAGTCCAATTAAACCTCTTTTTCTTCCCAGTCTTGGGTATGTCTTTATCAGCAGCGTGAAAACAGACTAATACACCTGCTAATATTTTCCCGTCTAGAAAAACTCAAATTCTAGCTTTCTCCATACCACTCCTCATGGTCTTCTTCATAAGCAATGCAGTGTTTCCAGAGGCTATTTGAACAGCAGTAGTATCATGACAGATAATAGTTTTTAAAAATGAAAGCTTTGCACAACATGTATCTGGTAAGGGACTTGTACCCAAAATATGCAAAGAGCTCTTAAAATTCAACAATAAGGAAACAAACACCTAAATTTAAAAATTAAATATTGACATTTAAAACATTTAAAAATGAGCAAAAGAACTGAATAGAATCTCACAAGAGAAGATATACAGATGGGAAATAAGCGAACGCCAAGATGCTCAGTCTCATTTGTCATCAGGAAATTGCAACGAAAACAAGGAGATACCACTACACACCCATTAGAACGGCTAACACCCAAAAATCTAAAATCTGAAAACCAGCTTCTGGTGAGGAAGTGGAAGGACAGGAACTCTCATTCATTGCTGGTGGGAATGCAAAATGTTACAGGTACTGTGGAAGACAGTGTAGCAGTTCCTTAGAAAGCTAGATAGAGCCTTATCATGCCACAGAGCAACTGTGCTCCTAGGCATGTAGCCAACTGATTAAAACACTTATGTCCACACAAACCCTGCACAAGATGTTTATAGAAACTCTATTCATAAATGCCTCAAACCACTAACATACTAGATGCCCTTCAGCAGGTGGATGATAAACAAGCTGTGGTTCATGAAGTGCTCAAAACCAGAAACGAACAAGACGACTTTCAATAGGAGAAGGATAAACATGCTGTGGCTCATCTGTGCAACGGAATAACACCCAACAGTAAAAAGAAATGAGCTGGCCGGGCACGGTGGCTCATGCCTGTAATCCCAGCACTTTGGGAAGCTGAGGAAGGTGGATCACCTGAGGCCGGGAGTTCGAGACCAGCCTGACCAACATGGAGAAACCCCATCTCTACTATAAATACAAAATTACCTGGGCATGGTGGTGCATGCCTGTAATCCCAGCTACTCAGGAGGCTGAGGCAGATGAATCACTTGAACCTGGGAGGCAGAGGTTGCGGTGAGCTGAGATCACGCCATCGCACTCCAGCTTGGGCAACAAGAGTGAAACTCCATCCCCCCAAAAAAAAGAAAAAAAAGAAATCAGCTATCAAGCTGTTAGAAGACATGGAGGAACCCTAAATGCATATTGCTGAGTGCAAAAAGCCCATCTGAAAAGGCTGCGTGCTGTATAATTCTCATGTGACATTCTGGAAAAGGCAAAACTATATTGGCAGGAAAAAGATCAGTGGTTGCCATGGGGTGGAGGTGAGGGAGGGGATGAATAGGTGAAGCACAAAGGAATTTTGGGGGGCAGTGAAACTGTTCTGTATGACAGTGTAACCATGGACACATGTAACTTTGCATTTGAAAAAAAACCCACAGGACGTTACAGCACGAAGAGTGAAATTAACATATGTAAATTTAAAAAATTAGCTAGGAGGTTCGAGGTATCCTAGGAAGCAATGCAGACTGTGAGAACATAATCTATATCCCAAATGTACAGAACAATCCCACTGGAAGGGGTCAGGGAAAAAGCTGCTGACCTAAAATAACTTAGGAATGAGTGGAGTTTTTTTTGTTTTGTTTTGTTTTGAGACAGAGTCTCACTCTGTCACCCTGACTGGAGTGCAGTAGAGCGATCTCAACTCACCACAACTTCTGCCTCCTTGGTTCAAGCGATTCTCCTGCCTCAGCCTCCCTAGTAGCTGGGACTACAGGCACATGCCACCAGGCATGGCTAATTTTTTATTTTTAGTAGATATGGGGTTTCACCATGTTGGCCAGGCTGGTCTCAAACTCCTGACCTCAGGTGATCCGCCTGCCACAGCCTCCCAAAATTCTGGGATTACAGGTGTGAGCCACAGTGCCCAGCTGGGTATGAGTGGAGTTTGAAAGTAAAGGCAATAGAAACTGTACATGAGCACTGTACATGTATTTGGGTCAATAAAGGTTTTTTCCCACAGGAATATGAGTTAACAATTCTGCTGCTGCTATACATGTATATTTGAATCAATTAAATAAATGGATGAGGCATGGGGGAGCAAGTTTCTTGCTGTTGGAGGGAACTTCATAGTTAAGCAAGAGAGGGGGCCACAGTGATCCACGTGGGAATGGATTGAAGCTGGAGACCTCAGCGTGAACTCACGTTTACCTTACTATGAACAGAGACATTTACGTGTCAACGTGTTTAAAGATATGTGGAAATACGCACAGGTTAGTGTCTATTTCCTTGCTCTGTTAGCTGAGAGGGCCTCGGAGGAAGGACACCCTGGAAGCAATGAGCACACCTGGTACCCAGATCTTGGCTTCTAGCACCATTCTCCAGGAAAGCAGCAGATCGTGGTTTCTAGCACCATTCTCCAGGAAAGCAACAGATCTTGGTTTCTAGCACCATTCTCCAGGAAAGCAACAGATCTTGTTTCTAGCACCATTCTCCAGGAAAGCAGCAGACCTTAGTTTCTAGCACCATTCTCCAGGAAAGCAACAGATCTTGGTTTCTGGCACCATTCTCCAGGAAAGCGACCAAGGCTTCTTGGAGAAGTGGATGGTTCTAGATTCGGACAGGAGATTTACAAGATGAGCCCAGAGCATCTCATAGTGCCAGGAGGGATGGAAGGGATTTTTTTTACAAATTCTATATTGAAGGGAGTATGTCACTTAAATGGGACATGGGAGCTAACTGGGAGAGCTCCCGATGGCCAAAGCTGAAGCCTTTTGAGCAAGAAAAGAAAGTAACATTGAATTATAACCCAAAGTATGAAACGAACTTCCACAAGTTCATACTGATGTAAATGAATGATTGGAGGAGCAAAAAGAAGGAAGAAAGGAAGGAAGACAGGTTGGCTGGATGTTGGAAGGATAGAAGGAAGGAAGAAGGGAGAAGAGACAAATCTCCCATATGCAGAAGAATTCCAAATCATGTCTGTAGATTCTCCACTACCAACGACACAGAACCTGACGCCCCAGTCCTGAAGTTTGGGTTGCGCGCAGCGCTTTCTTATAAAGAAAACGGGGAGAAAGAGCAGTCTTTGCGTGGAGAAGCCCGAAAACAGAACCCTAGCCAGGTGAACAAGGTCAGCATCAATAGGAAGTCATGATGGGGTCTGAGAGGCGGCTGCAGTCAAGAGGATCCTGTGCAGACAGGAGGCTGAGTGGAGTGTGGCGTGCTGGGTGGGATCCAGACAGGAGGCTGAGTGGAGTGTGGCATGCTGGGTGGGATCCTGAAAAAAAAAGAGACATTAGGGGAAAACAAGAAAATCCAACCAAAGTATGGACTCTCGTTAACAATACAGCATCAGTGTTGCTTCATGAATTGGAACAAAAGTACCCTACTAAAGCTAGATGTTAATAATAGGAAAAACTGGGTTGGTGCAGGGGATTCCGCATACTAGCTTTAGAACGTTTTTGTAAAGCTGAATCTTCTCTAAAAATAAAGTTGATTGAAACAAAAAAGGGGAAATAAAGTAAAAATAAATCATGCCAAAAAAAAAAAAAAAAAAAAAAGGAAAGGAAAAACAAGGCCAGGCATGGTGGCTTACGCCTGTAATTCCAGCACTTTGGGAGGCAGAGGCGGGCGGATCACTTGAGGTCAGGAGTTGGAGACCAGCTGGCTGACATGGCAAAATCCTGTCTCTTCTAAAAACACCAGAATTAGCAGGGTATGGTGGTGGGCACCTGTAATCTCAGCTACTTGGGAGTCTGAGGCAGGAGAATAGCTTGAATCTGGGAGGCGGAGGTTGCAGTGAGCTGAAATCGCACCACTGCACTCCAGCCTGGGAGACAGAGTGAGACTCTGTCTCAAAAAGCAAAACAAAATGACCACCCCCACTGCTTTGGTGCCATGTATTTTGTGTCATTTGTCCTCCTGGAGGATTGTACCTTAATGAAAAGGATGCATGGCCAGTTATAAAGAGTTTCAGATGCTCTGTTTGAGGATAATGATGGAGTAATCTTCAGCAGAAAGGGGACAGGGACCCATACGCTAATCCATGGCACGGATTCTACCATCTACCCCGGAACCACAGCCAGGGGCCTGGCATGTAGGAGGTGCTCACTCATTATTTGGTAAGAAATGCATAAATAAATGGATCTTGATTCTAGATATTTTGTTGTTGAAATTGCAATGGGTCTTTGTTCAAATTTAAAACTTGAATGATTTTTTTTTCATTTATTTAAAGAATAAGGAGTTATTCACTGGTTGGGTTGATCCATTTAGGAAATAAACATACAGGATGCTCAGTAACATTTGAATTTCAGGGAAACAGTGAATCTTTTTTAGCAGAAGTATGTCCTATGCAATAGTTACACTAAAAATTTATTCATTGCTTATCTTAAACTGAAGAGATGTCCTGTGTTTTGTCTAGCAAACTCCTCTATAGAAAAGGAATCTCAGGCCAGGTGTGGTAGCTCATACCTGTAGTCCCAGCACTTTGGGAGGCCGAGGTGGGCAGATCACCTGAAGTCAGGAGTTTGAGACCAGCCTGGCCCCGTGTCTACTAAAATACAAAAATAAAAAATATTAAAAAAACATTAGCCAGGCGTGGCAGTGGGCACCTGTAATCTGGGCTACTCAGGAGGCTGAAGCAGGAGAATTGCTTAAACCCGGGAGGTGGAGGTTGCAGTGAGTTGAGATCATACCACTGCACTCCAGCCTGGGAGACAGAGCAAGACTGCCTCTCAAAATAAAGATAAAAATAAAAATAAAAGTAGAAAAGTCATCTCAGCCGGCGAGAATATTTGTTGTCTAAATATTCCACAAACTGCAAAGCAAGGCTGGAGGGGGTCAACTGGGTACTAATGGCAAGAGAGGCAGGGGAAACGGCAAACCAAAGACAGCTCTAATCCCTGAAGACACCACTGTCTGCGTATGTGTAGGCTGATTTGTATGTAATGCACGTGTATGTGTGCTTGCGTGTGTGCGTGCACGTGTGTGTGGTGAGCTTGAGGATTTGGGGGTTGATTACAGAAAGGACAGGACAGGCCGTGCGTGGTGGCTCACACCTGTAATCCCAGCACTCTGGGAGGCTGAGGCAGGTGGATCATTTGAGATCAGGAGTTGGAGACCATCCTGGCCAACATTGTGAAACCACATCTCTACTAAAAACACAAAAAATAGCTGGGTGTGGTGGCGTGTGCCTGTAATCCCAGCTACTGGGGGTGCTGAGGCAGGAGAATCACTTGAACCCAAGAGGTGGAGGTTGCGGTGAGCTGAGATTGCGCCACTGCACTCCAGACTGGGCTACAGAGCAAGACTCTGTCTCGAAAAAAAAAAAAAAAAAATCTCTGTCGAGGGTGATTTTTTTCTTTAGGTTACAATAACCCTCTTCAGCCAAGGATGTTCTCTGCTCTGGTCATTCTGCAGGGCCCCAGAAATTAATAAGACCAGCACGGTCAAAGAATGGGGACTTTTTATTAAGTTCCCCCTTTTCGTTTCATGTTTTTGATGAAGTCTGGCATGGACAGTTTGGATTTTGATGAATCTACGCCTGGGGAATCCAATCATGGAATGTCTGTGGCTAAGGATACTCATGATAATGCCAGAAAGGGGGACGGACAGTCTTGAAGTCATTTCTTTCACTTAAAAATATCCCAGGGTTACTATCCTAGGCAACGCAGGGAGACCCTGTCTCTACAAATAATTTAAAAGTTAGCCGGGTGTGATGGCACACCCCTGTGGTCCCAGCTACCTGGGAGGCTGAGGTGGGAGGATTGCTTGAGCTCAGGAGGTTGAGACTGCAGTGAATTGTGATGATGCCACTGCACTCCAGCCTGGGCAGCAGAGTGAGAGCCTGTCTCAAAAAAAAAAAAATTGCTCCCAGGGTTATGAAACAGAGGTTGCCTAATAAGCTTGCTAATTTAATAATTAGCTTAAAAGCACAATTACACTCTAGAAGAACGCAGTGTTGAAATGCAAAGGGAGGTAGCTTGTGCCTGTGGTCCCAGATACTTTGGAGGTTGAGGTGGGAGGATGGCTTGAGCTCAGGGGTTTGAGGCTGCAGTGAGCTATGATCATGCAAGTGAGAACGCATCTCTTAAAATAAATAAATAAAATAAATGCAAACAGAATCAAAGATGAACTTCTGGATGCCTCCTCCCCACCTCTTTACAACATAGAGCAGAACCACTAATGTTTGGTAAATAAATTAATTGAATCTATGTTTTTGTCTGAATATACATTCTCTTAGCTGATCTGTTCATCTCCTTTTATTAAAAAAATCTTCCTCCCAACACTCATACTCTTTCCTGATATTCTGCTTTTGGCCATGACCTCCTTTCCCTACATCTCTTTCCTAGACTAGCTCATACCCTTCCCCACCCAGCTGAGATATCTCTTCTCTGGGAGGCTTCCCCTGACTCTGATTTGGGTTGATGCATGTTGACGAAACACCAAACGGGGCCTGCCTATCACAGGCTCAATAAACATTGAACAGGCTCCTTGCAATCACTTGATTTTCTCTTTGTATCCAGGAATCACCAAGTAGAAGAACTTCGGCTCTCAGACTGGTTTCATCCTAGGTAAGAACAAAAATGCCTGTTTACATGCACACACAAACAATATACTTCAATTGGAAGTAACAGGTTTTTCTTCCCCAGTCACCAAATTCAGCTCTCCTGGGACGTTTCCAGAATTGGAGTTTTATTTTCGAGGCTCTTATAAACAAACCAGGGTCTGTTGATCAAGAACCAGGCGATGATTGTGGTCATGAAGAAGCAGACGCTCTCTACCTGGCTTAGCTTTCCTGGTTTATGCAGTGCGAGAAAGTCTCTTCGGAACCAGCTTGAATATGCCACTGATGACGCTGCTTGACTTTGGTGGCAGCACTCAGGGGCAGCCTCATCCTTTGTAAAGTGTATGTGGTTTCAACTTTGTGTTGTGTTCCTATGTAGCTTTGGGGTTATTTACAGTTTGGGGGCTATTGCAGGCAAAGTTCTGGTGACTAAATGTAACCCGTCTTTTTTTTTTTTACACAGATATATGACTTCCGGTGTGAGACACATTTCTAAAATGAAGTTATTAGGCCAAAGAATGCAGACATTTAAAATTTTTGATGTAAATTTTAAATTGCTAAATTTACTTTTAATAATGGTACCATTTTATCTTCTTGTCTACAGTGCATAAACTAAAGTATTACCAGCTTTTTCATGTTTGGCAAAGCTGCTAGTTAAGGCATCTCAATTCAATTTGCATGTCTGTAATTGTTTAAGTATCTTTTTTTTTTTTTTGTAGAGACAGAGTTTTGCTCTTGTTGCCCAGGCTGGAGTGCAATGGTGTGATCTTAGTTCACTGCAACCTCTGCCTCCTGGGTCAAGTGATTCTCCTGCCTCAGCCTCCCGTGTAGCTGGGATTACAGGTGCCTGCCAGCACACCTGGCTAATTTTTGTATTTTTAGTAGAGACAGGGTTTCATCATGTTGGCCAGGCTGGTCTTGAACTCCTGACCACAGGTGATCCACCTGCCTCGGCCTCCCGAGTATCTTTTTATATGTTTACTATTCATTCATATTTCATCTTTTGTGTAGTCTTCTTTTTTTTTTTTTTTCTGAGACAGAGTCTCACTCTGTTGCCCAGGCTGGGGTGCATGGCGTGATCTCGGCTCACTGCAAGCTCTGCCTGCTGGGTTCACACGATTCTCCTGCCTCAGCCTCCCAAGTAGCTGGGACTACAGGCGCCTGCCACCACGCCTGGCTAATTTTTTTGTATTTTTAGTAGAGACAGGGTTTCACCGTATTAGCCAGGATGGTCTCGATCTCCTGACCTCGTGATCCACCCTCCTTAGCCTCCCAAAGTGCTGGGATTACAGGTGTGAGCCACCACGCCTGGCCAAAATTACATGACATATAGAAAATAAAATGTCGAGTTTTATTACATTTTGTAAATGGGTAAAACTCTCCAATTAAAAAAGGCAGAGATTGTTAGAATGTATAAAAACATATTTATATGCCGTCTACAAGAGACATTTTAGATTCAAAGATGCAAATTGGTTTAACTAAAAGAATTGAAAAGTGTATACCATACAAACAGCAACCAAAAGAGACCCAAAGTGGCTCTATACAAATATCAGACAAAATAGACAAAGACAAAAATTGTTACTAGAGAAAAAAAATGGGGCATTTTATAATGACAAAAGGATCAATCCATCAATAAGATACATCAAATATATAAACATTTGCATCTAATAACAGTCCTAAAACATATGAAGCAAAAACTGACAGAATTGAAGGGAGAAATTGACAATTCAACAAGAATAGCTGGAGACTTCAGTACTTCACTTTCAATAAGAGACAGAACAACTAATCAACAAGCAAATAGAAGGCTTAAAAATACTACAAACGAGGCCTCACAAACATCTATAGAACCACCTAACAAGAGAAGAATACTCTCAAGTGCACATGAGACATTCTCCAGGATAAGCCATATGTTGCACAATAAAATCTCAGTAAATTCAAATGATTGAAATCATACAAAGTATGTTATTTGATCATTTTTTTCTAAATTCTAAAATTAAAAATCAATAACAGAAAGTAATTTGGGTAATTTGTAGATGTGTGGAAATTTAACAGTTCACTCCTAAATAATCAAAAAAGAATCACAAGGGAAATTAAAAAATTTTAAGGTGATTGAAAATAAAAACACTACATGCCAAACTTATGGGATGCAGCAAAAACAGTGCTTACTGAGAAATTTATAGCTATAAATGCCTACATTAAAATGAAAGATCTCAAGTCAATAACGTCCTAATTTTTGAATTTTTTTGTAGAGATGAGGTCTTGCTGTGTTGACCAGGCTGGTCTTAAACTTTATACACTAAGGAAAATTTATACATTAAGAAAATCAGAAAAGAAGAACAAAATAAAACTAAAGCAAGCACAGGAAAAAAAGAAGAGCAAATCAATTAAATAGAAAATAGAAGAATAATAGAGAAAATGAACAAAACCAAAATTGGTTTTTTGAAAAGATAAACAAATTTGCCAAAAGTGTAACTTGATTGTCCTAGCTAAAAAGGGAGAACTGAAATTACTAGAATCAGGAGTGAAAGAGGGGACATGACCACCAACTTCCAGAAATAATAAGGATTATAAGTGAATACTGTGATTAATTGTATGCCAACAAATTAAATAACCTATATGAAATGAAGAAATTCCTAGAAAGACTAAAGAAGAAAGGGAAAATTTGAATAGAGCTATAATAAGTAAATACATTGAATTAGTAATAAAAAACTTTCTACAAAGAAAAGCCTAGAAATACAAAATGTCATTGGTAAACTATGTCAAATGCTAAAGAAGAATTAATATCAATCTTTCACAAACTCTTCAAAGTATTAAAAGAGGAGTGTTTTTCAACTCATTCTAGACCAGTATTACCCTGATATCAAAACCAGACAAAGGTATCACAAGAAAACTACAGACCAATATCCCATATGAATATAAATGCAGAACTTTTCAGCAAAATACTATTATAGAAAACTGAATCCAGCAACATATAAAAAAGGATTATACACCATAAACTACATAGTGGGATTTATTCCAGGAATGCAAGGTTGGTTCAATGTATGAAAATCAATTAATGTAATACACTGTATTAATAGAATACAGAATATAAAAACCTCAGGATCATCTCAATAGATGCAGAAAAAGCGTTTGACAAAATTCGACACTTAAAAAAATATAAATACCCAACAAACTAGAAATGGAAGGGAACTTCCTCAACCTGATGAGTCAAAAGTACAACAACAATAAAAAATAGGTAAAGTGGACTTCATCAAAACTAAAAACTTTCATGAATCAAAGGACATTATCAAGAAAATGAAAAGACAACCCACAGAATGGGAAAAACATTTGCAATTCATATATCTGATAAGGGCCTAATATCCAGAATATATAAATAATTCTTATCATTAAACAACAAAATGACAAATAGTAATTTAAAATGGGCAAAGGATCTGAATAGCCATTTCTCCAAAGAAGATATACTAATGGCCAATAAGCACATGAAAAGATGCCCAACTTTATTAGTCTTCAGGGAAATGCAAATTAAGGTCACAATGAGATAGCACTTCACTCTCTATGATGTATAAAGATGTATAAAGTAGGATGGCTGGAATAAAAAAGATAACAAAAAAGTGTTGGTGAGGATGTGGAGAAATTTGAAATTTCATATACTTTTGGTGGGAATGTAAAATGGTGCAGCCTTTATGGAAGACAGTTTGTCAGTTCCTCAAAAAGTTAACCATAGAATTACCATATGACCCAACAATTCTACCTCTAGATATATATCCAAGAGAATTAAAAACCTATCTTCACACAAAAACTCACATATGAATTTTAATAGTAGTATTTGTAATAGCCAGAAAGTGTAAATAACTCAAATGTTCATCAACTAATGAACATATAAACAAAATGTGGTCTAGCCATCCAATGGAATATTATTCAGCCATATTTCCAGAACAGGCAAATCTACAGAGACAGAAAGTAGATGAGTTGTTGCAGGGATTGCAGGGAGAAGGGAATGGGGAGTGACTGCTTTTGGGTAGTGATATATCAAAGTATTTCATTTTCTTTGGAGAAACTGTAAATAGCATGTGTTTTAAATATTACTTTCTGCATGTTCATTGTTCATAGTAATGAGATTAATTTTTAATGTGCTGATCTTGTATCCTGAAACTTTGCTGAGTTCACTTGTTAGTTCTAGGAGATATTGGTTTTTTTTTAAGATTCCTTAGGATTTTCTATGTAGACAATTATGTAATCTGCAAATAGGGACGGTGTTGTTTTTTTCCTTCCCAATCTGCTGGCTTTTATTTCATTTTCTTGCCTTATTGCAGTGGCTAGAACTGCCATCACTATGTTGGTACTGCCACGTTCCTCATTGTAGGGAGAAAGCATTCAGTCTTTCACTATGAAGTGTGTGCACTGTAGGATATTTGTAGATGTTCTTTGTCAAGTTGAGGGGATTCCCCTCTATTACTTTTTTTCTGGGAGCTTTTATCATGAATGGACATTGAACTTTGTAGGGTGCTTTTTCCGAGTTGAGCATGTGATTGATCTTCTCTAGCTTTCAATATGGTGGTTTACATTCATTGATTTTCAGATGTTGAATAGCCTATCTTAAATCCTGCTGTTGTTTTGTTGTATTGAAGGCAAATCGGATGGCTCGCTCCGGTTTTGGACTCATCTCTCATTTCTGCTGGATTGCACTGGTGGGCCTAAAGCATGAGGGAGAAGCTGAAAAAAAGGGCATCCCCAGAAACTTGTAGGAAAAGGGGAGAGAGAAAAAGAAAGCAGAGAAGGAGGGAAAAATAAAGGCATTGTGTAAGGGAGGTGATCTCCTGCCTCCCATCCTGGCTTCAGCGAATGATTGGAGAGTGTTCTGACTCCCGGCTGCCTAATTTTGAGCTGTAGTCAGAGCTTGGAAAAGGCAGCTCCTGGGCTCAAAGGCAGTGGCTGGGGGAGGAACGCACAAACCCAGGAGCCAGGTAGGCTGGATGTGGCATCCCCACGTGTTAACTGCAGTGTCAGGCAACTTACTCAACCGTGTGTGCCTCTGCTTCCCCACGTGGAGATCAGGGGTGGTGGCACTCATTGCATAGGGCGTTGCAAGGATGAATCCAGTGGGATGATGCACTCAAACACGGAGCTGGGCGCGCACTAGGTGCTCTCTAAGCATTAGGCATTACTGCTCGGCACCTGCTGCCGGCGCCTCAGTAAAGCACTCCCTGTTTAACTTGGTTCTTGTTCCACAGAAAACGCCCTGATGTTATAACGAAAACAGACTGGCTCGCTCCTGTCCTATGGGAAGGGACTTTCGACAGGCGGGTCCTGGAAAAACATTACAGAAGGCGGAATATCACTGTGGGCCTGGCCGTCTTTGCTACTGGCAGGTAGGTGCCACTCACCTTTGCCCTTTTTTATTTTGGGAAAATGTGGATCAGCATTCACGAGCCTTTAACCTCCAAAGAGCCAACCATAATTAAGCATAATTAGTGATAACAATAGCCACGATTTCTGGGGAGAAACAAACTTACCTGTCCAAACCCAAATAAGGGACTCAAAGACCTGGAGAACAGTGAAAGTGAGACTTTTAGTGACAGTCTTGCAAGATCGGATGTCTGATGGGCAGGCACACCCAGCACAGTTTCAACTGCAATTTATCCCCTAGTGCACAGGTCCCTCCCTCAGTTCCTCATAGGCTGAGTACTTGGGGTCACAATCTTCCCAGACGTCGCCTATTTGTTGTTGGGCAGGGGCTTTAGGTGTTTTCTTTAGGGTGGTCTTGCTGCATTTTGTTGCAGCCCACAATGCATTGCAATCCTAGTGAGCTCAGGGGCTCTTCAAGTATCTGACTTATGACCTAAGTAGCTGAGCAGGCTGATAAGAACAGACAAAGTGAGCTATTTTGCAGACTAGTAAAGTTTTATCTTAGACTAAACTTTTTTGGTTTGGGTGAGGGCAACTAAGGCAGGAGGCCGACAAGCAGGCATTGGCTATTTAAGTGGGGACCTAGTATATCCTGTTTCTTTTGTAGTTTGCTGACCTGAGCCGATTTAAGGCCCTTTGTCTTGGAGATGGTCTACTATAGACACGATTTCCTTCAATTTCTGGCTGTCCTGTACAAAAGGTGTGCTGGGTTTCTCTGTCGATGGCCGAGTCCTTAACACCAGTGGGAACCTTTTGACTCATACCCATTTAGCTCCTGCTCCCTTTCTTCACAACAGCCATTCCAAAACATGGTGGCTTTTCTCAGGCCCTCCAGGTCAGGACATTCCTTCCCACTCACCAACTCAGCTGAAGCTGTGGGCCCGACTCCTCCACGCTTGTACATCCCGAGTTCCTTAGCATCAGACACACCCATGTGAGTGCATTCAGCCGCCTCTTCTCCTGATCATGTTTAGAAAAGTAAGTGTCGGCCGGGCACAGTGGCTTATGCCTGTAATCCCAGCACTTTAGGACGCCGAGGTGGGTGGGATCACCTGAGGTCAGGAGTTCGAGACCAGCCTGGCCAACATGGTGAAATACCATCTCTACTGAAAATACAAAAAAAAAAAAAAAAAAATTACCTGGGCGTGGTGGCAGGTGCCTGTAGTCCCAGCTACTTGGGAGGCTGAGGCAGGAGAATTGCTTGGACCCAGGAGGTGGAGGTTGCAGTGAGCCGAGATCACGCCACTGCACTCCAGCCTGGGCATCAGAGGGAGACTCCATCTCAAAAAAAAAAAAAAAAAAAAAAAGAAAGAAAAGAAAAAAGAGAAAAGTAAGTTTCTTCCCCACTGTGTGTTTCCTAGGTTTGCAGAGGAGTACCTGAGGCCGTTCCTACACTCCGCAAATAAGCACTTCATGACAGGCTACCGAGTGATCTTCTACATCATGGTGGACGCCTTCTTCAAGCTGCCTGACATAGAGCCCAGTCCTCTTCGAACGTTCAAAGCATTTAAAGTGGGCACCGAGAGGTGGTGGCTCGATGGCCCCCTGGTGCATGTGAAGAGCCTGGGTGAACACATCGCCAGTCACATCCAGGACGAGGTGGACTTCCTCTTCAGCATGGCTGCCAACCAGGTCTTCCAGAATGAGTTCGGGGTGGAGACCCTGGGCCCGTTGGTGGCCCAGCTCCACGCCTGGTGGTATTTCAGAAACACCAAGAACTTCCCTTATGAGAGGAGGCCGACCTCAGCAGCTTGCATCCCGTTTGGACAGGGAGATTTCTATTATGGCAACTTGATGGTTGGTGGCACACCCCATAATATTTTAGACTTCATCAAAGAATATCTGAACGGAGTTATTCATGACATCAAAAATGGACTCAATAGCACTTATGAAAAGCACCTTAACAAATATTTTTACCTCAATAAACCCACCTAGCTGTTATCACCAGCATACAGCTGGGATCTTGCATTTTCTCCTCCTCCACAGATCCAATACGTCAAGGTCGCACATGATTCCCAGAGGAAATTATGAATTACGCCATGAGGTTTATGACGAATAAATGAATCACGGCAATTTCTTATAAATGAGGGAAGTCTTAAGACCTTCCATTTTTTAGAGACATACAAATTTACATCCTTCCCAAATAAATGTTTCTTCTTGCCATTTTGAGCCATCTTATTTGGCTAATGTAGGATAAAGAATAAAAGGATAATTACTTAATGTTAATACACAGTAATGTTATTATCTATGTATTGTAGACAATGTGAAAATACATTTGACATAGAATGAATATTTTTAATGGAGAAAGACTCTAGTTGAGAAAAAACATTCATAAAATGGAAAAGTAGTTCACGCAAAGGAAAAAATAAATGCCAGGCCACTCACTGAGTAGTCACTGTGTTTTTCCACACTGGGATATGTGTGGCTTGTGGTCGACCTCGCCTATTGTCTCAGTCTGTTCGGTGTGTGATTCGACACAGGTGAGCTAGAGGAATCCAGCCAAAGCCACGTCTTACTATTACGGTTTCAAAGTGAGATATTCAGTTCCTTTTGTTAAAAAGCTATAGATATTGGCCGGTTGTGGTAGCTCATGCCTGTAATCCCAGCACTTTGGGAGGCCGAGGCAGGCGGATCACCTGAGGTCAGGAGTTCGAGACCAGCCAGCCTTGCTGACATGGTGAAACCCCATCTCTACTAAAAATACAAAAAATTAGCTGGGTGTGGTGACGGATGCCTGTAATCCCAGCTACTCAGGAGGCTGAGACAGGAGAATCGCTTGAACCTGGGAGGCGGAGGTTGTAGTGAGCCGAGATTGAGCCATTGCACTCCAGCCTGGGTGGCAAGAGTGAAACTCCATCTCAAAAAAAAAAAATCTGTAGGTATTTTATTTTTTTAAAAAAGATATTTACTGAGCTCAGCGGTAAAGGTGCTCTGCCAGATGCAGACAGGGATAGAAAAGAGTTTGGAACACCTGTGTCCCTGGCAGCCCACACTCTGGCAGAGGTTGAGTCTGTGTGCTAGGAGTGCGTGTTCAGGGTGCTAAAAGTGACAAGGAAGACGGTCACCTGAGCTCTGTGGTGGTCAGGGAGCCATCATCTCCACCAGACGCTTTGTGTGTCACACAGGGAGAGTGTTCCTAAGTCCGTGGGCAGTGGCAGCTATCAACAGCTTTAGTAAGTGTCACGGCCCACCCCATTACTATGCTGAGGTCCTAACTCCGTACCTCAGAATGTGACTGTGTCTGGAGATAGGGCCGTTAAAGAGGTCATTAGGGTAAAATGAGGTCACTGAGGTGGGCCCTAATCCCACAGGACTGGTGTCCTTATTAAGAGCTGAGGACACAGACACACAGAGGGATGACTGTGAGGACACAGGGAGAAGAGGTGTCTGCAAGCTGAGGATTGAGGCCTCAGGGGGAGCCAACCCTGTAACACCTTGATCTGGAACTTGCAGCCTCCAGGACTCTGATGACACACGTTGCTGTTGTTGGTGCTGCCCAGCCCAGTCAGTCGTACTCTTTTACGGTGGCCTGAGCAAACTATTCCAGTAGGTGTCCCAAAAATAACAGCAGTTCAAACACCAGATTGCAAGGAGGGCTGACCACCGTTTCCTGGGATGGAAGACGGAGGCTGAGAAAAGCCTCCCTGGGTTCAGAATTAGACCTGGGGCTACCACCTCAGGGTCCCCTTTGTCATGTCTCCCAGCCTCCCCCTCATGCCCAGTTCATGCCAGGGACCATCTTAAAGAACCTATCTGTCAAGGCTTAGCTCACCCTCCCTCTTTTTTGCTGTCATCTCCTTTGACTAAAAGAAGGTGATCTTTTCGGAGACTCATTCTTGCATCTCACAGAGTAGCTCTCAGTTTTAAAAAAAATCTATGAAAGTTTCAAAAGGATGAAAATAGATCTTACATTAGCCACAAGCCCTATATATACAGTATTAGTAATTACCTGGGCCAGATCTGGAAAGGGTGGGGGTATACTGAACTAAACAAAACTTTTTTTTTTCCTGCCAATTTATGGATAAGGCTAGAAGACTTACTGAGAAGGCTTCTGAAGTTTTATCTTTAAAAATTACGGAATCAATATTAAAGCATTGTAAATGTCTTGATTTGCATGGCAGAACAACAGGTAAGCTTGCCAATGTTGAGAACTTCCAGGTCCCAAGGCAAGCCTGCTTAGGAGACTTAGAAACCAGGTCATCCGGAAAAGCCAACATCTGTCCCCACCAGCCAGCGTGTGCCTCCCTCATGGTGGGTGCTAAATTGATTTCTAAAAGAAGTTTAATTTTGCCAATTTGATGAGCAAAAATAACCTCTCTTTTTTTTTATTTGACTACTTATGAAGTCAAACCTTCTTTTAATCAGCCTTTTGATCTATGCAAATATCCTTTTTTTTCTATCTTTTGCTCAGTGCTTTTTTTTTCTTTTAGAGACAGGATCTCACTCTGTTGCCCAAGTTGGAGTGCAGCGGTGTGATACCATGGCTCACTGCAGCCTCAAAGTCCTGAGCTCGAGGGATCTGCCAGCCTTAGCTTCCCAAGTAGCTGCGTCTATAGGCGCATATCACAATACCCAGCTAATTTTTTTTTCTTTTTTCTTTTTATTTTCTTTTTGTCTGGGGCTGCTTTTTGTTAAGGTTTTTTTTTTTTGGTTTTTTTTTTTGTAGAGACAGGGTCTTGCTATGTTGCCCAGACTGGTCTCAAGCTATCATTTGGCCCCCAGCTTTCCACAGCGATGGGATTACAGGCATGAGCTGCCATGCCCAGCCCTTCAAGGAGTTTTGATTTACATATGTATTTACATATGTGATATGAACCCTTCATCACATTTGCTGCAAATGTTAATTTCAGATTGTTCTTTCCATTTTGATTGTGTTGATGATGATTTTGACGAGCCGAGTTTAAAGCTCTCATCCTTTCCCGTGGTGTTGATACTGTCTGTGTAGGCACCCCATCCTCAAGTTATAGAAAATATAGAAGTTTCAAGGTTTCCTTTTATTCAGACTTGATCAGGAATGAATTTTAAGGTAATGTGTAGGGTGAGATAGCTAATCTTATTTCCCCCTTTCTGTCTTGCCCATTTCCCTCAACACTAGTTATTGAATAAATAATGCTTTTTTAGGACAGGCCATTTGTACTGTCTATGAAGTTGTTGTATATATTCGGGTTCATTCCTTGACTTGATACCCAGTTTCATTGCTGTTGTTCTGCCCCGAGCTAATGTCACATGCTTCTCATCATTGCTGTTTTATATTAGGGTAGAATGGTAGATCCATCTGCATGACGCTTCTTTTAAAAATGTTTCCAAACTTTTGTTCCTTCATGTAAATTTTAGATTCAGATCTGCAGTTTGGGGAAAAATCCCACTGGAAGAGTAATTGAATTGCTGAAGTCTATGGGTGAAGCTGAGGTTATCAACTCTACGATGTTGAGAGAGACACAGCACTCTCACGTCGCTATTTATCCCGGTCATTTTAGGGCCCCAGAAAAGGCTATTTTTTATGGTCTTACAAATTCCATAAACCTCTTGTTAAACGTGTGCTTTGTGATTGTCGTTTTTCCTTGTGTTTTTCCAGCTGGGCTTGTTGGTTTGCAGGAGACCCGTGGGGCTTCGTCACCAGCTTCATCACCAGCTCTGGGTTTCGTTCCATTGTGTTTTTCCCACGTGGGGGAGAAGGGAGAGAAGGGGGAGAAGGGGGAGACTGGGCAGACGGGGGAGACGGGGGAGAAGAGGGAGTAGGGGGAGAAGGGTGAGAAGGGGGAGATGGGGGAGACGGGAGAGACGGGGGAGATGGGGGAGAAGGGGGAGTAGGGGGAAAAGGGGGAGAAGGGGGAGACGGGGGAGACGGGGGAGTAGGGGGAGAAGGGGGAGTAGAGGGGGAAGGGGGAGAAGGGGGAGAAGGAGTAGGGGGAGAAGGGGGAGTAGGGGGAGATGGGGGAGACTGGGCAGACAGGGGAGACGGGGGAGAAGGGGGAGTAGGGGGAGAAGGGGGAGATAGGGGAGAAGAGGGAGATGGGGGAGTAGGGGGAGTAGGGGAAGAAGGGGGAGAAGGGGATACTGGGCAGATGGGGGAGAAGGGGGAGAAGGGGAGTAGGGGGAGAAGGGGGAGATGGGGGAGACAGGGGAGAAGGGGGAGACGGGGGAGATTGGGGAGAAGGGGGAGAAGGGGGAGAAGGGGGAGAAGGCCTCACTGGAGGCGTTTTCGGGGCAGCCTCTGGACATACCTGTCTTGGGAGTTCCAGACGACAAGTATTGAGTCCCTGACCCAATTTCCTCAGAGCCTGCCCTGCCGATGGGCAGCCCTGGCTCACCGGGTGCAGAAGTGGGCGCCGCCCTTCAGAATCCTGGGCTCCGAGGAGTGGGCGTTGGCTGGTCTCACCTGCCACACAGGTACAGCTGTCTGTGTTTACCTGGCAGCCCCGCTGGGCTTCTGCAGAGAGCAGGGTCTGGAGCTGGGCTCACTTAGGGCTCTTGGACCTCAGTGGGGACATATGCGTTTGCTCACGGAGCATGGAGGCCACCTCTCTGGAGGGTCCCCAGCAGACCCAGGTGAGGTGGGTCACAGTGGAGGGGAGCTGGAGTCTGAGAACAGCCTCCGTGGGGTCATGTTCCTGAAGGACACTTGAGGGCCACCCCAGCAGCCCTGGGGAGGGGGGTGCATCGGAGGCACCTGGGACTACAGTGCTCCACTCATTGTATAAGTTTTGGAGGCCTCTGGCGCTGCGGGCAGGAGCTCAGGGGGCCATGTGCCCCCTCCTCACCACCCTGGGTGTGCTCCAGGCCCACAGGCCAGGCTGGGGCACACTGCTGGCCCTTGGCTGTTGGTTGGCAGGTGGTTGGCAGGACCTGGAGACGCACAGAGGGAAGAGGCCTTCCCAGCAGGGGAGGGGACCAGGAGAGAGGCAGGGTTGGGCTCAGCTGGGGAGCTTCCTTGAGTCCCTGAGATGCAAAAGGGCTTCCAGGGGGACCTGGGGACAGTCCAGGCCACAAGCCAAGGTGAAGGAGGTGGAAGGGAGGCTGAGGGCAGCAGAGGGGTGAGGGGCCCAGGCAGGAAGACTCCAGAACCGCCAGACCTAGGCTCAGGGTGGGGGACATGGGCCTGTGGAGCAGAAAAGAAAAAGGTGGTGATTCTGAGGACTTCACTCATTCATTTTGAAATCAATCAATCAGTAAATCAATCACATAGCACAAAACAGCCATCCCTCACTGGCATCACTGGGCCTTCTGCCTCCCCATGTTGGCTGTGTCCTGCCAGGGCCCTGTGCTCTGTGGAAACCCACTCCCCTTGGGGGCCCACAAGGCCCCACCCACTGCCCCTCTCAGCCTTGGATCTCATCCCTGCCCTCCTCTGCTTGGCTCCTGTTCCAGCTGCATGACCCATCTTCCAGGGAGCCTTCCTCCCTCACCTCATCTCAGGGCCACCCACCCTGGCGGCCCGTGCTCACACAGCACGGTCATGCTCCTCAAACCTTGCTCTAGCCCCCACTCCCACCCCCATAGCACTTGCCTCTAACAAATCAGGTAATGACAATGCTTGCTGCAATGTAACCTGCACTAGGGCTGGATGATGTGTCTGTCTTGTTCTAAGTGAATCCCAAACTCCCAGAACAGGCCTGGCCCGTGTGCTTGTTGATTGACTGAATGATGCGTTGGGAGGCAGCAGAGGGGAGAGGCTGGCTGGGCACTTGGCTCAGGAGGCTGGAGATCTGGATCCCTTCCAGCTCCTCCTCCTGGCTGTGCAACTTGGCCTTGTTACCGAACGTCTCTGAGCCACATCTGTAGAGTGGAGACGGCATTGGACCCATATCACTGTGTCATGTGGGGCTGGTAAGATCCGGCAGCCCCTGAAGCAGCCGGCACAGGCCTGGCCGTAAGGGGAGTGCGGATGGGCTACACCCTCAGTGGTGCTGGCTGGGAAGACGAGGCCCCAGACCCTCAGGCCCTCTTCCCGTCCGGCTCCAGGATGTGGCTGGGGGACAGTGCTCACCATCTATGTTGAAGACCGGGGCTTTCTGCAGGTGGAATTTCTCCACGTACTCCAAGTATCTTCCCAGCCATTTGGGGTCCTCCAGCATTCTTCTCGCTGGAATCAGAGGGGCTGACAGTGAGGGGCTGAGGCCTGGAGCCTCTGTCTTTTCTGTCCTCCTCCTCCTCTGCGGAGAACAACGGGGAGGCAGAGGCCCTGGGCATCGGCCACCCCACCACTAAGTTGCCACGACACAGTCTGGGGGCTCTTCGGACCACGGCAGCACCCCCTCTGCGACCTCCCAGGCCCGGCCAGCTCTGATTGCACCGGCCCCAACCTTGCCTCCTCTAAACACAGGTCTGTTCTGAGCACGGCAGGTAAAATGCCCCTGGAAGGAGGAAGTCAGGCCTGGCCTGCCTCAGTGGAGACCCCCAGAGAGTCCCAAGTTCCGGCCTGGTGCCACCCCTCCCAACCCCTCAACCTTCTTGGCCCTGGGGCCTCTCGGCTGCTGCTGCCCCGCTCCCCCACCCCATCCTGGGCTCGGGCTCCGGCTGATCCTCTGCCCTGAAATGCCCCCAGCCCCATCTATCTCCACCTCGTCTTCAGGACACTGCAGCCCCTCGATGTCCCCCACTCAGTCCCCTGTGCCCTTCGAGCCCTTCTCTCATGGTGCTTTTACTTTCAGGAGCCCCCCAGGACCCCGAGACATTGCTTGATAAGGAGGAAGACAAGGAAGGTGTTTTCTCAGTTTTATCCACTGATAATTCAAGCTCCCAGTGCAGCGCCCAGAGCAATGCCCGCCTTGTAGCAGGCCCGCAGTGCACGTCCTGCATGGGGACACCCTCCCTGAGGGGCATGTGTCGGAGGAAGAGCTCAGCTGCGTCTCGGCCCAAGGCTGCCTGTGCCCTCAGAACACCCTGCACAGAAGGCCCCCTCCCAGACAGGACAGCAAGTCTCTGCACAGAGCCGGGAGTGTCCAGCAGCTCCGCCCTCATGTCTGGGGTCTGAGGCACTGCACCTGCCAGTGCTGGGGAGAGCTGGCCACTTACCCAGCAGCACCCACAGGTTGGTGATCTCATCATCCTCAAAGCGCACGTAAAGAATGAGGTTGCTGTAGTCGGTGCTGACGAAGCATACGTGCATGCTGCCGCCCTCGACTGTTGGAGACCCCGGGCCAGCTGATGCACGATGCCTCTCTCCTCCGTCCCCCAGGCCCTGGACCCCCCCATGCCCTGTGGACATTGCAATGCCACCAAGAGGATGCACAGCTTCCTTCCAGCACCCGGTCTTCCCCCAAAGCCGACAACCCCTTCTGAGTGTTGCGGCCGGGACTGGACATCCGAGCGCCCCTTGCTCGCCCCTCCCCACTCAGAGCCCAGCCCAGATCCCGGACAGGGGCACTCACATGAGCCTTGGTACTGGCCTTGCAACTGGGTTGGATGGACGGTGATGTTTGTTTCTTTACACACCCCTTCTCCCCTGGGAAAAGAGAAAGGAACCAGGGCCTGGTCAGCCTCCAACTGTGTCCTGTTGCCCTTTCCCAGGACGTGGTGGCCCTCTCAGGGCTCTCCACCAGGGGACACTGTGGCTGCCACCAGCTGAGAGCCCTCCTGTCCTCCCCGGGGCGTCAGCTCCCCAGACTCAAGGGCAGCCTCGTCCTGGCACAGGCACCAGGGTCATGCAGCCAGGAGGTGGCGATGCCCAGGGGGTGCTGGGGATGGGACTGGAGTGACGAAGTGGAGTCTTCCTCACTTCTGGGATGACACCAAGCCTCCTGGAACAGATGGGTCCCAGTCTGGCTTTGGCTCTGAGCTCCAGGTTTTGGGGACTGGGACTCTGACTGTCCTGCCTGTCCCCACTTGCTCTGGCTCTGTGCATAGACAGAGGCCCCTCGCCCCCATGCTCCTGCCTCCGTGCATAGACAGAGCCCCCCTCACTCCCATGCCCCTTGCTCCGGGGTCTTCAGTTTCTCATTTGGGGTGGGTGCCCACCAACCCCTGGGACTCTGCAGGCCACCGTGCGGTGTGTCTACGACTGAGCGTCTGCTAGGATGTGGGTCTAACTGCCTTCGGAGCTGTGGGTGCAGGCGGAATAACGGAAGCTTGTTGTCGGTGTCACTGCGCTCAGCGTAGCTTGTCCCCAGGGCCGATTTTCTTTTGCTGACAGTGCAGCCGTCCTCGGGATTCCCTGGCTTACATCGGGGCCGGAAGGGGTGTGGGCCCAGGGTGGCTGTGGTCCTTGGGAGAGGGATGTTGGGAATGAGGCAACTTTCAAACACTGGAGATCGCACATTTAAAACTCCAGACCCGGGCTTCCTTCACAGCTGGAACACAGGCCCGTGGCCCAGTGGGCGTGTCTGCTGGGACTGGACGTTGCCTCCGGGGCCGGGCTGTGTGTTTCCTGCCCACCTGCCTCTGGCAGCTTCTGAGCTTACCCCTCTTGGAGCGGGGTCTTGGGCCTCAGCTTGGTGTGATGTGTTCCTCTGGCTCTGAACACTGTCACTGTTGCTTGGGGGTCCCTAGGTCTGAGAATGAGCGCCTGAGAGGGGCGGCAGGAGCCGTGCTTACTTCCAGAACAGCACGAAGTCCACGTCCCCGCCGTCCCTGGTCCGGATGGAGTGGAGAGCGAGCCTCAGGGGGTCGGCCGGGGAGACCAGGTCTGCGTGGTTGGCTGCCAGCTGCAGGGTGAGCCAGCGCCCCTCCACCTGCAGGGGTGTGGGCCGGGGCAGAGGAGGCCAGCTAGCGCCCGGCTGTGTGGCACTCCCTCCACATGCAGGGGTGTGGGCCGGGTCGGGAGAGGCCGGCTAGTGCCCGGCTGTGTGGCACCCCCTCCACCTGCAGGGGCGTGGGCCGGGACAGGAGAGGCTGGCTAGTGCCCGGCTGTGTAGCCCCAGCAGGCCACCCTCTGGGCTCTCAGGCCCCAGGTTCGGCACTGAGCATGGTCAGCAGGTGGTCGTGCCCCTCCCAGGGGGCTGCACTGGCAAACGTTCCCCCTTCCTGGTCTCTATTGGCAAATGCCCATCTGTGGGTCCAGGTGGAGGATAAGCTGTGCTTACTTCTTGGGAAGAGTCACCTCCCGTCCCCTTGTCTCAGGTCTCTGTCCAGTCCCCTTCCCCACTTGCTGCCCCCACTTCCCTCAGCCCTGCACCCCTGCCTCTGCCTGGTCCAAGCTCTGTTCCCCTGGTCAGGGAGGGCAGAGGGGAGGGTCTGGTGCTGTGCCGGGTGTCCCTCCATCCCTGCACTCCCACCAGCAGCACCAGGACCCCAGGGGCCACACAGGGAGGAGGAGCTGGGACCCTCCCTGTATCCAGGGTTGGCCTCTTCGTGTCACCCAGGGTGAACCCCTCCCCTGCTCGGCTGGGTCCCCTGGGACCCTGCTCCCTGCCTGGGCCCAGTGTCTGGGCGCTCTGTTTCTCCGGCTGCCGCCCTGCAGCCTTCTCCTGCGACCTGCTGTTGTGCTGTAGCTTCCGCAGCCCGGAGAGAGGGAAAGGCCCCGAGGTTAATCAGTGGCCGCTGGTGCTGGCTGCGCGGGAGGACAGAGCCCGCTCCCGCCTGGGTTGGACCCAGGTGCAGCTCACCCTCCAGAGCTGCTGCAGGGTCAGGCAGGATCTGAACCCCGGCACCCCCCTGTCTGCCCCACCCCCTGCACCTCCTCAATGTGACACTCAAGCCGTTGTTCCAGGCCTGAGTCTGGGGACTGGACCCATGACACGTACCTTCTGCGCATTGAAGCCCGGCTGTACCGGTACCTCTTCCAGAGCCTTCTGGGCACCCGCCAGGCCCAGGCCAAGGGCCAGCAGCAGGAGCGGGCCTTTCTCCAGGGCCATGGCTCCGGGGAAGGGGGAGCGTCCCTAGCCAGCTCCCTCCTCTGCGCTGCCCGGACCCACCTGCCACCTAAAAGTTCCGCAATCCCACCCCAGGAATGACACCGCCTCTGGGCACCGCCCCATGTCTAAAGTGATGCGAAGCTGTTGTTTGGACTGGGTGTGGAGTGGCTGTCGGGGCAGTTTAACTGCATTGCACGTCTGTCCTGGATTCTGGGATGAGGCCTGTGCCTGAGGGGGGCTGAGAAGAGGGCAGAGGAGGACGTGGGCTCATTCGGGCCTGCAGTCCCTCCTCCCCAGGCCCCCTGACCCCCAGTGTGTTTGTCCACCGGCTGCTGGAGCCACGAATGCCAGGATCACTCTCACATCTCTGTTCACCTCATGCTCACGGTGGGGCCTGCCCGGGTGTGGGGAGGGTGGAGGGGGTGACACAGACCAGCTCTGGGATGGCACTCGGCACACGCCAGGCACTCGTCACGGGGCGTCTGTCCCTTGTTCCTGCTTACTGCAAACGTCTCCCACCAGCCCCCTCTCTCCAACCCTGGAGCCACTCCCAGGCCACGCCATGAGCCTCTCTCCTGCCCCATCCTCCTGCCCCTGTGTGTGCATAGGCCAGCGTGGGGTCGGGTCAGGTGCTCCCTGCTTGCTCGTCTTTGGGTCCTCCTTTGCCATCTGGATTAAGTGCAGATCTCCAGGCCACAAAGCCCCTGTGGTCTACCCCTTCCCCACTCCCTCCCTCCCTGCTGCAGCCGCACAGAGATGCCTGCCAGCCCTTGAATGTGGCACCTGCCTCTGTACCCCGCCCCCGCCCTGCCCTCCTTCCTCCTGCCTGGGGCTGCATGGGGCCAAGGAGAGGCTGCCTGACTGCTGCAGGTCCCAGCTTCCAGGGAGTCTGGAGTCTGGTGTGGGGAGTACAGCTGGCCTCAGGGTGACCACTCGCTTGGCCTCAGGGTTCTTAGATGGACACTGAGGGGCTACTCTGGGCTGGTGCTGCACGAGTGATGCCCCGCCAGCCCCCTCCAACCATGGAATGTGGCCAGTCCCAAGTTCCACCCACTGAGCTTCTGTTTTATCTCCAAAGATAGAGAGCGGGCAGGGATGCCATGGTCTGTGCAGGGTGCTCCGAGGACGGAGTCAGGTAATAAAGGAAAGAGCTTAGTTGAGTGCCTGCTCCCCATAAGCTCGCTGTGAAGTCAGCTCCCAGCCAGAGGTCCTGGCTGAGGGTCCGGTTAGGTTTACAGGAAATGCACCCAGCCCATCAGGGAGGCTCCGAAGCCCTGGCTAGGGAGGGCCTGGCCTGATCTGTGGGGTCTTTCTGGAGGCTTCCATCAGCAGGCCAGGGTGAGGCAGCTCTCCCAGGTCAGCCTTGGTAATGGCCAGGCTAGAAGATGAAGTCTCATTCCCCACCCCTGGCCACAGGCACAGGGACTCAGGTGGGCCTGAGGAGACCTCAGGCCCATCCCCTATGTCCTGGAAGACACAGCAGCTGCCGCCCATGGCTGACTCAGTCTGAGCTCCCACACACCCTCCAGCGCTGAGCTGGCCATGCTTGAGTCAAGGGGCCGGGGACCGATACAGCATCCTGCATCCTGCCTACACCCCCTGGGGCCCTGGGGAGGCCCCACCCTGCACTGGCTCAGCTCCGCATGCAGGTTCCAGAAGTGGCCATGGCTGGGCAGGGCTCAGCGCAGCGCGACAGCTTCTGGCCTCCATCCCTCTTCCTCCTTCTGGGTGCAGGATGTCACTCAACAGCAGCCACAGTCAACCTCAAGTCTGCCTGTTTGCTTGGGCCTTAGGGGGTCCTAGCGCTCCCTGTGGACCTTCCAGGGCCCAGCTGCTGCCCTGGGTCTGTGATTTCTGCCTCTGGGCACCTTCCCCTACTTCCCAACCTCCCTGGTGTCTGGGTGCTGGCCTGAGATCTGTGTGCAGGGATGAGTGCAGGTACGTGTGAGTGTGTAAGTGTATGTGTGTACAGGGGTATGTGAAGCGAGTGCAGGGGTGTGTGTGCAGATGTGTGTGAGTGCAGGGGTGTGTGTGAGTGCAGGGGTGTGTGTGTGAGTGCAGGGGTGTGTGTGAGTGTAGGGGTGTGTGTGTGAGTGCAGGGGTGTGTATGCAAGTGTGTGAGTGCAGGGGTGTGTGTATGCAGGTGTGTGTGAGTGTAGGGTGTGTGTGCGAGCATGTGTGAGTGCAGGGATGTGAATGCAGGGGTGTGCATGTGCAAGTGTGTGAGTGTGCACGTGTGTGTGCAGGTGCGTGTGCAAATGTGAGGTCGGGGTGTGAGTGCAGGGGTGTGAGTGCAGATGTATGTGCAAGTGTGTGAGTGCAGGGGTGTGTGTGTACAGGGGTGTGTGCAGGTGTGAGTGCAGATGTGTGTGCAAGTGTGAAGTCAGGAGTGTGAGTGCAGGGGTGTGTGAGTGTGCAAGTGTATATGTGTGCAGGGCTGTGTGTGCAGGGGGCAGACAGAAGGGGTGACTGGAGACAAGGCAGGGGGCACCAAGACCAGGTGCCAGTTTCATGCCATCTGGGGTGGGAGGAGGCTGTGGCTCTTCCTGAGACCTCAGTGGGAGCTTCTGGAGGGTCCCCACCTGCTCTGCGAGCCCTGCACACCTGGGTAGAGAGAGTAGGGTCTTCCTCGGTCTGCAGATTCCCTTCCTACCTGGATGTTCTGACAGGCCAGGCCCTGGACCAGCCATCTTTAACCAGCACCGCCCATTGGCCTCTGGCCCAGTGGACTGGGGACTGCACCGGGAGGGCCATCCTTGGAGCAAGACCCCATCCCTTCTGGTGGAAAAGGCCGCTGGCCCAGAGCAGCAGATGTGGACAGGGCCAGGGGTCAATTCACCCACAGCTGGAGTTTGTGCACCTTGGTGTGGATTAAAGCAGAAAGCAGAAGTCACTGCTGGAGCTCAGTGACCCCCCAGCCCTGCCCACAGCAGCAGTAGCCCAGTCCCAGACTCTGCAGAGCCCTGGACCAGCTAAACCCACCCCAGACGGCCCCTGGTCTCCTGGCTGCCTCTTGGCACACGTGCTGTCAGGGTGAATTTCCTATTGGGGAGTGTGGTCATCCCATAGCCTGCTACAGTTCAGGTCCCAGCAAGACCCGAGGCTACACAAGTGGCCCCCAACGCTGTCCCTTCCTGATGCCTTCTGTAGGTGTGCGGGTCTCATGTACCTGCTGCCCACGCTCACCCACACAGCCATTTCTGCGGCCACCAGGGCTGCACCAGGTGGTGCATGGGGTTGAGGGGGTGGGGTGCCAGGGAGGTCACAGGTGACCAAAACCATCTGTGATCAGGATGGCAGGTGAAGAGGGTACCCTGGCATCTCCATGGAGGGAGACCAGCCCGTGGGAGGGGGCTCCAGCCCCTGACCCTCACAGCCCACCCCCCTGGACTCTGTTCCTTTTCTCCTTCCACTGTCCCGGTATGGGTGCTCCTGTCCAGGAGTCGAGCAGCACCTACCTCAGGCCTCTGCCACAGGGAGGCTGCCTCCCTTGTGATTTTCCGTGTCAGTCATGGCAAAGTCAGAGCCATGAGAGTGAGATCGTTTTTGCCCTTCTCTATGACAGAAAATGGAACAGCTCACAGATGTGGGGATCCACCAGCCACCTCCCACCCCAGTGTGCCCTGCCCCTCCCAGCTGGCTCAGCCCCGACCCCCATCTCCCTCACAGCTCAGTCCTCGATGGGCACCTGGAGCCCAGGATCAAACCACAGGCACAGACCCAGACCACTGACGTCATGTGTCTCTGTCTCTCTGTCTGTCTCTCTTTGTCTCTCCATCTCTGTCTCTCTCTCTGTTTTTCTCTGTCTCTCTGTCTCTCTCTGTCTCTCCATCTCTGTCTCTCTCTCTTTTTCTCTGTCTCTCCATCTCTGTCTCTCTGTCTCTGTCTTTCCATCTCTGTCTGCCTCTGTCTCTCCATCTGTCTGTCTCTGTCTCTCCATCTCTGTCTCTCTGTCTGCCTCTATCTCCATCTCTGTCTGTCTCTGTCTCTCCATCTCTGTCTCTCTGTCTGTCTCTGTCTCTCCATCTCTGTCTGTCTGCCTCTATCTCTTTCTGCCTGTCTCTGTCTCTCCATCTCTATCTCTCTGCCTCTGTCCATCTTTCTGCCTGTCTCTGTCTCTCCATCTCTATCTCTCTGTCTGCCTCTGTCTCTCCATCACTGTCTCTCTGTCTGTCTCTTTCTGTCTCCCCATCTCTGTCTCTCTGTCTGTCTCTCTCTGTCTCTCCATCTCTGTTTCTCTCTCTCTCTGTCTCTCCTTCTCTGTGTCTCTCTAGGTCAGAAGGATGGCAGGCCAGACGCATGGAAGAGGGGGCGGAAGGACCTTCCTAACTCTAGCAAATCCTGCCTTCAGTGCCTCTCTGCCTCAGGCTCACCCAGCCCAGGCCCTGGCTTAACAGGACGCCCGTCCATGGAGCACCCAGGAGCGTGAAGCTCACCTCCCTCTGTTCCTCAAACTTCCAGCCGTGACTTTTATTCCCAAAGGGAAATCTTATGTGCACCCCAGACCCTGGCGTGCCCCTCCCCGCAGCGGCCTCCCCCCAACCACCCCGCCTGTCTCAGACTTTCAGCTGGTGGGGAGGGGACCTGCCCGAGTGTGCGGGACCCTGGGAGTCTGAGACGCACAGCTGTGGAGCCACTGCTCGGGGTTTTTGAATTTCTGTGGTGTCATCTCCTCATTCCTGCCCCACCTCACCTCACTGCCCCTTCTGGAACCTTCCCACCAGGTCACATTTACATCAACAACTAGCTCACGCCAACCCCCATGTGAGCCACCTGGGAGCCACGGTGACTTCTACTCATGATCAAAGTGTAGTCCCCTGGGTGTCTTCTCCCATGTAGAATTCTTTCACGCACTTTGTTTTTTCTAAAACAGAAGCAGCCTTCCTTGTGAGGCGTGCCTGCTAGAGCTGGCGCTGTTAGGGTCACCTGGGGCGTGAATAGGTCGCCGGCCTTGGGTTCACCCAGGAGGAGCCGAGGGCTGCCATCCCACCTTCCAGGGGAGCAGCTCAGACGGGCGGCCCTGAGCCCTGTTATCAAGGCCCCCCTGGGGGCTCAGGGCTTGGGGGGAGCCATAAGCAGTAGGGAAGCCCAGGGGGAAGGGGTTGGGTGCGGGGATTCAGCCCTGGGCTCTCCGAGGGGAGGAGGGGGAGCGGAAGTGGAGACCTGGGGGCGGGGTGGGCGGCCATCAGAGCCCCTGTCGCACGCAGGAGTAGGTCTTCGAGCTGCCGTTTTCCAGGAGTTTGATGTCTGACATGAAACACAGACGCGGGGGCGCCTCCGCCCTCAGTGATGGTCCTTGGTGACACCGAGTTTCACGGAATGTCATGGCCCCTCCACCTGGAGGCAGCAAGGCCTGGTGTCCAGCCCGTGGCAGGCCTGCTGAGCCCCTCGTCCCCAGGTCCTGGGCTGCAGCAGCGATGGGGGCCGGGTGTGCACAGGGTGGGTGTGCACTTTCTCTCATGTCATGTTCTGGGCCGGGGTCTTGGGGGCCGCTGACTCTGAACCCCCTCCCCAGCTGGGCTGGCCAGCCTGGTGTGGCCCCTTTTGGGCCACGGGTGACGCTGAGGGGGTGGTGGGGTTTCCCTGCATCTTCTCCTACCTGGGGCTGCTGGGTCTGTGGCTGTGGGGAACACGGTAGGCAGGCCTGGCCAAGGGCCCCAGGTTCTGAGCCCTGCTTGGACCCTGGCCAGCCCGTGGGGAGGTCTCAGGTGGCCCACACCCTGAGGGGAGCCCAGAGGAGTGAGGGTCAGTGTCCCGTGGTTCCTGCCCTCTCCAGGGGTATCATTCTGCAGGTCTCCCTCTGTCAGCACGTTCAGAGCCCTGTGAGTTCTCAGTGCAGTGCCCACGACGGGCCTGACTCAGCTGTCCCCTCACTGCCACCTCCCCGTGTAGCAGGAGGCCTGTGCCTCAGCATCTCCGCCTGCAGAGTGCCATGGAGTGCACAGTGTGCTGTGGGGTGGCAGGGTTCCAGGACAGGCCTCGGGAACATCGGCTGCCCCCACACACCCTGCCCCCAGAACCCCTGGAGCACCTCCTGCTCAGGATGGAAGTCTGGCTGTCATACCGCAGGGCTCAGGCCAGGCCCAGCCCCATGCTGCGGGGCCACAGCCTCATCGTCCCTGATTATGGCCATTTGGGGACATGGGGCTGCGGGGACATGGGGCTGCAGGGTGGATAAATGGCTTCGCCCAGGTGCTTCTATGCGCTGCTTCAGAGGCAGGGTGGCCCAAAGAGAATAGGCCCAGGCTCCTCACCCACCAGCTCCCTCCCCACCTTGCACCACCCGCCGGAATCAAAACATGTGGCGAGCCAGGGCCTTCCAGACGCTGCCAGCCTCGGGTGACATCAGCTTCTGCTGATAAGGTCAGGCGGGGTCTCGGGGCTGGGCTGCCCTCACGGGACTGGGATGGGCCTGGGAGAGATCTAGACCAGGGCACACCTGAGGGCCCTGAAATCTCAGCCCCACTGCGGGTCGCTTGGTGGGGGTTCTCCATGTTTCTCTGGGAAGAGGCCATGGCTTTCCCTAGACTCCCAAGAGCCTGTGGCCACCACGAGCTTAAGAACCACTGGAGATGAGGCCGTACTTTTGCCCCTGGGGCCTTGGACCCTGTCTCCCAGTCTCCACGCGCAAGCAGCTTCCAGCTGCTTTGGGGACATAGAATGGCTGTCACCACGTGGGTGAGCTGGGTCTCTGGACCATGGCAGCCGGACAGGTGGGGCAGTGGCTGTCAGGGGAGCTGAGCAGAGGCCTTGTTGTGTCCCCACAATGGCTGCCTGGGGGGCTCTGGCAGCCCTCCTGCTACTCTGACCTGTGTGCACACATGTGCGCCTGTGAGCACGCGTGCCTGAGCCTGTGCGTGTGCATGAGTGTGAGCACACGCGTGTGATGCATGTCCACAGACACATTTCTGTTTGTGTGACCGTGAGTACGCGTTTCCTTCTGTGCACGAGAGGAAACTCGAGATTCTCTGGATGTTGTGGGAATGTTCACATTCTCCTCAGAAAGCCACACGCTTGTTCCCAGAAGCAACCTTGATAAAGGTCAGCAAAGTGCTCAGGGGCCTGGCCGAGAGCTGAGGGTGGGGCTGGGCCGACAGAACCAGGCCTTGCACGGTCTGTGGTACCACAAAGGGCTGAGTGTGAAATCAGACTTTACCCATCAGATCCCAGACACTGAAGCAAGGGGGCTTTCGGAGTAGAGAAAAGGCGGGAAGGAGGAGAGCGACTGCGTTCATCTGAAGGATAAATGGGAGGAAAGGCCCAGAAACCTGGTGATGCAGGCGGACAGCAGAGTGGCAGGTGGCAGCTCTGTAGACATCAGCTCACCTGGCACACACCGCGTGCACCTCCAGGATGGGGAGAGATGGCCACGCGTGAGGTCCATAGAGGCTTCTGGAACTTGCAGCGCAGCTGGGGCCCCACACAGAGCTACCCAGGTGGGGGTGGGGCTGTGACAGCTGTCCGCCTTTCTGAGTGGGGCGAGGTGACAGGAGTAGTCAGAAACAGTGTTCCAGAGGTGGGAACAGCATGTGTGAGGGACCCAGCGGAGCCAGCGACAGCCCAGCCCCCTACTCGAGCGAGCCCCGCCGGGGTGGGTCCCAGAGGCCCAGGGCTCTGGGGGCTCAGTGAAGGTGGGTGGTGCTCCATGAAGTCACCAAGTGGCTAGGCCAGGCCCCGTGAGCTCCTGGCCCATGGGCAGAAGCCAGGCTCACCTGCGTGGTGGGAGTAGTTGCTGGATACAGCTGGGTTTGCATTTCACAGGCCCCTGTCGGCGTGGTAAGGGGCCTTCTGCAGGCCAGGGTCCCAGTGGAGGAGGAGAAGACCGGACCCGTGCCTGCCTGTGGGGTGGCAGCCGCAGCCAGTCCCTGAAGCCCCACTGCTCTGCTGTGGGCTATTCCTGCCCCACCCCATCTGCACACCTTCCTGGCCAGCTGGGAGCCGTTCCACGGGGACCCTGTGAGGCTGCCACCTCCAGCCTCAGAACGGTGACCCCCTTGTGGCCTGGAGAGAACACATGTTCACTGAAAACAACTAGCAGGCTGGGCGCGG
Source organism: Homo sapiens (assembly GCF_000001405.40). Taxonomy (NCBI): domain Eukaryota; kingdom Metazoa; phylum Chordata; class Mammalia; order Primates; family Hominidae; genus Homo; species Homo sapiens. The sequence goes on along the minus strand of NC_000009.12, from coordinate 135,606,190 downwards.
TGGCTCACACCTGTAATCCCAGCACTTTGGGAGGTTGAGGCAGGCCGATCACTTGACGTCAGGAGTTCGAGACCAGCCTGGCCAACATGGTGAAACCCCGTCTCTACTAAAAATACAAAAATTAGCCAGGTGTGGTGGGCGACTGTAATCCCAGCTACACCTGTAATCCCAGCTACTCAGGAGGCTGAGGCAGAAGAATAGCTTGAACCTGGGAGGCAGAGGCTGCAGTGAGCCGAGATCGTGCCACTGCACTTCAGCCTGGGCGACAGAGCGAGACTCCATCCCCCCAGAAAAAAAATTACATAGTGATGGGGTCTCCCTGTTTTGCCCAGGCTAGTCTTTGACCCCTTGGCTGAAGCGATCCTCCCGCTTCAGCTTCCCAAATAGCCAGGATGTCAGGTGTGAGCCCCCATGCCCAGCCTATGCCATCAGGTCCTGCCTCTTCCACCCAGGGAATCCCACGGGGACAGGGGGAGGGCAGAGGGGAAACAGGCTCTGAGCAGAGGGAGCCAGGTCCACTCATCAAGGAGCGGCAGGCCCAACAGTTGCCAATCACCCTCCCCTGCCACACTGATGTCCCAGCCAACACGGCCACCGGCGACCCTGAGACACGAGAGCTGATCAGGAGCCACTGGCCTGCATCCCAGGTGTGAAGGATAGGAGCCAGCATGGCCCAGGCAGTGTTGGGGACACCCATGGCCCCCTGGGGACCCCACTATCACTCACCAAGGCCAGGCTGGTGGGTCAGAGATGGAGGTCACCTGGGAGACAGTCAGGGCCCAAGCCTGGCCACATGGGCAGAAAGCCCGAGAAGCGTCGGGTGTCAGGTGCCCCAGATTCTGCAGATTCTCCCTTTGGACGTTTCCACCCAAACATGCCGCGTGGAAGCTGCCTCCATCCAGGCAGCGGGCCTTGGCGGTGCTCCAGGAACCTGCTCTTCCATAGCAAACAGGCCTGAAAACCCAGGCCAGAACTCCTTTTTGAAAACAAGTGGGAAAAAATAAACAAACTGAAAAGAATTCTGCTGAGACAGCGAGCAAAGCACTGGGACGTGCCGGCCACCCCCGAAAGGCACGGGAAGGGAGCCGGGACCCCAGTGTGCAGGTCACCCCGGAAGGAACCAGAAGGGAGGCGGGACCTGGGACCGACAGGATTCTCCTTCAAGACCTCCTGCCTTGCAGGTGTGCTTGGCAGTTCTCTCCCTCCCCTCTCCCTCCCTCCCTGCTTCCCTCCTTTCCTCCTTCCTCATTAGCAAGTCAGCAACACTCTGGAGGCTGAGACCCACCTGGCCGCTGTATGCTCTGGGCCTGCTGGGGGCTGAGGCTGAGGTGCCCTATGTCCGCCATCCCTCTTGCCCCGAACGCCCCCTTGGCCTGCTGGTTGTCATGGTCATGACGCCCACCTGTGTCCAAGGGTGAAGCTGCTTTCTTCAATGCACCATCACGGACATGGGGAGGCCAGTGCTGTGGCAGCGTTTCCAAATTAGCTTGACCCACAGGCACAGGGCACCCCCGGGAACCCCTACCAAACGCCCCCACCTCATGAGGAGTGTGTCCCCCATGCACGGCCAGGGGTGCGCTTTGGGATCTCAGAGGTATCCCCACGGAGGCACCCCAGGCCCTTGCGGGGTCTGAGCGTGCTGTGGTGGACAGGTGCAGCGGGCGGGAGGCAACCGTGTGAGTCTCAGCTTCTCGGCCTCTGAGCCGGGCTCGCCGTGCACAGCTCACACGGTGATGGTCTCTGTGCCTTGGTGGGCGGGTCAATGGACCCAGCGAACATCCGGCTCAACGGTGACAGCAAAGCCTACCTCGGAAGAATCCGGTTTAGGAAGAATCTGCGACTCTTAGGCTGCAGAGTGAGGGTGGGTGGCTCAGGCACAGCAGGTGTCTCAGAACGAGGGTTAGGGCCACAGAAAGACTCCCTGGTAGAAGTCCACCTGGTCCACTCGGTGGGGCTTCCGAGTCTTGCCCGACAGTTGCTGTCCTCCAGGGCTGTCATAAACGCAGATGAAAGCAGGATGGCTGGACTTCTTGGGTCACATTTTCCACCAATATTTCTGTAAAATTTGGCCCGATTTTTCCCAGGGCCCTTCCACGCACTCAGAGGACTCGGGCGCCACCAAGTGGCCATCGTGGGGACGTCAACGGCCGGGGTCGCACATCCTCCGGTGAGGCGAATTTTGTATGAGTTAAATCCTTCGGGATTCAAGGTGACAAACTCCTCGGGGGCTGCCTGTGGGCTCGGCATCCATTCTGTCCACGCTCCAGCCCCGGGAGCTCCAGCTGCCTGCAATGTTGGACTTGCTTCTAATTTGTCACTGCATTCCCTGCTCTTCTATAGGGATCAGCACCAGGGTTAGAAAACCTCTGAAGGCCGAGGCAAGTGGATCACCTGAGCTCAGGAGTTCGAGACCAGCCTGGCCAACATGGTGAAACCCCATCTCTACTAAAAGTATGAAAACTAGCTGGGCGTGGTGGCACACACGTATAGTCCCAACTACTCGGGAGGCTGAGACAGGAGAGTTGCTTGAACCTGGGAGGCAGAGGTTGCACTGAGCTGAGATCCTGCCTCCAACCTGGGTGACGAGAGTGAAACTCGGTCTCAAAAAAAAAAAAAAATTAAAATAAAGAAAGAAAGAAAGAAAGAAAGAAAGAACCCCCCTGGACTTGTGCAGCGGAATTAAGTTGCGAAAACCCTGGAGGCAGATCTGCCATCCGTGGAGGGGGTAACTCGGAACCCATCAGCAGGGTGCATGCTGACCTGTGAGATTTGGGATGCCACATGGCCCCCGAGCCTGGGAAAGAGGCAGCCCCAGGGGGAGGGTGTCCAGAGGCTGCGGAATCTATGGCTAATCATCTATGCAGTTGTTTAGGGATAGGGGTCGATGGGGGAGAAAACCATGCTGAGGCCTAGCGGAGCCGGGGTCACGTCAGGCTGGAGTGGGGCGGCTGTCCCAGGTCACGGGGGTCCCTGTCAGGGGAGGGGGAGCACAGTGGTTAGGGGAGCAGCTGTGACAGTTACGTGAGATGGGACAATCAGCATTTCCAGGGTGCTGCGGCGGCTGCCAGAGCAGGACTGGGTGATGATTTGGGGAAACAAGGCTCTTCCCTTATGAGGGACCCATGGAGTCAGCGGCAGGGTGGGGACACTGTTGGGAGTGGCCATGTCCACTGCTGTCCTGAACACATCCTGAAAGACCAGCGCGACCTGGGGAAGGCACCCACGCCTGCGCCCCACGCTGCCCCACGAGGGTAATGACACAACACAGGACTCAAAGGCCACCCCATAGATTACAAAGCAGCGTCCTTCCTGTTCGCCCTCTGGTGGGCGGGTGTTGCATTGCAGTTTTAATTTACGTTTTTCCTGATGAATAACCATGTTAATTAAACATTTTAATGTTTTTTTTTTTTGTTTGTTTGAGACAGAGTCTCGCTCTTGTCACCCAGGCTGGAGTGCAATGGCACGATCTCGGCTCACCGCAACCTTCACCTCCTGAGTTCAAGCGATTCTCCTGCCTCAGCCTCCCGAGTAGCTGGAATTACAGGTGCCCGCCACCACGCCCAGGTTTTTTTGTTTGTTTGTTTGTTTTTTTGTATTTTTTTTAGTAGAGACAGGGTTTCGCCGTGTTGGCCAGGCTGGTCTCGAACTCCTGAGCTCAGTTGATCCACTCACCTTGGCCTCCCAAAGTGTTGGGATTACAGGCATGAGCCACCGTGCTGGGCCAGCATTTTCATATTCTTTTGTGTGCGTGTATGTGTGTGTAGGCATGGGGTCTTGCTATGTTGCCCAGGCTGGTCTCAAATTCCTGGGCTCAAGCAATCCTCCAGCTTCGGCCTCCCAAAGCACTGGGATTACAAGCGTGAGCCACCTGCCCAGCCCATTTTTTCTTTTTGCCGTTTAGGCTAAGGTTCTGTTCGAGATGCTTGTCAGTTTTCAGTGGCGTTGCCTTTCCTTTCCATTCTGGATGGAAATCCTCTCTTGGACAAATCCTCTCGGTGAACAACTGCTCTGTGGGTTGCCTTTTCGCCCTGTTAATTGGGTCTTAATCACTACATAATCCAATTTACCTAAACTTTTCTTTCATGGTGGGCTGTTTTGGAGCCTGGTTTAAGAAATCTTTGCAGACCCCCAGGCCACAAAGATGTTCTGTGTTTTCCTCTGAAGCCTTACTGCCTGGTGCGTCTGGAATTGATTTTTGCATATGGTGTGTGTGGGGGTTTCAAAACGCATCTTCCAAGGCCGGGTGCGGTGGCTCACACCTGTAATCCCAGCACTTTGGGAGGCCAAGGCAGGCGGATCATTTGAGGTCAGGAGTTCGAGACCAGCCTGGTAGACACGGTGAAACCCTGTCTCCACTAAAAATACAAAAAAATTAGCTGGGTGTGGTGGCGCATGCCTGTAATCCCAGCTACTCAGGAGGCCCAGGCAGGAGAGTTGCTTGAACTCGGGAGATGGAGGTTGCAGTGAGCTGAGAGTGTACCACTGCACACTCCAGTCTGAGCAACAGAACAAGATTCTGTCTCAAAAAAACAAAAACAACAAAAAACTGCATCTTCTTCACGCTTCCCTAAGTGATGCCACACCATTAACAGAGAATTTCTTAGCCCCCCACCCCACCCCCCAGCTCTGCCTTCGTCATTGATCTGGAGCTGTGTGGAGTCTGTTTGTGAGCCTCTTTTCTGTTCCATTGATCAAGTTGCCAATCCTTGTGTGACATCACACTGTCTGCATTACTGTAGCTTTATAATATGCCTTCATTTTTATTTCTTTATCTTTTAAATTTTCTTTTGAGAGGGAGTCTCGCTCTGTCACCCAGACTGGAGTGCAGTGGTACGATCTCAACTCACTGCAGCCTCCGCCTCCTGGGTTCAAGCAATTCTCCTGCCTCAGCCTCCCAAGTAGCTGGGACTACAGGCATATACCACCACTCCCAGCTAATTTTTGTATTATTGTGGAGACAGGGCTTCACCATGTTGGCCAGGCTGGTCTCGAACTCCCGACCTCAGTCGATCTGCCTGCCTCAGCCTCCCAAAGTGCTGGGATTACAGATGTGAGCCACCGCACCTGGCTCATTTTTATTTATTTTGAATGTTGTCCTTACTATTCTTGCTCCTTTGCAATCACAATTGAATTTTTTAAATGAGCTTCTCCATTTCTACACACAAAAAAACCACTGCGTTCAATGCAATCAGGATTGCATTGAATTTACAGATTAATTTGGAGAGAATTGATGTATTGGCAACATTGAACCTTCCAATCCATGGATATGGTATATTTCTCCATTCAGAGCTTCTTTAATTTCTCCTAATAGTGTTGCCTATTTTTTCAGTTTAGAAGTCTTGCATCTCTTTCTTTGCCCTTTAAAAAGTCAGATTTAGTGAGGATGCTAGTAAAATTCTCCCTTTTTAGTGTACAGCTCTACGAGTTTTGACAAATGCACACATAGTCATGGAACCACACTATAATCATGATACAGAACAGCTCCATCCCCCTCCAAATTTCTCTCATGCCCCTTTGCGGTCAACCCTGCTAAACCACGCCCTGAACACTGCTAATGTGACCTTTTGTGTATGAATTTCATTCACTCTGCATGATGCTTTTGAGAATATCCTTCCTGTTGCCTGCAGCAGTTTTTTCCTGGTGACTCTTTCCATTCACTAGTTCATGGACATTTGGATTGCTTCCAGTTGGGGGCAATTATCAATTAAGCTGCCTGCTACAAGTGTTCATGTACAAGTCTTTGAGTGAACATACGTCTTCATTTGATTTGGCAAAATACGTAGGAGTGGGACTGCTGAGTAGGGTGGCAAGTATGTGAATTGGAAATGAAAAACACTGCTGATCTCTTTCCAAAGCAGTAGTATGATGTAGTTTAGATGTTTGTCCTCTCCAAACCTCATGCTGAAGTGCAGTACCCAGTGTTGGAAGTGGGGCCTGGTAGGAGGTGTTTGGGTCATGGCTTGGTGCCCTCCTTGCAGTAATGAGTGAATTCTCACTCTGAGCTCATGTGAGATGAGATGTTTTCTCTCAGTCTGAAGCTTATCTTTTCATTCTCTTAATGGAGTTGTTTGCAGAGCAAAAGTTTTTGATTTTGATGAAGCTTATATATCAATTTTTAATTTTATGGGTCATGCTCATGGTGTCAAGTAAGAACTCTTTGCTAAACCCTAGATTATGAAGATTTCTTCCTATTTTTTAAAAAAGTTTTATAGTCTCATGTTTTATATTTTAGCCTGAGATCCATATTTTGCACTAATATTTTTATAAGGTATGAGACTTAGATTGAAGTTCTTTTTCTATATTCGTTCTTTCTTCCTTATGAACTTCCCTTCCCTTCCTCTTCCTTTCCTTTTCTTTTTTGCTTAAGGATGTATGATGGCACAATTTGTTCCTTAATTGTACTGCTTTTTCACCTTTGTCAAAAATTGGCTGGGCATATTTGTGTCAGTCTATTCCTGGATTACCTACTCTGTTCCTTTGACCTATGTGTCTTGTGCTTCTACTATGATGTCTATTTGCAGATGACATGGCTGTTCACATAGAAAATCTCAAGGAATCCACAAAAAACAAACAAACAAAAAAACTCCTAAAACAAATAAATGATTTCACCAAGGTGGCAGGATACAAGATAAAGGCGCAAAAATCAATTGCCTTTTTCTACATACTATCAATGCACAGATGGACACTACTAATACCATACAGTCTTGTAACTACATAATAATGTTTGAAATAACATTCGATAAACTGATTCCTTCCATTTTATTCTTCTTTTACTAAAATAGTTTAGCTTTTCTAGTTCCTTTGCTTTTTCCCCATAAATCTTAGAATAATCTTACCTGTGTCTACCAAAAAGATTGCTGGAATTCAGATGACAATTGCATTAAGCTTATTTATCAATTTGGGGAGAATTTACATCTTTACTATGTTAAGTCTTCTAGTCCATGAACACAATAAGTCTCTCCGTTTATTTAGAGCTTTCTTGATTTCTTTCATCAGCATTATTTTCAGCATACAGATCGTGTACATTTCATACAGTTTACACCTAAGCATTCCACTTTTTTCTGAGTGATCATAACTGGCATTGTATTTTACATTTCAGTGTCCATCTGTGCATTGCTAGAATGTAGAAAAAGGCAATTGATTTTTGTGTCTTTATCTTGTATCCTGCCACCTTGGTGAAATCATTTATTTGTTTTAGGAATTTTTTTGTTTGTTTGTTTTTTGTAGATTCCTTGAGATTTTCTATGTGAACAGTCATGTCATCTGCAAATACACATCATTCTATTTTATCCTTTCAGCTCTGTAGGCTGTTAGAAACTATTTCAGGTCCTCTCAAGTAAGCATTAGGGGTGGCAAGAGGAAGGAAGGACAGACACAAATAAGTGGAGAAACAGACAAAAATCAGTTGATTGAGAAGAATATTTTTCAAAAACAGGATCTGAAAAGGAAAAAGGCCTAAAAGCTTTTTTTTTTTTTTTTTTTCTTAAAGACAGAGTCTGGCTCTGTCACCAGGCTGGAGTGCAAAGGCATGATCTCGGCTCACTGCAATCTCTGCCTCCTGGGTTCAAGTAATTCCCCTGCCTCAGCCTCCCGAGTAGCTGGGACTACAGATGTGCACCACCACACCCAGCTAATTTTTTGTATTTTAGTAGAGATGGGATTTCACCATGTTGGCCAGGATGGTCTCGATCTCCTGACCTCGTGATCCACCCGCTTTGGCCTCCCAAAGTGCTGGGATTACAGGTGTGAGCCACCACACCTGGCCAGCATAAAGACTTTTTAAAAAATATAATTATAGCTTGCAATCAGCTTTTAATTAATCTGACTTCTAACCTTGGAGCTCTTTAAAAGAAAAAAAAATCCATTTAAATATCTTATTAACAGATTTTAGCCAGGACAAACAGCTTATATTTCTGGCTTTTGAACTTCTTTACCAAAGATAACTTTCCAAGTGAAACCAACAAACCTTAACCAAGGTTATGACTTAACCAAGGATGCATGAGACATCTCCAAACAGGTGCAAGGTAGTCGTCACAAGATCCAGAATCACCTCAATGACAGCTTGTATTGTAGTCTGTTTTCATGCTGCTGATAAAGACATACCTGAGACTGAGACTGGGTAATTTACAAAACAAAGAGGTTTAATTGGACTCACAGTTCCACGTGGCTGGGGAGGCCTCACAATCATGGCGGAAGGCAAGGAGGAGCAAGTCACATCTTCCGTGAATGGCGGCAGGCAAAGAGAGAGAGAGCCTGCGCAGAGAAACTCCCATGTTTAAAACCATCAGATCTTGTGAGACCCATTCACTGTCAGGAGATCAGCAAGGGAAAGACCCTCCCCCACGATTCAGTCATCTCCCACCGGATCCCTCCCACAACATGTGGGAATTATGGGATCTACAAGATGAGATTTGGGTGGGGACACAGCCAAACCATATCACAGCTCCAAGAAAGGAAACTTTCACTCGCCATAAATGGGGCACAACCCACATTTCTATCTGGCTATATTTTCTAGGGTCTTAGCTTCCCAGCTGATGGTCTACACACAGAGGCCCCAAATCCCTGTATGCCTTCACCGGCAGAAGACAGGAAATCAAAAGCCGTCAATGGAATGGAAAAGCATCAATAACTGGGAAAAGTCACACAAATATCAAACCAAAAGAATTCCCTGACCAGGAATCAAACCCAGGCCATGGCAGTGAAATCGCAGAATTTTAACTATTAGACCACAAAGAACGATGGCTTTTGTTATTCCCTCAGGCCATCTGAAGTAAGGAGTTTGAGTCTCCAAAGATTTTAGCTTTGTTTTAGGTTAGATTTTTCTCTTTCATTTATTCAAGAGCATTTTTAAGGCTAGCCATGACACTATCATGTTTTCTTTTTTAAAAGAAATCCGATCACCCCATCATTTTTCAACATGGAAGCCTCTGGGGTCTCTTATGGTGGCTGAACAGAGACTTTTCTCTTAGAACTAAGGCTTTCTATGCTTTCCCTTTAGAACTAAGGTTCTTGCCTAGCACTAGGGTTCTCTGCAATTACACTTACCTTAGGAAGGGTTCCTTAGAGTGTCCTTAGTGTGAGAGTCCTCATAAAATCTTATGGACCAGCTGAATCTGACTGGACTGGGAAGTTCCCCTCCTAAACCTGGGCCAACAAAGACATTCCCTCCAGAGTCCAGATGGAGGGAACCAGGACAGGGACTGAGGAGGAAACAGGAAGAAATAAAGGGAAGGGATAGAGAGAAATAAAAGTCTCTGAAGTCTTCAATCTAAAAGCAGGAGATCTCAGATCCAGGGGACCTTACCTGGCTTCCTCCCTGTGTGGTCAGCTGGGGAGACAGCTGAGCTGAAGACCTTGATGCATTGACTTCCAATCATGCTGGGAGAAACTGGTGCTCTCTGCAGATCCCATCCTCATTACCAATCATGTCAACTGAAGAATGATGAGGTTCATACGTTTGGAAAGGAGAGTTTTCCTTCTCATAAGGGGTTACAGCCTGCAGGGTGGCCATTCTGACAGGCTGAGAAGTGTAGCCTTGGGCCAGGAGCTAGAAACAGAGATTTCCACAGAGAGGAAAAAGGAGCAGGAATTTATGCCCAGTAGAGTGACTGAATATGCATATTTAATAAGCTATAGGAAGAGTTATGAAAGGAGAAACATACACATGGGCAATGGAGCTTCATGCTGTTGCACGTAGACCAGCTAGAACCACTCTGTGGTCAGTGGTCTCTTATCAGGAAGGAATGCTGGACAATTGTGTTGAAACCATAAAAAAGGGAGAAGCAGTGTCAGGCGCTTGATTGATATCCACAGTGGAGTCTTTTGAAAGGGCTGGTTTCTATTTAGCCCTTAGGGAATAAAGTCCAATGGCAGTTAGTGTGTGTGCAGGGGGTGGGGGTAATAAGGAGGAGTGTGTGATCCCCTCATCCTGTCATGGCTTAGAACTCAGCTTTCAAGGTTACTTTGGGGCCTGCTTGGCCAAGAGGGAGTCCGTTCAGCCAGTTGTGGGGCTTAGGGTTTCATTTTTATTTCCCAAATGTCATTATAAAAAGAAGAGAGATGAGACCTTTCTCTCTACCATGCGAGGATACAGCAAGAAGGTGGCCATCTGCAAACCAGGAAGAGAGCCCTCACCAGACGTGAAATCTGCCAGCACTGTGCTCCTTTTCTTACCATTCCCAGAACTGTAAGAAATAAATGTTTGTGGTTTAAGCAACCCAGTGTGTCATATTTTGTTACAGCAGCTGGAACTGACTAAGACAGAGAGAATGCATTCAGTTGTTCACAGGTGAGTATAGTATTAATTGTAAGCTTTCTGTAGATGATCTTTATCAAGTTAAGGAAGCTCCTCTCTATTCTTACTTTTCTGAGTTTTTGAAAAAAATTATGAGCAGATATTGAATTTTGTGAAATACATTTTCTGTATTGATTAATATGATCATATATTTTGTCTTTGTTAGTCTGATAATATGGTGGATTACATGAACTGATTTTCAAATGTTGAACCAATCTCTCCTCCCTGGCGTAAACCCTTCTTATTCATGGTGTACACTTATTGTTATATATTGCTGAAATCTACTTGCTAATATTTTGTTAAGGATTGTCACATCTATAATCATGAGGAACACTAGGTTGTAGTCACCCTACCTCCACCTTTTTATTACTGGGTTTGTGTGGTTTTGGTATCAGGGTAATAATAATAGCTTCATAAAATGAATTGGAAAGTGTTACTGCCTCTTCTATTTTATGCAACAGATTGTGTGGCATTAGTGCTAATTCTTCTCTAAGCACTTGGTGTAAATACCCTGTGGCACTATCTGGGCCCCAAGATATCTTTTTATGGTAGTTTTTAAATTAAAAATTCAATTTCCTTAATAGTTGTAAGGGCTATTAAATTATGTAGTTCATATTGAATGAATTGTGATAAGTTGTATTTTTCAAAGAATTGTTCCATTTCATCTAAGTTGTAAAATCTATGTGTGTAGAGTTGTTCACAGTATTCCCTTATTATCATTTTGATGTCTATATGGTCAGTAGTGATGTCTCCTCGTTCATTCCTGATATTAGTGATTTGTGTCTTCTCTCTCTTTTTCTTTGTTATACTACATGTTTCCTTTACAGTGTTTATGCTTTTTGTTTCTTTTAATTGTCTTACTGCACTGGAACTTTCAGTATGTGTTGGATAAGAGCAATGAGAAAGGACAACCTTGCTTTATTCTCAATCTTAGGGGGAAAGCATTCAGTCTAGCTGAATGCTTACATAAAGCATTAGTTGTAGTTTGGTGATTTTTTTTTTTTAATCATCAGTTTAGGGACGTTCCTTTCTATTCTTAGGTAGGAAACCTAGGTAGGATTGGACTTTTCAGCCCCCTTCTAGGGAGGTAATAGGTGTCCCTTTCAGGATAGGGCACTGAATGGACAGTTTGAAGCCCCTTGATGCCTATGTTTTCTCTCTGGCATGGTGGCCAGCAACACCACGGGTGGTGGTTATTTGATCACTTGGATTGTTGAGTGACCATGAGGAGTCAACTCTCCTGCTAAGCCACAAAGGAAATTTTGCATAAGCAAGAAATAACTCTTTGGTGCTTTCAGTGATTGATTCATTCATTTCAGGGTTTCAGGGTTACTTATAAGCACAGCATATGCTATTTAATGTTGAATGACACTCTTGATGTGCAAGGTCTCCTTCATGAATGGAATATTATATTTTTTGAAACATATTTTTAAAAATTAATTAAAGATTCTTATATGGCACTTCTCCCTTAGTCTTAAGTTAGTTAATTTTATTGATACATTTGAGATGGAGTCTCATTCTGTCACCTAGGCTGGAGTGAGGTGGCATGATCACGGCTCACTGCAATGTCCACCTCCCAGGTTCAAGTGATTCCCCTGCCTCAGCCTCCGGAGTAGCTGGGATTACAGGTACCTGCCACCACACCCAGCTAATTTTTGTATTTTTAGTAGAGACGGGGTTTTACCGTGTTGGTCAGGCTGGTCTTGAACTCCTGACCTCAGGCGATCTGCCTATCTTGGCCTCCCAAAGTGCTGGGATTACAGGTGTGAGCCACCACACCTGGCTTTTATTGATACATTTTCTAATATTGAAATGTTCTTTGTTTTTTGGGCTAAATCATGATGTATTAAATACGTTTGTTAGATTCAGTCTGCTAATAAGGTATTCAGATATTTGTGTCTTGATTCTGAAAGTTGACAGCTTTCCTTTTCCTGTATCTTCCTTCTCCAGTTTTGTTATCAGGGCAGCTGAGCAACTCACCGTCTTTTTCTATGCCCTGGAATGGATCGTATGAGCCAGGAACTATCAGATAAAGGTTTTTTATTCTCATCCACAGACAGAAGATCTGGAACTATTCTGGTTTTTTCTATGATGATTGTTCTTTCTAAGTTTCCTCTACTTTTTGAGCCAATATTGGTCATTGATATTTTATTGGAAATGTATCCATGCCATCTATATTTTGAAAATTTAAAGTTATGCATGTTACAATTATTGACAAATCTATTTCTGTTGTTGCATATTCTTTTTCCTTTTGTGATGTTCAAAATATTTTATAATGAAAAACAAATTCCTCTCCCATATCTCACCTCTTTTGTTCAGTTCCTCAATCCAGGGGAAATCTCTTTATTTCACATTAGCCCAGAAAAGATCAATGGCATTTATGAGCAGATGAAGGCTGATAGCAAAGCTCTTCCTGGTAGCAACTTCCCTTATGCTCCAGAGAGATGCCCTGGAGGTCATGGGGTTTGTGTTTTTTAAATAGTGCAGAATTTGATTTGTAAAACACTCATTTAAGTTTTTATATCAATATTTATTCAATGAATGGGTCTGTGATTTTTCATATTTTGTCCTTTGTGTGGCCTGGACCTCCAACATGAATGGCAAGCTCTGGCCATCTCAGCAGCACTCTTATCTAGTTCCTGAAAATTTTAAAGCCTCCTATAGTGTCTTGATCCCCAAATATGATAGGGCCTACAATACAGAAACCATGAACTCAGTTCCCTCAACCCCCCAGCCCCCGAGTCCCCCAGCCCCCAAGCCCCCCAGCCCCTGAGCCCCCCAGCCTCTGAGCCCCCCAGCCCAGTCCCCCAGCCCCTGAGTCATCCAGGCCCCAAGCCCCCAGCCCCCGAGTCCCCCAGCCCCCGAGTCCCCAGCCCCCGAGTCCCCAGCCCCCGTGCCCCCCAGCCTCTGAGACCCCAGCCCCTGAGTCCCCCAGTCCCCGATCCCCCCAGCCCCTGAGTCTGCCAGTCCCCGAGTTCCCCAGCCCCACAGCCTGCCCTCAGCTGCATCCCCACGCGCCTGCCAGCACAGACTCAGGGGACGGGGTTATTTATTGTTCAAAGAGGGACAGCTTAGGACAGGAGACCCCAGGCTGAGACCCAGGAGGTCCCAGCGTCCCAGGAAACGTGCCTTGGTCTTCAGCCTCCTTGTCCCTCCCAGGAAGGCGACATCCTCTCCGTCCGCACAGGGGCCGAGGCTCCAGGACCTGATGTGCACAAAAGGGCTCCCCTGTGACTCTAGGACCCTGCCCCTGCAGGTCCTAGAGTGAGGGACCCCTGCTTATGTGAGAGGAGCCCCCACCTCACCCCCAGCTTCAGGCCGGAGGGGCTTATGATCCCAGGCCCACCCCTGAGCCCCCCACCCTCACTCACCCCCACCCTGGAGGAGAAGGCCTCATCCTGTGCCCAGGACACAGGAAATGGCATCTGGAGCAGCCAACCCCAGAGACGCGGGCACATGGCCAGCTGGGCTTTTCCAGATGCCCCAGGATTCCAGCCCATCGCTCAGGGTCAGCCCTGGGGAATGGACACAGTGGGGTCTCTTCCAGGAGCCCAGAAAGGCGACCTCAGGCTATGGGCGGGGCTGGTACATTACCCAGGAGGCAGGACTGAGCAGGAGCTCATCTAGACGCGGCACTGTTCTGTGGGAGGAGAGGGGGCAGTGGGGGCGTCAGTGGGAGGGGAGACTTAGCTGGGGACACAGCAGTCCCAGGGCCAGAGGTTGGGGGATGATGGGAGGGGGACGGGACCCCACCTCAGGGTGCCTTTGCATCCCCAGGGGAGCCCTGGGGAGAACATGGGAGGGGCCAACGAGGAGTGACGGGTGCTGCCCTGAGTCCTACAGGGCCAGCGGGGGGCTTGGGCTGGGACAGTGGTGGCTTCTCCTCCAGCCGAGGCTGGGCCTGTCTTGGGTGGAGCTCACCTTCCGCCTGGGTAACGTCCAGGAAGATCCACATGTGCACGGGCAGGGTCCTGAGAAAGCTGATGAATTCCTCCATGACCTTGTCGTCTGCCTCTAGGGTCCTGGCTGTGGGGGACGCTGGCTCAGTCCTGGGCCCTGGGAGCTCCAAGGACCCTGCCTGGGGAGGGAGGGCAGGGAAGGAGGACCCAGTGCTCCGAGGTCAGGCAGAGTTTGGTCTGGAGCAGGTCCCCAGGGCGGTCTCTAGGGCTCCTGGCCTGTAGATTCCCTGTCCCCAACTCCCGCTCCTCGGCCTGGCCCCCTTTGCTCCGCTCTGGGCAGCACTGGGGCCCGCTCTGGGCAGCACTGGGGCTCAGGATGGTGTCTACAGTGTCACGGAAGGAGAGCATAGTGCCTGCCTCCCCCGGTGCCTGGCTCTCACCAAGCACAGCTGAGGCTGATCAAGAAGACACCTGTGTGACCCCAGAGGAAATGGTGCGCTCAGAAACATGGGGAAGGGCTGTGCCTATGTGGCTATATTTTTTCCGAAAAGTTCCTGCCTCCCCTGAAGTCCCACTGATGTCTCCCGCAATCCAGGAGGGCGGATTTATAGAACAGGGGATGTATCTATAGCCCCAACACCAATGGTCCATTTAGGAACCCTGGGGACCCTTAAGAACAGAGGCAACAGCACCATGAGCTTTACCGGGGTTAGACTATCACCTTTTAAAGCTGCATTCACATTTGAGATCCAACTTAAATCTCCATTAATGAAGGTTGATGGACTAATATTGGCCAGTTCTATCTGCTTGTAAGATGTGGCCCCTCCACTTGCTGCCAGACCCGTTTACCACATCGGCCCCCTTTGGCCTGACCCAAATTTGACACTAGTCCCTGCCCCCCGCCCCCATTAAAATCCCCCCTACCGCAACATCTTCCCTGGTGGCTTCTGGTTTCCGACACCAACACCAGGCAACCTCCGGCGAATGGGGCCTGGGGAGGTGGGCAGGGCGGCCCCTCTCTCCTCCCACTGAGAAAAGGACCGGATTCGGGGTTGTTCAGATGAAGCCCGGGGGCCCCTGTGTCATCCCCAGGTACTGGCACATCGTGTGGTGGTCAGCACTGGGTGTGGTGGTCCCCATGCAGAAGAACACGTAGCTCCTGTCGTCTAGTCTGTGTCCAACACAGAGATCTTTCTTGTCCCGCGACCTGGAAAAAAACACAAAAACAGACACCAGAAATCACATCTGAGTCCCTCCCTATGGCCTCTGTTCCTGGGTGCTGGGCTGACAGCAGCCATTCACGGGACCACGGAGTAGCCGCTCCCTGCACCTGGGCAGCCGGCCTCCCTCCTTCCTGGACCTCTCCTTGACGCTCAGTCTCCACCTTTGCGATGGCTGCTGGCCGCTCACCACTGCAGCACGACATATTCTATGGATGGAGGGGCGGGTCCGGGCAGCACCACCTTGGCACTGACCAGCCCCTTCTGCACCCCCGCGTGGGCAAAAGGCTGCAAAGGTAGTTCTTCCAAACTGCGGCTCTGACGAAGCCGTTCTCCAGATTTACTGCCCTCCTTGGATGAATTCTACTCCTCCGTGACCCGGAGGTGACATTCATTCATTCATTCATTCATTCATTCATTCATTCATGGTGCCTCCCTCTCAGGGCAGGTGCACAGCAGGCCTGGGAAGGCTCATGAGCTGGAGCTCGGTTTCAGTCTGGAGGTTGGAGCTGTGCACAGACATCAAAGAATGGAGGAAAGAAACAGAGCCATGTCTGCTCCAGCCCCTTGCAGCCTCCCCTTCTCAGATAGACGTGAGCTTGAGTGGGGGTCCCTGCTTGCAGGTGAGGAACTGCAGACATGGGGGGCTATGTGGCTGCCTGGTTGTTCCGCCTATGTGTGGCAGGGACAGCTCTGGAGATTAGACTGGACCCTGCCTCACCTGCTGGAGCAGGGGCCTGGCTTGTGTTCCAGCTAAGGCCAAGGTTGGGGGAGGCCGCCAGGGATGTGGGCCATGCCGGTGGGGCAGGGCACTGGGGGAGCAGAAAGAGACTCTGGGAGCTGCTGGGATGGGGAAGAGGTCGGTGAGGACCAGGGTGTTCCAGAAGCAGGTGCCAGATTTGAGAGGCCAATCTACTGCGTGTCTAGCTGCAGGTCTAGTTAATTTGGTTATTTTTAAGGATCCAAGACAGCTGGGCCACAGGCTGCAGGTTTCCGAGCAAGGAGGTTGCCACCTGCCTGCCCGAGGTGACAGAAAATGCTCCCAACCCAGACCTGTGGTTGTGAGCTCAGATTCAGGTCCTGATGAGTTTGAGGTCAACAAGATGCTATAGGCTCTGTCCCTACACCAAGTGGGTCACAGCCTCAACCCCCAGGCTCAGCTGCCAGGAGCCTTTGGGACGGGACGAGGCTCAGAGCAGGACCCAGCCGTGGGGGAGGGAACCTGCTGGCTTCTGGCTCTGTGGAGAGGCTTCAGGGGACAGTGTGGAACTGGCCCGGGGCTGGGGCACCTACGGTCGACCATGAACACAGCCGGGTCCTCAGTCTTCTGGGCGAGGACGGTCCTCTCAACGCATCTGTGGTGTTCCCTGAGAAACCGCACAGAGGTGGGGCTGTCCATGGGCCCAGTGCAGGGATGGAGGCTGCACTCCAGGAAGTGACCTGGGGACACAGCACGCCCAGCCCAGCCAGGTCGTCAGGCATCAGCCTGAATGGGGCCTCCAAGGCGGAACAGGCAGCCAGGTGGACAGTGGGGCGGACGGAGGCAGCCAGGACCTGGCAGGAGAGCTGGCCATTGGCCAGGTGTTTGAGCCACAAGGCAGCTCAAAACTGACCCTGACTGTGTGAGGCTTTGACATAGTGTTTATGAGGATCCTGGCCCCATCACGGCCACACCCCCAGTTCCTCAGCCACCTGACTCCAGGGGCCCAGGCAGGGCCGTGGCAGGAACCGCGCAGGTCCCAGAAGGGCTGCGGCCCACAGCAGCCCAGCCTGGCCTTCCCCAAAGACAGAACCAGGGCTGTGCTGTGTTTTCAGTCCATTGGCCCAGAGCCCTTGGGCAGGGGCTCCAAGGGGAGTGGGAACCTCCTGAGCCCCATTCTCCACCCCAGCCCAAGGCACCATGGAAGGCCCACAGTGAAGCCTCAGGAATGTCAGGAAATGCCTGGGGCTGAACCCCAGCTCCACCCACCCCACCCAGCCCTGGACCCGTGGCCCAGGGAGACTGAGCCCCCCACCAGCCCCAGCCCCAGTGACGAGGAACCCACCATCTGTGCAGAATGATCTCCAGGTTGCCCTCGGGGGTGGGCCACAGCGAGGTGATGTTGACCCTCAGAGGGGCCTCCACGGTCTCCAGGAGGGAGAAGTCACTGGCCACCATGGCCATGGAGTACCAGGTCCCTGCCAACTGAGGGGGCCTTGAGCTGCATGGAGGTCCCCACCCCACCATGGCTCTGGTCACCCCCTGTGTAGGCAGGGCCCAGTCCCTTGTATGGCCAGCTTTCCCGGGTGGTGTGCGGAAGGCGATGAATTAGGATTCAGGGCATGTTTGAGAACCAACTGCCATGCGCCAGCGCCTGGCTGGAGGTTCCTATGTATCTGGAGCAACCATCCTGACCACTCTGCCTAACCCAGGGCCGTCCCGCCCGAGCTCCCATCGAAGGCACAGCACCACAGAGGCTGCTGCGTCCCAGGGGTGAGAGGGCAGCTGTGGGTTCAGGGCCCAGGTGGACAGAGGCGGAACAAGCTCCCCTCGCATCTGGGGACACAAGGTGGCCCCTCACACTGTGGCCTAATTCTGTGCTTCCTGTAGGTTTCTGAGATCCTGGGCTTCCCAGATGCCTGCAGCTCCCACCAGCCCCAGGCTTCCCACGGTAAAGCGCCCCATCCCCCGACCTCAAACCTTTGGGAGCTCCACGTCCTGCTTGGTCTGGGGGATGTCCCTGGCCTGGATGGCACAGACCAGGGCCATGCTCAGGGTGAGCAGGAGGCACTGCATAGCTGTGGCTGTGGGTGGCTCTGAGCTCTGGAGTGAGAGGGATGCTGAGGTAGTGTGGGCTTGGGGGGACTTATGTAGGAGGAGGGCAGACAAGAGCCCCGCCCACAGCCTCCCCACGTGATTCCTCCAACCCTGTGACTCATCCTCTGCCGGTGGGCAGCTTCCTCCACTGGGACAATGGGAGGCTCTTCCCTACATCCACATGGGAACCTTCTCTGTGTCCCGGCCGGCCGGGCAGTTCCTGGCAGGGCCTCATGTGGGAGGGGCCTGGGTTGGGTCCAGACTGGCAGCCAGTGGTGTAAGCACCTCCTGGGTTGGGGCTCCTGGACAATGGCGGGTGTGAGGTCAGCACTGTGGACAGCTGGGGCAGGGGTACCGCCTGTGGGGCAGGCAGAGGGCCTGAGAGCCCCATGGCAGCCTGGGGACCCAGCAGATTCTGCACAAATGTGGTGCTGTCTGCTCTGGGGAAAGAAGGCAACACTGCAGCCCTGGCCCCTCCCCCAACACTGCTGTCCTCACGTGTCACTCCTCAGGGCACCCCTGTCCCCACGTGTCACTCCCGAGAGCACCCCTGTCCCCGCGTGTCACTCCCGGGGGCACTCCCGTCCCAGTGTGTTATTCCTGAGGGCACCCCCGTCCCTTCGTGTCACTCCTGGGGGCACCCCAGTCCCCGTGTGCCGCTCCCATAGCAAGTGCCCAGGATGGGAGCCAAGGATGGTGCACAGGCTGGGATCCAGCCCCATTGCCTGTACCTTCCTGTCCAGCTGGGACTCATGGGGCCTGGCTTCACTCTCCTTTGGGAAGGGCCTGGCCTTAGGACGCGCTGGAGCCAGTCTGAGCAGATACCCCCCACCTCCACCCCTCAGGCAACAAGCAGAGACCACAGAGGCAATATTAACAAGGTTTATGTGGGTCAGGGGAGCCCTGGGCTGTGTTGGGTGCTGGTCCAGTTGGGGATGCATGCTCTCGGGTAGGCTGGGATCTGGGCAGATGCATGGGCCGAGGTCCCTGGACATAGGTAGGATGTAGTGAGAGCTTGCGGAGGACAAGGGGCAGGACTGAGGACCCTGGGGCTGGGCTCAGGTCTCCACCAGCAGCCAGATGAAGAGGCTGCCTCCCAGATTCTGGGAGCCTGGTGCCAGGCAGGGGAAGAGGCTCCCTGAGGACTGAGAGCCAGCCATGGCTTCAGTGGCTTTCAAGATCCTGAATGCAGCCCACTGTGGCCACGCCTCCTCCCCCCAGCGCTACACAGCTCAGGGAGGGCCGTCGCGGAGCGGCTTCGGGGCAACCGTGCAGATGCCAGAGAGCAGCAGAGGCTACAGAAACGGAGGCCTTGGTGGCATGGCGGGGCCGAGAGTGCAGGATGCAGCCACTCCAGAAACTGGGAAAGCCAAGAAAGCGGCTTCTCCCCTTCCCAGAAGTCTCCAGAAGGAACCAGCCCCACCGACTGTTTCTAGACTTTTGACTCCAGAATTGTGAGACAATGCATGTGCGTTGTGTTCAGCTCCTGAGTCTGTGGTCATTTGTCACCGCAGCCCCTGGAGGTTTCTTTAATGGCTAAACACTCGTGGCCTCTGACAGGTGTGGAGGTTGGAAGTCCAAAGTGAGCCTCCCTGGCTACAGCCAAGGTGTCCGCAGCGCTGGCTCCTCCCGGAGGCTCCAGGGCAGGACTGGCTGGCCCTTCCCAGCTCCTTGACTGCCCGCCCGTGCCCCTGCTCACACCATGGCCCCTTCCTCGAGCCACTTGGAGCCCTCACCCTTCTGCCCCCGTCACCTTTCCCCCATGGCCAACCTCCACGGTGGCAGAGACGACATTTGAGCCATCACTGACTTCAGGGATTTGCACACAAGCCCACGGGTGGTTACTGAGTGTGGCACGTGGCTGGGGATGTCCCATGGGGATCCTGTGGCTTCCCGTGTGGCTGGGAGACCAGCCATGCCCTGGAGCTCCTACTGAGGGTGTGGAGGACCCAGAGGTGTCACCTGTAGGGGCGTGCACCTACAGAGGAGGACAGGGGGACAGTCCTGTCCACTCACTGCCCAGGCCCCGGTCTCTTCTCTCTTAGAAAGGAAAGCTGAGGACTGGAGGAGGGGAGGGGAGCTTCATGTCGTGAGAAGAGGAATCTTCGGCTCCTGGGGCCTGGGAGGGAAGATGGAGGAGGGTTTCAGCCTCTGCCCACCCCTCTGTAGGCACCGGGCAGGGATCTTCTGTTCCCAAACAGCAAGTAGGACTAAGGCTGTGGCCAGGGAGGGTGGACTTATTCAACAGAGGGCTTCCTACACCCTGAGACACAGAGCTTGGGACATGAAATCACACAGGGAGGTGGTGAAGCCTTCTCCCTTTTTCTGGAGTACATTGGCCTGGGTGGTGAGCTTAGGAGTGATTTTTGTTTGTTTGTTTTTGAAATGGAGTCTTGCTCTGTTGCCCAGGCTGGAGTGCAGTGGCGCGATCTCGGCTCACTGCAAGCTCCACCTCCTGGGTTCACGCCATTCTCCTGCCTCAGCCTCCCGAGTAGCTGGGATTATAGGCGCCTGCCGCCACACCTGACTAATATTTTGTATTTTTAGTAGAGACAGGGTTTCACCGTGTTAGCCAGGATGGTTTTGATCTCTTGACCTCGTGTTCTGCCTGCCTTGGCCTCCCAAAGTGCTGGGATTACAGGCATGAGCCACCGCGCCCGGCCATGAGTGATTTTTTGTTGTTGTTGTTCTTTTTCATGATCTTTTTTCCTCCTTATCTACAGCGACCACACTTGACTCATAGCAGACTCAAGGTTGTGGGATGTGTCGGATGCTGCGTGGCATTCAAGCACCCACAGGCAAGGAGGCTGCCAAGGTCGAGGGCTGCGGAGTCCCAGGGCCCATGAGTCCGGCCGGAGTCTGGTGTGGACACTCTGAACACACGCAGAGGCCTTGTGGCACTCACCTCAGTTACAGCCGACCACGCAGGAATCTAGAGAGAAAGACAGGCAGGGGGTCGCTTCCTCCCCAGGATGCTGAGGCTTCCCCAGTGTACACGGAGTGCCCCGGCTCAGTGTCAGCTGCAGCCCTTCATCCCCATGGGAAATGAACGTCCGGAGAAAAGCAGGAAAATGTGCTCATTACCAAGGTGAGTGGGGGTAAAGATCTTGCCTTTGCTTATGTTTTGGCTTTCTATAAACGCTTCTAAGATCATCAGGGCTTCTGGGTTTTCATGCAGGGTGTGGCCTGCAGGCAAAATGGGGTAGGGAGTCGGGAGAGGCAGGGTCCCCAGGCCCACGTAGGGCAGGGGAGCAGGGCCCCACTCTTCAGACCGGATGCTGACAGGTCTCCCAGGGCCTCTGGCCTCAGAGAGGACTTGCACTGCTGTCCCCGGGACCTGTCTACATATGTAGCAGCCCCAACCCCAGGCCAAACCATGGAGCAGGAGAGCCAAGGCCCCAAGGGTGAGCCCAGGACTCTGGGTGACACCCGAGCTGGCTCTGGCTAAGAAGAGGCCTTGGAAGAAGCCCTTGCCAGCCCAGCTCCAGGCTGGAAAAGAGGCCTGAGTATATCTGGGACCTGAGCAGAGGGGCCTCCTGTGTGGCTGACAGCACCCTGGGTGGTTCTCTTCTCCTTCCCTGAAGTCTCCATAGGAAGGGGTCCTACCAGGCCCCTCTACAGAGCAGAGAAGGGCTCTCCTGGGCTTGGGGATGCCCTGCCCCACTGCCGCACCTACTCCTTGAGGGACATTTGATTGCAGGGGTGGTGGGGGTGGGTGGGATAAGGTGGTGGGTGGGGTAAGGTGGGGGTGGCGAGGGTGGTGGGGTAAGGGGGGGGTGGTGGGGGTGGGTGGGGTAAGGTGGGGAATCAGGGGTCCTGCTGTCAATGATCCTTCCCCAGAATCAGCCCCCAGGCCCTCCTGAGAGGGACCCCGTCTCCCAGCCTGTTCTGCCAACCATGCAGACACTCATCCTGGAGGAGGGGGTCTTCCATGTACCCCTCACTTCCCCTATGACTCCTTGACCCAGCCTCTCCTGGTAGAGATGCTGCTTCCCAGGCCAGCAGCCCAGGGTCCCACATCACGGAGCCCTTGCCTGTCTCCTTGGACGCCACCCGCCAGGTGTGGCCCAGCGAGAGCCAGAGGGAACCGTGGGGGCTACACCCACATTGCCACAGAGACCTGGGCATGGCTGAGTTAGGGAGGACTCCAAGGGGCAGCGCCCCCGTCCACAGGCCCCCGTCCACAGGCCCCGTGACATCAGCGTGGACACGCGCCTGTCAGGTTCATTGTGTGCACGGCCGGGTCCCTCCTCTCATCCCGGGTGTTCATGATGTAGTAGTGGTCCGTCTCCACGGACAGATGCAGACCTCCTGCTCCCCCGCTGGGAGGGGCGGAGGATGTGCTCTTGTGAGCTGGGTGGTTGCGCCCTTTTTAAGTTGAGTCTATGAGTCTGAAATGCTAATAATTTCTGTCCCTCTATAGGAAATGGGAGGGGCCCCGAGTCAGAAGCTGAGAGCACTCGGGGAGGCAGGATGGTGGCAGTGAGTGGGTGAGCCCCAAGTGCATCTCCAGGCCGGTGAGAGTCCCCCCCAGATGCTGCTTCCTCCGCTCTGGCTGACGGAGGTCAGAGGGGTCAGATGCTGGCCTTGGACAGCTTCTCTGCAGGGCTGATGAAAACACAGCTTCCGGGATGCCACAGAGGCCACTGGACTCTGCCAGGGCCCGGCGAGGAGAACGTGCCTTGTAAATGACTCCAAAATGCCAGGGAGGGACCACGGGCCCAGGAAATGCTGTCCATGGGACCCAGGGATGGGCTGAGTCCTTCTTTCCCTGTGTAATAAGTGGGGATCAGGCGGAGGGCACAGGACCCCAGGAGGGCTGAGTGCCTGCCCTGGAGGCTGGCGGAGGTGAGTCAGCACAGCCTGCCAGGAGCTGCTGGATGGGTGTCCGCGTGCCCCCAGGGCTGGTGGCCAGATGCTGGAGTGTGGGAGCTGCTGGGACTGTGGCTCTGCTGCCTGGCAGCTACTCACAGATTCTGTACGTGGTAGAGTTGTCTGTTTTCACCAGCAGTGTCTTAAATACTGTGCAGTTCCCAGTGGGATCCCTGGAAGGAAAAATCGGAGAAAGTCATTGCTGCCCCCAGACCCATTTCTGACTCTTCTTAGCTGGGTTCTTCCAAGCAGGGGTCCCAACCCCCACGGCACCAGTCCATGGCCTGTTAGGAGCCAGGCCACGAAGCAGGAGGTGAGCGGCAGGTGAGCCAGCGAAGCTTCATCTGTTTACAGCCAGTCCCCATTGCCTGCATGGCCGCCGGAGCCTCCTGTCGGATCAGCGGGGCCATTAGATTCTCATAGGAGCGCACACCCTACTGTGAACTGCACGGGCAGGGATCCAGGTTGCATGCCCCTTATAGGAATCGAATGCCCGATGACCTGTCATTGTCTCCCATCACCCCCAGATGGGACCGTCCACTTGCAGGAAAACAAGCTCATGGCTCCCACTGATTCTACATGACAGTGCACTGCATCATATTTCATGACACATTACAATGTAATAATAATAGAAATAAAGTGCACAGCAAATGAAACATGCTTGAATTATCCTGAAACCATCCTTCATCCCCCGGGCCATGGGAAAATTGTCTTCCATGAAACCGATTCCTGGTGCTAAAAAGGTTGGAGCCACTGCTCCCAAGAAATGCACTGCGATGTCTCTGCCAAGGAGAGCGAACCCCCTCTGCTCCATTCATCTTGATGGACTCCTGCTGCTGACCAGCGCAGGGAGGTGCTCATGGTCCACCTGCCCCGACCACTGCCAGCCTCTGCTGACCCCACTACAGGCACCGAGGACCCTGGCCAGTGAAGATGGCAGCACCTGACATTCACCCACAGGCACAGCGCCATCTCAACCTACATGTTCACCAGGGTTCCTGATGATCAGCACGTGGAAACTCCAAGGCTGCTGAACTTGACCTAGAGAAAACACTGATTCCCCTGAAGCTGAGCAGAAACCATTGGCCAATCTACACGATCACCCTCACCCATCTCCACCACGCTTCACTCATCTCCACTGCGCTTCACCCATCTCCACCTCACTTCCCCCATCTCCACTGTGCTTCACCCATCTCCACCGTGCTTTCTGCAGCCAGGAGCATGCTGGGTTGGAGGAACCGCTATCTCCACTGTCTTCATATTTTAACCTTTTTGGCACCAGGGACTGGTTTCATGGAAGACAATTTTTCCACGGAGCAGGGTAGACAGGTGTGGTTTCAGGATGATTTACGCGCATTCCTTGGATTGTGCACTTTATTTCTACTATGATTCCATTGTCATATATAATGGAAGAATTCTACAACTCACCATAGTGTAGAATCGGTGGGAGCCCTGAGCTCATTTTCCTGCAACTGGACTGTCCCATCTAGGGGGTATGGGAGACAGCGACAGATCATCAGGCATTAGATTCTCATCAGGAGCTTGCAACCCAGATCCCTCACATGCGCAGGTCACAGTAGGGTCCCCGCTCCGGTGAGAATCACCCACCAGAGCATTTGTGTTTCTGCTTCTTGTTCCTTCTCTATGTCTCCAACTTTCCCCCATGGCCTCGCAACAGCCACGGGCCCACAGTGCCACACACGGTAAGATATCTGATAGGTGGCTCAAACATCCTGGACTTGTTCCTCTTTCTTCTTGTACTTTTTAGGCATCCATCCCTAACTCTAACCCACACCAGGGGCAGCCTCTGTGTCTTCGAGGGACACCTGGATCCCTGTTCAGGCAAAGGGGCCTGGCTGCCTCTCCACACTCCTACTCCTCACTCAGCACGCGGCTCCAAGCGCGCCTCCTCCAAGGAGTCTTCCCTGGATCGGGCAGGGCCAGGTCCCTTTGGGGTGCACCTGCATCAGCACTCAGGCTCCTGGAGGCATCCATCTGCCCCTGTCCTGAGGCATGGTGGAAATGGCAGGGCAGCTTTTGCCAGCTTTCCAGTCTCCAGCCCACTGCTGGCCACAGGGGAGGCTCCAAGGTGTTTGTGGATGAAAGCGAATGAGTTGCCAGCAAAGTTGCAAAATCCAATGCAGCGTTCATGTTTCTCCCTGGACTCCCCGGACTCTGAAGAAGGCCCTGGGTGTGTCATCTCTGCCTCTAGCCCCAGTGCATCAGAGCAGTGCCCCATGGTTGACAGTGCTGAGCTGCGTGGACCTCCTTAGGGCCAAAGGCTGGGGTGCAAGGGCTGGCAAGCTCAGCTGGATGCTTGGGGACACTTGGTCTCTGGGCATCTCCAAGAAACATACATTTAATACCTGGGTGCAGACAAGGCTGTTGAGAATCTTGTGCCCCTAGGATTTGGGCTGGGGCCTTGATGTAAAGCGAGGGAGGGAAAAAGTCACCTGACACCCAGTGTGAGCCCTCTGGCTGTGACACTCACTCTTCCCAGAAAACGCTGTTCCTCCGTTTCCCCGCTTCACAGGTGTCCACCGCCCCTCCCTTGTCTGCAGGGAGCGCAGTCTCAAGGTAAAGTGAGCACACCTGTGTCTGATCGTGGTCACATTGGCTGCTTTCTGTGTGACCTTGAACACAGAACACCACCTTCCTGAACCTCTGTATTCTCACTTTCAGGACAAAAATATCGCTCTCATAAGAGGGTTTATGAAGGCGAGGGTTGCAGGAAAATGCTTCCTCTATGTTTTAGTTAAGTCTCTGGGGTTCTTTGGGCCTGTTATTTTCTGGTTTGGTTCTCACACAGTGAAATTCTACACATGGTCTTGAAGCTTCCAGCTGTCTCATTAGCAATGCTAGCTGGGGACCTTTCACAGGTGCAAGAGGGAACTTCGTTCTGAGAGGCTATTTGCAGGAAACTATTAGCTAAATGCTAAAACCATTCACAAGAATAAAACACTAACAGTGGGTCCAGATGGAGAAGCTCATGTGGATAGTTGCACCTGTAACCAGACACAGCTGGGCTTCAGTGGTTTGCTTCGGGGCACAGTGACCTACAGGAAGGTAGGGACTGCTGTATGTGTGCATTTTGCTGCTGTATCCACAGAGTCTAGAATGGTGCACTACCTGATCACCATGCCATGAATATTTGTTGGTAAATAAATGGATGGACAATGGATAATGAAAGGGTGGATGGTGGATGAATAGATAGTGAATGGGGGATAATGGAAGGGTGGATGGTGGATGGATAGTGAATGGGGGATAATGGAAGGGTGGATGGGTGAGAGATTGGGGATGAGGGTAGATGGATAGTGGGTGGATGATTGTGGGTGGATAGATGAATAGAAGGATGGATAAATAGTGGATGATGGACGGATTTATGGATGAATGAATGAGCGGTGGATGGATTATGGATAGATGAATGGGGAAGCAGAGAGGTGGATGAATGGCTGGATGAATAGGTAAATAATGGATGGAAGAATGGATGGATGGAAGATGGGGGATGTAAGTCAATGAATGATAGATGGATGAAGGTGTGGATAGATGGATGGATGGGTGGAAGATAGACAGTGGGTGGTGAATTGGGTGTGAATGGATGACAAGTGGACTCATGATGGTAAGAGGGGTATGTATGGCTGGATAGATGAATGGACTGATTATGGTTGGATTATGGTGAATAAATGGATGGTGTATGGTTGAATGGAAGGATGAATGATGGATGCATATGTGGGTTGATAGATAAATTAATGGATGAATGGGTGGATAGATGGTGGATGGGTGGATGTATGCATGGATGGTAGATGAATGAATACTGGTTGGGGAATGGGTGAAAGATGGATGATGGAGTGGATGAATAAATCGTGGGTGAATGGGGGTGTGAATAGATGAAGAGGTGGCCAAATGGCTAGATGGATGGGTGGAAGATAAATGGTGGATGGATGGTGGATGAATTGATGGTGGTGAAGGGGGAATGAATGGTAGATGAATGAATGGAGGATAGATGATAAATGCATGTATATATCCATAAATGGATGAATGAATAAATAATGGAATAAATGGATGAATGGATGGATTGGTGGGTGGTGGGTGAATGAATGGTGGATAGATTGATGGATGAATAGGTGGGAGGATGGGTGAATGATTGCATGGGTGAATGGATGGATGGATGGTTGGTTGGGTGGATAAATGGGTGTGTGTATGGATTGATAGATGGGTAGATGGATGGAGGAATGGATGGATGGGTGGATGAATGATTAAATGGAATGAATGGCTGGATGGATGAATGGATGGATGCAGGGGTGAATGAGTGGGTGATTGAGTAGACAGATGGACAGGTGAATGGGTGGGTGGATGGATGGTGGATGGATAGATGAATGAATAGATGGAAGGGTGGGTGAATGGGTGAATGGATGGGTGGGTGAGTGGGTGGCAGGTGAATGAATAGTGGATAGATTGATGGATGAATAGGTGGGAGGATGGGTGAATGATTGCATGGGTGAATGGATGGATGGATGGTTGGTTGGGTGGATAAATGGGTGTGTGCATGGATTGATAGATGGGTAGATGGATGGAGGAATGGATGGATGGGTGGATGAATGATTAAATGGAATGAATGGCTGGATGGATGAATGGATGGATGCAGGGGTGAATGAGTGGGTGATTGAGTAGACAGATGGACAGGTGAATGGGTGGGTGGATGGATGGTGGATGGATAGATGAATGAATAAATGGAAGGGTGGGTGAATGGGTGAATGGATGGGTGGGTGAGTGGGTGGCAGGTGAATGAATAGTGGATAGATTGATGGATGAATAGGTGGGAGGATGGGTGAATGATTGCATGGGTGAATGGATGGATGGATGGATGGATGGATGGTTGGGTGGATAAATGGGTGTGTGTTTTGATAGATAGATGGGTGGAGGAATGGATGGATGGGTGGATGAATGATTAAATGGAATGAATGGATGGATGGATGAATGGATGGATGCAGGTGTGAATGAGTGGGTGATTGAGTGGATGGATGGACAGGTGAATGGGTGGGTGGATGGATGGTGGATGGATAGATGAATGAATAGATGGAAGGGTGGGTGGATGGGTGAGTGGATGGGTGGGTGGGTGGTAGATGAAAAGCCCACAGAATGAAACTTTGACTCTTAGAACATCTCCTATTAATTAGCTGCCACAGGTAATAAAGGTTTGTAACACCAAAGGCACTAAAATTACCATCCTTATGTTAGGCAAAGAGGTCTTTCACAGCATACATGCGTAATCTCCTACCAGACTTTATTGTTTTACAGGAAAAACAATAAACCCATGGCTGCTGGACTTCTCACCTTACAGAAGTGCCTGTGAGAGATTGTGGTGAGGTGCTTGGGGCAGGAAGGTCCTGGGCTGAGCCCAGAGCCTGAGCAAGCCCTCCGTGTGTGGCGTTCTTCAGCACATGATCCAGTTAAAAAGGGACCTGCTGACTGAAACTGTTAGAAGCCGGAAAGGTGGACTCCAAAGTGGCTGCAGCCTGGTGAAGAAGAGTGGCCAGTGACCTCCTTTCCATCAGCCCAGGGCCTGGATGGCAGCGAGAGCCTGAGAAGCTCCCTCGCTCACCCCACGTGTCCCCACCAGGCACTCACCTTACATTCATTTTTAACATAAAGTTACCCTGGAAACGCTGGATCCAGAATGGTGGCAGAGGGTGAGCCGTCTCCTCTTTAAGTAGCTCCCTGTCCTGCTCCCAGCGCAGGGCGTGCCACAGTCCTTCCACCTATAGGGAGATGCCATAGTCACTGGAGCGTAGGGAGGGAGGCCAAGCCTTTCCCGTCTCCCCCAACATTTCAGCAGACACCACTGCTGCATGACACAAATTTCTGAGGATGTGGGAATTAACCGTGAAATGGTTGAGGGTGGAAGAAGGAATAAGAGGGAAAGAGGCTGGGCGCTATGGCTCATGCCTGGAATCCCAGCATTTTGGGAGGCTGAGGTGGGAGGATCGCTTGAGCCCAGGAATTCAAGACCATCCTGGCCAACAAAGTGAGACTCCTGTCTCTATAAAAAAAATACAAAAATGAGCTGGGTATGGCGGGATGTGCCTGTAGTCCCAGCTGCATGGGAGACTAAGGCAGGAGGGCTGCTGGAGCCCAGGAGTTTGAGGCTGCAAAGAGCCATGTTTGAGCCATGGGTGACACTCTAGCCTGGGTGACAGAGTAAGACCCCATCTCAAAGAGAGACAGAGAGGGAGAGAGATAGAGAGAGGGACAGAAAGAGAGAGAGAAAGAAATGGCAGTGGAAGAGGGTGTGGGGTTTTGTTGCAAAGCAAACTAGACAGAGATATTCAAGGGGCAGTCAGGAGTCCTGGTCCCTGATAGCCCCACATCCGTCAGCAGAAGGGGAGCCAGGCCAGAGGCTGGGACAGGGGCCCTCTTGTGAGGCCTGAAGGATCAGGGCAAACCTTAATGTTGGGGGATGAGACAGGAAGACATCCAGGGGCCAAAGGGGCTAGAGCTCACGTGTCGACCGGTCAAGAGTCAGCAACATGCCGTGGCGCTGGCTGAGCCCAGCTCATCTTGTGACCACAGCCATGGCTGCTGCGTGTGAACAGCCCACAGGTGACCAGCGCTGCTTCCTTCCCCTGCTTGTCCCCGGTGCCTCTGAGCATGAGACTCGACAGCATTCTCCCCAAAGCAAGCAGCAGTCAGTCCCGCCCTGGGCATGCAGGCCTTGGGCCTGGCCACTCGTGTCTGTTCTCGCAGTGCAAGCTCCCGCCTCCCTTGGGTCGCACGCTGCTGGACTGTGGCGTCTCTGGGGCACAGGTGTGGACTTCCCAGGCCCAAAAGCCACAGATGAGCATTGGGTTGAAAGAGCGAGTCCCTGAGACCTGGGGAGGGGACCGAGGCCATGGAGGAGGTGGGAATGCAGGTGAGGCAGTGGGGAGAGGTCCTCAGGCCCCGGGGGGAGGAGAGTGTGGCCAGAGGCCGAGCGGCTCTCAGAGAAGGGAGGGAGGCTCTGTGGAGCAGGAATCCTGGACACAGCTGTGGGGGCCCAGGTGCCGGGGGGCCTGGTCCACCAGCCTGAGCACCAGGAGCTCCTGTGTCCAGGCCACATCAGCCCAACCAGAGGCCCAAAAGTCTCAAGAAGTCAAGGCCGTGGCGACCCCTGGGGATGTTAGGACCAGACGTCTGGGCACTTGCCGCCCTTAAGTCTTTTCTCTAATAATGCCACAAACTTGTAAAAGTCATTTAATCTTGACAAGAACTTGTGGGGTTTTGTTTGGCTGTTCGGTTGTTTTTGAGACTGAGTCTTGCTTTTTTTGACTAGACTGGAGGCCTCCGCCTCCCGGGTTCCAGTGATTCTCCTGCCTCAGCCTCCCGGGTAGCTGGGATTACAGGCATGTGCCACCACGCCCAGCTAATTTTTGTATTTTTAGTAGAGACGGGGTTTCACCATGTTGGCCAGGCTGGTCTTGAACTCCTGACCTCAGGTGATCCACCTGCCTCGGCCTCCCAAAGTGCTGGGATTACAGGCGTGAAACACTGTGCCCGGCCAAGAATGGATTTTATATGACCCCCGATGTGTTGCCCTTGCAAAATGAAAACTCAGAAAAGGGGGATTCCCCACAGCTTCTACCAAACCTGAGCTCCCCAGGGGGAGACGCTGTCTCTGGGAGATGAAGGTACTCAACAAAAACCTCCCCAAACCCTGGCCCTGGGAGAGGCTGGGTGAGCTGGGGTGGGATCTTCACCTCACCAAGATGCCCGTTGGCCTCTGAGCAGTCACCCCGCAGTGGAGACACCAGTTCTGCCTACAGGAGTGAGTTTGCCCAGGCACTGCTTGGCACCCCCTTCTCTACCCAGGGGACGCCACCAAAGGCACAAGGGGGACCCTTCAGCTGACGATGTCCCCCGGGGTTTGGGTCACTGCTGTGCGACGGGTGTGAGGCTGGGCATCCGGTCCAGGGTCTGGAGACCGTGGCCCGGGAAGTGGCTCTTGTGTGTGCCCACCTCACCCTCCCGAAGCTCTCACCTTCTCAGCGGGGACAGGAACCATCTGGGTCCCCTGGGCTCACAGCATGGAAAGCAGGCTCAGCCCAAGGGTCCGCATTAGTGGCTGCATCGTGGCTGTGGCCCTGTGTCAGCTCCGGGCTTGCACTGCCAGGCTGGCTGTAGCGACTCTGGCTCTCTCTGGTTGTCCATTTATTCCCTGACTCTGGGCTGACTGGGAACTGGGTGAGTTTCCAACTCACTTGTTTTTCACAATGGCCGCGGACCATCCCAGCAGGGGTGGGGCCATGCTGGAAAAACACTGACCATTCCGTAAAGCATCCTGTTTGTCCATCTTGGACCCTGTTTTCCTAAAGCTTCACCTCAAGAGAGAATGTCACCAAAGCAGGACGAGTGAAAAGGTTTCTTAGAACAACAACAAATACATGGTCTGCTGACTCCTCCTCAGCCCCTCGTGTCTGGCTGTGCTGCTGGCTGCAAATCTATCCCCGTCACTGGCACGTGGTTCCATGAGGATGTGAGCAGTGACAGCTCCACCACTGCACCCAGGACCCGCTGAACCCTGAGCAGAGTGCGTCACAGCCACGTCAGCCCTGAACCCACAACCAGCAGAGGCAGTGTCTGCCTGCCCCTTCCTGACCGGCTTCTCAGCCCCAGGCCCCGAGGCCCCGTGTCCGCCTGCCCCTTCCTGACCGGCTTCTCAGCCCCAGGCCCCAAGGCCACGTCTGTGCTTCCCAGGGAAGGCTTTTCTTGGATTCTGCTTTCCTCTCTCACCTTCCTCCCCCGATTCTGACTATCTCCCTTTCCCGCCCTCCATCTCTCTCCATGCCAAAATGGCTCCTGTTTTTGTTCCTCTTCTGGGGGATCTCAGCCTCTCCTGGTGTCTTGGGCACCCTTTCTTGACTTCCAAAGCTTCATCCTGGATGTGCATCTCCTAAATTCTAGGTTCTTGTATGTAGCTGCCAAATGGACACCTCCCTCCTGATGCCCCACAGCTCTGACCTTCAGGACACCTCTGAACAAGGCCACACCTCTACAAATACCCCTGGGTGTCACCAACAATATTTCCATCTTCCTCCAGTTGGCCTTTCCATTTTGCCTGTAACTTATGACTCATCTTTCAGACCTAAGTCCTCCTGTCCAATCTCCCTGCCATTTCTCTATTCCCCAACTTCATTAGTGTTTTAAAAATAGGTACACTGCGGCCGGGAGTGGTGGCTCACGCCTGTAATGCCAGCACTCTGGGAGGCCAAGGTGGGTGGATCACGAGGTCAGGAGATTGAGACCATCCTGGCTAACATGGTGAAACCCCGTCTCTACTAAAAATACAAAAAAGTAGCCATGGGTGGTGGTGGGCACCTGTAGTCCCAGGTACTTGGTAGGCTGTGGCAGGAGAATGGCGTGAGGCCAGGAGGCGGAGCTTGCAGTGAGCCGAGATGGCACCACTGCACTCCAGCCTGGACGACAGAGCGAGACTCCATCTCAAAAAAAAAAAAAAAAGAAAAAGAAAAAGAAAAAGAAAAAGAAAAAGAAAAAAAAAGGTACATTGCTTGATGCACCTCCTAGTGGGCTCCCCTTCAGCCCCATCTGTTGAACTCTTACAGATTCTGGATATGCAGTGGATGGATGGGTGGTTAAATGGGTAAATGGATTGATAATTGGATGGGATGGATGAATGGGTAGATGCATGAATGATTGGATGGAATGAATAAATGGATGAATGGATGGATGGGTAGATGTATGGATGATCAGATAAAATAAACGGATGGATGGATGGATGGATGGATGGATGGGTGGGTGGATGGATGGATGGATGGATGGATGGGTGGATGGGTGGGTGGATGGATGGATGGGTAGATGAATGGATGGGTAGCCAGATGATTAGATGGAAT
The DNA here is from genome assembly GCF_000001405.40 of Homo sapiens. NCBI lineage: Eukaryota > Metazoa > Chordata > Mammalia > Primates > Hominidae > Homo > Homo sapiens. The sequence continues at coordinate 135,573,224 of NC_000009.12, read as the reverse complement.
GAATGAATGAGTGGATGGATGGATGGATGGGTCAATGGACAGATGACTGTGTGGAATTGAGGCAGGAAAGTAATAAAAGGAATTGGAAGTTGGATAAAAGGCAGAATGAGTAAAAGCAGAGAGCAGAAGCTAGGCAAAGGGATGGGTGAGCAAGAAGCAAGACAGGAGACAGAAACTGAGCAGCCAAACAAAAGTAAGATAAAAAAGCAAGTAAAGAAACTCTATGGCTAGCAAGATCTGGACCAAACCAGTAAGGGGCAGCTCCTCAAAGATAGGCATGCACAGTAGAGAGAAAAAGTATCCTTATCATGACCCCGTATTATAATCAGCTCATTAAAGCTCATGCATATGGACTGCATATCATTTATGTACTTAAAATTTTGGGATAGAGGCAACAAGCAAGTGCACAAGGGCCAAATAACTAAGCAACCAACCTATTAATCAAAAGGCAGATGTTGGCTAAAGATTAGGCAGCCTTGGGAAGAAAAGAAAAAAAAACACATATAAAAAGACCCAAAGTATACCAAACTAATGCTGATCTCATCTTGCAGAGGTCAGCCCACTCTCCCCTCTCTCAGAGTGCTACTGTGCTTAATAAACTTTTGCTGCTTGCTTTGCTATTTGTGTGTGCCACATCAAATTATCTGTTCAGGACACCAAGAGCCTGTAACTGCACAGCACCATCCGGTAACAGAATGAATGGATAGATGAATGGATGATTGGATGGAATGGATAGATAAGTGAATAGATGGATGGATGGATGGATGGATGGATGGATGAATGGGTAGATGGATGGATGATTAGATGGATAGATGGATTGGCAGATGGATGGATGGTGGATGGGGGTAGAGAGGTGGTGAATGGATGGATGGAAGGGTAGATGGACGGGTGGATAATTGGATATAATGGATATTGTAGGTTGATGTATGCATAAATGGATGGGTGGAGGGATGGATGAATGGTGGATGGCTTCATTTACTCATATTGAATAGGTCATTTATCTTCTCACTTTCATGACTTCTCCAGCTTGCCAAGGTGCTTTCATGTTCAGTATCACTTTTGACTCCTCCTATGGCTTCCATTCCTTCCAATCATCCATTCATTCACCCGTGTACCATCCATCCACAACCCTTCCATCCATCCATCCATCCATCCATCCATCCATCCATCCTTCCATCATTCTTTCTCTCAAACACCATTTTTGGTGCCATGTGACCTGTTTTCGTAGTCACTGCTATTTCCACATTGCCTCAGTGGAGGTGGCAAGAATGAGATGTCATTGCGCCAAGTACCTGATTTTTCCGATTGCCTGCTCCACCCTGACTACATTCTGATTACCTGCTCTGTCATAACCATTTTTCACACCAAACCACTCACCCCATCACTCTCTTTAAATTAGCCAGTTGGAATTAGTTTACCCTGTGTGGTCTAACCCTAGCCAATAGCGGAACGACACAGCAGCAGGGGCCACATGTGTCAGGGATAAGAACGCCTTCCCCTCCCTTGTCCAGGTGTGTGCCCACCATTGCTCCATCTATAAGGGCGCGCCCTTCTATAGAAGTAACTTGCCTTGCTGAGAATTGAAAAGGGAATTTTATATTCAAGTGTTATTTCTTTTGTGGCACCAAATCTTTATTTATAACAACTGAATAGCACAAATAATATCTAATTTCCTTAATATATAAAGAGCTCCTACAAGTCAATAGAAAAACTCCAAGAACTCAATAGACAAAGGATATGATTTAATTCTTCATGGAAAAAAATGCAAATGCCTCTCAAACATGTAAAAATAGGAGAATATTCCATGCAGTAACAGCAAAATACACATTCTTTTACAAGGATAAATTTATCAAGAGAATCTGTGAATGCAGTGAATCACAGAGTTTTATAAGGCATGGAGCAGACGCTGATATAACTGAAAGGAGAATCGTATAACTCCACAGTAGTAGCTGGAGACTGCAACTCTCCCTGTTCAGTAACAAAGAAAAAGTTGACGGAACATAAAGATATAGAAAGCTTGGTCATTGTCTCAACCAATTAACTATCAACCACCTAACACTGGTTACACATTCTTTCCAAGAGCACACAGAACATTCGGCAAGGGAGATTGTATCCTGGACCATAAAACCAGTTCCCCCAAATTTAAGAAAATTGAAATCATACGAATTGTATTTTTGTCAAATAGAAATCAATAGCAAAAAGATGTAGGGAAAATCTGCAGATGTTTGGTGATGAAGCTGTCCATCAAAGAAACTGATGAGACAAGTCTCAATCATTTTAGGAAATTTATTTGCCAAAATTAAGGATGCACCCAGGAGACAGGTCTATGCCTTTCTCTGAAGATGATTTTAAGTGCTCCAAATGTAAAGGGGAAAGGGTGGGATATTGAGAAACACACAGTTTTCATATAAACGGAAGGGGAGGGGCAGAGGAAAAATGTGGGGAATCTGCATTTTACATAAGATAACACAGACACAATGGGGCAGCAGAAACAATCAGATATGTATTTGTGTCTGGCTGGCTGGGGTGACTGCACCTGCAAAGATAAGCTGACAATTTGCATCGCCATGGCTCACCAGGAATTTCCTTGTGGGCAAAATAGGGGGAGGTGGGTAGCCTTTCATCTTGTAGCCAATCTTCTTTAGTAACCGAAGTGGGGAGGCAGCCTTTTGTGACTCAGTTCTCAGGGTGACTTTTCCCTTTGGCTAAATGAGTTTGGGGTCCCAAATTTAATTTCCTTTTACAAAACAAACCACATTTAAGTAGCCAAAGGATGAATTTCACAAGGAAAATCAGAAAATATTTTGAGTTGAGAAAAAATGAAAACAAAATATGGCTAGGTGTGGTGGCTCCTGCCTGGAATCCCAGCTCTTTGGGAGGCTGAGGTGGGAGGATTATCTTAGCCCAGGGGTTTGAGACCAACTGGGCAACATGGCAAGACCCCATCTCTAAGAAAATAAATAAATTTTTAAAAATGTTATAAAAGAAAATATATTAAAATATGTGGGATGAACTAAAGCAGTACTTTGGAGAAAATTTATAGCATTAAATGTTTATATTCAATGACATAAACATCCTCCATTCAGCAATCTGAGCTAGCATCTGAGTAACTAGAAAAAGAATTGTCTAAAACAAAGCAGGCAGGAGGAAATAAACACTCAATATAATAGCTGAAATCAGTGAAATAGAAAACAGAAAAACAATAGAGAAATCAATGAAACTGAAAGCTGGTTTGATCTTCAAAAAGATTAATGAAATGGATAAATCTCAAGCCAGACTAATCAGGAAAATCAGACAGCTGACACCAATGATTACTCTCAGGAATAAGGAAAGGGGACACCATTACAGACCCTATGGACATTACAAGGATAAAAAGAAAATACTTTGAATAACTTGATGAAAATAATTTTGAAAACTTGGACAAAATGGATAAATTCCTGGAAATATACAAAGGGTCAAGCTTATTAAAGAAGCAATGGATCACCAGAATTGACCTTACGAAATGGAATTTGTAGACACAAATTTTCCTAACCACCCTCCCCTTGTACCACCCTCCCCACAACAAGATCTCAAACCCCAGTTGGCTTCACTGGTAAATCCTACCATTTGAGAAAGGAACAATACCTTTCAAAAACTCTCCCATAAATTGCAAACAGATGGACATTCCCTAACTCATCTTATGAGGCAAGCGTTACACTGATACCAACTAGTTACATACTATTTCCTACATAAGACATTCTTTGCTACTGAATTGAAATAATTCCCTTATCAACCATTAAATTTCTACAATGACTATGATGTCTTCTAGACACTATTTTGTTCCTCCTGTCTTTTTGTTTTGTTTATTCCAGTCACCATGAAAACCCTGTATCCCCCTTATCCTCTAGTGACTATAAATGGCAAGGGCTTGGCTACTCCTAAGCCCCAAGTTACGGCATTATCCTTTCCTGTCTCCCTAAGGATACACCTCCGTATGTGAGTCCTCCCTCAACTATCTACTTCCTGTGTGCTCTCTGTTTCATACTGGGCTCTGACTGATAGAACACTAATATCATTACTAACATGGATGTGACTACTGGGTTGAAGTAAGGATTTCTTGGCAATGCCTTTTGCTCTAGAATATACTCCAAAAGAGACCAAAGTGTGAATAAACTGGGGTACCATCAGAGAAAACGAGATGCCAGGGTCTCTCTGCAGGCCCTGGCAGCAGGCAGCTAGGTAGTTGTCATGTAGCACAATTAACATCCTCTTAACAACACAGCGTGCATGAGGTCCAGCCACAGATTTTGAAATGAGGATGTGTGTTCCATCCCTGTTTACAGCCACTAATACTGGAAGTGATCAAGCCTCACACAGGATTGCTTCGCAGCCAGCCAAGGAAAACACTTCACTAGAAAAAACAATTACCTGAAGCAGTTTCTTTCCTCTGAAATTGTCGATTTTAGGGTTTAGTTTCATTTGTTTCTGTTTTCATTTTATGGCTTGTCGCCTTTTACTTTTTGTTTTAATTTTATATTTTAAATACATAAAATGTTAACTGGTTCAAAAGTTAAAACTGCATGAAAGTTACACTTATAAAAGGCTGGCTTCGATTCCTACCCTCTGCATGCATTTTTATCCTCAGAGAT